>NC_000016.10:2510000-3135000 GCF_000001405.40 Homo sapiens | reverse complement strand
CAAGCATTCCCCAGCTCCCAGAAAGCCGTTCGTCCACTGAGCCCGCCTTCTCCATGACCGATGGCCAATGAACAGGAAGAATTCTCAGGCTGCCTATTAGAAGACAGAAACTCCATACGCGTCATACACCTGCACCCGGGAGGAAAGGCGAGGCTCTGCATCTAGATTTACCTCGTTCTCTTTTGTCTCCGCTTTTTTTTCACATTTCCTTGCGACCCTGGCCCTTGAGCGACAAAAAGGGGAAGCCAAGGCTGGCCCGAGGAACGGAGAGGGCACATGGCCTAGCCACAAGTGGAGCTTCTGCTCCGCCCGAAGGGATGCGCTGGAGCGGCCTCTTCCTTCTGCCACGGTCTTTCTTTGCCAACTAGTAGGTGAGGGCCGAAAGGCCGCGGGCCGTGGAGCTCGGGCCGGGGAGACTCTTTTCTAGCCTCTTGGGTCCCGCTCCTCCCAATTCCCTGGAGAGGCGTCGAGCTTGCTGGGAAGTGCCCTCGGGTAAGGGGCGCGGAGCCTCCTGCGGCGATCCTCTGTCTTCGGGTCGCCTTAGCAGGACGCGGCAAGCGGGACACTGACCTGGCCGGAGTCCCGCGTTCTCTCACCAGCTGCTTTGTCCACGAGTTGCTGCTGGGCGTCAGGGGTCCCACGGCCCGGAGGGATCTAGAGCAGGGGGGCTCGGGGTCCTTTCCATACCCTCGGATCCTCTCCCACTCTCTCCACGCCTCGACCCGGAGATGATTTCAGGCTCCAGATCTCTTTCATAAATGGAAAGAGTTTTTTTGGTTTGTTTTGTCTTAATTATGTAGGTGTTGCATGCTTGGAAGAGAAAATTTAGAAAATTAATTGGAAAACCATAAAGATAGCTTTCTCGTGATAGCCACAAGGCTTGCTCCCTCATTCTGCTCATATGTCACCCCCTCAAGGAGGCCTTCCCCAGCTCTGTAAACAACCTGTGCTCGGCGTTAACTTTTCTCCCTAATGTTTATCACTACCTGACATATACGTGTTTCCCACGACTCAACGATAAGTGTTCATGAGGGCAGACACTTTTTAATGCCCTATGACAAGCACCTAGAATTGTGCCTGGCACATGGTAGATGCTTAGTAAATATTTGTTTAATGAATGAAGGTAAAAAACATTTCTAATACGACCATCCAGGAATAAGTACTATTCATGTTTTAGTGTGTTCTTACAGTTTTACTGTTCAGACAGTTATATGCCTGTGAATATATATTATATATGTGTGTATATATATATATATATATATATATATATTTTTTTTTTTTTTTTGAGACAGAGTCTCGCTCTGTCACCCAGGCTGGACTGCAGTGGCGCGATCTTGGCTCACTGCAACCTCCGCCTCCTGGATTCAAGCGATTCTTCTGCCTCAGCCTCCCGAGTAGCTAGGATTACAGGCATGTGTCACCACGCCCGGCTAATTTTGTATTTTTAGTAGAGACGGGGTTTCTCCGTGTTGGTCAGGCTGGTCTCGAACTCCTGACCTCAGGTGATCTGCCCGCCTCGGCCTCCCAAAGTGCTGAGATTACAGACGTGAGCCACCGTGCCTGGCGGAATTTTCATATTTTAAGTCCCCCACCCTTGGACATTTAGATTTTTTCCATCTTTCTGTATTTGCAGATATGCTTCTACGTACACCTTTATTCATTTGCTTGAACATTTCCCTGAGAAAAACTAGAAATGGAATTGCCAGATTACTTTGTGTACATGTTTCCAAACTGTCCTCCAGAAAGAATGTAATGCTTTGAACTTCCACTTGAGAATCAAATGTTTACCTTCCTCTGTTCCTCCAGATTTGGACATTTACAGTGTTCAGCCGTTGTTGTGGCATTCCAATTCAATTGGGAAACAGCTTGATGTAGCGTCCCCATAAGGTCCACAGTAATTAAATTTTTTTTTTTTTTTTTTGGTGCGGTAGTGCAATTTCATGGCTCACTGCAACCTCCACCTCCCAGGTTCAAGCGATCCTCCCATCTCAGCCTCCCTAGTAGCTGGGATTACAGGTGCACGCCACCACACCAGGCTAATTTTTGTATTTTTAGTAGAGATGGGGTTTCACCAGGTTAGCCAGGCTGGTCTTGAACTCCAGACCTCAAGGGATCCGCCTGCCTCAGCTTTCCAAAGTGCTGGGATTACAGGTGAGAACCACTGCACCCATCCTATTAAACTTTTAAATCATGATAGTTACCATGTATAGAGTGTTTATATGCCAGGCATTGAGCTAAGTCTTTTACGTCTTGCGCTCATTCTGTGCAACAGCCCAATGGGAGAAATTCCATGAATATAGTTACCATTTCCTTGATTTCTAGAGAAGCTGGATATGTTTTCTTTTTTTCCAGTATTATTTCTATTTATCCTTTTGTGAATTGTCTGTTGTTATTTTCATTGGAATATTCTCTTTTTTTGACAGAGTCTCACTCTGTTGCCCAGGCTGGAGTGCAATGGCACGATCTCGGCTCATTGCAAACCTCTGCCTCCTGGGTTCAAGCAATTCTCCTGCCTCAGCCTCCCAAGTAGCTGGGATTACAGGCACCCGCCACCACGCCCAGCTAATTTTTTGTATTTTTAGTAGAGACGGGGTTTTGCCATGTTGGCCAGGCTGGTCTCGAACTCCTGACCTCAGGTGATCCACCCATTTCGGCCTCCCAAAGTACTGGGATTACAGGCGTGAGCACCTGTGCCCGGCCACACCATTATTTTGAAGAGAAAATTTGATAAAAATAATTGGTCAGTTGTAAAGATGGTTAACTACCCAACTGGTAAGAGAGATTTCTAAGAGTTACAGAATAGCAACTGCAGGAAGGAACTTGTGCCCTTAGGACTGAGGAAGTAAAAAGGAGGGAAACTTGGAAACACGAAAGAGCCCTTCCCCTTTCAATTCAAGGTGGAGACTGGACCTCAGAAGAGGGAGTGGGTGCCCCGAGAACTCACAGCTAGCGGACAGTGGAAAGGGCAGGAGCCGGACCAAGGTGAGGACAGTGGAACTGAAGGCCGCTGGTTACCTCTCCTGCCCTCCGCTGGCCACAGTGGAGAAGACAGCCCCTCCCTCCTGCTCTGACCTGACAGTGTTCATCCATCGCCCTGTATTAGCGAAGAACAACATCAAGCTGGCTAGCAAGGAACTGTATACAGGGTCCAGCTGGGTATCACACTGGATCTCACCCAAAGCTTAGATGTGATCCAGCTCAGTATCACAAAGCAGAACGAAAAGGATGTGTTTGGGCTGAGAGGCCATACATTGGTAAGTGGCACATGAACTGTATTTTCTATTGAGCATTGCTGGTATATGGCAAATTTGCATAAAATTATATTGAAATTGACTACCGGATTGCACTTTCTTGTTCCTTCTGATAATTTTTCACGTGTTCTTTTTCTTTCTTACTTTAGATGGAGTCTTGCTCTGTCGCCCAGGCTGGAGTCCAGTGGCGCGATCTCGGTTCACTGCAAGCTCTGCCTCCCGAGTTCATGCCATTCTCCTGCCTCAGCCTCCTGAGTAGCTGGGACTACAGGCACCTGCCACCACGGCTGGCTAATTTTTTTTTTTTTTTTTTTGAAATGGAGTCTTGCTCTGTTGCCCAGGCTGGAGTGCAGTGGCGCGATCTCAGCTCACTGCAAACTCCGCCTCCCGAGTTCATGCCATTCTCTTGCCTCAGCCTCCCGAGTAGCTGGGACTACAGGAGCCCACCACCATGCCCGGCTAATTTTTTGTATTTTTAGTAGAGACGGGGTTTCACCATGTTAGCCAGCATGGTCTCTATCTCCTGACCTCGTGATCCACCTGCCTCGGCCTCTTTTTTATATTTTTAGTAGAGATTTCACTGTGTTAACCAGGATGGCCTCGCTCTCCTGACCTCATGATCTGCCCGCTTCAGCCTCCCAAAGTGCTGGGATTACAGGCGTGAGCCACCGCGCCCGGTTATTTGTTTATTTATTTATTTATTTTTTGAGACCGAGTCTTGCTCTGTAGCCCAGGCTGGAGTGCAGTGGCGCCATCTTGGCTCACTGCAACCTCCACCTCCCACATTGAAGCAGTTCTCCTGCCTCAGCCTCCCAAGTAACTGGGATTACAGGAGCACACCACCACATCTGGCTAATTTTTTGTATTTTTAGTAGAGATGGGGTTTCACCATGTTCGCTAGGCTGGTCTGAAACTCCTGACCTCATGATCCACCCGCCTTGGCCTCCCAAAGTGCTGGGATTACAGGCAATTCTGCTGCCTCAGCCTCCCAAGTAGCTGTGATTACAGGTGTGTGCCACCATGCCCGGCTAATTTTTGTATTTTTAGTAGAGACGAGGTTTTGCCATGTTGCCCAAGCTGGTCTCAAACTCCTGACCTCAAGTGATCTACCCGCCTTGGTCTCCTAAAGTGTTAAGATTACAGGCATGAGCCATCGGGACCGGCCCACTGTTTTTTCTCGCTAGAAAATACAGTCTAAAGTGGCCAGGTGCGGTGGCTCACGCCTGTAACCATCCTGGCTAACACGGTGAAACCCCAGCTCTACTAAAAATACAAAAAATAAGCCGGACGTGGTGGCAGGCACCTTGTCCCAGCTACTCGGCAGGCTGAGGCAGGAGAATGGCGTGAACCCAGGATGCGGAGGTTGCAGTGAGCTGAGAACACGCCACTGCACTCCAGTCTGGATGACAGAGCAATACTCCGTCTCACAAAAAAGAAAATATAGTCTATAAATAATGAAGAAAGTAAAGTGAACCTGGGAGGTGGAGGTTATAGTGAGCTGAGATCATGGCACTGCACTTCAGCCTGGGCAGCAGCAAGACTCCGTCTCAAAAAAAAAAAAAAAAAAGAAATATGCGAGCTGCTAAGCTAGGCAGTTCTGGCTCAAGATCTCTCATGATACTGCAGACACCACACCAACGAGGACCCCAGTCCTCTGGCACTGGAGGACCCACTTAGAAGGCGGATGACTCACGTGGCTCTTGGCAGGAGACCTCAGTTCCTCCCCACATAGGCCTCCCTATAGGACTGCTTGAGTGTCCCGTTTACCAAATGATCTAAATATGTTCCGGTTTTGATTGGCTGCTCTGCAATGTGGGCCGTTATCTAGCTGATTCGGTGGGGCCTGAAGTGTCAGTTCCTGCCGCAGGGATGTTATATGGAACCTTTGGCAGGCCGCTACAGACGAATCATAATATAAACCTGTGCTAGTTATTGATTACGTCCCAGCTCCTGCGTTGCCTGCTCTGTGAAATGGTTCTGGCCCTTTAGTTTTTCCTTTACCAGCTGGCATGATCTTAAGCTTTGTCAGTAGAGGGCGCTGGAGAGACATTGCAGGAGACGAGTTTCCCTTCCTGCTTCTGGTGTGTTCTCTCTAGGCTCCGGCATGACGGGTGACTTCTTCCGAGTCTGGCTTCTGCAGCACACAGGGCTTCGCCAGCACCCAGCTCCTGCAGCATGGGCAGCTCCTGTGACAGCAGGCGCCCGCAGCCTGCAAAGCGTCTCCAGTGCCGCCGCCTCAGTGAACCTCAACCAGCGGCACCTAGCAGCTTTCTCTGCCACCCTCTTCAGGTAGTTCTGTAGCAGCGCGTTTCTCATGAGACACTTCCCTGTGAGCAGCTTTTTCTACCCTTGAGGATGGATTTCCAGCAAATTCTGCCCATGTGGTACCACAGCCACTTCTCTGCCATTCAGTGAAACTGCCGTTGTGCCCTCTTCAAGGTCTGGATCTAAGCCCAGGGACCAGGAAACCTCTTGCTTGAGTGCTGGAACTCAGGCCAGAAGGTATGGCTGCTGCTATGTGCTGTGACCAGAGAATCAGAGTTCTCTTTACTTCTTACCAGCCAACCTCTTGAAAATGCCTTTTTGTTTTTTGTTTTTTTTTGAGACGGAGTCTCGCTCTGTTGCCCAGGCAGTGCAGTGGCTCACTGCAACCTCCGCCTCCTGAGTTCAAGTGATTCTCCTGCCTCAGCCTCACAAGTAGGTGGGATTACAGGCATGTGCCACCACGCCCAGCTAATTTTGTATTTTTAGTAGTGACGGGGTTTCTCCATGTTGGTCAGGTTGGTCTCAAACTCTCGACCTCAGGTGATCCACCTGTCTCAGCCTCCCAAAGTGCTGGGATTACAGACGTTAGCCAGAGCGCCCAGTCTAAGCCCTTTATAGCTTAATTCTATATATTAAATTTTCCCAGTTCAAATTACTGTGTGCTTCCCTTCTCCTGATTGGACCTTGCTTGATACAAAATTAGTACAAGGAGTGGTCTCAAGAGATAGATGCACAAAGAAGGGATATGGGGACGGATTTGGGTATTTGGGCTTGAGTGCAGACTGAGCTCCTTGACAATGAGAAATAGGATATGTATTAGGGTTCTCCAGAAACAGAATAACAGAATCTATATATACATGTGTATGTGTGTGTATATATATATATATAGAGAGAGAGAGAGAGAGCTTTTATGTGTGTGTATATGTATATATATAAACACACACACACTAAGGTATTGCCTCACATGATTATGGCAGTCGAGAAGCCCCACAATCTGCTATCTGCAAGCTGGAGACCCAAGGTCAGTGGTGCAGCATTTTTTTTTCAGATGGGGTCTCCCTCTGTTGCCCAGGCTGGACTGCAGTGGCACAATCACAGCTCACTGCAGCCTTGACTTCCCCAGCTCAAGCAAGCTTCCCATCTCAGCCTCCTGAACAGCTGGGACTACAGGTGGACACCACCATACCCAGCTAATTTGTTCTATATATATATTTTTATATAGAGATGGCCTCTCCCTGTATGTCCTAGGCTGATCTCGAACTCCCCTGGGCTCAAGCTATCCGCCTGCCTCCGCCTCCTAACAGTTTTGTAATTTTAAGGCCTGAGAGCCAAAGGCCAATGGTGTAGATTCCAATTCAAGACTCAAGGCCTGAGAATCAGGAGCACAAGACCAGGAGATCAATGTCCCAGTACCCAGGTCTCAAGTACTCAGGCACAGAGAGAATTCAGCCTTCCTCTGCCTTGCTGTTCTGTTTAATTCCATACGGATGGATGATGCCCACCCGTGGTGAGGGCCGTCTGCTTTACTCACTCAGCCAATTCAAACGTTAATCTCTTCTTGAGAAGCCCTCACAGACACACCCAGAAAGAATGTTTAAGCAGCTGTCTGGGCATGCCTTGGCCCAGTATAGTTTAACATGAAATTAACCATCACAGGGTGCTGGTTATCCACGGCTTGCAGCGATATCACAATTAATCAAGCAGCCACCTGCAGGTGATGATGAAGTGCCAATGAAAGCATGTACCTGGTGGGAACAAGTAGCTGCTGCACTCAGCCATTATGGTGTCCACAGATGTATAATGATGATTATACAACCATGGTATGGGATACATTATTTTTAGTGCACTTGAGCATTTACAGTGAGAAAATGACAAGCCCAAGTCCCTTAGCTCAGTTCAAGTCATGGTCTGAGAACCTGAGAACTTCTGTGATAGCTTAGAAGCAGCTCTTATAGCCACAATACTGTCACTGAAAATCAAACACAAAACTTAACTGTAGAGTCGCTGAATAATAATGACAGCTAAATTCCCAGGCCCAACAAATCTCACGTGAAGGTTACTGCGCTGATTGGTAAAGAAGGTGATCCTGGCCAGGCACAGTGGTGCAGTCCTGTAATCCCAGTTACTCGGGAGGCTGAGGCAGGAGAATCGCTTGAACCTGGGAGGTGAGGTTGCAGGGGGCCGAGATGGCGCCACTGCACTTCCAGACTGGGCGACAGAGCGAGACTCTATCAAAAAAACAAAACAAAACGAAAAAACAGAAGGTGATCCTGAAATTCAAAGTGGGGATATATGTTTGGACCCAGATGAAATTGACAGTCTTGATTCCTTAGGTCACTCTGAGCCTCCTTTACCAGTAGAAGTAGTTTGCCCTCAGTATCTGAATAGAATAGCCTTTCTCTGCTTGAAAACCTTAGGATAACCTTCCCAGGGGCAGAAGACCTAAAAGGGGATGTCCATTCTCCTGAAAACCCACCACAATTGCGCTCCATTGCCAGTAAACTCATAACAACTAGGGTCAAATCTCAACACAATCTATATATGTGTGTGTGTGGAGAGAGAGGCTGCACAAGCGTGTGCAAGAGACAGAGAGAGAGGGGAAAGATACACGTTATGACCCAGGAGGAAATAGCTTATACACTAAAATAATTCACTTTGCTGATATAAACTAGCAGAAACCTGGGGGATAGATGCAAGAGTAGATTCTAAGGATAGCATACCAAAGTGGACAGAATATAAAAAGAGATGAGATTAGACCGGGTGCAGTAGCTCATGCCTGTAGTCCCAGCACTTTAGGAGGCAGAGGCTGGAGGATCATCACTTGAGCCCAGGAGTTTGTTATCAGTTTGGGCAACATAGTTGAAACATAAAATACAAAAATTAGCGGGGTGTTGTGGTGAGCACCTATAGTCCCAGCTACTCAGAAAGCTGAGGTGGGAGGGTCGCTTGAGCCTGAGAGGTCAAGGCTGCAGTGAACTGTGATCATGCCACTGCACTTCAGCCTGCGTGACAGAACAAGACTCTGTCACACACACACACAAAATGAGAAATCAAATTCAATGATATAGGTGCATTTAGTAGACTTCAAATTTAATGTTAGCGTGTGTGGCTGTTGGTGGCTTTTTAGCAGTTTACTCCATTGGTTGGCTGAAATTTGGACTCATTGGTGGCCTTCAGTTAACAAGGTTGAGATGGCTGAAGTGGCATGACAGGAAAGAAGGAAACCAAAGGCTCCTTTTCCTTAGGGAGATGGAAATGTTGAGTGGCCTTATCATGCATGACCTGTGTACCCACCCCATCCCCAGCTATCTTTTACCAGTAGACACTGGCTTCACTAAGTCTCTGAGAAAGGCATTAATGACAGGATCACCTGAATCCTTGAAGAGCTCTGTGGTTGCTCTGTGAGATCTGTGTTCATCTCCATGACTAGCCTAGGGCTTTGTTAGTTGAGAACATAAAAATTGCTGTCTTAAGTTACTGAGGTGCAGGCCATTCATTGGGTGCTGCCTTTACACCAGGCAGGAAGCCCGCCTGACCCCATGTCTCAGGCTGCCAGAGGAGCGTGCGATGAGGAAGGCTGGACTGTCTTCACAGGACACCAGGGAGAAGCCTCAAGCCACTGCCCCCTGACAAGTCGCAGCTCTCCAGCCTGTCTCCTCACTCCCCTCCCCTCCACATGGGGGGGTTGGGGTGGGGGCGGGGAAGGTTCGGGGCAGGGGTCATTTCAGCTACTGGGCACCAGTCTCCTCCTCATGTTTATCCTGTTCCCTTTGCTTGAAAGGTTCGTACTCCAGATCCTTGTAAAACCGCTTCTCACCCTTTGAGTCTCAGCTTAAATGTCCCCTCCTTGGAGGGGTCTTCCCTGACAATGAAGCTCCGACCGTCCTCTCCTGTTTTACCCAGTTCATTTCTTTCTGGCATTTGTAACTACTTGAAGTTAAAGTGTGTGCCATGTATGTGTCTGTCAGTTTCCCCCACCACACTGGAACCCCATGAGGGCAAGGGTCTTGTCTGGAATCTTCCTCACTTACAACTCAACATTTAGCAAAGGACCTTTGCTAAATTAACAGGCATTCATTTTGTATTTGAAAAATGAACTAGTGAGGCCGGGCGTGGTGGCTCACACCTGCAATCCCGGCACTTTGGGAGACCGAGGCGGGCTTGAGGTCAGGAGTTCGAGACCGGCCTGGCCAACATGGTGAAACCCCATTAAAAATACAAAAATTGGCTGGGCGCGGTGGCTCACGCCTGTAATCCCAACACTTCGGGAGGCTGAAGCGGGCGGATCACGAGGTTAGGAGTTCAAGACCAGCCTGACCAACATAGTGAAACCCCATCTCTACTAAAAATACAAAAATTAGCCGGGCATGATGGCAGGCGCCTGTAATCCCAGCTACTCGGGAGGCTGAGGCGGAAGAATCGCTTGAACCAGGAGGTGGAGATTGCCGTGAGCTGAGATCACGCCACTACACTCCAGCCTGGGCAACAGAGCACGAATCCATCTCCGAAAAACAAACAAAAAAACGAATGTGTGAGGAACGCAGCAAAGCCCCTACAGTTAACGTTTGCCGCCCTCTGCCCCTCAGGCACTCCAGAGCCGCGAGCCGCCTCGCACAGCCCGCGCGTTTCTTCTGCTCCCCCGGAAGAGGGCACGGTCTCCTTCCTGGCCGCTCTCTGCCGGCCGTACCGCACGACAGCTGGCAGCACCGTCAGCCCCTGCTCGGGAGCTCGGAAGATGCTCTAGCTCCGCGGCCAGTGCAGCGAACCCACCCAACCCTGGTGCAGGAGCCATTGCAGCAAATTGACAGGGAGTCCTCTGGGCCGGAAGTGGCCCTGGCCCTGCGCCGTATGCTCTCTAGGACTGCAGGAGGCTCGGCATCTCGGTGATAGACCCAGGAAGTCAGTGGCTGGGCGGGGCGGGCTGTGAGGACTGAGGTCTGTAGCGAAGGTCCAGCCCCGTGGTCTTCGCTTCGTTCGGCAACGAACGCCCAGCGAAGGGTAAGACGAAATGCTTCAAAGACAGGATCCTGGAGCAGTTGCCGGGGCAACCGTGCGGCTTGGGGCGTGGCGGTGAGGGGAAAAGGGCCGGGCACAAACTTCAGCCGTGATTGGCTGGTTCTGCTGGAGCCGCCTTTCTCCCCGCCCCGATGCCTGAATGGCTAAGGGCAGGGGGGCGTGGCCTCCTGGATTCAGTCATGCCGGCGACGGGGCCGCCGAGCGAGAGGCTGGGTCCATGGGACCCTGCAGGCTCTGGGCTTCGCTACACGGCCGGGCCCGGGAACTGGGAGACGGTGTCCTAGGCTAGGACGGCGCTGAGGCCGACGCCCCCGGCCCAGAGGGGCAGCGCCGACAGCCGATCCCTGAGCGCTTGCAACAGGAACCTGGGGCCGCAGGGAAGCAGGTGGGAAGCCAGGATGCATACATCCTGCCTCTCCGCCTCCGCCCTCACCGTGCTCCTGACACCGCATCAGTGATGATCTGGTGGAGTTCTCCAGTGGCCGAGAAGCCCCGAGGAAGCCAGGGAAACCGCTGAACCTCCTCATCCTCTACCCAGGGAGACACCAAGACCCTTACCTGGCTTCTTCCCTCCAGCCTCCTACCTCTCAGTGACGCCCATCACCTACCAAACTATGAGCACCCTTCAGCCTGGCGTTCCAGGTCCTTCCCTGGCACAGCCCCTACTCCTCCCTGTCTTATTTGTGCTTGTCGAATATTTCCGAAACTGCCAAGTTCCACTCTTAAGATACTCTTTCCAGATCTATCCCACAGTGGGGCCTCCGGAGGGATCCCTAGAGGGAGAAGTGGGCCAGCCATAAGGAATGGCCATCTGCAGGCACCCTCCACGGGGCCCTTGGAACCCGTGCTCCTGCACTCTGCCACGAAAGGGGAAACGTTTCACCAGGAAACTGTCTGCTGTCTGGGCTCCCTGGAGGCCAGAGTGAAGTTTTTAAATGACTCCCTAGATCACTCAACGGTCTTTTTTTTTTTTTTTTTTTTTTTTTTGGAGACAGGGTCTTGCTCTGTTGCCCAGGCTGGAGGGCAGTGGTGCGATCACAGTTCACTGCAGCCTCAACCTCCCAGGCTCAGGCGATCCTCCCACCCTAGCCTCCCAAGTAGCTGGTACTACAGGCACGCATCACCATGCTTGGCTAATTTTTTTTAACTATTTAGAGACGAGGGTCTTGCTGTGTTGCCCAAGCTGGTCTCAAATTCCTGACTTCAAGCCATCCTCCTGCCTCAGCCTCCCTAAGTGCTCAGATCACAGGTGTAAGCCACCACACCAAGCCTTGACAGACCTCTGAATCACTCAGGTCCTGACATCTGGTCCCTGGCACGCTGGCCACGGAGCCTAAGGAACTGAAATTAAAGCAAGCAGCACTCACTGTGCAAGTGAGTACTCTGCTCAGCTCTCTTGCCAAGTGATGACGGCTTCCAGGGTCATTTTAGAAACTCTCCCACCTCTGTCTCTCTCCTTACTTAGAAAATGAGCTCTTTTGAGAGCAACCCTGCTTTACAAATGAGTCTCCCTCACCCCCTCACACTGAACCAAGCAGAGCAATCCTATTTCTGGCTGAGTGATTGGGACCATGAAGACAAACTGAAGGGAGGAAACAGCTTTTTTTCTGGCCTTGGAAATAATCATTTAATTCAACCAATCCTGCCAGCATCCCTAGCCTAGATTCCAGAGACCTCCTGGATACCATCAAGTCCTGCCTGGGCTTCCGCTAGTGAGCAGCTCCCTGGTGTCCCGTTGATTACATCCCACCCCACCCACATCTCTAGCTGAGTCTAACATTCCTGAAGGTCAGGTCTATTGTCCTACTCTCTCTCTTTTTTTTTTTTTTTTTTTTTTTTTTGACACAGAGTCTTGCTCTATCATTCAGGCTGGAGTGCAGTGGCAAGATCTCAGCTCACTGTGACCTCCACCTCCTGGCTTCAAGCAATTCTCCTGCCTCAGCGTCCCAAGTCGCTGGAACTACAGGCGCCTGCCACCATGCCCAGCTAATTTTTGTACTTTTAGTAGAGACAGGGTTTCACCATGTTGGCCAGGCTGGTCTTAAACTCCTGGCCTCAAGTGATCCACCCACCTAGGCTTCCCAAAGTGCTGAGATTACAGGTGTGAGTCGCTGCGCCTGGCCTTGTCCTCCTCTTTTTAGATAGCCCTGCATGGGGCCTAGTAGTGTACACCAGTAGTCCCAGCTACTTGGGAAGCTGAGGTGAGTGGATCACTTGAGCCCAGGAGTTCCAGACCAGCCTGGGCAACATAGCAAGACCCCGTCTCTATTTTTAAAAAGACAAAAAAAAAAAAAACAAAAAACAAAAAAAAACCTGGGCTAACAATGCACACTTACATTGTTGTAGAGAGCGGTATCTACAGTGCTTGGCCCTGTGCCTGGAAGAGCAGCTGCTTGACAACTGGCAGCTATGATTACTCTTCTCAGTCTACCGTCCTCAGCAAGCCACTCTTTTCCTCAGGATCTGGGAGCCAACCAGGGCTGTGGCCACCCTGGTGGCCCCATAATCCACAAAGACAGGTGGGGTCTCAAGGGCCTTCTTGGTGCAGACATCCTCGTGGTCAGTTGGTGTCAGAGCTGAAAGTTATCTCGGGAGCTGGGCCACAAATATGGGATGATAGGCAGGATGAGCCCATCCCCACCCAGGGAAAAAAGCAGAGAATGGGAGTTGGGAGCTACAGAGGTTAAAACCAGGGAAAGAGGTCAGGCACGGTGGCTCACGCCTGTAATCCCAGCACTTTGGGAAGCCGAAGTGGGCGGATCACCTGGGGTCAGGAGTTCAATACCAGCCTGGCCAACACGGTGAAACCCTGTCTCCACTAAAAATACAAAAAATTAGCCAGGCATGTGGCACACACCTGTAGTCCCAGCTACGCGGGACACTGAGGCAGGAAAATCGCTGGGACCCAGGAGCTGGAGGTTGCAGTGAGCCAAGATCGCACCTCTGCACTCCAGCCTGGGCAACAGAGCAAGACTCTGCCTCAAAAAACAAAACAAAAAACAAACAAAAACAGGGGGCCAGGCGCAGTGGCTCAGGTGTGTAATCCCAGCACTTTGAGAGGCCGAGGTGGGTGGATCACAAGGTCAGGAGATCAACACCATCCTGGCTAACATGGTGAAACCCTGTCTCTACTAAAAATACAAAAATTAGCCAGGCATCGTGGCGTGCGCCTGTAGTCCCAGCTACTCAGGAGGCTGAGGCAGCAGAATCACTTGAACCCAGGAGGTGGAGGCTGCCGTGAGTGGAGATCAGGCCACTGCACTCCAGCCTGGGCGACAGAGCAAGACTCTGTCGCAAAAACAAAAACAAACGCCAGCGGAAAGACCAGGAGTAAATCAAAGCTCAGAGCCAGGCAGGGGCGAGCAGGGCGAATTATATAGGACATATACCAGGAGGCCAAGGAGGTGAGACATAGCAGAGGCAGGTGACAGCAGCTGCAGCATGGGCCAAGAAGGAAAGTGGCCCCTGGTGAGTGAGGAGCCCTCGCAGGACCACAGGCAGGCCATGGTGGGAGCAAATGGCAAAGGCCAGTCACAAAACCCAGCCACCGATGCCTGAGTGGGAGATGGGGCAGGCAGGAATTTCCGGACCAGTTCTGCCTGCTCCTGGCTTCCAAAGAGAAGAGCCAAGGGAGAGTGCGGGCTCAGTAAGCAGTGCCCTTGGGACAAGTGGCGTCAGCAGCAGACGGCCGGCAAGGGGTCCCCAGGTCCAGGAGCGGCTGACTGGCTTCAGCCCTGGAAACCTCTCTGTACTTGAAGCCTTTGCTTGCCAATGTGTGCAACGCTTTGGAATGGGCCTTTGGCAAAAGGGACCCCAACCCTGGTGGAGACCCAAGCCAAGAGTGGTGATGCGGGGATGCCTCAATGAGGACAGGGGATTAGCCCAGGAGCTCCCCCACGCTCGGGGAATCAGCGCCAGGGCACCAGGAGACAAAGCTGTGTAGGCGGGCGCTTCAAGTCCAAGGCCTTTAATTCGCAGAGTGCCTGCCCTTTCTCGCCCTCGCCCTCCCCCATCGCCATGCCTCACCCCATGCCCTCACCGCCCCAGCTCCCTTCCCGAGCCCCTCTCTCCTCCCTCGGAGCCTTGACTCCAGTGGGGCTGTTCCAGTGGCCCTGGGCGCCCCGCTCCCCCTTTCCTGGCCTCCTAGGTGGGAGCGGGTGGGGGTGTGGCCAGAGCCCCCGCCGCCGCCGCCCCCAGCATCAGCATGGCCAGGGCCTTGGGCCCGGTGGTGTGGATCTTCTCGTGCCGGTGCAGGTTGGAGCGCCGGCTGAAGCTCTTGCCGCACAACGGGCAGGCGTAGGGCCGCACGCCACGGTGGGTGCGCTGGTGCGCGGTGAGGTGCGAGCTGTGGCTGAAGCTCTTGCCGCAGTCGAGGCAGTGGTAGGGCTTCTCGCCTGTGTGTGTGCGGTTGTGCGCGATGAGGTTGGAACGCTGGCTGAAGCACTTGCCGCACTCGGGGCACGGATAGGGCTTGACCCCAGTGTGGGTGCGCTGGTGGGTGACTAGCGCCGAGCTCTGCGTGAAGCACTTGGCGCAGATGGGGCACTTGTGCGGCTTGGCGCCCGTGTGGGTGCCCTGGTGGGTGACCAAGTCCGAGCGGCGGGTGAAGCGCTTGGCGCAGCGGTCGCACACGTAGGGCTTCTCTCCGGTGTGGATGCGCTGGTGCTGAATCAGCGTGGAGTGGTGGCTGAAGCTCTTCCGGCAGGCGGGGCAGGTGTAGGGCTTCTCGCCCGTGTGGATGATCTGGTGCTGGATGAGGTGCGAGCTGCGGCCGAAGCGCTTCCCGCAGTCAGTGCAGGCGTAGGGCTTCTCGCCCGTGTGCGTGCGCCGGTGCGTCACCAGGTGCGAGTGCCAGCTGAAGCCCTTGCCGCACTGCTCGCACCGGTAGCTCTTCCTGCCCACCTCACTGTCAGGGGCCAGGCCCTCCTCGCCACTCTCCGGGGCGCCCTTCTCCTCCTCGTTGGGCTTCTCCGGGACGCGGTACTCCTGGGGCTCCGTGGGACTGGGGTCTGGCGGAGCTGCATCCGGGGTGCGATCTGGCTCAGCCGGCTGCCCGGAGTCTTTGGCCGGCCCTGAGCTCCGGCCGCAGGCTGCTTCCTGCGCGCACTGCGGGACGCCCCACTGGACTCTCCCTGCCCTGGTTCTGAAGGGCTTCACATTCCCAAGGGCTGCCACGGATGAGGTCTGCACCCTCTGCCCCACCTCGACGGCTCCTGGAAAAAGAAAGTCGTTTCCAGCTAGGGACGAGCTTCCCTAAGGACCCCAGGAGGGTGGAGAAGGCAGAGCTAAGGGTGGGGGCTGGATTCTCAGAGACCAGAAAGCGCAAGGGCCGCCCTGGGCGCAAACCGCCCAGGAGGGGGTCTGGTGGCCCTGCCCCACTCCCACAGACAACAGCCAGAAGGCCTGCGTCTGCGCCCCACTCCCGCAGACAAAGGCGCGCGCCCGTCCCTCACCTGTGCACGCGCCTCTCCACTCCTTCTCATCTCCTGCCTGCCGGCTGGAGCCCGAGGCCTCACCCTTGCCGTGCGCTTGAGGGGCCCAGAAAGGCCTGCTGAAGGGAAAGCCTGCCCAGAAAGAGATGCTGTGCTGTCACAGGCCTTCTGGCGCTGCCCAGCTGCAGACAGCATCTCCCCAAAACTGATGGGCCCAAGTAGGGGGTGAGGCTCTGGAAACAGGGGGTAAAATAAAGCAGTTTCAAGAAGGCCCCCTGGGTCGGGGGTCCGCCCCCTGCCTGGCGGCTGCCAGAGCTGACTAGGCCTGTCTCCTCTTTCCCTGAAAGAGCAACGGAGTTTAAGGGACGGGAGTGGGCAACACCCTACATCAACGCCCACGGGACGGGTATCCCGCTCCTACACCCACACCTGGAGGGGCAAGGGTAGTGGCCCTCCAAGTGGGAGGACCTGGGACAGGAGGGCCAGGATCTCCAACGACTAAGGTCATCCCATTTGTCAAGTCTTGGGGGGGTGTGGCCCCAGGAATTTTGGTCAAGTCAGTAAGAGAGCAGAGGGGGCCCTGGCTTCCACCACCCGTGGGAGGAAAGGAATGTGTTGGACCAACCGGGTGGCTTGAGGCATCTGCGAGGCCTGCCGTGGTGCTGAAAATGGGTGTTGAGATCCTTCTGATCCCTCAGGACTTGCCTGGGCTTGCTGGCCCAGGCACTGGGGAACCATAAGAGCGGTGAGCAGCCTGAGCTAATTGAGGGGTGACCATCCCTGGTGCCAGCCAGCGGGGCCTTGGGACCACCATGATGCCACCACCTGGAATGCTGAGTCCTGGATTCTGCCTGGACTAGCAAGTGTGCTAGCTGGGTGTTGGCCAGGCGCAGTGGCTCATGCCTCCAGCACTTTGGGAGGCCGAGGTGGGCGGATCACGAGGTCAGGAGATCGAGACCATCCTGGCCAAGATGGTGAAACCCCATCTCTACTAAAAATACAAAAAAAAAAAAAAAAAAAAAAAGCCGGGCATGGTGGTGGGCACCTGTAGCCCCAGCTATTTGGGAGGCTGAAGCAGCAGAATCACTTGAACCCAGGAGGCAGAGGTTGCAGTGAGCTGAGATCACGCCACTACACTCCAGCCTGGGTGACAGAGCAAGACTCCGTCTCAAAAAAAAAAAAAAGCTAAGCGTCAACTGAATGAATGAATAAATGAATAAATGAATACTGATTTTTCCGTATTAAAACTAAAGTCTGGAATTGAGGAGTCAAAAGCTCTGGGATGGCTGGGCACAGTGGCTCACGCCTATAATCCCAACACTTTGGGAGGCAAAAGCAGGAGGATGACTTGAGCCCAGGAGCTCAAGACCAACCTGGGCAACATAGCGAGATCCCATTTCTACCAAAAAAAGAAAAAAAGAAAAAAATAGCTGGGCATGGTGGTACCTGTAGCCCCAGCTACTCAGGAGGCTGTGGCAGGAGGATCACTTGAACCCAGGAAGTCGAGGCTGCATGAGTCGTGATGGTGCCACTGCACTCCAGCCTGGGTGACAGAGCAAGGCTGTGTTTCAAAAAAAAAAAAAAAAAAAAAAAAGCTCTGGGACTTAAATACTTAACATCCAAGAAACAAAGGGAACCAAGACCCCTCGGAGACAAGCACCTGCTCCTCAAAGCAGATGGGACACCCAAGGGTCTGCGGGGCCTGGGGAGTTCAGTTCATGCCATCTCTCTCCAGGGCAAGCAGCCCTCGGGCCCCGAAGCCAAGCTTGCTGCTCAGACACCTCTGAAGTTGGGGCTTGGAAAGGAAGATGGAGCTATAGGAGTGAGCCCTGCGGATGAACCCAGGAAAAGCGGACTTCCTGGGGCAGCGTCCAGTACAGTAGCTGCTAGCCATATGCGGCTATTTAAACTCTCATTTGAGCTGATTAAAACCAAGTAAAATTGGCCGGGCGCGGTGGCTCACGCCTGTAATCCCAGCACTTTGGGAGGCCAAGGCAGGTGGATCACGAGTTCAGGAGATCGAGACCATCCTGGCTAACACGGTGAAACCCCATCTCTACTAAAAATACAAAAAATTAGCCGGGCGTGGTGGTGGGCACCTGTAGTCCCAGCTACTTGGGAGGCTGAGGCAGGAGAATGGCATGAACCCGGGAGGCGGAGCTTGCAGTGAGCCGAGATCGTGCCACTGTGTTCCAGCCTGGGTGACAGAGCGAGACTCCGTCTCAAAACAAAACAAAACAAAACCAAGTAAAATTAAAAACTCAAGGGCTCTACTCACATTTCAAGTGCTCAGTAGCCACACATGGCTTGTGGCTCCCGTCCTAGCACACACAGAACATTTCCATCATTACAGAAGTTTCCATAGAACAGTGCTGTCTCAAGGGACAAGGAGAAGGGTGGGAGAGAGAGGGAGGGAAGGGAGGAAAGAGGAGACGGCAGAGCAGGACCTCTCCCTAACACCCCAGTCCCCCCTCCAGGCGAGTGCTTACCCAGTGACAGCCCATTTTTCTTCTGCAGGACATCCCTGTAGAAGTTCTGCTGCGTGTGGTCCAGCCGTCCCCACTCCTCCCGGGAGAGGTACAAGGCCACATCCTCGAAAGTCACTGGCATCTGAAACAATGTGAAACATCCACTCTCCAGGACATGACGTGGACACGGTGGAGGGACACCATGGCATGAGATGTGTGGTGAGACCCCGGACTCCCAACCCACTGTGTCGAGTGAGGCCTGCCACTTCCATCTGATCGGGAAGCAGGTGAGCCACCCAAGGCCTTCTGGGGAGTTGAGAAAGAACAAAGACCAAGAGGTATTTTCAGGGATCACAGTTAAGACTTAGGATGTCCATGCAGCCCCCAGCCTCAGCTGAGACCTCGGAGGACGGTTCCCAACGGCTACCAGCGAGAGGCCCTGTGTCTCTAATTCCTGCTGCTTCTCCTCCAGCTTTGGCCCAGGCCTGACCATGGGCCTTGAGCCTGGACAATTCCAGCAACACTAGCAAGAGCCCCAGGCTTCAGGCTTGGCTGCAAGTGGGGCCAGCGGGGTCCTGGCTTTCACACAGAACCAGCAGATGCAGGAAGGGCTGAGTACCATGCAGGGGCCGGGGAAGGGCCACTCACCTGGGACCAGGCAGTGAGGAGCGCTGCAGCCATCTGCCGGTCTCTGGTCCTCCCCTCTCGGGAAAGCACGGGGATCCGGGGGGAGGGGAGGGCTGTGGGAGGAGAGAGGTCCTCACGGTGATCAGCTCATCCTGCTGGACCTGCTGCTACTTCAGCTGCCTCAAACTCCACCCCTGGCCCGACCCAAGGACAGGGTCGGATGGCTCTGACGCTGCCAGGGGGCTGTGGGCCATGGGGGGATAGCGTCCCCTGCTGGCATAGAGACCCTCAGCCCCACCTGGACCTGGGCCAAACCTCCACCTCCCCACAGCTGCCTCCCTGGGAAAGCGCCTCTTCCCCGTCCCTCTCCTACCTCCGCCAGGCAGGAAGAGAGCTTTCTCCTTAGAGCCGTGACTTAGGGGTGCCCAGCCCCAGGCACCTTGAGCCCCATCCTCCTGCGATGCCCCCTCGGAGTGTGGCTCTTCGGGCTCCATCTTAATGTGCAGTGACTCCTGAGTGTCCCCTGAAGGTACCGCCTCCCCCAGCTTAGAAGGCATTTCCTGATGAGGATGTCCACGATCTGGAACCTAGAAAGGACAGCCCCATCAGCACCCAGATGAGTGGGAGAGACACCCAGGGCCACATGGCAGTGCGCTCCGGCAGCGTCGGAAACCAACATGCAAGACGCAGCTTGAAGGACTGTCCTTGCTGCATTCATCCAGCTCACCCCAGCAAGGACGGGCGGCAAGAGGAGGAATATTCACCAAGCCGCCTCCACAGTGCCGGTGGGCGTGGTGCCCAAGGGCAGCTACCCCTTCTCAGCTCCAGCCTCACACTGACCTCAGCAGTGTAGACTGCTGTCTATTAGTGTATGAAGAAACCAAGTGTAGTGGCTTGAATAGTGTCCTCTAAGAATCCGTGTCCTCCCTGGACCTCAGAATGGGACCTTATTGGGGAAAAGGGTCTTTATACAGGTAAGTTAAAGATCTTGAGATTAAATCATCGTGAATTTAGAGTGAGCCTAAAATCTAACAATGACTTATGTCCTTATAAGAATAGGAGAGGACACAGAGACACAGAGAAGGAAGCAGAGACTGGAGGGATGCCCACACCAAGGACACCAGGAGCCCCCAAGGAGTTGGAAGAGGTAAGGGAGGGTCCTCTTAGTCTAGAGCTTTCAAAAGGAGTGTGACCCTGCTGACACCTAGATTTTGGACTGCAGGCCTCCAGGACTGTGAGAGAGCCAATTCTGGTTGTTTTCAGCCCCCCAGAGAGTGGAAACTTGTTACAGCAGCCACGGGAGACTAACACACCATGGCTGGGGATGAGACAATGCCCCGTGACCACATAGCTCAAAAGCTTTGGGAAAGTCAGGGAGGGCCCTGGTGGGGCCTCATCCACAGCACAGGAACTGGCCGGACTTCTGCTGGGGTCTCACACTCCTTCCTCCACGCCCTGTCTGTGTTTGGGTCTTGAAGGGAAAGAACCTCAGGCCAGGAATCAGAGTGCCTGGGTGCCAGACCCAGCGACACCCCTCCCCAATCAGGCAGCCTTCAGGACGCAGCTGCTCTGCCCCTGCACAGAATGGTCATGAGGTTCACGCAGATAATGATGGAGAAGGAGCTGCCAGCTCAGGAAAGTCCTGGATAAACACAGGGTGGCGCTGGTCATTAATCCCCCCCGCCGTGCGCACCAGACAGAAGCCAGTGCCAGCAGAGAATGCCAACATGTGGGGCTCTACTGACATGCCCAAGGTGTTCAAGGCACACGGGAAGTGGATGGGAAACTGAACCATGCTAACAATTCTTTGTGCTTCTATGGCATGAAAACCATAGATGATGGCGTCTCATGCCTATTATCCTTAGAGCCTCCCAGTGACCCTGCGAGACAGGTGGAAATGGCAGGCATGTGGTCTGCATTTTACAGATGACACATCTGGTTCCCAGAGGCCAGGGACTGGCCCCTGGCCTGTCGCTGACTCATACTCCTCCAACTCCAAGCCCGGAGACCCAGGTCCCCCACAAATAGTAATTACACACACACACTCAACCACGCACGCACACACACACGGGTAGCAGGTACAGGAAGGAGAAAGGACCGGGAGCTCAGACCCACAGAGATGAGAAGCTGTGGTTCCAGGTGGAGAAGCACGGGGAAGGAGAACAGGTTTCCCTGTGTGCTCTGAGCGCTGCTCAGAAAGAAAACCTCACTGATAGGACCTCCACCCAGACCTCTTCCATCTCCTGTGGCCACTGGCTAGAGAATTCACCAGCAAAGCAAAACTGTTATGCTGTAAATTCCAGACAGAGGGTACTACCCAGCATGCCACCTTCTCTTTGATCTCCCCACCCCAGTGAGTCTAACTCTTCCAGGGGTCCAGACTCTGTGCCTTGAAAATCTCCTCCGCACCAGCCTCTTCTACCGCACACCTCCCTCAGCCAGCCCCATCTGTACCTCCGGGGGTGTCTCCTTGTCCTGGGTGTCCTGGATGCCTCCGCCGTCTGCAGACATTTTCTATTTCAGAGCTAGAAAGAACAGCTGAGTTGTTTCTCCCTCTTTTTGGCCAAGCCCCCTCCAGCTTCTGGCCAGGAGCCTAGAAGAGCAGACAGAAACCAGCCCTCGCTTCCTGGACACCCCCAAAGAGCCCTGAAAATCCCCACGAGTACCAGCGCTCCCTGGTCCCAATCGGAAAGAAAGTCTCCCAGATCCTATCCGATGGTCCCACTCTCTGTGATGTTTTCTGGGTCCTATTTTTGAAAGAATGCTATTTTGTATTGTCCCCTTTATTGCTGAAGCAAGAGCCTCGCATCTCAGTGTAACCGGCTCAGGGAAAGCCGAGGCTAAATTGGAATCGCTATTTCCTGTCATCAGGAGCAGAAAGTTCTGCAGAGATCCTGCAGAACAGGTGCTGGTGGGGCCCCGCCCGTCAAGGCCAGGGTAATCCAGGACCTGCTGTCCCCCGACCCCAGGACATACACCGTGTGTCCCTACCTGACTCCCATGCCCACCAGGAATTCAGAAATCAACCTGCCCGCTCTCAGCAGCCCCCCTGCAGCTGCAACCACCTGCCCCAGGCCTGGGATGCCCATCCTGCTCTCGGTCCTGGCAGACAATGTCCTTCTCCTTCCCAAACCCGGTCCTGGCCCCCTTCTCTCCTGCCAGCTTGAAGCCTTCCACCTTTGACCCCATCCCCTCCTGCAAGCTGATCATCTGCGCCGGTCTCGGGATCCAGATGCCCTCCCCAGCACCCCCTTCTCACCGGGGTGGAGGCAGAGGGGGCACCTGCGGCAGTGGGGGCCCCCTCCCCCGGGAAGGGAGTCTCCACAGCCTGCACGGGGCGGGCGGGGGAGTTGGGTGGAGACTGGGAGTAGGGAAGACAGGAAGTCCCTCCCAGATCCCATTCCCCATGCAGCCGCAGCCCTACAGCGTTCCCGGTTTTGAGGGTTCCGGGTGTGGAGTCTCGAGCCTGGGTTGCACCTGCTCTTGGCCGGGAGGTGACTCCCAGAGCCGCAATGCCAGCTCATGAGGATGGCTTTACCCAGGACGCGTTCATGATGCCAGCAAGGCAGAGCCACCAAAACAGAAAAATGGAAGATGCATTTTGTGGAAAGATTGTGTTATTTGAAATTTCAAAGCGAGCACTGCAGTTGTCCTCACAGGTAGAAAGAAGGGCATTTTGCAGGGTGGAGAGGGCAGGACCATTTATTTTAGCACTCGGGGTTTCTGAAGGTTATTGTCTCCTGAGGGACCCTGAATTCATTTAGGGACTCCTAGTCAAGGGCCCTCTGGGTCCCCCCAAGACTGGCACAGAACTCTCTCCCTAAGAGTGAACTTGGGAAACAGGCTGGGAACTCCCCCCAATCCGGATGCCCCACACCTTGGGAAGAAGTTGGTTAATCCGATTCTTCCAGGCCCATTTCAGCTTGGGGATAGAGGGTGTGATCCAGCTATAAATGGGGTTCTAAGTTCTCAAACACGCCTGGCAGCTGCAGATTCTGCCTCTCAGGCACCATTTCCCTTTAGACCCTGAGAAGTAAGGCCTCAAATAGAGAGGACAGAGACTGTGCTTTACTTTCTGGGGGAAGGAACCATTTCTCTTGGGCAGGCATGGGGGCTGGGTGTCAGGAAAAGGGCCAGGGGCCCAGTCCTGGAATCAGATTCCAGGAAGTTTCCCTAGGAAACGTCCCCATGCCACTGTCTTTGGCTCACCAGAATCCCCTGAGGTGCACAGCTTCACACAGTAAGATGGGCCCAGCTGCCTCTGTACCAGCTCGTGCTATGTTGTGTGGGCTTTTAAGGGTTTGTTTGTTTATTTATTTACTTATTTGAGACAGGGTCTTGCTCTGTTACCCAGGCTGAAGTGCAGTGGCACGATCATAGCTCACTGTACCCTCAACCTCCTGGACTCAAGCAATTCACCTCAACCTCCCAAGTAGCTGGGGCCACAGGCGCATGCCACCATGCCTGGCTAATTTTTTAAATTTTTTTGTAGAGATGGGGGTCTTGCTTTGTTACCCAGGATGGTCTTGAACTCCTGATCTCAAGCAATCCTCCCACCTCCCAAAGTGCTGGGATTACAGGTGTGAGCCATCATGCCCAGAGGGTTTAATTTTTTTTTTTTTTTTTTTGAAATGAAGTCTCACTCTGTGGCCCAGACTGGAGTGCAATGGCGTGGTCTTGGCTCACTGCAACCTCCACCTCCCTGGTTCAAGTGATTCTCCTGCCTCAGCTTCCCAAGTATTTGAGATTACAGGTGCCCATCACCATGCCGGGCTAATTTTTGTATTTTCAGTAGAGACGGGGTTTCACCGTGTTGGCTAGTCTGGTCTCGAACTCCTGACCTTGAGTGATCCACCTGCCTTGGCCTCCCAAAGTGCTGGGATTACAGGCGTGAGCCACCGCGCCCAGCTAATTTTGTTTTTTTTTTAACTTAGTTTCTAACATTAAAAAATTGACACTCATAAAACTGATTCTTTTATTTTTTTAGACGGAGTTTCGCTCTTCTTCCCATGCTGGAGTGCAATGGCGCAATCTCAGCTCACCCCAACCTCCGCCTCCTGGGTTCAAGCGATTCTCCTGCCTCAGCCTCCTGATTACCTGGGATTACAGGCATGTGCCACCACACCTGGCTAATTTTGTGTTTTTAGTAGAGATGGGGTTTCTCCATGTCGGTCAGGCTGGTCTGGAACTCCTGACCTCAGGTGATCCGCCCACCTCAGCCTCCTAAAATGCTGGGATTACAGGCGTGAGCCACCGCGCCCAGCCTATAAAATTGATTCTTTAAAAAAAATTAGAACATTTACCGATGCTGGACCCACCTTCCCCACCTTCAGGGTCCACTTTCTAGGTGGCCACAGTGCCTGCTTGGCCCCTGTAGCATTTGAGTTTGCAACTCTGCTTTTGGAGTTAAACATGTTTTAGGAGTCCTGGGATTCTGATTGATGCTATTGTCAATTTGATGAAAGAAAAATTACTCCTGGGATTTGTGTCTGGTGTTTTCCAGGTGTTCTGGTTTTGGGATTTTGTTGTTGTTTTGTTTTGTTTTTGTTTTTCTGAGACAGAGTCTCGCTCTGTCATCCAGGCTGAAGTGCAATGGCACCATTTCGGCTCATTCCAACCCCCACCTCCTGGGTTCAAACGATTCTTCTGTCTCAGCCTCCCAGGTAGCTGGGATTACAGGAGTGTGCCACCGCGGCCAGCTAATTTTTGTATGTTTAGTAGAGACAGGGTTTCATCATGTTGGCCAGGCTGGTCTCGAACTCCTGGGTTCAAGCAATCCACCCACCTCTGCCTCCCAAAGTGCTGGGATTATAGGCTGAGCCACTGTGCCTGGCCAGGTGTTCTGTTTTTGTTTTTGATTTTTTAGAGATGTGGTCTCGCTATATCACCCAGGCTGGTCTCGGACTCCTGGCTTCAAGCAAGTCTCCCGCCTCAGCCTGCTCAGTAGCTGGGACCACAGGTGCGAGCCACCACACCCGGCTTCTAGGTGTTTTAAGCCTCAAGGCGAAGAGAGACATGCAACTTAACAAGTCAGTACTGTTTTCAAGCCAGAGTGAGCGATGAACTGAAAGCTGAAGCGGGGAGGGGTCCTGGAAATCATGACACTCTTCACTCTGCCAACCAGGAGGAGAGCTGAGTGTCCAGGGTCAGGGAATTCACTCCTGAAAGGGACCCTTTCACCCCACACTGTCCCAGGAGTGCACCAAGCCCCCCCAAAAGTGGATGTGTCGATGTGTCCCGACTCTTGGGCAAAAGTTTCTCTACCAGCAAAAGAGGCCACTTCAGGGATACTGGGGGAGTCCAAAGGTTTGGATCCCTCCATAGGATCACCTAAATTAGGTCAAATGAAGTCTGAGCATCTGTTTAATTGTTCAAAGAAGATTTATTGGACATCTACTGTAAGGCAGACATTAACTTCTTCTTGAGAATGAGAGGTGTTCCTTCCAGGGCTGGCTTTTGGATCTAGGCAGGTCCAGGAGAGACGGTGACCACAGTCGCCATGTGGCAACAGCAACCCCTAAAAGAGCACCGAAAGGCGTCAGGGCAGGGTGAGTCAGTAAGTAGAGCAGACATTAAAAACTTAAACGGGGCTGGGTGCAGTGCCTCGTGCCTGTAATCCCAGCACTTTGGGAGGCCAAGGTGAGCTGATGGCTTGAGCCCAGGAGTTCCAGACCAGCCTCAGCAACATAATGAGACCCCAACTCTATTTATTTATTTATTTGTTTTGAGACGGAGTCTTGCTCTGTCGCCCAGGCTGGAGTGCAGTGGCACAATCTCAGCTCACTGCAAGCTCCGCCTCCCGGATTCACGCCATTCTCCTGGCTCAGCCTCCTGAGTAGCTGGGACTACAGGCGCCCGCCACAACGCCCAGCTAATTTTTGTATGTTTAGTAGAGATGCAGTTTCACTATGTTGGCCAGGCTGGTCTCAAACTCCTGGTCTCGATCTCTTGACCTCGTGATCCACCCGCCTCGGCCTCCCAAAGTGCTGGGATTACAGGCTTGAGCCACTGCGCCCGGCCCCCAACTCTATTTAAAAACAAAAAACTTAAATGCCTCCAGCCACCAGCTTACATACGGGACCAATGGCTTGGGAGTAAGACGGGAGGGAGAAGGGACTTCAGAGGCCTTTGAGAAATCCTTGAAGAGAAGCCAAAAAACAATTCGATTCCTCTGTGACCTCCTGACTTTTAAATTGATGACAAAGTTTTAAAATTTAAGAATTCCAGCCGGGCGCGGTGGCTCACGCCTGTAATCCCAGCACTTTGGGAGGCGGAGACGGGCGGATCACGAGGTCAGGAGATAGAGACCATCCTGGCTAATACTGTGAAACCCCGTCTCTACTAAAAATACAAAAAAAATTAGCCGGGCGTGGTGGCGGGCGCCTGTAGTCCCAGCTACTCCGGAGGATGAGGCAGGAGAATGGCGTGAACCCGGGAAGGGGAGCTTGCAGTGAGCCGAGATACCGTCACTGCACTCCAGCCTGGGGGGCGGAGCCAGACTCCGCCTCAAAAAAAAAAAAAAAAAAAAAAAAAGAATTCCATACAAGTCAGCAGAACACACCTGCTGTCTGCATTCAACTCACAGGTCATCTGTGTAGGGACGTACTTACCTCTCAGTAACTGACTATAGGCCGGGCGCGGTGGCTCATGCCTGTAATCCCAGCACTTTGGGAGGTCAAGGCTGGCGGATCACCTGAGGTAGGGAGTTCGAGACCAGCCTGACCAACATGGAGAAACCCCATCTCTACTAAAAATACAAAATTAGCCGGGTGTGGTGGCACATGCCTGTAATCCCAGCTACTAGGGAGGCTGAGGCAGGAGAATCGCTTGAACCTGGGAGGCAGAGGTTGCGGTGAGCCGAGATCACGCCATTGCACTCCAGCCTGGGCAACAAGAGTGAAACTCCATCTCAAAAAAAAAAAAAAAAAAAAAAAGAATTGACTATAATTGGGGCCAGGCACAGTGGCTCACGCCTGTAATCCCAGCACTTTGGGAGGCCGAGGCGGGCGGATCACCTGAGGTCAGGAGTTTGAGACCAGCCTGACCAAAATGGAGAAACCGCGTCTCTACTAAAAATACAAAAATTAGCCGGGCATGGTGGTGCACGCCTGTAATCCCAGTTACTCGGGAGGCTGAGGCAGGAGAATTGCTTGAACCCAGGAGACGGAGGTTGTGGTGAGCCGAGATGGTGCCATTCATTGCACTCCAGCCTGAACAACAAGAGCTAAACTCCGTCTCAAAAAAAAAAAAAAAAAATGGAAGGAAAGAAAGAATTGACTATAATGCACAAAGCCGCTTAGCAGAGCTTCGAGCATGGTAAATAATAAATGCCAACTCCTGTAGCTGGCGGCTTCACTGACCCTGAGTAAGGAGAGGACTCCTCCTTCAATAAATAAATCATGATCTGCTCTCAGAGATCGACCTGACAGTTAAGTCAAGACTTAAGGAATAACAAAAACTAGGGAAAAAAAGACCCATCTGAAGTAAGAACAAAATAATTGGTGCTAATTAAGGTGGCTAAGCCAGGTTGGAGACAGGGAGATGTAGCCAGCCTTAGGAAGGAAGGAAGGAGACGACGATAGGGGAAAACAAGGGAACTGAGCAAGGTAAAGAAAAATAAGAATAATAAAGACCAGAGCAGGTCGGCGCGGTGGCTCACACCTGTAATCCCAGCACTTTGGGAGGCCGCGGCGGGCGGATCACGAGGTCAGGAGTTTGAGACCAGCCTGGCCAACATAGTGAAACTCCATCTCTACTAAAAATACAAAAATTAGCTGGGCGTTCTGGCGGGCGCCTGCAATCCTAGCTACTTGGGAGGCTGAGGCAGGAGAATCGCTTGAACCCGGGAGGCGGAGGTTGCAGTGAGCCGAGATCGCGCCACCGCACTCCAGCCAGGGCGACAGTGTGAGACTCCGTCTCAAACAAACAAACAACAAAAAAGAGCAGAGCAAATATTGAACTCTAAAAGAGAAGAAAAAGAAACCAGCAGAAGTGTTAGATAGGTAGGACCCAAGGAATACACATTGTTAAAAGAAAAGATTTCCCAGGGCCACCGGACACCAGCGCGTGAGAATCCGGAGGCAGGGAGGCGACCCGGTTCCCGAAACCTACGCGGCTGCGGGAGGCCCAGGAGCCCCACGCGAACCTGTCCGCACAGCCCAGCGGCTAGGTTCACAGAACGCAGACGCTGGAGCCTGTCGCCCAAGCAACGGCCCCGCCCCGCCCACGGGAGGCGCCGGTGATTGGCCGCAGCCTCAGTGGCCCCGCCCCCGCCCCAGCCCCGCCCCGCCGCCCTCACCTGCGCGCTCCCGTTCGCGTCCCCGATCGGCAGCTCACCCTAGCTTGGCGGACCCCGGCCGGTGTCCCCGCGTTTTGCGTCCGGCTGCCCCATTGCAACTTCCGGCTTGCCGGGCCTTTTCGCGGCGCCCCACCTGTCCAGCCCGGGGCGCGGGGGCAATCGCCGTGAGGAGCAGGCGGGGCGAGGGCACCCCACCCTCGAGTCGGCTTTCGCCCGTGGGGAAACTGAGGCTGCCTGGTCGAAGGCCTCCACGGGGAAGCGCCGAGGCCTCCTCCATGCCTGGGACCTGGGGGTCTTAATGAAGGGAGAGTCCACCCTCCCGGGCGAGGATCCCGATCCATGAGGCGCCAACCCCCGCCCGGGCGCCCGGGTCCAGCCTCCCCGGCCGAGGGTCGGCCTCACACTCCCCTGCTTTGGGTGTTTGGTTTTGTTTAAAAAATGGGACTATACTATATGGTCTACCTGGGTCTTGCCCCCTCTGTGTGGGTGACATATATCTTAGAGATTGTTCAAAATAAAAAACATAGAGAAAAGGAGAAAAATAGAAAAAAAATGCATCGTTGCCTTGCTCTTTTTTTTTTTTTTTAAACTAGGTAGCATTCTCTTGTATGAGTCTGTTACAATTTCCTTAACCAGGCTTCTGCTCACCACCCACGTCTTGACACCCTTGCCTTGCAGTAACAGGAACCACCCCAACAGCTACTACCATGGAGCCTTGGTGGCTTTCTAGTGAATGAACAGACATCTGAGCTTGCAAATAGGGCGGGAAGAGAGGCTATCCTCACGCTCCCGCAGGAGTGTCCTCAGCCCCAGGCTTCTGGCCTAAACCTGGCTCACAAATCTCAGCCTGGGCAGCCTGCCTCTCACAGTTGGGAAAAACAGCCTATTCCCGTCTTGAACAAACCCCGGGAGGACAGGAAGAGCATCCCTAGGCAACAACACCAGGTGCTTCTTTTGTTTTGTTTTCTTTTGTTTTCCAGACAGAGTCTTGGTCTGTCGCCCAGGCTGGAGTGTAGTGCCCAATCTCAGCTCACTGCAGCCTCCGCCTCCCAGGTTCAAGCGATTCTCCTGCCTCAGCCTCTCGAGTAGCTGGGACTGCAGGCACGCGCCACCACACCCGGATAATTTTTGTATTTTTAGAAGAGATGTGATTTCACCATGTTGGCCAGGATGGTCTCGATCTCCTGACCTCGTGATCTGGCCACCTTGGCCTCCCAAAATGCTGGGATTACAAGCGTGAGCCACCACGTCCGGCCTGTTTGTTTGTTTTGAGACAGGCTGAAGTGCAGTGGCATGATCACAGCTCATGGCAGCCTTGACTTCCCAGGCTCAGGTGATCCTTCTGCCTAAGCCCACCAGTAGCTGGGACTACAGGCAAATGCCAACATGCCCGCTAATTTTTGTATTAGTAGAGATGGGTATTTGTTTGTTTGTTTGTTTTGAGACAGAGTCTCACTCTGTCGCCCAGGCTGGAGAGCAGTGGTGCGAGCTTGGCCTACTGCAACCTCTGCCTCCTGGTTTCAAGTGATTCTCGAGCCTTGGCCTCCCCAGTAGCTGGAACTACAGGTGCATGCCTGTAGTTACAGGCGTGAGCCACCACCCCTGGCCTCTCCATTCTTTCCCACGAATCCCTATCACATTCTTCTCACTCTATTGGGTGTCAAAAATGTAGAACTTCCATGCTTCCATCTCGTTCTTTTAAAAATTGTGTTTTTGTGGCCGGGCACGGTGGCTCATGCCTGTAATCCCAGCACTTTGGGAGGCCAAGGCGGGCAGATCATCTAAGTTTAGGAGTTTGAGACCAGCCTGACCAACGTGGAGAAACCCCATCTCTATTAAAAAAAAAAAATACAAAATTAGCCAGGCGTCGTGGCACATGCCTGTAATCCCAGCTACTCCGGAGGATGAGGCAGGAGAATTGCTTGAATCCGGGAGGCAGAGGTTGCAGTGAGCCAAGATCACGCCATTGCACTCCAGCCTGGGCAACAAGAGCAAAACTCCGTCTCTAAATAAATAAAATTCTGTTTTTGTAAACGCTTTATACTTTTTTTTTTTTTTTAAAGAAACCAATTAAGGATGAGAACCAGGGCTCCTTCGATAAATGGCCAATTCTAGGACTCTGGTAAGAAATGTGAGAGATGAGCCTGGAGAATCTAGTAGTGCCCGGAAGGACAGGAATGCTGAACAAAACAAAAAAAAGTTAATGATGGGGCATGTTTTCATTTATTTATTTTTATTTTATTCTTCTTATTATTATTATTTTGAAATGGAGTCTCACTCTGTCACCCAGGCTGGAGTGCAGTAGTGCAGTCTCGGCTCACTGCAACCTCTGCCTCCCAGGTTCAAGTGATTCTACTGCCTCAGCCCCCCAAGTAGCTGGGATTACAGGCACACACCACCACGCCCAGCTAATTTTTGTATTTTTAGTAGAGATGGGGTTTCACCAGGTTGGCCAGGCTGGTCTTGAACTCCTGACCTCAGGTGATCCACCCGCCTCGGCCTCCCAAACTGATGGGATTACAGGCGTGAGCCACTGCGCCCGGCCACCCAGCTAATTTTTCAAAAATTTCTGTAGTGACAAGGTCTCACTATGTTGCCCAGGCTGGTCTCAAACTCCTGGGCTCAAGCGATTTTTCCGCCTCTCCAAGTGCTGGGATTACAGGTGTGGGCCACTGTACCCAGCCCTACTTCCTTCTTAATAGTATATTTCTAAGTAATAGCAGAATTGCCCAAATGAGCATCCTACAAGCAGTTGGCGCTGTGGAAACTCTATTATGTCTTGGGGGTGCCCAGTGCCCTGGCTTTCCCTGCAGTACACGATTCTGCACTTGCAAAGGGGAATGCCCCAAACAGGGAACTCTCTGCAGGTCTTGCTGGAATCAATAATATGTAAATACTAAAAACCGATGTATTGCCACTCTTTAAGCAATCACGTTGAAGATTGCTACTGGCAATAGAGCTTTCAGAGAGAATCACAAAGCAGAAAGTTCAAGGTCCTTTGAGAAGGAACTGACATGCAAATATTTTATGTTGTATGTTTGTTTTTTCTTTTTAGAAACAGAGTCTTGATATGTTGCTCAGTCTGGCCTCCAACTCCTGGGCTCAAGTGAGCCAATGCCTCAGCCTGCCATGGAGCTGGGACTACAGATGTGAGCCATTGCACCTGGCTTATGCTGGGAGTTATTCAGAATCATATGCTTTGGCACCACCTTGCAGTAAGAAAACTAAGATGCATAACCAGTTAGAAGGGCCTCACTCCTTATAGGGGTCTCAGAGCAGGGCCAAGACGGTCCTGAACAAGCCATGCTGGGACCACCCCCAGGACAAACGATGGATGTAGGTTCAACACTCTCTTTTTCTGTGGCCTGTATAGGGACCAAAATACTTTCCTAGCACTGTTCAGTCTTTGCAGCTGGAACATGGTTCTTTTTTTTGTTTGTTTGTTTGTGTGTGTGTGTGTGTTTGTTTTTGAGACAGGGTCTGGCTCTGTCTTCCAGACTGGAGTGCAGTGGTGGGATCATGGCTCACTGCAGCCTCAACCACCTGTGCTCAAGTGATCCTCCTGACTCAGCCTCCTGAGTAGCTGGGACTACAGGCACGCACCACCATGTGCAGCTAATTTTAAAATTTTTTGTAGAGACGGGATCTCACTGTGTTGCTCAGGCTGGTCTCAAACTCCTAGGCTCAAGAGATCTTTCCACCTCAGCCTCCCAAAGTGCTGGGATTAGAGGTGTGAGCCACTGCACTGGCCTGGACTGTGGTTCTAAGTGCTCACCCTCCCAAATCCCAAATCAACAAAAATTCTGCTGACTGGGAGTGACCTACCTTCTGGGTAGACCTTTTTTTTTTTCTTTTTTTTTTTTCTTGAGACGGAGTCTCGCTGTGTCACCAGGCTGGAGTGCAGTGGTGCGATCTCAGCTCACTGTAATCTCCGCCTCCTGGGTTCAAGCAATTCTCCTGCCTCAGCCTCCCGAGTAGCTGGGACTACAGGCGCCCGCAACCACGCCCAGCTAATTTTTGTATTTTTAGTAGAGACGGGGGTTTCACCATGTTGGCCAGGCTGGTCTTGATCTCCTGGCCTCAGGTCATCCGCCTGCCTTGGCCTCTCAAAGTGCTGGGATTACAAGAGTGATCCACGGTGCCTGACCTTGCCGGGCCTTTAAAATCATAAATTTGCTGCAAATCAAGCTGCCCCGGCTCCATTTACTCACTTCCCCGGTGTCCCCCGGGGCTCCTTCCTCACTTCCCATCTCCCCTTCTTCCCTGCAGAGGTTTTAGGTTCCTGATCATTTCAGGAAGCAGCTGTGTTCTCCAGGGGAAAGGCGAGGTCCTAAGGCAACCCAGTGCCCTGCACTCCGCCTATTGTTATTCGTCTTCCGCCCTCCAGCAGCCACAATAGTCTTTCCCCGCAGGAAACACCACAACTCTGAGGTCCCAGAACCGCCCCAAAGCCACAAAAGGCTATTGAGTGCTTTAAATGGGGCGAGTCGGAGCTCAGACGTGCTCTCGCTGTAAAATGCACACTGGATTTTGAAGACTTTTATGAGAAAAAAGAATGTGCAGCCTCTCATTAGCAAATTTCTGTATTTGTTGAAATAATATTTTGGATATAACGAGTTAACTAAATCGTATTATTAAAATTAATCGCTGGCCGGGCGCGGTGGCTCATGCCTGTAGTCCCGGCGCTTTGGGAGGCCGAGGCGGGCGGATCAACTGAGGTTGGGAGTTCGCGACCAGCCTGACCAACATGGAGAAACCCCTTCTCTACTAAAAATACAAAATTAGCCGGGTGTGGTAGTGCACGCCTGTAATCCCAGCTACTCGGGAGGCTGAGGTAGGAGAATTGTTTGAACCCAGGAGGTGGAGGTTGTGGTGAGCCGAGATCGGGCCATTGCACTCCAGCCTGGGCAACAAGAGCGAAACTCCGTCTCAAAAAAAAAAAAAAAAGAAAATTAATCGCATCTGTTTCCTTTTACCTCTTTAATGGTGGCTACCAGAAAATTTTAAATTGCGGCTGTGGGTGGCACCACACTTCTCTTGAAGGACACTACTCCAAAGGTTCCCCGTCCCACTCCGCACAGTTGACCCCAACCCAGTAGGGAACCACACTCTCTTTAACGCCCCCTAGCGTCAGGTACGGATTCATACACGTTTATTATCTTTCAGGTCTCAGTGCTTTTGCAAACCTTCTCTTCTACAACCCTCTCCTGCAATACATCTGGGAGGTGGGATCATCGTTCACACATTACAGAGGAGGCAGTGATGGTTTTCAAATGAAAAGTGACTTCGCCAAGGACACATGCAGCTGGGCTGTGGAGGGCCTAGTCTGTCTCCTTTTTCCATCCCTCGTTTATTTCCAGAGCTGTTCCTACACCTGAAAAGCGCCACTCCCCCTGCACACCCTGGCAGACAACCGGATTCGATGGCCCTGGCAGCCCGAACGCCAACAAACACCCAGTGTCTTTCTGAAGCGACCATAAGCCATTCGAGGAAACACGCACGGGGTCCTGCTTGTCCTGGCCTTGTCCCCAATGCCCAGGGCAGTGAGAGCAGCTCTACACGGAGGCCAGTCCCTGAGGCTTCCTCGGTGGCCTCAGACCTCGGAGTACACACGTGCAGTCCTTACCTCCCAAAGATAAACCTAACCTCTCACTCTGCTCTTCACCTACTTCAGACTGCTGTCCCATATATGGTCACCAGAGACATATGAGAACCACTAGAGATAGCCCCAAACTGAAAACTGCCCACGGGCTACCCATAGCAGAATGAATAACTGATGTAATGAGGAAAATCATTCAGCAACGAGAGGGAAAGAACGCTCGATGGCATGGAGTCCCAGCTGTAGTCCCAGCTCCTTGGTAGACCGAGATGGGAGGATCACTTTAACCCAGGAGTTTGAGTCCAGCCTGGGAGATATGGCAAGACCTTGTCTCTAATAAAATAAAATAAGTGGAATTGGGAAAATTACAATTTTAAAAGAAACAAAAATTTTTAGTAGAGATGGGGTTTCACCATGTTGTCCAGGCTAGTCTTGAACTCCTGACCTCAGGTGATTAAAGAGGCTGAGTGCGGTGGCTCATGCCTGTAATCCCAGCACTTTGGGAGGCCAAGGCAGGTGGATCACCTGAGTTCAGGAGTTCAAGACTAGCCTGGCCAAAATGATGAAACCCCATCTCTACAAAAAAAAAAAAAAAAAAAAAAATGAACCGGGCATGATGAGACAGGCCCCACGCCTCTCGCTTCCGAGACTGTAATGGCTGCCTGGTCCCGCCAAGGCCACACCCGCTCCGGCGCTACAGCACCCCGCCCCGCCCCGGACACGCCCCCTCCGTCCCTACAGAACCCCGCCCCGCCCCTTGGCCTTCAGGCCCACTTCCCTGGGGGCGGGGTTTTCTGGCCCCGCCCCTGAACAAACTATGGAGTGGGAGGAGCCCGCGACTGGGAGAGCGAGGCGCGGGACGCGGGGAATGCAGAGCAGACCAAGGAGAAAGACCGTCGTACGAAGGGAGCACTAGACAACTGAAGTAGGAACAGGATGAGCTCAGGTGTTAAGTGCAGGAAAACAAAGACCCGTCAGATGAGCCAGTCAGGAGGGTCCTGGCCCCAACGGACCGAGGGGTCTAGGCCGGGGGAACGGCCAACACCTGAGAGGTGGTCCTGGCTCCCCGGGGGCTCAGAACGCTCAGGAAGGCACCAGCTGCAGCCAAGGGCACAACCCAAGAAGGCACCTTAAGCACAGGGATGGAATTAGTTTGGGGCCAAACGCTGTTGGTTAGGTCACTTCCCTCCCGGGGAGCCCTTGCTTCGTCATCGGTAAAGTTGGGACAAAAGCCACCTGGCAGGACTTGGGAGGACTTTAGGTGACCGTGTAGATGGAGCAAACTCTGCCCCATCACATCCTCCTCTTCCATTTTTTCCTAGCACCGTCGCTGCTCCTTTGCCCTAGAATGTAAGCCCCTGAGAGCAGGGCCTCATTCCTTCAGTTTCTCTCTGTGTCCTTAGCCCCTGCTTTGTAACAGTGCCTGGCACACAGGAGGCCATTGCAAAGAGTAGTCACGTGAATGAAAAGCCTAGCAAAGAAGCCAGCACACTGTGGGCATTTAAAAATGGCAGCTCTTAGCCCAAAGGAAAGACGGGCAGACCTGCAAGGGGCACCAGGCCAGTCTTGATTTGGGAGGTGGTTACACTCTCACACAGGCTGGGATTGAAATCTGGATTTCTCACTTTGTCTTCATGTCACTGGCCCCGCCCTCTTCCCATCCCGCTCCCAAACTGGGAGCTTAAGGGTTAACTCTAGGAAGCCCCTCATCACCTGGATGGGATGGGACTGGGGCAAGGAACTTCCTGTTCCATTTTCCCAGAGCCCTTCCCCAGGCTGGCGGAGGCTGGCTTTGGCCCTGGAGTCCTCAGAAAACCCCCCAGCATCTCTGCCTGTGTAGTGGGGACTCCGAGTGGTGAGTTGGAGGGAGGTCGGGGTGCAGGCTGCCAGGACGGGTGCTAGGAGCTCGCAGCAGCTTGGAGAGAGCAGGGGAGGCTCCAGGCCTTGGTGCTGGGGTGGGGGCTGGAAGAGTCTTGGGAGGATGTAGAGGGTCTGCTGGGGAGCCTCGTGCCAGCCAGCTTGGTGGACCTGTCGCGATGGGGGCGTTGGGGACGAGGGAGATCGCAGAACTTCCTGTGACATTGAAGAAGGCTGGCTTCACGTGCTCCCAGGTGGACTGATGGGCCTTGTCCACTCAGCCCAGCACGCGGAGGGAGGCCCCTCCAACAAACAACAAATCAGGCAGCTGCCAACTGTGTCCAGGGAGAAAGGGAGTGTTCCCGGCTGAGGACCCCACCTTTGCCGCCTTCCCCAACTCTGGGCTCTCAGGTGACCTGGGTGGGTCTCGTGGCAGCACCTCCACCCCGGGCTCCAAATTAAGCTGCTCAAATGTTGGATGGTGGCTGTAGAGCCTCTGCCTGCCTCCCTACCCAGCCCACCCCCAACAGAGGTGCATATTAACAGAGCTTTTGTCCTGGAGATCTGGGGGGAGGGAGAGATTCTCTGAAGCCAACTTGTCTCGAATTCCACCTCTTTGAAACCTTTTGGAGAGATCTCACCTGGAGATTCCGGCCTCCCTGTGTGGCTTGCCCTGAGAGCTGAAATTTGGAATCTTCATTTTTTTTCTGTTTCATGCTGTGATATTTCGGCTAAGGCTAGGAAAATGGCACAGAGCAGGATGGAGATCAGTTCCTTTTCTGTTTCAGAGCTTTGGCACTGTGTTCTAGACCTACACTCTCAGCCTAAAGCAAACCTTGGCTCCACCTGGTGTGACCCTGAGCATGTCACCAAGTGCAAAGCTTGGTCTTTGCACTTGGCAAAGGGAGAAGTGATTGTTTCGTGCGTGGGCTGGACTGGGATGAAATGAGCTTAATCGCCAGACACTCAGTACCTGCCCGCTGCTCCTGCACGGCAATGGATGAGCAGTGATTAGTTTTCTTGTTATTTTGTGCATGCTACTAAAAACCAGTGAAACGTAATCCCATTTTCTTCCCCCTCCCCCACTCTTTTTTTTTCTTTTCTTTTCTTTTCTTTCTTTCTTTCTTTTTTTTTTTTTTTTTTTTGAGACAGGGTCTTCGCCTTTTATCCAGGCTGGTGTGCAGTGGCGCGAACATGGCTCACTGCAGCTTTGACCCCCCAGGTTCAAGCAATCCTTCTGCCTTGGCCACCCAAAATGCTGGGATTATAAGCATGAGCCACCGCATCCGGCCTCACAACACCATTTTTCTGATCATTTATCACAGACTTTTTCTGTCCTAGACGTTGTTACATGCTTTCCTTCGAGATGGCCAGAATCACTGCCATTCCCTAATTTCTGCTAACAGACACTGAAGCAACTTCAAGTGCTGGATGAACACTCATTGAACTAGACACAGCTCCTACTCCCAGGCCAGGCAGAGAAATACGCTCATCTGTGATTGAGGCACTCCATCGCCCTAGTGGGGAGAGATGGGGTGGGAGGATGGGGGCTGCCTGGAGTGGATGCCAGAGGGCAGGAAAGCGTAGTTCCGGCTCGGGGGTGGTTACACTCTCACACATGCAGGGGTTGAAATCTGGATTTCTCACTTTGTCTTCGCTTATCTGGCCCCACCCTGTCCCCATCCACCTCCCAAACTGGGAGCTTGAGGGTTAACGCTAGGAAGCCCCTCAACACCTGGATGGGATGGGACTGGGGCAGGGAACTTCCCGTTCCATTTTGTCAGAGTCCTTCCCCAGGTGGCTGAGGTTGGGAGATGCAGGGGAGCCGGGGTAGGGGTGAGGGGCTTGGAAGATACTGTGTGTTGCAGGGAGGTTGGGAGAGATGGGTCATGTTCTAGAATCACCTCCCCTCCTTCTCAGCGGCTAAGCTTAAAATCCCCCATTCTGTACCACAACACCACCCCACCTGAGGAGGTTCAGGGAACCCTCAGGCTCATATTAAGGGGGTACAGCAAACTGTCCAAGGCTCTCAACTAGGCCATCGTTACCAGGGAGAGGCTGCCCAAGGCTGAGTTACTTTTTTTTTTTTTTGAGACAGATTCTCATTCTGTTGCCCAAGCTGGAGTGTAGTGATGCAATCTCAGCTCACTGCAACCTCTGCCTCCTGGGTTCAAGAGATTCTCCTGCCTCAGTCTCCCGAACAGCTGGGACCACAGATGCATGCCACCATGCCCGGATAATTTTTTTTTTTTTTTTTTTGAGGCAGAGTCTAATTCTGTCGCCCAGGCTGGAGTGCAGTGGCACGATCTCGTCTCACTGCAACCTCCGCCTCCCAGGTTCAAGCAATTCTCCTCTCTCAGCCTCCTGAGTAGCTGGGACTACAGGCGCATGCCATCACGTCCGGCTAATTTTTGTAATTTTAGTAGAGACAAGGGTTTCACCATATTGATCAGGCTGGTCTCGAACTCCTGACCTCAGGTGATCCATCCACCTCGGCCACCCACACTGCTGGGATTACAGGCCTGAGCCACTGCACTCGGCCACTGGGTTACCTTTTTGCTGAGCCTTAGTGTCCTCGGCTGTAGAATGGGTCAGTGATGGGCCCAACAGAACTGTGAGTCACTGTTTGCTGCGGTGCTTGGTGTTGTAATCAGCAGCAATGAGAACAGTAATAGCTCGTGCTCATGGATGCCTACTGTGTGCCAGCCACTGCATGCTGGACAGTGCCCTGTGCCATTCAGGTGAGTGGAGTGGTGCTTCAGGCTTTCTTCACATCCCCCTACCTGGGGTGCCAACTGGGAGTGGAGGGTGGGAGGCTCTAGGAGAGGTTCACTTGTAGCCCTGAGGCTAGAGAACAGGAAGGGCAGAAAGCAGAGGGCAGGAGCCTGGATTTCCATGTCTATAAAATGACCCCTGCCTGAAATAAAATGTAAAAGAGACTCAAACAAAAATATGAGCCTGCTCTGCTCTGCTCAGAAAAGCTTAAATCATCCAGCCTCAATTAGTTGAGCAGGGCTGAACTGAGTCCCCTGTGGGTGGGGCCGAAATTTCGGAGGTTCCCCATGGGTAGTACTGGGCTACCAGACCAGGAAGGGGAAGCCCCACAGCCCTAGATTGGGAGGAGGTTGGGGGAGGATGTCAGTGCCTCCTGGTGGCTATAGATGACTTATTTTATATTTTTTATTTTTTGAGACGGGCTGGCACTGTCGCCTAGGCTGGAGTGCAATGTTGCAGTCACAGCTCACTGCACTGCAGCCTCAACCTCCTGGGATCAAGCAATCTTCCCACCTCAGCCTCCCAGGTAGCTAGGACCACAGGTATACACAACCATGACTGGCTAAATTTTTTTTTTTTTTTTTTGAGATGGAGTCTGGCTCTGTCGCCCAGGCTGGAGTGCAGTGGCGCGATCTTGGCTCATTGCAAGCTCTACCTCCCTGTTTCACGCCATTCTCCTGCCTCAGCCTCCTGAGTAGCTGGGACCACAGGCACCCGCCACTGCGCCCGACTGATTTTTTTTATTTTTATTAGAGACGGGGTTTCACCGTGTTAACCAGGATGGTCTCGATCTCCTGACCTGGTGATCCACCCTCGGCCTCCCAAAGTGCTGGGATTACAGGCGTCAGCCACTCAGTGCCCCCAGCAACTGGCTAAATTTTTAATTTTTTTTTTTTTTGAGACGGAGTCTCGCTGTCGCCCAGGCTGGAGTGCAGTGGCATGATCTCGGCTCACTGCAAGCTCCGCCTCCGGGGTTCACGCCACTCTCCTGCCTCAGCCTCCCGAGTAGCTGGGACTACAGGTGCCCGCCACCACCCGTGGCTAATTTTTTGTATTTTTAGTAGAGACGGGGTTTCACCATGTTAGACAGGATGGTCTCGATCTCCTGACCTTGTGATCTGCCTGCGTCAGCCTCCCAAAGTGCTGGGATTACAGGTGTGAGCCACCACACCCTGCCCTACATTTTTAATTTTTTTAGAGACGGGGGTCGTGCCATGTTGCCCAGGGCTGGTCTTGAACTCCTGAGGCTCAAGTGATCCTCCTGCCTCAGCCTCCCAAAGTGCTGGGATAACAGGCGTGAGCCAGCCCCGCTAACCTTTCATTTTGAAAATTCGAAAACATCCAGAGAACTTGAAAGAGCAGTGAAATGAACATTCATATATGTATCTCATATATCAGGCCCCTTCTCCAAACTCTTCAGCGTCTTCTAAGAACTCAGCCATTTCCTATATATTACAAGACTAGACTTTCATCTCAGAAATGGGTAGTCATACTGTTATCATCTAGTATCCCCACCATACTCACCATTTTCCGACTGGCCCCAGGATGTCTTTTAAAGCCTTTAAGAAAAATGAATGAGGATCCAATCTAGGTTCACCCACTTAGTTGTGAGGACTCTTTGGGCTCCTGTCCACCAGCGCCTCCTACAGGCACTTACTTTTTATGACACTGAGTAACTCAGGCCAATTTCTTTGAGAGATGGTCTGACTTGTTCCATATTCCCTGCAAGGCCCTAAACATTGGAAGTTGGATCTAAAGGCCACCATTAGGTCGGGCGGGGTGGTTCATGCCTGTAATCCCAGTACTTTGGGAGACCGAAGCGGGCGGATCACCTGAGGTTAAGAGTTTGAGAGCAGCCTGGCCAACATGGTGAAACCCCATCTCTACTAAAAATACAAAATTAGCGGCATGCGGTGGCGCGTGCTTGTAATCCCAGCTACTCACGAAGCTGACGGACGAGAATCACCGGAACCCGCGAGGCGGAGGTTGCGGTGAGCCGAGATCTTGCCATTGCACTCCATCCTGGGCAACAAGAGTGAAACTCCATCTCAAATAAATAAATAAATAAAGGCTGGTTGGATTGAGATTAGGTATTTTTGGGCTAGGCACAGTGGCTCACGCCTGTAATTCCAGCACTTTGAGAGGCTGAGGCAGGTGGATCACTTGAGCCCAGGAGTTTGAGACCAGCCTGGGCAACATAATGAGAACTCGTGTCTACAAAAAATAAATAAAATTAACCCAGCATGGTGATATGCACCTGTAGTCCCAGCTACTCGGGAGGCTGACGCGGGAGGATCACTTGAGCCCAGCAGATCAAGGCTGCAGTGAGCCGTGATTGCGCCACTGCACTGCAGCCTGCGTGACAGAGTGAGACCCTGTCTCAAAAAAATAAATAAATTACTTAATTAAATTAAAAATTTAAAAAACAGGCTTGGTGCAGTGGTTCACGCCTTAATCTCAGCAATTTGGGAGACTGAGGTGGGCTGATCACTTGAGGTCAGGAGTTCAAGACCAGCCCAGCCAACATGGTGAAACTCTTGTGTCTACTAAAAATGCAAAAATTAGCTGGGCGTGCTGCCACAGGCCTGTAATCCCAGCTACTGTAAACCCAGGCTGAGGAATGAGAATCGCTTGAACCTGGGAGGTGGAGGCTGCAGAGAGCTGAGATCATGCCACTGCACTCCAGTCTGGGTGATATAGCAAGACTCCATCTCAAAAAAAAAAAGAAAAAAAAAAGCTTTAAAAAACAAACTTTTTTGGCCAGGATCCATCTTGATGGTGCCATGTGCTCCCAGTGGCTACATCAGGAAGAAGGGAAGGGCAGGGTGTTTCTCTTTCAGGGATGGTCACTTTAATCACTTGGGAAAAGTGATGCAAATTTCTTTTTTTTTTTTTTTTGATCTGAGTCTCGCTCTGTCACCCAGGCTGGAGTGCAGTGGCGCGATCTCGGCTCACTGTAAGCTCCGCCTCCCAGGTTCACACCATTCTCATGCCTCAGCCTCCCCAGCAGCTGGGACTAAATTAGCCTGGCTAATTGTTTTGTATTTTTAGTAGAGACGGGATTTCACCGCGTTAGCCAGGATGGTCTCGATATCCTGACCTCGTGATCCACCCGCCTCGGCCTCCCAAAGTGCTCGGATTACAGGTGTGAGCCACTGTGCCCGGCCAAGTGATGTAAATCTCTAAATGCTTTAAGGAGGGATGATAATACAGAACTGTCAGTTTTCTCTGGCCTTTGCTTTGTTGGTAACCCTGAGACCGGGGGCTGTCCTGCCCTCGTGAGCCATTACCCAGTGAGAAAAGCGATTCCTCTGGGTCTGCGTATTGGGTGTCTTTTAACATGGATGACCCAGGTATGGGGCCAGCTTCCTCGCAGCAGATCCTAACCCAGGGTGTTCACCTTCGCAGGTGTGGGAGGAGAGGAGAGAGACCCAAGAGCGGGGCTGGCGTTAGGGAGGCATCCCCGCAGTGAAGGATGCTTGGAGAATCAGTCCCAGCTGCCGTGGAGCAGGAGCAGCTGGGGGAAGTCAAGCTGGAGGAGGAGGAGGCTGTCAGCCCAGAGGACCCCAGGCGACCAGAGTCCAGGCTGAGGCCCGAGGTGGCTCACCAGCTGTTCAGATGCTTCCAGTATCAGGAGGACATGGGGCCACGGGCGTCCCTGAGCCGGCTCCGGGAGCTCTGCGGCCACTGGCTGCGGCCGGCTCTGCACACCAAGAAACAGATCCTGGAGCTGCTGGTGCTGGAGCAGTTCCTGAGTGTGCTGCCTCCGCACCTCCTGGGCCGCCTGCAGGGGCAGCCGCTCAGGGATGGGGAGGAGGTGGTGCTGCTGCTCGAGGGCATCCACCGGGAGCCCAGCCACGCGGGGCCGCTGGTGAGAGGGTGGGGCAGCGGGCTGAGCAGCATGCGGATGATGGGGACTTGATCCCCCCAGTGAGGAATCTCTGGAAACTTCACTTTCCCCCACCTGACCATTCCTTCTTCACCTCCTAACTCCTCCCCTGGCTGACTCTAACCTCGTTTCTGTCCCATGTCCCCTCGGAGTCAGGACACAGGTTGCCACCCCGGGAGTCACTTAACTTGAATGTGTTTTGAACAGGATTTTAGTTGTAATGCTGGCAAGAGTTGTCCCCGTGCAGACGTCACCTTGGAGGAAAAGGGGTGTGCTTCCCAGGTCCCCAGCCACAGCCCCAAGAAGGAATTGCCTGCGGAAGAGCCTTCAGTGCTGGGCCCATCGGATGAGCCTCCCCGACCCCAGCCAAGGGCTGCCCAGCCTGCTGAGCCGGGACAGTGGAGGCTTCCCCCAAGTTCAAAGCAGCCGCTGAGCCCGGGGCCCCAGAAGACATTCCAGGCCCTGCAAGAAAGCAGTGAGGAGCTTGTGCCCTAGGAGGCCAAGGACTGGGTGTCGCGGAGGGGCCTGGATGTCTGGGGTGGGGTGAGAAGTGGGGCCTCCCCAGGTGACCAGGACAGGAGAGCGCCAAGGTGTCTTCACAGGGCCCGGATGATGCGGTGTGTGTCCTTGCAGCCATATGGCAGGCAGGGCTGCCTTCTAACAGCACTTCCTCCCCTCTTCCCCAATGCCGTCAGGTCCCCAGGGCCCCTCACCATGGCCAGAGGAGAGTTCCCGAGATCAGGAGCTGGCGGCTGTGCTGGTGAGCTGGGCCGCACCCCAGGGTGTCCTCAAGCCCCAGGAACTTCTCTACCCTGTAGTTTTAGCAAATCCATACCTTCCCTGATTCAGTCCTAGGAAGCATTTCAGTCCCCACAGGTTCCTGAGGCATGTTCCTCACTCACCAAGGGTTTCTGCTCTTGATACAGGAGTGCCTGACCTTTGAGGATGTGCCAGAGAATAAGGCGTGGCCTGCACACCCCCTGGGTAAGCAACCCTTCCCTGGAGAAGTGACCACTGATGCCTCTTTCTTTTCTTGTCTTTTTTAAAGAGATGGAATCTCGCTATGTTGCCCAGGCTAGTCTCCACTCCTGGGCTCAAGTGATCCTCCCACCTCAGCCTCCCAAAGTACTAGGATTACAGGCATGAGCCACCGTGACCGGCCAACACCTCTTTCTTTGCCTGAAGCTCCAGACCCTACCTGACTTTTTGGCCTTTTTGTTTTTTGAAACAGGATGTTACTCGCCCAGACTGTGGCACAATCATGGCTCACTGCAGCCGGGACCTCCTGGGCTCAGGTAATCCTCCCACCTCAGCCTCCCGAGTAGCTGGGACTATAGGTGTGTGCCACCACGCCCAGCTAACTTTTTGTAGAGAGGTCAAATAAAAGGGCACCCTTGTTTGACCTCCACCCTCTCTACCAACCTACCAGGTTTTTTTGTTTGTTTGTTTGTTTTCAGACAGAGTCTCACTGTGTTGCCTAGGCTGGAGTGCAGTGGAACCATCTCCGCTCACTGCAACCTCCGCCTCCCGGGTTCAATCGATTCTCCTGCCTCAGCCTCCCGAGTAGCTGGGACCACAGGCATGCGCCACTACACCCAGCTAATTTTTGTTTTGGTTTTTTTTTTTTTTTTTTGTAGAGACGGGGCTTCACCATGTTGGCCAGGGTGGTCTTGAACTCACTCCTGACTTCAAGTGATCCGCCCGCCTCGGGCTCCCAAAGTGCTGAAATTACAGGCGTGAACCACTGTGCCCGGCCTTTTACCTACCAGCTTTGCAGGATCCTGGGTTTCTTTCCACTTCCAGGCCAATCAGGTTCTGGTGATTGATAGTGGCCCTGGGAATAGGCCTGACCGTCCCTGTTTTGTCTTGTTTCCCAGGATTCGGAAGCAGAACCCCAGACAAGGAGGAATTTAAACAAGAAGAGCCCAAAGGGGCTGCCTGGCCCACTCCCATCTTAGCAGAGTCCCAGGCAGATAGTCCTGGGGTGCCGGGAGAGCCTTGCGCCCAGTCGCTCGGACGGGGCGCTGCGGCTAGCGGCCCTGGTGAAGATGGGTCCCTTCTTGGCAGCAGTGAAATTTTGGAGGTCAAAGTGGCTGAGGGCGTCCCCGAGCCCAATCCGGAGTTGCAGTTCATCTGCGCGGACTGCGGGGTGAGCTTCCCGCAGCTGTCTCGCCTGAAGGCGCACCAGCTGCGCTCGCACCCGGCTGGGCGCTCCTTCCTGTGCCTTTGCTGCGGGAAGAGCTTCGGCCGCAGCTCCATTCTCAAGCTGCACATGCGCACTCACACGGACGAGCGGCCGCACGCCTGCCACCTGTGCGGCCACCGCTTCCGCCAGAGCTCGCACCTGAGCAAGCACCTGCTGACCCACTCCTCCGAACCCGCCTTCCTGTGCGCAGAGTGCGGCCGCGGCTTCCAGCGCCGCGCCAGCCTTGTGCAGCACCTGCTGGCGCACGCCCAGGACCAGAAGCCGCCCTGCGCTCCTGAGAGTAAGGCCGAAGCGCCGCCACTGACCGATGTCCTGTGCTCCCACTGCGGCCAGAGCTTCCAGCGCCGCTCCAGCCTCAAGCGCCACCTGCGGATCCACGCCAGGGACAAGGACCGCCGGTCCTCCGAAGGCTCCGGCAGCCGCCGCCGGGACTCCGACCGGAGGCCCTTCGTGTGCAGCGACTGCGGCAAGGCCTTCCGGCGCAGCGAGCACCTGGTGGCCCACCGGAGGGTGCACACGGGCGAGCGGCCCTTCTCCTGCCAGGCTTGCGGCCGCAGCTTCACGCAGAGCTCGCAGCTGGTCAGCCACCAACGGGTGCACACGGGCGAGAAGCCCTACGCCTGTCCGCAGTGCGGGAAGCGCTTTGTGCGCCGGGCCAGCCTTGCCCGCCACCTGCTGACCCACGGTGGCCCTCGGCCCCACCACTGCACCCAGTGCGGGAAGAGTTTCGGCCAGACCCAGGATCTGGCCCGCCACCAGCGCAGCCACACGGGCGAGAAGCCCTGCCGCTGCAGCGAGTGCGGTGAGGGCTTCAGCCAGAGCGCCCACCTGGCGCGCCACCAGCGCATCCACACAGGGGAGAAGCCCCACGCCTGCGACACCTGCGGCCACCGTTTCCGCAATAGCTCCAACCTGGCCCGCCATCGCCGCAGCCACACGGGCGAGCGGCCCTACAGCTGTCAGACGTGCGGTCGCAGCTTCCGGCGCAACGCGCATCTGCGGCGGCACCTGGCTACCCATGCGGAGCCCGGGCAGGAGCAGGCCGAGCCCCCGCAGGAGTGCGTGGAGTGCGGGAAGAGCTTCAGCCGCAGCTGCAATCTGCTGCGACACCTGCTGGTGCACACGGGCGCCAGGCCCTACTCCTGCACGCAGTGTGGCCGCAGCTTCAGCCGCAACTCCCACCTGCTGCGCCACCTGCGCACCCACGCCCGCGAGACGCTGTACTAGCTTGGCCCGCCTTCCGCCAGCCGCGCCCTGCGCCACCTACCCGGGGTCCTCCACAGCGGAGGCCTGCAGGAATGTCCCTTCCCACCACACCCCACTTCCCTCTCCTTCCACTTTCACAGCTGTCCTTCCCTGGCCGAGGCATTGCTTTCTGGCCTCAGCTATGTAATTAAAACGCCCGAAGTAAAATGGCCTTCTCCAAAATGGCCCCTCTTTATTTCTTTACAAGCCCACCAAAATTCGAACTGTCAGCTTTCCCTCTGGGGCACAGGGACACAGCTGCACCTTCTGGAGCAGGCTGACTGGGAGCAGGTGGGGGGAGAGTGTCGCCACCCAGAATGAGGGAGAAGGGGGAGATGTCAGCCTTCACAGCCAGCTGTGGGGAGAGCCAAGGAATCTGACCCTGGAATGTTTTCTCCTCTGGAGTCTACCCTTGATCTGTGCTGTGCGGTAAGTACTCACTTGTCACATAAGACTCCTTAAGTTGTCTGGGCATGGTGCCCATGCTCCCAGCACTTTGAGAGGCCGAGGCGGGTGGATCACCTGAGGTCAGGAGTTCAAGACCAGCCTGACCGACATGGTGAAACCCCTGTCTCTACAAAAAATACCAAAATTAGCCGGGCGTGGTGGTGTCTGCCTGTAGTCCCAGCATCCTGGGAGACTGAGACAGGAGAATTCCTTGAACACGGGAGGCAGAGGTTGCAGTGAGCCTAGATCATGCCATTGCACTCCAGCCTGGGCAACAGAGCGAGACTATGTCACCAGATGTTGCAGGAGAAATTCCTCTTGTGGACCCCAGGAAAGGACATTTCAAGGAGGAGGGATCAGTCAACTGAGAGATGGAGGGTGAGGAGTTGGGAGAGGCCACATTTGAAGCACGGGAAGCCCTCCTGATGTATTGAGTGCCTACTGTGTGCCAGGGAAGGTGCTGGGTTATTGAGGGGAATAAGGGGAAGGTGGCCTGGGAAGGATGTGGGAGGGGCGGCCCTGGCAGAGGGAGTATCAGGAAGCCAGGCCTGGGGAAGGGAGGAGCCCCAGATGCAGCTGGACAGCATCTGTCCCGGAGGGGGACACAACAGTTCCCAATGACTGAGGGCTGACACGCCAGCCCTGGGCTCATGTGCAATGGGAGACCTGCAGAGGGCTCAGGCAGGGAGGGATTTCTTTTCTAGTAATAAAATCACTTCAGCTTTGGCTACTGCATGGAAATAGATTGAGAGAGGCAAGGCCAGGGACGGCAGCTAGAAGGCGGAGACTGCTGTCCAGGCTGGGGGTGACAGAGCCCCTGGGGACAGAGTGAAACTCTGTCTCAGAAAAACAAAACAAAACAAAAAAGAACTTGAGCAGTGGCAGAGGGTAGATCCCAGCATGTGGCCCGGGGTAAGGAGAGGCGGGACCAGGGTCGAGCCATGGGCGGCCCCTCAGAGCTGGGGTCTCAGGCCAGAGACAGTCCTTCCAGGATAAAGGGACATCAGAGGTTTCTGCAGGATGCGAAGGAGGAAAGCCTGCGGGGCTCTTTGAGGCTCTGCAGAGAGAAGTCCGGATCCAGCTGCCTCCTTCCTCAGGAAGGCTGGGGGCAGCAGGGCCCAGAGAGCCTGGTGACATCATTCCTTCCCACTGGTCACCTCCCTCAGTCCTGCAGGAGCTGCTGGGACAGGGGCTGGAAGCAAGCAGGGCCCCTCAGGGTGACCAGGGCCACCAAAGGTGACTGTCGGGGTCGCTGTCCAGCTGTTTCCCCTGCTGGACACTAGGCTGCGCCAAGGAGTGCGTGCTCCAAAACTCAAGAGTGCATCCAATGCTCCAAACGGGCAGACCAGGGAGGGGCATACTGACCCCCAGCAATGTTCCTGGTCCCCAAGCCCCCCACACCCTCGAGCACACCCCAGTGTCCCTCCCAGACCGTGGGCTCAGCCCTAGGAGAGCTGCTCAGGGAGCCTCCCCTGTGGGTGTTTGCTCCTCCCCAGGCTGTGGCCCATTTCCCCTTCCTCCTTCCTGCTCAGCCCAAAGGCAGGAGTCATGGAACCCCAGGAAAGGACGGAACAGAACAGGACAGGGCCCCCAGCCCCATCTTTATCTCACCGGCTGCTGCTGGCTGCCAAGCCTCCCCTGAATGGGGGAGGGTGGTCTGTGTGAGTCAGCGGAGGCACGAAGTGGAGGAAGACGGGAGCCTCTGCCAGGCCCGTTGAGCGTGGCCTCAGAAATGGTGAGAAGTGCCCTCCCAGCTGTTCCTCCTGGCCGCCCTAGGCTCTGCAACTGCAGGGTGCTGAGGCCTCAGGCCCAGAGATTTGACCTCTGCCTTCTTGCCTCTCCCCTGAAACCAGGGCCTAGTGGGGGACTCCTGAGTCCGCTCTGCCCCAGCCCCTGGGGCCCTTGATCTTGGGAGAAAACCAAGGAGATTTTGCGGCCCCAGCCCTGCCCGGGGGATGAGGACAGAAGAGGGAGTCATGACAAGAAAGATGCAGGGCCAAAGTCCCCTCAGGCCGGGGGCCCAGGGGTGGCGATCAGGGAGCGGTTCTGTGCTTCCGGCTCTGTAATCAAGGACACGCCAGGCTGAAATCCTCTAGTCCTCAACCAACCCACCAGGGCATGGAGACCCATGCACATTATCAATAAGAAAGTCAGGGGCCTGGCCTTGCTTTTCCACATCTGGAATGTGGGTAGGTCCATCAGAGCCACGGTCTCTGCTGTCACTATTGGGCCCCCCGCCTCCCTGTTCCCGCCTGTCAGAGAAGCCTGGAGACAGGCACCTGATTCTATTTAAGCAACTTTTATTTTATTTTATTTTATTGTTTTCAGGGGAAGGTATGAATGCAGTCCCCCACTACCACAAATTATGCAGGCGAGTGTCCCACACTTGGGGAAATCACAGGGGTCAGCACATCCGGGGTGCAATTGAGACGGTTTGGCTCTATTTCACTCAAATCTCATCTGGAATTGTAATCTCCACATGTCAAGGGAAGGACCTGGTAGGAAGTGATTGGATCATGGGGGTGGTTTCCACCATGCTGTTCTGGTGAAACTGAGTGAGTTCTCACGAGGTCTGATGTTTTTCTTGTTTGTTTGTTTTGTTTTGTTTTGTTTTTTTGAGACGGAGTTTCATTCTTGTTGCCCAAGCTAGAGAGCAGTCGCGCAATCTCTGCTCACCACAACCTCCGCCTCCTGGATTCAAGCAATTCCTGCCTCAGCCCCTCTAGTAGCGGGGATTACAGGTGCACGCCACCATGCCCGGTTAATTTTTGTATTTTTAGTAGAGACGGGGCCTCACCATGTTGGCCAAGCTGGTCTCGAACTCCTGACCTCAGGTGATCCACCCACCTCTGCAGTGGGATAATTAAGGAATCAGAGAGACCGAGGGGTTAAGGTGGAATTATTTAATTATTTAGGTGCACTGACCCAGTGGGATTCACATCCAAAGGACTGAGGCTTGAACAAAGAGTCCGGTTACCTTTTAAGCATTTTGTGGGATGGGGGGAGATTTGTGCTGGGGGAAGCATATTACAGAAGCGAGAAACAAAGATAGTTATTCAGTCAAGACATGCATTACATTATTTCTTACTTTTTAAGGAACAACTTGTGTTATGACTTGAGATTATCTGTTTAGTGACCTTGCAGCTGCACAGCTAGAGAAACAGGGTCTTCACGATGCCTGGGAAAGGGAGAGATAAGGCTCACTAGCCACAGAAAAACAGGCAGTCAATTTTTAAAGGACTTTAGCTCTTTTTCTTCCTCAGGGGGAATTGGTTTTTTCTTACATACAGCTGAGTTTTTGCTTACACATTTTTTAATTTCTTTTAATTCCTGTGCTACCTTGGCCTCCCAAAGTGCTGGGATTATAGGTGTGAGCCACCACACCCAGCCTGAGATCTAATGTTTTAAAAGTGTTTGGCAGTTCCCTGCTTTCTTTCTCTCTCCCTCTCTCTCTCCCCTGCCGCCATGTAAGACGTGCCTTGCTTTCCCTTTGCCTTTCACCAAGATTGTAAGTTTCCTGAGGCCTCCCCAGTTTTTTGGAACTGTGAGTCAATTAATCCTTTTTTCTTTATAAATTACCCAGTCTCAGGTATTTTTTACAGCAGTGTGAAAACGGACTAATAGAGAAAATTAGTATCAGGCGTGGGGCACTGCTATAAAGATAACCTGAAAATGTGGAAGCAACCTTGGAACTGGGTAACAGGAAGAGGGTAGAACAGTTTGGAGGACTCAGAAGAAGATAGGAAGATATGGGAAAGTCTGGAACTTCCTAGAGACTTGTTGAATGGCTTTCACCAAAATGCTGATAGTGATATGCATAATCAAGTCCAGGCTGAGGTGGTCTCAGATGGAGATAAGAAACTTGCTAGGAATTGGAGTAAAGGAGACCCTTGCTATGCTTTAGCAAAGAGACTGAAGGAATTTTGCCCCTGCCCTGTGGAACTTTGAACTTGAGACAGATGACTTAGCATGTCCTGCAGTAGAAATTTCTTTCCTTTTCTTTTTTTTTTTTTTTTTTGAGAGGGTGTCTCTCTGTGTCACCAGGATGGAGTGAAGTGGCATGATCTTGATTTCGGCTAACTGCAACCTCTGACTCCCTGGTTCAAGTGATTCTCTTGCCTCAGCCTCCTAAGTAGCTGGGATTATAGGACACGCCACCATACCCAGCTAATTTTTGTATTTTTAGTAGAGACGGGGTTTCACCATGTTGGCCAGGATGATCTCAATCTCCTGACCTCGTGATCTGACCGCCTCAGCCTCCTAAAGTGCTGGGATTACAGGTGTGAGCCACTGCACCAGGCCAGCAGTAGAAATTTCTAAGCAGCAAAGCATTCAATAGGTGACCTGTCTTTTCCTAAAAGCGTATGGTTATATGCACTCACAAAGAAATGGTTTGAAATTAGAACTTACATTTAAAAGGGAAGCAGAGCATAAAAGATTGGAAAATTTGCAGCCTGACCATGTGGTAGAAAGAAAAATTTTTTCTGGGGAGAAATTCAAGCTAGGCCCAGGGCCTTGCTGCTCTGTGCAGCCTTGGGACATCGCCCTGTGCCCCAGCCACTCCAGCTCCAGCTGTGGCTAAAGAAGGCCAAGGTACAGCTCAGGCCGTCGCTTCAGGAGGTGCAAGTCCCAAGCCTTGGCAGCTTCCACGTGGTGTTGGGCCTGCAGGTCTGCAGAAGACAAGAGCTGGGCTTTGGGGGCCTCCGCCTAGATTTCAGTGGACCTATGAAATGCCTGGACGACCACGCAGAGGTCAGCGTCAGGGGCAGGGCTGTCATGGAGAACGGCTACTAGGACAATGCAGAGGGGAAATGTGAGGTTGGAGCCTCCACACAGGCTCTCTACTGGGGCACTGCCTAGTGGAGCTGTGAGAAGAAGACCACTCTCCTCCAGACCCCAGAATGGTAGATCCACCAAGAGTTTGTACGCTGTGCCTGGAAAAGCCGCAGGCACTCAGCACCAGCCCATGAAAGCAGCTGCGGGGGCTGCACCCTGCAGAGCCACAGGGGCAGAGCTGCCCGAGGCCCTGGGAACCCACCCCTTGCATCAGCGAGCCCTGGACGTGAGACATGGAGCCAAAGGGATCGCTTGGGAGCTTTCAGATTTAACGACTGCCCTGGTGGATTTGGGTCTTGCCTGAGGCCTGTAGCCCCCTTTTTTGGCCAATTTCTCCATTTTGGAAAGGGAACATTTACCCAATGCCTGTGCCCCCAATGTGTCTTGGAAGTAACTAACTTGAATTTACAGGCTTATAGGCAGAAGAGACTTGCCTTGTCTCAGGTGAGACTTTGGATTGGCCTTTTGGGTTGATGTTGGAATGAGTTTAGACTTTGGGGGACTGTTGGGAAGGCATGATTGAGTTTTGAAATGTGAGAAGGACATGAGGTTTGGGAGGGTCCAGGGGCAGAATGAGGTGGTTTTCTCTGTGTCCTCACCCAAATCATCTCAAACTGTAATCCCCACATGTCGAGGGAGGGGCCCGGTTGGAGGTGACTGGATCATGGGGGCAGTTTCCCCCATGCGCTTCTGGTGTGAGTGAGTTCTCACAAGATCTGATGGTTTAAAAGTGTTTGGCAGCTGGGTGTGGTGGCTCATGCCTGTAATCCCAGCACTTTGGGAGGCCGAGGTGGGCGGATCACCTGAGGTCAGGAGTTTAAGACCAGCCTGGCCAACATGGTGAAACCCCATCTGTACTAAAAACACAAAATTAGCCTGGCATGGTGGTGCATGCCTGTAATCTCAGCTACTCAGCAGGCTGAGGCAGGAGAATCGCTTGAACCAGGGAGGCAGAAGTTGCAGTGAGCCGAGATCACCCCATTACACTCCAGCCTGGGCGACAAAAGCACAACTCCATCTCAAAAAAAAAAAAAAAAAAGATGTATAGCAGTTCCCCCAACCTTGCTTCTCCTGCTGCCATGTAGGACGTGCGTTGTTTCTCTTTAGCCTTCCCCCATGATTGCAAGTTTCCTCAGGCCTCCCCAGCCATGTGGAACTTTGAGTCAATTAAATTTCTTTTGTTTATAAATTACCCAGTCTCAGGCATTCTTTGTTTTTTTTTTTTTTTTTTTTTTTTTTGATGGAGTCTTGCTGTCTCCCAGGCTGGAGTGCAGTGGCACGATCTCGGCTCACTGCAAGCTCCGCCACCTGGGTTCACGCCATTCTCCTGCCTCAGCCTCTGGAGTAGCTGGGACTACAGGCTCCCGCCACCACGCCCGGCTAATTTTTTGTATTTTTAGTAGAGACAGGGCTTCACCTGTTAGCCAGGATGGTCTCGATCTCCTGACCTCGTAATCCTCCCGCCTTGGCCTCCCAAAGTGCTGGGATTACAAGCGTGAGCCACTGCGCCCAGCCCTCAGGCATTCTTTATAGCTGTGTGAAAATGGACTAATACAGCAACAGATCAGCCTTGTCCTGTGAAACCCACCTCCGTGATCATGGTATCTCCCCTGCCAGGGAAGTATAAGCAGGTTTTATTAAGATGCCAGGGCGACAGCGCCAGGTCAGAGCTGCGGCAGGAATGCCAGGCAGGGGGACTGAGTGTGCGGGAGAGGGCGGGGCACAGGACAGCTGAGGGAGGGGTCAGGGTGGGTGCGCGGTGACTGGGAGGGCAAAGGTGGTGTCAGTATCTTCATTTTGAGGATTGGGGTTCAGAGCACTTCTGGGGTGTCAGCTCCTCCTTGCCCCCCGTGTGGCTCCGTAGGACTGGAAAGAGGACATGAAGAGCTCTGACAAAGAGCAGCAGAAACTCTGGAACTGTTTCCAGAGGGCCTGCACTGCATGGACCAGGGCCACCACCTTCTCCTTCACCCAGGCCAGAACCCCGTGCCACCAGGTCTGCAGCCGCTGCAGCATGGCCTGGAACCATCTCATGACCTTGTCACAAAAGCTCTCCCCAGGCTCCTCGGTTGCGGGATCCTCAACATCCGGGACAGGGGATCTGTTGCCTCGGCACCGTAATCCATCTCTTTCTTTTTCAAGTAGAGGAGTGAGCTCCTGTGGAATGGGAGCACCATTCAGGGTCTGTAGGTGGGGGTGTCAGCCCCAGGCCCTGGCCACACCCCGGCCTCTCAGCCTTTTCCTGACCCTGGGAGACGGAGGCCCACAGGTGTTGGTTTCCTGGCTATAAACAAAGTCTCTGCAGCACTGTGACACATTCATGATGGCCATGACGCCCACACTGGAAGGTTGTGGGTTTACCGGAATGAGGGCAAGGAACACCTGGCCTACCCAGAATGGAAAACCGCTTAAAGGCGTTCTTAAACCACAAACAATAGCCTGAGCGATCTGTGCCTTAAGGACATGCTCCTGCTGCAGTTCACTAGCCAGAGCCACCCCTTTATTTCGACCCGTCCCTTCGCTTCACATAAGGGATACTTTTAATTAATGGAATATCTATAGAAACAATGCTAATGACTGACTTGCTGTTAATAAATACTTGGGTAAACCTCTGTTGGGGCTCTCAGCTCTGAAGGTTGTGAGACCCCTGATTTCCCACTTCACACCTCTGTACTTCTGTGTGTGTGTCTTTAATTCCTCTAGCGCCGCTGGGTTAGGGTCTCCCCGACCGAGGCTCGAATCCAGGTCGAAGGGTCGCCGGAGCGATGGTTGGAGAATGTGGAAGGAGCTGGAGGACACCCGAGTATTCTTAAAGCAATCCCCATGGTGAGTAAGAAGGGGAGCTCGGAAGCATCAGGGTAACAATGGGATTGGTTTGGGGTCTGGTTCCTTCCACCTTGGAACCTTTTCAAGCTAATGAGGAGGGAGGAGAGTATAACGAAGTAACAGAAGAGGTTACAGAGCAGGTTTGTTTGCCAGCTAAAGCTAAAGCGGCAAAGGAGGGAGACGTTCATCCCTACCCTTCTGCACCCCCTACTTATTATTTTGAAGAAAAAGGGCGGCCTGACCCTCCAGATCTTTCTTTTCCGGAGGATACTGGGCGAAAAGTAGTTGCTCCAGTGACTGAGCAGCACCTCGAGCGACCTCTCTTAGTTCTATTCAGGCAGGAATTCAGCAAGCTAGACGAGGGGGTGATTTAGAGGCTTGACAGTTCCCTGTTAGAATACACCCCCCAGATCAACAGGGAAATATTATAGCTACATTTGAGCCTTTCCCTTTTAAATTACTCAAAGAATTTAAACAAGATATTCATACTAAAAAAGAATGTAGAAAATATCAAAGAAAACTGCTGAGCCTGAAATATGTCCAAAATGTAAAAAAGGAAAACATTGGGCTAATCAGTGTCACTCTAAGTTTGATAAAGCTGGAAACCCAATTTCGGGAAATGCCATGAGGTGCCCGTCCCGGGCCCGGTTCTAAATCAGGGCATTTCCAGCTGAGGCCCTTCCCTCACCCCCGTACAATGTCTGTCCCCCGCCGCAGCCGGTAGTGCCGCAGTAGATTGATGCTGCACGAAAGCCGTGAGCTTTCTGCCAGGGGAACACCCGCGAAAGGTCTCAACAGGAGTCTGTGGACCCGTGCCAGCGGGGCAATAGGATTACTTTTAGGAAGGTCTAGTTTAAGTTTAAAAGGGGACAAATACATACAGGAGTCATTGATTCGGATCACGATGGGGAAATTCAAACTGTTATATCTACTTCTGTTCCCTGGAAAGCAGAGCCAGGAGAATGTGTATCACAGCTCCTGATTGTGCCGTATGTGGGAATGGGGAAAAGTGGAACTAAAGGAACAGGAGGATTTGGAAGCACAAATAAACAAGGCAAAGTGGCTTATTGGGTCAATCAAATTGCTGATAAACGTCCTACCTGTGAAATAACTATTCAGGGAAAGAAATGTAAAGGTTTGGTAGATACAGGAGCAGACATTTCAATCATTTCTCTACAGCACTGGCCATCCGCATGGCCAAGTCAACCCGCTCAATTTAACATAGTTGGAGTTGGTAAAGCCCCTGAAGTATATCAAAGTAGTTATATTTTGCATTGTGAGGGGCCCGATGGACAACCTGGGAATATTCAACCAATTATAACTTCTGTGCCTATAAATTTATGGAGAAGAGATTTATTACAACAATGGGGAGCACAAGTTCTAACTCCAGAACAATTATATAGCCCTCAAAGTCAACATATCATGCATGAAATGGGGCATGTCCCTGGTAGGTGACTAGAAAAAAAATTTGCAAGGTTTGAAAGAACCACTTCAATTGGAAAGACAAGTTCCCGCCAAGGCTTAGGATATCATTTTTGATGGTGGCCACTGTTAAGCCTCCAGAACCTACACCTTTAAAACGGTTAACAGAAAAGCCAATTTGGATAGAAAAATGGCCGCTAAGTAAATAGAAACTGGAGGCTTTAGAGAAATTAGTTACTGAACAATTAGAAAATGGGCACATAGCGCCAACATTTTCCCCTTGGAATTCTCCAGTTTTCATAATTTAAAAAAAAATCAGGTAAATAGAAAATGTTAACCGACTTAAGAGCCATTAATTCAGTTACACAACCTATGGGAGCATTACAGCCAGGATTGCCTTCTCCTGCTATAATTCCAAAAAGTTGGCCTTTAATAGTCATAGATTTAAAAGACTGTTTCTTTACTATCCCCTTAGCTAAGCAAGACTGTGAATGGTTTGCATTTACCATTCCTGCAGTCAACAACCTGCAGCCTGCTAAGTGTTTTCATTGTTTTACAGATGGGTTTAGTAATGGTAAAGCTTCTTATTCTGGCTCAAAAAGTAGTTTTCCAGATGCCTTATAAAAAGCAAAGTTTGTAGCTGTAATTGAGGTATTGACTGCTTTTGATAGCCTATTAATGTGATTTCTGATTCTTCATATGTGGTTCATTCCACACAGTTAATTAAAAATGCTCAGTTACTATTTCATACAGATAAACAACTGATGACAAAAACAAAAAAGGGGGAGAGATAGGGATTATGGGACAGTCCATACACAATTGAATCTAGCATTATTAACTTTAGATTTTTTGAACCTGCCCAAAGGCCAGATGTCATCAGCAGCTGAACAGCATTCCAGAAACCAGCTGCAAAGACAGAAGCAGAACAACTGGTTTGGTGGAGAGATCTGATAACAAAAAGTTGGGAAACAGGTAAAATAATAACTTGGGGTAGAAGTTATGCTTGTGTTTCTCCAGGCCAAAATCAACAGCTGATCTGGATACCATCAAGACACCTGAAATCTTATCATGAGCCAGATGCTGAGGAAGAGACTCCGGGAGGATCCCGAGGACGGCCCAGTTGCAGCCATGTTGAGACTGACGCTGAGGAGGACCCCAACTGTCACGAGCAACACCTGTCGAACACAGCCACCCACCTGGGGACAGATCAAGAAGCTGTCACAGATGGCAGAAGAAAACCTGAGGAAAGCGGGACAACCAGTCACAATGAGTAATTTCATGGTAGCTATGATAGCAGTTATCACCACTGCTGTGAGTATTCCTTCAACAAGGGCTGACACACAGAACAATTATACTTATTGGGCATATTTATCAACCTTGGCTGGCAATAATGCCTAGATGTAATCACTCTATGACACAGTTACACATGCTTTCTGATCTCAGTATTTACCATAATCTGCTCCTATAATTGAGGCATACCGCCCTTAAAAACCTATTTGTAAACAAAATTGAACCTGGCCAGAAAAAATGAACGTACTTGTTTAGGAAGATTGCATTGCAGAACAGGCAGAGGTGCTGCGCAACGATTCCTATGGAATCACTGTTAATTGGTCCCCTAAGGGGATGTTTAGCTTAAATTGCACCTCTCAGCCTGCGTGCCACGGCCACACTATGTGCAGCTGGTCTGAACAAAACGGTCAGATGGTAGAAACAATAAGAAGTATGGCAAAAGTTCCTATTATCTGGAACCATGCTGGTATAGTGGCACCTCAACCTCAAACGATAAGGCCCGCTGTAGGAGCTAAACATTAAGGATTTGTAGAAACTATTAATAGCTCTTAATAAGATCAAAATTGGGGAAAGAATAAAGCATCTAGAAGGACACTCTACAAGCTTTTTGGATACAGTAAAATTAAAAGAAAAAATATTTAAAGCATCCCAGGCACACCTGACCTTAATACCAGCAACTGGAGTGCTTAAAGGAACTGCAGACAGATTTGCAGCTAGTAACCCATTAAAATGGATAAAAATACTTGGAAGCTCTGTAATTTCAATGATGTGATTGTGCTTTTAATCTGTGTTGTTTGTCTTTGTATAGTCTGCAGATGTGGATCCTAACTCCTGCGAGAAGTAACTCACAGTGACAAAGCTGCCTTTGCTTTTATCGAGTTGCAAATCAAAGAAGGGGGGACATGTTGGGAACAGGCCCCCCAAGATCTGGCCATAAACTGGCCCCAAAACTGGCTATAAACAAAATCTGCAGCACTGTGACACGTTCATGATGGCCGTGACGCCCACGCTGGAAGGTTGTGGGTTTACCGGAATGAGGGCAAGGGACACCTGGCCCACCCAGGGCGGAAAACCGCTTAAAGGCGTTCTTAAACCACAAACAATAGCCTGAGTGATCTGTGCCTTAAAGACACACTCCTGCTGCAGATAACTAACCAGACCCACCACTTTACTTCGGCCCATCCCTTCATTTCCCATAAGGGATACTTTTAGTTAATCTATTATCTATAGAAACAATGCTAATGACTGACTTACTATTAATAAATATGTGGGTAAACCTCTGTTGGGGCTCTCAGCTCTGAAGGCTGTCAGACCCCTGATTTCCCACTTCGCACCTCTGAATTTCTGTGTGTGTGTCTTTAATTCCTCTAGCGCCCCTGGTTTAAGATCTCCCTGACCGAGCTGGTCTCAGCAAGCAGAGGGTGCCCCTGCACCAGGAAAGGGGGGCACAGGAAGGCCCTGCAAGTGCAGCTGCAGCCAACAGGAACAGCAGGACACCTTCCAGAGGTGACCCCAGCCGCCTCTGCCCAGCACCCCCCTGCCCCAATCCTCCACGATCCCTTTCTCCAGTCACCCACTCAGCATGGCTGTGCTGGACACTGGGCCACAGGGCTGAAGCGACCCAGAGAACACATAGAGGAAGGGGCCACCTTACACACAGATGGGGACCCTCCTCTGGGAAGGGAGCACTTTTTGCACAGAAGTTTGAGGGGAAGGAGCTGGGTGTGGTGGCTCACTCCTGTAATCCTAGCACTTTGGGAGGCTCAGGTAGGAGTTTCACTTGAGCCCAGGAGCTCAAGACCAGCCTGGGCAACATAAGGAGAACCCCCTTCTCTACAAAAAAATTAAAAAATAGCCAGGAATGGTGGTGCACGCCTGTGGTCCCAGCTACTCAGGTTCCAAGCTGAGGCAGGGAGGCAGGAGGCTTGCTTGAGCTGGGGAGGTCGAGGCTGCAGTGACGCATGACCATGTCACTGAACTCCAGCCTGGACAACAGAACAAGGCCCCGTCTCAAAAAAAGAAAGAAAAGAAAAAGAAACTTGAACTTGAGGGGGCAGTGGGGCAGGGGCAGGAGCCTATAAGGTGCGTGCCATTCTCTGCTGGCAGCCCCAGCCCTGGCAGCGTACCCTCCTCCCAGCTCCAGTCTATGGTCAGCAACCCCCGCCCATCTCCCCCATCTGCTGGGGATGTAGGTCCATGTCCTTGACCCAAGACCTTCCCTCATTCCTGCCCCCATCCCTCCTCAAGCCATATCCCTTACATCCCTTGAGTCCTCCATCCCCCCTCCCCCATCTCCCTGTCCACAGCCTCTGCCCCTCCTCTCCCTACCCTGTACCACCCCCACCCCAGGTCTTCCTCCATCTCCTTGGGAACACAGAGCTCCTCTAGCAGGCACTCTCAGAACACAGCCTGCCGGCCCCAGCGCCAGGCCTGGCTCCCAGCCTGTTCCCACCACAGCAGCCTCTTCCCTCCGGATTCAGCTCAGGCGCCAGGACCGGCAGGACCGAGACGCTTCCCATGTCAGCCCTGGCCAAAGCCCAGCTCCTTATCCATCGGTGAGCTGCCTGCCAGCTCCTGCTCCAGCTGCTGAGAGGCCTGAAGAGACCAAGACAGAGACATAGCCCTGCAGCACCACAGGGAGGCCCCAATTACCCCATGCGGATGAGTTTCATGGCCATCTCTAACTAAGGTCAGCACTGCTCAGGGCAGGTTCATAGGTAACGACCTGGTGAACTGAAAAGCAAATTTCTCTCGGTCCCTAAAACCACTAGCTGAGCATCTAAGCATGAAACATGAGTCCTAAGAGGGGTAGCAAACACGTTTTCATTCACTTCTCACCAAACCTGTCCCCTATGTCCATTTTACAGAGGAGGAAACTGAGGCACAGAGACTTCAAGGTAGATGGCCAGGTACCCTGGCTCTGCCAGCCTGCCGTTCAGCAGGGGCTTCAATGGTCTTGCTCAAATCACATGTGCGCTGATGAATGTCCTTGTTGACTGTAGGTTCTCTTGTTGCTCTGAGTCCTTTTTCTGAGAAACTGAAGTTTGGTGTTTTGATCACGGCCATATCATTCATCTCTCACCTTCTATCCTGCCTTGCATGTCTTTAACCACACTGAGCTTCCGGGCCCTGCACCCCTTCCTGCACCCTTGTCACACCATGCATCTGGGGGAAGTTACACAACCACAGCTGTGCAGACCCAGCCTCACGAGATTCTCAGAGGGCAGTCCACAGGGGCCCCAGCACCTCCTATCATCCTTGCCCCAGGCTTTGGCAGGCAGCTCCTGCACACTCCCCTCAGCCCCATGCCAGGCCCACAGCCCCTCAAGCTTTCATCCAGCCCCGGCCCCCAACTTTCTTTTCTGTCTCTTTTTTTTTTTTTTTTTGAGACGGTGTCTTCCTCTGTCACCCAGGCTGGAGTGCAATGGCGTGATCTCAGCTCACTGCAACCTCTGCCTCCCAGGTTCAAGTGATTCTCCTGCCTCAGCCTCCTGAGTATCTGGGATTACAGGCGCCCCACCAACACACCCAGCTAATTTTTGCATTTTTAGTAGGGACGGGATTTCACCATGTTGGCCAGGCTGGTCTCGAACTCCTGACCTCAGGTGACCCCCCCGCCTCAGCCTCCCAAAATGCTGGGATTACAGGTGTGAGCCACCGCGCCCGGCCCTCAGCCCTAACTTTCAAATGACAATTGTGTTTCCTGTTTCATCAGGACAGGACATCGATGTCATCTGTAACTTCCAGTGCACTGGGACACACAGCTGTATCTCCCCATGCTCGCCTCCTGCCCCTCCCGGTGTGAGGACTTAGCCTGGATCACCTCCTCCAGGACAAGAACGACCTACCGGCATCTATCCATCCAATCTCCCCACCCATCCATCACTGCCTCTGTGCATGCATCCTTCCAACCATTCATACACGCCTCTGTGCATGCATCTGTCTGTCTGTCCCTGCCTCTGTGCCTGCATCTGTCCATCCATCCCTGCCTCTGTGCCAGTATCTGTCCATCTATCCCTGCCTCTGTGTATGCATCTGTCTGTCCATCCATCCCTGCCTCTGTGCCTGCATCTGTCCCTCCGTCCATCCCTGCCTCTGTGCATGCATCCTTCTGTACATCCCTGCCTCTGTGCATTCATCTGTCTGTCCATCCCTGCCTCTGTGCATGCATCTATCCATCCATTCATCCTTGCCTCTGCCCATGCATCCGTCCATACATCCCTGCCTCTGTGCATGCATCTGTCCATCCATCCATCCCTGCCCCTGTGCATCCATCTATCCATTCATCCCTGCCTCTGTGTAGGCACCTGTCCATCCATCCCTACCTGTTTGCACTCATCTGTCTCTCCATTCCTGCCTCTGTGCATGCATCTGTCCATCCATCCATCCCTGCCTCTGTGCATGCATCTGTCCATCTATCCATCCCTCTCTCTGTGCATGCCTCTGTCCATCTATCCATCCCTGCCTCTGTGCATGCATCTGTCATGCTATCCAACCCTGCCTCTGTGCATGCATCTGTCAGTCTATCCATCCTCCATCCCTTTCTTTGTATCAGCTTATCCTGTGCTGAGTGCTCACAACTCCTTCATCCTAAGACGCTCATTGGACCTATTCCCTCCCCCGACTCCACGCCGCTCTCTGCCCTCCCTTCCTGGTCAAGTTCTCCAGCCAGTGGTCTCAACTCAATCTTCTCTTCCTCCGCTCCTCTCATGCCTAAGCCCACTGCCGCCTAAATTCTTCCCCAACCCACTGGGCCTACCGGCACTAAAAAGGTCACTTTGTCCCTGGATGACCAAACACAGGCCAATGTAACTTACTGGGCTTGTTTTGCCCCAGCCACAGCTGACCACTTCCTCCTTCACTCTTGTTGTTGATCACCTTTGGGCTTAGTCTTTCTCCATCTCTGTTGAGTCCTTCTCCCCTGCCACCTACTCCTTCATGCTGGGGTTCTCTGTAGCTCTGTACCTGACAGTCACGTTCCACCCTTTCCTCCCAGAAGCTCGCCAACCCCCGTGGACTGCTGGCTCTCAAGGCGGCCACTAGCCCAGCTCCGACAGCAGCTGACAATGCACAGTATGCGGCCCAGGGCAGGCCCTGTGCTGAGAGGCATGGGTGAATGGCTCATTTCATCGGCAAGCCCCCGCCACCAGCAGGCGCCGTTCTCCTCGCATTTCTCAGGGGAGGAACCTGAGACAATGAGGTTAAGGAAGTTGTTCATTACAAGTGGAAGAACCCTGACTTACTTGAATTCAACTTTGAAGCCCACATTCTCTTTTTCTGTGTGTGTGACAGGGTCTCACTTTGTCACCCAGGCCGCAGTGCAGTGGTGTGAACACAGCTCATTGCAGTCTCAACCTCCCTGACTCAAGCAATCCTCCTGCCTTAGCCTCCTGAGTAGCTGGGACTACAAGCATGTGCCACCACGCCCATCCGAAGCCCATATGTGAATGTTGAGGCACACAGCCTCCCCAGCCTCTGCCTTACCAAGCCCTCCACAGGGCCTAGGCACCCTCCCTGGCTGCCCCCTTCCCCCGTCACTCAGGCTCCCCAGCAGCCAATGTAGTTAATATGGGGCTGCAAAGAGCTGGGCCTGGCCTCAGGCGGGACGGCCTCCCCGGCATTGCCATCCCTGCTGCAGAGCTCCCATGCGATCAGCCTCCTCTCCAGCTGAGACCACATCCTCACTCAGCTTCTAGGCTGTTCCTGCTCCCCATTCCCCTCAGCACATGGCCCCTGAGAAACTGCTTGCACAAGAATTTCCCTCTGGAGCCCCACCTCTGGGGAACCTGACCTCAGACAGAGGAGACCAAGCTCTAGGGCAGGATCCTCCACCTCCCTTGCCCCACCCGTGTGGCCAGCCCAGAGCGCTGCAGACTCCCGCCCAGACCTGTACTCATGCCTGCCTTCTGCCAGCCTGCTCCTCCTCCTCCCACTCTCACACCTGCATTAACAGCACCAGGACACCATCCTCCAAGGGCCCCAGCCTCATCTCCCCTGTCACCAGGATCCAGCCAGATCTCAATCCTTGCCCATCCTAACTGAACCTCCCTCAGATCCGTCCACTGCCCCCTTCCCCAGGACCACACTCCACCATCTCTTGCCTGGACCCTGCGAGAACTTCCTGCCTCCCTGCCTCTATCCTACCCCCTGCCCCCTGCTGAAGCTGATGATAGTTCCGGAATGCAAAATGCCTTAATGATTCCCCCATTGATCAAAGTCTTCCACATGCTTTCAAGGCCCTTGGTGATCCGGGACCTGCCGCCTTCTGCAGTCTCCCTACTGATGCCATAGTTTTGGCTTCTGGCCTCAGATGTCCCGGGTTATTTCTCTGCTCAGTGTCTCCTCGTACCCCTGACTCAGCTGGCTCACTGCTTTCCCATTGGATCTCAACCCTGTGTACCTGGGGAGAGCAGAACCCTGTATGTCTTGTCTTGTGCTAGTAGGCGCTCAGCGTGTTTGTGCATGCATCTGTCCATCCATCCCTGCCTCTGTGCACGCATCTGTCCATCCATCCATAGCAGTGACCTATGATTGCACCACTGCACTGCAGCCTCAGCAACATAGCAAGAACCTGTCCCTTGTTTTTTTTGTTTGTTTGTTTGAGATGGAGTCTTGGTCCTTCACCAGGCTGGAGTACAGTGGCGCAATCTTGGCCCACTGTAACCTTGGACTCCCTGGTTCAAGTGGTTCTCCTGCCTCAACCTCCCAAGTAGCTGGGATTACAGGCGTGTGCCACCATGCCTAGCTAATTTTTGCATTTTTAGTCCAGATAGTGTTTCACCATGTTGGCCGGGATGGTCTCGACATCCTGACTTCGTGATCTGCCGGCCTCGGCCTCCCAAAGTGCTGGGATTACAGACATGAGCCACTGCACTCCGCCAGCAGTAGAAATTTCTAAGCACCAAAGCATTCAGCAAGTCACCTGTCTTTTCTTGAAAGCATACGGTTACATGCACTCACAAAGAGATGCTTTGGAATTAGAACTTATACTTAAAAGGGAAGCAGAGCATAAAAGATGGAAAATTTGCAGCCTGACCATGTGGTAGAAAAGAAAACCCATTTCCTGGGGATTAATTCAAGCTAGGCCTAGGGCCCCGCTGCTCTGTGCAGCCTCGGGACATGGCACCCTGTGCCCCAGCCACTCCAGCTCCAGCTGTGGCTAAAGAAGACCAAGGTACAGCTCAGGCCGTCGCTCCAGAAGGTGCAAGTCCCAAGCCTTGGCAGCTTCCACATGGTGTTGGGCCTGCAGGTCTGCAGAAGACAAGAGCTGGGCTTTGGGGGCCTCCGCCTAGATTTCAGGGGATGGATGGAAATGCCTGGATGACCACGCACAGGTTGTCATGGAGAACGGCTACTGGGGCAATGCAGAGAGGAAATGTGGGGTTGGAGCCCCCACACAGACTCTCTACTGGGGCACTGCCTAGTGGAGCTGTGAGAAGACCACTCTCCTCCAGACCCCAGAATGGTAGATCCACCAAGCGCTTGCTCTGTGTGCCTGGAAAAGCCGCAGGCACTCAGCACCAGCCCATGAAAGCAGCTGCGGGGGCTGCACCCTGCAGAGCCACAGGGGCGGAGCTGCCCCAGGCCCTGGGAACCCACCCCTTGCATCAGTGAGCCCTGGACATGAGACATGGAGCCAAAGAGATCGCTTGGGAGCTTTAAGATTTAATGACTGCCCTGGTGGATTTGGGTCTTGCCTGAGGCCTGTAGCCCCCTTTTTTGGCCAATTTCTCCAATTTGGAAAGGGAACATTTACCCAATGCCTGTACCCACAATGTGTCTTGGAAGTAACTAACTTGCTTTTGAATTTACAGGCTTATAGGCAGAAGAGACTTGCCTTGTCTCAGGTGAGACTTTGGATTGGCCTTTTGGGTTGATGTTGGAATGAGTTTAGACTTTGGGGGACTGTTGGGAAGGCATGATTGAGTTTTGAAATGTGAGAAGGACATGAGGTTTGGGAGGGTCCAGGGGCAGAATGAGATGATTTTCTCTGTGTCCTTACCCCAATCATCTCAAACTGTAATCCCCACATGTCGAGGGAGGGGCCGGGCTGGAGATGATTGCATCATGGGGGCGGTTTCCCCCATGCGCTTCTGGTGTAAGTGAGTGAGTTCTCACAAGATCTGGTGGGTTAAAAGTGTTTGGCAGCCGGGTGTGGTGGCTCATGCCTGTAATCCCAGCACTTTGGGAGGCCGAGGTGGGCGGATCACCTGAGGTCAGGAGTTCAAGACCAGCCTGGCCAACATGGTGAAGCCGCATCTGTACTAAAAATACAAAATTAGCCTGGTATGGTGGCGCATGCCTGTAACCCCAGCTACTCAGCAGGCTGAGGCAGGAGAATCACTTGAACCAGAGAGACAGAGGTTGCAGTGAGCCGAGATCACCCCATTGCACTCCAGCCTGGGCGACAAGAGCGAAACTCCATCTCAAATAAAAAAAACACACAAACACGCGGACAAAAGTGTTTGGTAGTTCCCCCCACCCTGCTTCTCCTGCTGCCATGTAGGACGTGCCTTGCTTCTCTTCCGCCTTCCCCCATGATTGTAAGCTTCCTCAGGCTTCCCCAGCCATGTGGAACTGTGAGTCAGTTAAACTTCTTTTCTTTATACATCACCCAGTCTCAGGCATTCTTTATAGCTGTGTGAAAACGGACTAATACGGCAACAGATCAGCCTTGCCCTGGGAAACCCACCTCCGCGATCATGGTATCTCCCCTGCCAGGGAAGTATAAGCAGGTTTTATTAAGATGCCAGGGCGACAGCACCAGGTCAGAGCTGCGGCAGGAACGCCAGGCAGGGGGACTGAGTGTGCGGGAGAGGGCGGGGCACAGGACAGCTGAGGGAGGGGTCAGGGTGGGTGCGCGGTGACGGGGAGGGCAAAGGTGGTGTCAGTATCTTCATTTTGAGGATTGGGGTTCAGAGCACTTCTGGGGTGTCAGCTCCTCCTTGTCCCCCCGTGGGGCTCCGTAGGACTGGAAAGAGGACATGAAGAGCTCTGACAGAGAGCAGCAGAAACTCTGGAACTGTTTCCAGAGGGCCTGCACTGCATGGACCAGGGCCACCACCTTCTCCTTCACCCAGGCCAGAACCCCGTGCCACCAGGTCTGCAGCCGCTGCAGCATGGCCTGGAACCATCTCATGACCTTGTCACAAAAGCTCTCCCCAGGCTCCTCGGTTGCGGGATCCTCAACATCCGGGACAGGGGATCTGTTGCCTCGGCACCGTAATCCATCTCTTTCTTTTTCAAGTAGAGGAGTGAGCTCCTGTGGAATGGGAGCACCATTCAGGGTCTGTAGGTGGGGGTGTCAGCCCCAGGCCCTGGCCACACCCAGGCCTCTCAGCCTTTTCCTGACCCTGGGAGACGGAGGCCCACAGGTGTTGGTTTCCCAACCACAGCCCCGTGGGCAAGAGGGACTTTTCCCAGAGTCCCCCTCCTCTGCATTCACCTCCATGGCAGTGACAGGATGGGTGTGTCTGCTTGGTCACCAGGTCAGGGCCCTCATCGTGCCTTGAGGGCTGTGCCACTGTGTGAGGAGTGAGGCCATGGGCAGGTCCCAGCTAGGCTGTCACTCCCAGCCCTCCACCCCAAGCTCAGGGGCTGGGCACACCCTGCCCACACCACATCAAGACAGGGCAGGGGTTGGCTGGGCCCGGTGGCTCATGCCTGTAATCTCAGCACTTTGGGAGGCCAAGGCAGACGGAACACAAGGTTAGGAGTTCAAGACCAGCCTGGCAAACATGGTGAAACCTGGTCTCTACTAAAAACACACACAAAAAAAATCAGCCTGGAGTGGTGGCGGGTGCCTGTAGTCCCAACTACTTGTCAGGCTGAGGCAGGAGAATCACTTAAACCCGAGATTTGGAGGTTGCAGTGAGCCAAGATCATGCCACTGCACTCCAGCCTGGGCGACAGAGCGAGACTCTGTCTCAAATAAACAAAAAGAAAGAAAGAAAGAAAAGACAGGGCAGAGGTGAAGGAAGGCAAGGTGCCCAGATGGGTGTGTCATACTCACTGGGTGCTGCTCCTCATAATAAGCCGCCACTGTCTCCAGGTAGCCCTCTTTGAAGTCGTCCTGGGGAGAGGAGGGCACAGGGGGTTCATGCTGCTCCTGCCTGCCCCCTTCCCACTGTGGCCCCCACTGGTCCAGGTGATTCCCAAGGGGACCCGGGGCCCAGACCCAGTGTCCTGTGGAGCCTAAGACCCAGGGACTAAGCTTGGTGGAGGGGGAGGCCACGGCTCACCTCCAGCTCTGCCAGGCTCGACATCACCTGTTAGGAACAAAGCACTCGGTTCCAGGCCCAAGCCTCCTCTGCACCCCACATCAGTCAGTCCTCAAGCCCAGTGAGTCCTCAGCTCCCACACACCCCGAACTGGGCCCAGCCAGGGGCCCGGGCCACGTCTGGCACCCCTGTTGTTTCCTCAAGGAGCCCTGGGGCTTGGATGCCTCCCTCAGTCTCCCCGGGCGTCCAGATCCCCCACCCGCCCACTCACTGCCACCCAGGTGCAAGCATTTGCCCACGGTAAGGGGTGAGGGAGCCTGTGGGTCCCTCTTCATCCTTCTCACCCTGAGCCCCACACAGGGTGGAGTGCCTGGGGGCGGGGACATGTGACCTGGTGCCTGAGGGGAAATCCACCCACCTGTCCACGTCCTGATTCTGCATTTTGCATTTTATCATAAAATCTTTCTATGGCCTGGTGCTGTGAAGAGAGGCAGAGTTGGCACCAAAGGGCCGGATCCTTGTCCCTCCAGGGTCCCAGGTGTCCCACAGTGTCCTCAGTGTCACACGCTGAGACCCAGGCCCCCAACCCCTGAGCAGAAGTAGGGAGGAGCATTACCATTCGGGCCTTCAGCTTCTTCATGTCATCAGAGAGGACCTGCGGAAATAACGGTGACACTCAGTCTCCATGTGTCACCTTAACCTTTCCTCCAGGATAATTTATACACACACACACACACACACACACACACACACACACACAGAGACACATGGCAGAGGTACAGGATAAGAGGAGACAGCAGTCCCAGGAGCCCCTCACAGCCTGGAAAGACCGGCCAGGGCTGTCCTCGAAACGACTCAGAAAGCGCTTCTCTCAGGAGCCGGCTCAGCTGGGCAGGCCCAAGAGCAGGGCCAGCATGGGCCTAGGTGACCCCTCCTCACAAGAGCAGGGCCTGCGTGGGCCTAGGTGACCCCTCCTCACAAGAGCAGGGCCTGCGTGGGCCTAGGTGACCCCTCCTCACAAGAGCAGGGCCTGCGTGGGCCTAGGTGACCCCTCCTCACAAGAGCAGGGCCTGCGTGGGCCTAGGTGACCCCTCCTCACAAGAGCAGGGCCTGCGTGGGCCGGGGTGTCCTCCCTGCACACACACACCCCCCCATGTACACACACGGGAGGATGGACACTGTCCTGGAGCAGGCTGGCTCAGCTGGGTTTCCCACAACCACTATGGTCCCAGGTGAGAGTTGGCCAAGGAAAAAATGTTTAGGGACATGACAATTGAGAAGGTAACAGCAGCCATTCCTCTCTGATGAGCTGATTAATATTTGGGGTGCCAGGTAGGTCCACCCTACAACCTGCCACTCTTCCCGACTGCCAACATGCAGACCCACAGGTCCCGGGCCATTCCTGCCTGCAGACACGTGGCTGCATCCACAGAGGCCAGAGGCACCCCACAGAATCCCCGCTGAGCCCCCACGTCAAGGGCCTAGTCTCGGGGGTGACATGCCTGGTTTCCCCCACTATAGAGTGGTGACAGTCACCCACAGAGTGCGCAGGGCCTGGGGACATATTCTGGGCAGGGCAGCTGTCTGCACACTTTCAGGCAGCGATGGTCCCATCCCGCTAGCCTGATTTCCCAGGAACCAGGGTGAAAGCAGCACCGTGCCGACATGCGGGAGCCATGTGTCCTCCGGGTCACTGTCCTGAACCTGAGCCAGGCCACATCATGGAAACCCCTATTGTCACAGGCCGAAGAGCTCCCTGGAGGGTGTGGTGGGCCTAGCATTTGCGGTGGGGCAGTGGTAGAGGATGGGAGGTCGGAGGGAACCCAGGAAAGGAGGAAGAGACACCAGGACCCACACAGGCCTTGCTCTTGGGCCCACCCAGCTGAGCCGGCCTCTGAGAGAAGCATTCTCCGAGTCGTTTCCAGCAGAGCCCTGCCCCACCCCTGCCCCGGGCTTTCCGGGCTGTGAAGGGCTCCTGGGACAGGTGCTCCCTCTCATCCACACCCCTGCCGTTCTCCAGCGCCCCCGACACATATGACCTCCAGCGCCTCCACTGACACTCTCACCCCATCACTATCCTCCTGCCGCTGGGTGCCCCTGACTGAGCCCTGACACACAGGCACCTCGGGAAATACTGAGGGCACCCGCACCCTTACGGTCTGTTTTCAGACATGCCCACAAAAGCACACGCAGCCTCTCACTCACCTTCGGGAAGCACATGGCGGCCAAAAGTTCAAGGAGCCAAGGCCTGCTGGCGAGGAACAGGTGTGAGGAAAAGAAAGTGTCTCAGAGAAGCACCCTCCTCCCCAGAGGGTCCTCACCTTCGGGGACCCCAACTCCCCACCTGAGATGACCCAGCTCCACTGAGACAGTCACCTTCTGCACGCAGTCTTCCTGGCACAAATACTCAGCTGGTTTTATGGGGAAAGTGGGGGGTAGTGGGCGGAGCCTCTCTCAGGGCAGGAGGCCTTGCTGAGTGCGTGAAAAACAGACAGAGACAGAGACAGAGACAGAGACAGACAGAGATGGAGACTTACCCGAGAGAGACAGAGGTCTGGGGTCCCTGGGAGGAATGAGGGTCCGTCCCTGGCTGGGCCCCTGCTCCCTCTGAGCTGGGGTGGGAGTCTCTGAGCCCAGGAATGGGCTGCTTTCCCCACCCCACCAGCCTGAGAGTGGGGAGGGGCAGAGGGAAAGTCCAGACTCGGGACAGCTGGCTGGGGAAACTCCCTGAGTACAGGAAGGTGACGTCAGCCAAGTGGGATCCAAGGACAAAGGAATTTGGACCCTGTCCTTGCATGAGGTGTGCCCCGGCTCCAGAGGCCAGAGAAACTTCTGGATCAGAAGGAGGCAGGAACTGCCGGACCTAAGAGGGGCGCCGTGAGGGCAGGGGCCTGTGCACGTTGGAGGGGTGGCTAGTGGTGATGTAGATCTACCTGTGGGACAAGATAGGACCCTCTGCAGGGTGGAAGGCATCCTGCCGGCTGTCTGAGCTTGGCTGACCAGGTCCTTCTGACCCTTCTGGGCCAAGGCAAGGCCATCTGGGGCCGAAGGTCACTGGTCTCAGCAATCTTGGGGCTCCCCTACGGGCTCTTCTAGCTCCACGGGTTCTGACCCTCCAGCCTGGCTGGGCCTCCCACCTCCTCCTCACGGCCCCCAGCCCCCTTCCCCCAGCTGAGCACAACCACGCCCTTGCCTTTGGGATGGTTTCCTGGGGCCAAACTAAGGAAGTACCACGACAAGGGGCCCTAAGTCGAAGACGTCTCTTCCCTCACGATCTGCAGGCTGGAGGTCCAAGGTCAATGTGGGCAGCGTGGGGTCCTTCTGAGGGCCCGGAGCTGGGATTCTGTTCAGGTTTCTCCTGCCCTTGTAGATGGCCATCTTCATCTTCATCACGTTCTGCCTGGGTGTGACTGTCCCCCTTTCCCCTTTCCAAAGGACACCAGTCATATTGAAATAGGGTCCACCCTAGGCCGGGCGCAGTGGGTCACGCCTGTAATCCCAACACTTTGGGAGGCCGAGGCGGGCAGATCACCTAAGGTCAGGAGTTCTAGACCAGCCTGGCCAACATGGTGAAACCTTGTCTCTACTAAAAATACAAAAATTAGCCTTGCGTGGTGGCCGGCACCTGTATTCCCAGCTACTCGGGAGGCTGAGGCAGGAGAATCACTTGAACCCGGGAGGCGAATGTTGCAGTGAGCTGAGATGGTGCCACTGCACTCCAGTCTGGGGGACAACAATGAAAATTCCCCTCGGAAAAAAAAAAAAAAGAAGTAGGATCCACCCCAGTGACCTCATTGTACCTTAAGTACCTCCATAAAGACCCTGTTTCCAAATAAGGGCATATTCTGAGGTCCTGGGGCTTAGGAATTCAGCATGGATGCAATGTATCCCATTATATTCTCAAAGGGGACTCGGAGAGACAGAACCTATAAAACACGCTCCATGGAGAAATCTTCCCTTGGGTGAAGTAGACAACGGTTGTCACCTGCCTGCCACTTAGGAGTCCATTCCACTGTGCGCAACCGCCTTTCCACATACAGGATGTCCAGATCTTTCCCTGAGTATCCTCTGAATTGTAGTGGGAGACAGAAGGAAGCCACTCCTGCACCAGCTAAAAGTCATGCTTTAGGCTTCAGCTCCAACCCTAGCCCCTCATGACTCTCAAAGGCCACCATCTGAAGACATCTTGGGATCCACCCAGACTGTATGTACCCTGTTTTTATAGCTTTATGGTGATGCAATTTACAGGCAATGCAATTCACTCATTGAGCTGTACAATTCAAAGCACAGAACTGTGCAGCTATCACCACAACCCATTTTAGAACATTTTTATCACCTCTAAGAGAAATTCTGCCCTTCTGAGACATCACTGCCAGTCCTCATTTCCCTGGATAACCACTCATCTACTTTTTCTTTTTCTTTTTTTTTCTTAGAGTCTCGCTCTGTTGTCTAGGCTGAAGGGCAGTGGCACGATCTCGGCTCACTGCAACCTCTGCCTCCTGGGTTCAAGCAATTCTCCTGACTCAGCCTCCCGAGTAGCTGGGATTACAGGCACGTGCCACCACACCCAGCTAATTTTTGTATTTTTAGTAGAGACGGGGTTTCACCATGTTGATGAAGGAGTCTCGAACTCCTGACCTCAAGTGATCTGCCCGCCTTGGCCTCCCAAAGTGCTGGGATTACAGGCATGAGCCACTGTGTCTGGCCTCATCTACTTTCTCTCTCAATGGATGCCTCTCTCCCAGACATTTCCTATAAGTAGAATTATACACTAGGTGATCTTCTGTGTCTAGCTTCTTTCACTGAACATGCTATTCTTGAGGTTCATCCGTGTTGTAACACGCATTATTCCTTCATTCCTTTTTCTGGCTGAATAATATTCTACTGTGTGGATAGACCACATTTGGTTTCTCCATTCACCCCTCGAAGGACATTTGGGTTCTTTCCACTTTTTGGCTAATTCCGAATAATGCTGCTATGAACATTCACGTACAAGTTTCTGTGCAGACGTATGTTTTCACTTCATATGTATGAAGCAGAAGAATAGCTGGGTTACATGGTAAATGTGTTTTTATCCTTTTGAGGAACAGCCAGACTATTTTTCAAAATGTCTGTCATTTTACATTCCCAGCAGCAGTGTGCGAGGGTTCCCGTGTCTCTACAACCTCAGCAATACTTGTTATTCTCTGTGTCTTTTCAATTCCAGCCATCCCAATGGGCTGAAATGGTATCACGTGACAATTTTTTTTTTTTTTTTTTTTGAGGTGGAGTCTTGTTCTGCCACTCAGCCTGGCCTAATTTCTGTATTTTTAGGAGAGATGGGATTTCACCATGTTGGCCAAGGAGTCTCGAACTCCTGACCTCAAGTGATCTGCCCGCCTTGGCCTCCCAAAATGCTGAGATTACTGGCATGAGCCACTGCGTCTGGGCTTATCTACTTTCTCTCTCAATGGATGCATCTCTCCCAGAGATTTCTTATAAGTAGAATTATACACTACGTGATCTTCTGTGTCTAGCTTCTTTCACGGAACATGCTGTTCTTGAGGTTCATCTGTGTTGTAACACGGATCAGTCCTTCATTCCTTCTTCTGGCTGAATGATATTCTACTGTGTGGATAGACCACATTTGGTTTCTCCATTCACCCCTCAAAGGAAGTTGGGGTTCTTTCCCCTTTTTTGCTATTCTGAATAACGCTGCTGTGAACATTCACGCAAAAGTTTCTGTGCAGACTTATGTTTTCACTTCTCTTGGATACGTATGAAGGAGAAGAATAGCTGGGTTACATGGCAAATGTGTTTTTATCCTTCTGAGGAACAGCCAGACTATGTTTCAAATTGTCTGTCATTTTACATTCCCAGCAGCAGTGCCCGGGGGTTCCTGTTTCTCCACATCCCCAGATACATTTGTTATGCTCTGTGTCTTTTTAATTCTAGCCATCTTAGTGCGCTGAAATGGTACCATGTGACAATTTTTGTGTTTCTTTTTTTTTTTTATTTGATGCAATCTCGCTTGGTCTCCCAGGCTGGTGTGCAGAGGCACGATCTCGGCTCACTGCAACCTCCAACTTCTGGGTTCAAGCGATTTTCCTGCCTCAGCCTCTCAAGTAGCTGGGATTACAGGCATGCGCCACCACGCCTGGCTAATTTTTGTATTTTTAGTAGAGACAGGGTTTCACCATGTTGGCCAGTTGGTCTAAAACTCTCAAACTCAAGTGACATCTGCCTCTCAAACGTCTGCATCAGCCTCCCGAAATGCGGGATTACAGGCATAAGCAACCGTGCCCAGCCAATTTTATTTTTATTTTTATTTTTTTGAGACACACCTGTTGCCCAGGGTGGAGTGCAGTGGCGTGATCATGGCTCATTGTTGCCAAGACTTCCCGGCTTCAGGTGATTCTCTCCTCTTCGCCTTCCAAGTAGCTGGGAATACAGACACGGGTTGCCACCATGCCCGGCTAATTTTTTGATTATTTTGTAGAGACAAGGTCTCACTATGTTGCCCAGGCTGGTCTTGAAACCCTGCGATCAAGCCATCCTCCCACTTTGGCCTCCCAAACTATTCGGATTATAGGCGTGAGCCACTGTGCCCAGCCTCTTTCCAACTTTCTGGATGATGTCCTTTGAAGCACAAAAGTTTTACATTTTGATTATGAGACCATGCCATTTTTAAACGATACCACTTAAAAAATAAAAATAATCACTTTGACATGACATTTTTGTGTAGCAGTCATAAAATTTTAAAGGCTCTGGAAGTCTACATGGAGCCATGAGGCAGTCTCAATTCCACAGTGGCCGTCCGTCCTCCGGGTGCCCCATAACCAACTTTTCGATTCCTCTCTACTTCGTCCTCCCACTCTTCTTTCTTCTTATTATTATTATTTTTATTTTTATTTTTGAGACGGAGTCTCGCTCTTTTGGCCAGGCTGGAGTGCAATCGTGAGATCTTGGCTCACTGCAACCTCCCTCTCCCGGGTTCAAGTGATTATCCTGTCCCAGCCTCCTTAGCAGCTGGGATAACAGACATGCACCACCATGCCTGGCTAATTTTTTTTCTATTTTTAGTGGAGATGGGATTTCAGTGTTGGCCAGGCTGGTCTCAAATTCCTGACCTCAAATGATCCGTCTGCCTGGGCCTCGCAAAATGCTGGGATTAAGGCATGAGCCACCACGCCCGGGCCCACTCTTCCTTCTTAGATTCCCCATCAACCATGGATTCCTTCTGCGAAGCAGGGAGATTCAGGTCAGTCCAGTTCCTGCCACCACACTTCTCCCCAGGTCCATCAATGCTCAGAAGAATGGAAGGGCTTTTTGTACATTCGTTTTTATTGTCCTGAGTGGGATGAATAAGTTTCTAATATACAAATTTCCCCCTCCTCATACATGGAAAAGAAACTGACAGAGGCCCAAATCGTTTCCTGGCAGCCCAGAATTCCCAGGTAACTGACCAAAGTCTCCTGCCTTCTGTCCTCATGCTGATCTGTTTGTATGAGCAACTGGGGCAACCCCTCGCATGGTTGCTGGGACAGCCGCCCACAGCCTCAGCTCCAGGAAGCACTAGGGGGTCACTGAGGCTGGACAGCAACTTAGGAAGTGGCCCCTAAGTGACTCTACCCATGGGGTTCAGGCCATCGGTGTGGCCTGAACATATTGGTCCTGGGGTGGAGGAACACTGCAGAGCCACAGAAATGCCACGAAACAGCCAGCTACTGCCCCCCACAATCCCCGCGACTAGTTAAAATGCAGATTCCTGACCCCACCCTGAGTGAGGATTCAGGGTGAGTGTGGGATCTGCAAACTTAAATTTCCCAGTGATTCTGATGTGGGATAGTCTAGAAGAATAGTTCCAGAGGCAATCATTTAGATCCTAAAACTGTGGGGAGTGGGGACAGGGTGAACGAGGTGCCCCCAGGTTCCACCCACCCCTCACTCTAGAGCTAAGGCCTCCCAGGAGGGAGTGCTGAGGAGGCAATGACCAGGCCTGAGCCAGGGTTCGGTCCCTGTCTTTCCACCAGCGTTGAGTTGATGGGAGTCAAGCTGTTCTCTCCAGGGTGCAAGCAGGGAAGGGGTTCTTGGGGATAGAAGGGTTCCCCATTGAATGGAAGGCAGTTCTGGGCCCAGGGAGGTGCCCAAGTTGGGTGGCCTGGGGAGGAGGAGGTGGGTGGCGGGGGAGCAACGGAAAAGGTTAACAGCCTGGAGAGCAAGGGTCGTCCCTCCAGCCACTGATTCCACCACCCAGGACGTGGCGCATGGGTCCTCAGGGGTGATATCTGGGCTGGTTCCGGGTCTGGGTCCCAGGTCCCCACCAGTGTGGCAGTGACTGTAGGGGGGCCTTGTGGGAGCAGAACGGGGTGAGAAACTGCGGGTGGGAGAGGGGCAAGGCACAGCTTCGCAGTCAGGCCTGTCCTCTAACGACCCAGGAATGCCAGACGCAGTGGCCAGGCGGGGCGGGGCTGCGGAGAGTCCCAGGACTGCGCTCCGAGAAAAGCTGGCTCTTCCTGGAAAAGGAAGGTCCTGCGGGGCCAGCGCGCGACCGGGGCTGCCGTCCCTCCGGGTGAGGCCGCGGGCCCGCCCCTTGTCCTCCCCGCCCCTCCCCGGGCTCGGGAGGCGGGGTCCGACCGCCCCCTGGCGGCAGCCGGGAGGGAACGACGGGGGCGACGACCGACGCATGGTCCCAGCGCGCGTGCGCCCCTGAAGGCGGGTTCCGGTGGCAGCGCCGGGGTCTCAGACCCTGAGGAGACTGAGCCCAGCGCCAGGCGACCGGTCCCCGCCGCCGCCGCCCCTGCGCGGGAGATCCCCCCTGCTTAGTCCGCGCCCGAGCCCCCGTCCGTGGGAACAGACAAGGGGCCTCCGCAGCGCCTCACAACCCCCGACCAGGTCCAGCGGCGGGGGACTCGGCCGTGGAGGGCGCTGTTCGGTCTGGATGGCTCCCCCCATCAGCGGGAGGCTACACCCCCCACCAGCAGGGGCAAGAGGAGCAGCGGGATGGGAGCAGGCCAACGTCCTGCGGCCTGGTTGAGCTCGCACTGACAATCGCAGGTTTCGGACACGGGGGTCGCTTTGGGGGGCCTGGGGGCGCGGGGACCAGAGCTCGGGGCGGGGCAGTCCAGCCAGTTGGGCCCCATGGGCTGGGGGGCGTCCGGCTCGGTCTTGATGCTGTTCTTGGGGAAGCGCCAGTAGTGGGCGCCCTTGAAGAAGTAGGTGTCACCTGGAGGAGCAGAGCTTGAGTCCCGGTCCCTCCCCGCCCCGCCGCTCCCTGATGCCCAAGGACCCCCATCCCCGCAGGGTGGCCTCCATGTCCCCATTCCCCACATCCCTCTCCCCACCCCCAGGCCCAGTAACCCGCAGGTCACCGCGCTCCCCACCTGCGTTGCTGACGGTGACATCGTCAGGGGAGGGGGGCGCGCCTTCCCAGAGGCTCAGGTCGCGAGGGTAGCCGGGGTCCGGGCGCGCCGCCGCCTCGTCGTAGCGCCAGTACTGCCGGCCGCGGACCAGGTAGGTCTTCCCGTTCTGTGGCCACGAGAACACGGCGTCCACCTCCTCTCCCGGGGGCAGCCCCAGCTCCGTGAGCGGCCGCGCCCCGCCCTCCAGCTGCCGGTCCTGGAACACCCAGAACTGGGGCCCTGCAGGGTGGAGGCCGGGAGGTCAGGGGTGGGCTCCCCGCGCCGGCCCCAGCGCGCCCCGCCGCCGGCCCCACTCACCGCTAAAGAGGAGGATTCGGCCGTCTCGGTGCCGAGCATAGGCGGCCTGCACCACCCTCACCTGGGCGGGCAGCCCCTCCCAGAAGCGGTGCAGCCGTGCGGGTCGCGGGGACACCAGCTGTCCGGAGGGCTGGAGGCGCCAGAACCAGGGGCCTGCAGGGGACAAAGGGGTTCGCAGGAAGGCATGAGACAGCAGGAGGTCTCCTCCCCCAGGGTGTGTGGCTGGGTGGGGAGGGGTCCCATCTGGAAATCAAGGGCGCAATGGATCTAGGGTGACCAGCCCATCCTGGCCCGCCTGAGACTTTTCCCTTTTTAGCGCTAAAAGTGCCAGGGCCTTGCCTGGTGGCTCAGACCTGTAATGCCAGCACATTGGGAGGCTGACACCGGAGAATCACCTGAGCCAGGAGATTGAGCCCAGCCTGGGCAATATAGTGAGACTCCATCTCTACAAAATAATAAAATAAATTACTAGCAAGGCGTGGTGGCATGTGCCTGTGGTCCCAGCTACCAGGGAGGCTGAGGTGGGAGGATCGCTTGAGCCCAGTATTTTGAGGCTGCAGTGAGCCATGATCACACCACTGCACTGCGGCCCAGGCAACAAAGCAAGACCCTGTCTCAAAGAAGAAAAAAGTTCCGCTTCCAGGGTAAGCCCACAGCCCCAGTGGGTCACTGGAAGTGGGCAGGAAACCAACATATATGAGGCCAAGTGAAATGACTCACCTTTGAAGAAGAAAGTTTCCCCTCGGATGTTGGCGATGGCGTCAAAATTGCCCTCACATCGATCAGGGATGGGGAAGGATGGGCTGGGGAGGAAAGGAGAGGTGAGTAGAGAGGGGGGTTTGTTTTCTCCAAGGCAGGGACCCCCACCATCCCCATCTCAGAGGACACTGAGGCTGGGCAGCTGGTCACCCAAGGTCTCCGAGTTGGTGGGGGACTCACCTGTGTGTGGGCGAGGCCGGGGGCTGGGGCGGAGGAGCCAGGGGTTTCCTTGTGGGCTTGTCATATGGGGTTTGGGGCGCCTTCCCTGTGAGGAAAGAGTCAGGCAGGTGTGCGTCCCCTGGCCCTGCTGCAGAGGACACTGGATGGGGCAATGATGGTTTCGCGGCAGGTCCCTCTCCCCCTACCATAGAGTTGCTGCAGGCCATCGCGGTCATCCTGAGACAGGCGGTACTTGTCAGGGTCGCCCACCGGACCCTGGTAGAAGGGCCTCATAATGGAGTTGGGGGCTGAGGAGTGGCCCAGGCCCAGGGCGTGGCCAAACTCATGGACAGCCACGGCAAACAGGTCGGTCCCCTCGCCGTCTGCAGGAGAAAGTGGGTGAGAGCTGCGGCCGCCCCTGCTTGGGGAAAGGGGCCACAGGAAGGCCCTGCGAGTGCAGCTGGGGCCAACAGGAACAGCAGGACACCCTCCAGAGGTGGCCCCAGCCTCCTCTGCCCAGCCCTTCCTGAACTCTCCATCATCCCTGTCTCCAGTCACTCAGTCAGCATGGCTGTGATGGACACTGGACCACAGGGCTGAAAAGATCCAGAGAACACACAGAGGAATAGGCCACCTTACACACCGATGGGGCCCCTCCTCTGGGAAGGGAGCACTTTGTGCACAGAAGTTTGAGGGGGAGGAGCTGGGTGTGGTGGCTCATGCCTGTAAACCCAGCACTTTTGGAGTCCCAGGTGGGAGGATCGCTTGAGCCCAAGAGTTCAAGACTGGCCTGGACAACATAAGGAGATCCCCATCTCTACAAAAAAATTTTAAAAATTGGCCAGGAGTGGTGGCGCATGCCTGTGGTCCCAGCTACTCAGGTCCCAGGCTGAGGCAGGGAGGCAGGAGAATCGCTGGAGCCCGGGAGGTGGAGGCTGCAGTGACGCATGACCATGTCATTGCACTCCAGCCTGGAGGACAGAATAAGGCCCCGTCTCAAAAAAAGTAAAAAGAAAAAAAAAGAAAAAGAAAATAAAAGAAACTTAAGAGGGCGGTGGGGTGAGGGCAGGAGCCTACAAGGTGCGTGCCATTCTCTTCAGGCAGCCCCAGCCCTGGGAGCATCCCCTCCTCCCAGCTACAGTCTATAGTCAGCGACCCCCACCCGTCTCCCCCTTGCCACCCCCATCTGCTGGGGATGTAGGTCCATGTCCTTGACCCAAGACCTTCCCTCATTCCTGCCCCCATCCCTCCTCAAGCCATATCCCTTACATCCCTTGAGTCCTCCATCCCCCCTCCCCCATCTCCCTGTTCACAGCCTCTGCCCCTCCTCTCCCTACCCTGTACCACCCCCACCCCAGGTCTTCCTCCATCTCCTTGGGAACACAGAGCTCCTCTAGCAGGCACTCTCAGAACACAGCCTGCCGGCCCCAGCACCCGGCCTTGCTCCCAGCCTCTTCCCTCTGTATTCAGCTCAGGCGCTCAGGACTGCCAGGACCCAGAGGATTCACACGCCAGCCCCGGCTGAAGCCCAGCTCCTCATCAACCGGTGAGCCGCCTGCCAGCTCCTGCTCCAGCTGCTGAGAGGCCTGAAGAGACCAAGACAGAGACACAGCCCCGCAGCACCACAGGGAGGCCCCAGTTACCCCATGCGGATGAGTTTCATGGCCATCTCTAACTAAGGTCAGCACTGTTCAGGGCAGGTTCATAGGTAACGACCTGGTGAACTGAAAAGCAAATTTCTCTCGGTCCCTAAAGCCACTCGCTGAGCGTCTAAGCATGAAACGTGAGACCTAAGAGGGGTAGCAAACACGTTTTCGTTCACTTCTCACCAAACCTGTCTCCTATGCCCATTTTACAGAGGAGGAAACTGAGGCACAGAGACTTCAAGGTAGATGGCCAGGTACCCTGGCTCTGCCAGCCTGCCTTTCAGCAGGGGCTTCAATGGTCTTGCTCAAATCACATCCGCACTGACGAATTTCCCTGTCGACTGTAGGTTCTCTTGTTGCTCTGAGTCCTTTTTCTGAGAAACTGGGGGTAGTTTGGTGTTTCAATCAGGGCGATATCTTTCATCTCTCACCTTCTTCCCTGCCTTGTCTCTCCTTGGCCATACTGGGCTTCCGGGCCCTGCACCCCTTCCTGCACCCTTGTCACGCCATGCATCTGGGGGAAGTTACACAACCACAGCTGTGCAGACCCAGCCCCACAAGATTCCCAGAGGGCAGTCCACAGGGGCCCCGGCACCTCCTGTCATCCTTGCTCCAGGCTTTGGCAGGCAGCTCCTGCACGCTCCCCTCAGCCCCATTCCAGGCCCACAGCCCCTCAAGCTTCCACCCAGCCCCAGCCACTAACTCTCAAATGACAAATGTGTTTCCTGTTTCATCAGGACAGGACATCGATGTCATCTGTAACTTCCGGTGCACTGGGGCACACAGCTGCATCTCCCCATGCTCACCTCCTGCCTCTTGCTCTGCCCAGTGTGAGGACTCAGCCTGGATCACCTCCTCCAGGACAAGAACAACCTACCATCATCTGTCCGTCCAATCTACCCACCCATCCATCTCTGCCTCTGGCCATGCATCCGTCCGTCCATCCATCCCCGCCTCTGTGCATGCATCTGTCCATCCATCCCCGCCTCTGTGCATGCATCTGTGCATCCATCCATCCCTGCCTCTGTGCATGCATCTGTCCATCCATCCCCGCCTCTGTGCATGCATCTGTCCATCCATCCCCACCTCTGTGCATGCATCTGTCCGTACATCCATCCCTGCCTCTGTGCATGCATCTGTCCATTCATCCCTGCCTCTGTGCATGCATCTGTCCATCCATCCATCCCCGCCTCTGTGCATGCATCTGTCCATCCATCCCTGCCTCTGTGCATGCATCTGTCCATTCATCCCTGCCTCTGTGCATGCATCTGTCCATCCATCCATCCCTGCCTCTGTGCATGCATCTGTCCATTCATCCCTGCCTCTGTGCATGCATCTGTCCATCCATCCATCCCTGCCTCTGTGCATGCATCTGTCCATTCATCCCTGCCTCTGTGTATGCATCTGTCCATCCATCCATCCCCACCTCTGTGCATGCATCTGTCCATCCATCCCCGCCTCTGTGCATGCATCTGTCCGTCCATCCATCCCTGCCTCTGTGCATGCATCTGTCCGTCCATTCATCCCTGCCTCTGTGCATGCATCTGTCCATTCATCCATCCCTGACTCTGTGCATGCATCTGTCCATCCATCCATCCTTGCCTCTATGCATGCATTTGTCCGTCCATCCATCCCTGCCTCTGTGCATGCATCCATACCTGCCTCTGTGCATGCATCTGTCAGTCTATCAATCCCCGATCCCTTCTTTGTAATGGTGTTGAGCGCTCACAACTCCCTCATCCTAAGACGCTCGTTGGATCCATTCCCTCCCCTCACCCCATGCTGCTCTCTGCCCTCCCTTCCCGGTCAAGTTCTCCAGCCAGTGGTCTCAACTCAATCTTCACTTCCCCCGCTCCTCTCACACCTATCCCCACTGCATTCTAAATTCTTCCCCAACGCGCTGGGCCTACAGGCACTAAAAAGGTCACTTTGTCCCTGGATGACCAAACACAGGCCAATGTAACTTACTGGGCTTGTTTTGCCCCAGCCACAGCTGACCACTTCCTCCTTCACTCTTGTTGTTGATCACCTTTGGGCTTAGTCTTTCTCCATCTCTGTTGAGTCCTTCTCCCCTGCCACCTACTCCTTCATGCTGGGGTTCTCTGTAGCTCTGTACCTGACAGTCACGTTCCACCCTTTCCTCCCAGAAGCTCGCCAACCCCCGTGGACTGCTGGCTCTCAAGGCGGCCGCTAGCCCAGCTCCGACAGCAGCTGACAATGCACAGTATGCGGCCCAGGGCAGGCCCTGTGCTGAGAGGCATGGGTGAATGGCTCATTTCATCGGCAAGCCCACGCCACCAGCAGGCGCCGTTCTCCTCGCATTTCTCAGGCGAGGAACCTGAGACAATGAGGTTAAGGAAGTTGTTCATTACAAGTGGAAGAACCCTGACTTACTTGAATTCAGCTTTGAAGCCCACATTCTCTTTTTCTGTGTGTGTGACAGGGTCTCACTTTGTCACCCAGGCCGCAGTGCAGTGGTGTGAACACAGCTCATTGCAGTCTCAACCTCCCTGACTCAAGCAATCCTCCTGCCTTAGCCTCCTGAGTAGCTGGGACTACAAGCATGTGCCACCACGCCCAGCCGAAGCCCATATGTGAATGTTGAGGCACACAGCCTCCCCAGCCTCTGCCTTACCAAGCCCTCCACAGGGCCTAGGCACCCTCCCTGGCTGCCCCCTTCCCCCGTCACTCAGGCTCCCCAGCAGCCAATGTAGTTAATATGGGGCTGCAAAGAGCTGGGCCTGGCCTCAGGCGGGACCGCCTCCCCGGCATTGCCATCCCTGCTGCAGAGCTCCCATGCGATCAGCCTCCTCTCCAGCTGAGACCACATCCTCACTCAGCTTCTAGGCTGTTCCTGCTCCCCATTCCCCTCAGCACATGGCCCCTGAGAAACTGCTTGCACAAGAATTTCCCTCTGGAGCCCCACCTCTGGGGAACCTGACCTCAGACAGAGGAGACCAAGCTCTAGGGCAGGATCCTCCACCTCCCTTGCCCCACCGGTGTGGCCAGCCCAGAGCGCTGCAGACTCCCGCCCAGACCTGCACTTGTGCCTGCCTTCTGCCAGCCTGCTCCTCCTCCTCCCACTCTCACACCTGCATTAACAGCACCAGGACGCCATCCTCCAAGGGCCCCAGCCTCATCTCCCCTGTCACCAGGATCCAGCCAGATCTCAATCCTTGCCCATCCTAACTGAACCTCCCTCAGATCCGTCCACTGCCCCCTTCCCCAGGACCACACTCCACCATCTCTTGCCTGGACCCTGCGAGAACTTCCTGCCTCCCTGCCTCTATCCTACCCCCTGCCCCCCGCTGAAGCTGATGATAGTTCCGGAATGCAAAACCCCTTAATGATTCCCCCATTGATCAAAGTCTTCCACATGCTTTCAAGGTCCTTGGTGATCCAGGACCTGCCGCCTTCTGCAGTCTCCCTACTGATGCCATAGTTTTGGCTTCTGGCCTCATATGTCCCGGGTCATTTCTCTGGTCACTGGCTCCTCTTACCCCTGACTCAGCTGGCTCACTGCTTTCCCATTGGATCTCAACCCTGTGTACCTGGGGAGAGCGGAACTCTGTATGTCTTGTCTTGTGCTAGTAGTCACTCAGTGTGTATGTGTGGATATTCATATATATATATATATATATTTGAGATGGAGTTTTGCTCTTGTTGCCCAGGCTGGAGTGCAGTGGCACGATCTCGGCTCACTGCAACCTCTGCCTCCAGGATTCAACTGATTCTCCTGCCTCAGCCTCTCCAGTAGCTGGGATTACAGGCTTGCACCACCACACCCGGCTAATTTTTTGTATTTTTAGTAGAGACGGGGTTTCAACATGTTGGTCAGGCTGGTCTCAAACTCCTGACCTCAGGTGATCCACCCACCTGTGCTTCCCGAAGTGCTAGGATTACAGATGAAAGCAATCACGCCCGGCCTATATTCATATATATATTGAGGGAACGAAGTCACCTCTTCTAGGAAGCCTCCCCTTGCCCAAGAGCTTTGGGCCAACATCTCTGAGCCCCTGCAGGCTTGAGGACTTCCTCTGCTGGGATTCTGTGGAGCTGTGTCACCGTGGGTGTTGTCATTGCCAGTCACTCTTCTGACTCAGCTGCCAGGTAAAGATTTGTTTTCGTCTCCGCAAGCCCCCAGCTCTGGCTTGGAGCTAGGCACCTGCTAGGCCTCTGTGATGGTTCATTGTGTGTGTCAGTTTGGCCCGGCTGTCGTGCCCAGCTGGTTGGTGAAACACCAGTCTAGATGCCATGGTGAAGGTCTTTGTAGATGCAATTAACATCTACAATCAGTTGACCTTAAGTCAAGTAGATCATGCTCCATAGTGTGGCTGGGGGTGGGGTGGGGGCAGAGCCAATCAGTTCAAGGCCTTGAGAGCTAAAGCTAAGGTTTCCTGGAGAGGAAGGAATTCTGCCTCCAGACTGTCACTGAAATCCTGAGTTGCCAGCCTGCCGTACAAATTTTGGACTTGCTATCCCCTACAATCCCGTGAGCCAATTCCTTAAAATAAATCTCTTTACACACACGCACACACACACCCCCCCCACACACATACACACACACACACATCCCACACACACGTGCACACACACACACATCCTGTTGGTTTTGTTTCTCTGGAGACCTCCCAGCTGATAAAGCCTCCATCAGTAAATATAATTTAAACCTAATTATTGGCCAGGAGTGGTGGCTCATGCTTATAATCCCAATGCTTTGAGAGACCAAGATGGGAGGATCACTTGAGCCCAGGAGTTCAAGACCAGCCCTGGTGACATAGTGAAGCCCCATCTCTACAAAAAGTTTTAAAACTAGCCAGGTGTGGTGGTGCACATCTGTGGTCCTGGCTACGTGGTGGCTGAGGAGGGAGGATCACTTGAGCCCAGGAGGTGAAGGCTGCAGTGAGCCGTGATCGTGCAACTGCACTCCAGCCTGAGCAAGATAATGAGACCCTGTTTCTACAAAAAGTAAAAAAAACAAACAAAAAAAATAGCCAGGTATGGTGGTGTGCACCAGTGATCCCAGCTACTCTGGAGTCTGAGGTGGGAGGATTGCTTGAGCCAGAAGTTCGTGGTTGCAGTTAGCTATGATTGCACCACTGCACTCTAGCCTGAGCAACAGAGCAAGACCTTGTTTCTTAAACAAAACAAAACACACAACAGAAAACTTATTCTTAAGACCAGACCTGGCAAGAGGATCTCTCATAAGAGAGGAGATTTTACCTTTTGACCCAAAAGTCCAGGTCTCCTCATCGTCAAAGTGAGTGTCCCCGGAGATGGGGTGCTCCCCAGGGAAGAAGGCATGGGCTAGGGTGCCCCCCAACCCGTCGAAGGGGTAGCTGTCCTGGTGGAAGGCGCGGGCAAAGTCGATGAGGATGTCGGGCTCCTGGCCCTGGGGGGAATCCACCTCATGAAATGTGAGGCCTGACTCCATGCCCCAGGCCATCAGGGCATAGCTCATGAGGACCCGCACGGTCTCCTGGCTCAGCTGGGAGCTCTGGGGGAAGGAACGTACCCTGGGGAGAGGGGAGTGAGGTGTAAGGGTGGCCGTGGAGGGAGCAGGCAGCCATTCAAAGCCGGAGCCCAGCAGGCAGGGCCAGGGTGCGGGTGGGCCCCAGGACCTACCTCCATGTCAGGGTTCGCTTCTTCCACACGCTGCCGCTCAGAGCGTACCGGCGACGCCGCCTGACCAGCCCCGCCACCCCCAGCACGTCAGGCAGGGAGCAGCGGGGCTTACGCATGGTGGCCACTGTCCCTGGGTCTGCGGGAGACATTTGGCGGTGGGGGGTGTGTCCACAATAGGAGAGCCTGCCTTAATCATAGCACCAGTCAACTTTCTACATGGGAAAACTGAGGCTCAGAGGGCTCAAGAAATGTGCCCTCGAAGGCCCCACAGCCCAGGTTTGAACCCAGGCAGTCTGTCTCTGGAAGCCAGCTCCTACCAAGCCATTCCTACTGCCCTTTGGAGTGGCGTCACCTGGCCTGGGACAAACTGGCTGCATGCAGGTGATGCTCAGAGGCTCAGGCCAGGATTTTGCATCCAGCTTCCCTGGGCCCTGGTGGGCGGACTCTGGAGAAAGGAGCCCTGGGTATGCAGTGAGGACCCTTTGAGGCTGGAACCCCCTGGGAGCTGTGCAGGCCTCACACCATCACTGCCAAGTTCTCCTCAAACCCAGATTAGGTCCAAAGTGCCCAGGCCGGCTGGGTCTCTGGCCTCCTGTGGCAAGCCACCCCCTCCTGGGTTAGGTCTCTCTGGGGTCCCCTTTCCCAGCTGGGCTCCATCCCCAGTAGCCTCATCTCCAAATTAAGGTCAAACTGCGCCTCATTTATTGAGGCGGCAAATAGTGATGAAGGACATATAGATGCCAGACACTGTTCTAGGCTGTTTGTGAGTCACCAGGACAGACACAGGGCCTACCTTTCCTTGTAGTGAGCCAGATCCTTCAAATTCCCTCTTCCTGCCCACTTAACCCCACAGAAGAGTTCCTCGGCCCTGCCTCCAAAATATACACCCCGAATCCAACTACTTCTGGCCACATATGCCACCCATCCTTCTGCCACCATCCCTCGTGTGGACTCCGCAGCCGTCTTCTGCCTGGTCTCAGGGCTCCTGCCTTCCATTCTCCATCAGGACCCAGAGGAAGCTTAAAACTGCAAGTCAAAGCCGGGCACGGTGGCTCATGCCTGTAATCCCAGCACTGTGGGAGGCCAAGGTGGGCTGATCGCTTGAGGCTAAGAGTTCGAGACCTGCTTGGCCAACATGGCAAAACCCTGTCTCTACTAAACATACAAAAAAATTAGCTGGGCATGGTGGCGGATGCCTGTAGTCCCAGCTACTCAGGAGGCTGAGGCAGGAGAATCACTTGAACCCGGGAGGCAGAGATTGCAATGAGCCGAGATTGCGCCACTGTACTGCAGCCTGGGCCACAGAGTGAGACTCTGTCTAAAAAAAAAAAAAAAAAAATTGCAAGTCATACCAAGTTCTGAATTGCTTCCCTTCTGAGAACACTTAGGTGGTTGCTAATCACCCTTGGAATCAACCCTAATCACCTTTCAGGGCCCTTGGCTGAGGCCTCTCGCCAGAGCTCTTCAATGCTCCTTTTGCTCCAGGCACACAAGCTTCTGCGTGCCGTGGGGTCTTTGCACTTGCCCGGGACACTCTTCTTCCACATCTTCCCATGGCTGGTTCCTCCTCTTTGTGGTCTCAGCTCATATGACACTTTTCAGAGGGACCTGCCCTAACCAGACCAGCCCCTCAATGCCAATAGCATTTTATTTTTTTCTAAACACTCACCGCCATCTGAAATTATCTTTCATATTTATGTTCTTGATCTGTCTCTCTCTCTCTCCCTCGAGAAAGTTAGCTCCATGAGAGCAGGAACCTTACCTACTTTATTTATCACTATACCATTGGAGCTGAAAGGGCGTGGCATCTAAGAGATGCTCAAAGTATATTTGGTTAGAGACTGGGTCTCCATCTGTTGCCCAGGTTGGAGTGCAACGGTGCAATCATAGCTCACTGCAGCCTTGAACTTCTGGGCTTAAGCAATTTTCCCATCTCAGCGTTCTGAGTAGCTGGGACCACAGGCCTATGCCACTACACTCAGCTAAATTTAAAAAAATCCTTAGAGGACTGGGCACGGTGGCTCACACCTGTAATCCCAGGACTTTGGGAGGCCAAGGCCGGCGGGTTACCTGAGGCCAGGAGTTCGAAACCAGCCTGATCAGCATGGAGAAACCCCGTCTCTACTAAAAATACAAAATTAGCCTGGTGTGATGGTGCGTGCCTGTAATCCCAGCTACTCAGGAGGCTGAGGCAGGAGAATCACTTGAACCTGGGAGGCAGAGGTTGCGGTGAGCCGAGATGGTACCATTGCACTCCAGCCTGGGCAAAAAGAGGGATACTCCGTCTCAAAAAAAAAAAAAAAAAATCCTTGGAGAGTGGGGGGGTCTCACTTTGTTGGCCAAGCTGGTCTCAAACTCCTGGCCTGAAGCAATCCTTGAGTCTCCGCCTCCCAAAACCCTGGGATTACCGGCATGAGCCACCAGGTTCTTGATAAATGCTTATGGAAAGATGAACGCCTGAGGCCCTCTGGGTTTGGGGCCTGAGATCAGCATCTTCACAGCTCCGTGTTCCAGGAGCACACTGAGGTCTAAAGGCTGTTGGGCGGTGGACAGGCTGGGTGCAGAGGCAGGGCTGGGGAGGGGTGGGGGCCACCTACCCATGCGGCCGGTCTCCGGCAGCCCCGCGAACCTCTGCATGACTTTGATGGCATCGCGCAACTTCTCAGGGCTCTGCAGCTGGGCCTGGGCAGGGTGGGGTGGCGGCAGGTAACCATAGCGAGTCAGCCAGTCCTAGGGCATCGGAGGGGGCAGGTGAAGCGGGCTGGGTGAAAAGTATGGGCTCTCTCTGCCCACCACCATCCTGGCAGCCCTGCCCCTCCCAGGCACCCAGAGCCCAGGGCCCCAGCCCCGGATGCCTGCCTGCTCCCCTCCATAGGTCCCCGCTTCAGTCCCGGGTTTGCCAGTCTTGTCTGGACTTCAGCTCCGCACCTCAGCTCCTTTCCAGAGCTCCAAATCCCAGCCCCAAACTTCCCGACAGACCCAAGAAGCCGGGAGCACAGACCCCATCCTCAGTCACTCTTTGGATATTGGAATCTGGCCCCTGCCTCCTCCGGACCCAGGAGTCCGGGCCCGGCTTCCCTCTCCCAATCTCTCTGCAGACCCCAGGAGCCTGCGGACCCCGCGCTCACCACGCCCAGGCTCACGTCCTGCGCCGAGGGCTTCGGGGCGCGCGCGGGCGGTGCCAGCAGCAGAAGCAGCAGCGCCAGAAGCCGGAGCCGCAGCCGCATGGTGCGCCCCAGCCCGGGCCGCCGGCGGGGTTCGAAGGGGGCCTGGCTGGGGCCGCCCCGGGGACCTGGGGGAGGAGATCCGGGCCTGGAGAGGGCGGGGGGCACCCGGCACCGAGTAGGGAGGGATCGGCCGGAGGGCTGGGATGTGTGTGGGGGTCCCGGGAAGTGCGCGGTGGAGTCAGCGGAGGGTCCCGGAGGGCCAGGGTCGCGCCGCTGGGTCGGGTGGGCCCGGGAATCCCAGGATGGTTGAGAGGGCGCGGGAGCGGCGGAGGTCTGGATGTGCCGCGGCGGCCTCTCGGGGTCCCGGGGCGCTGCGCCAGCGGCCCCTCCTCTCCGGGCGCGAGCGGAGGGCTGGGTGGGGCGGGCCGGGCCGGGCCGGGCGCACCCCGATATGCGGTAAGGGCGCGGCAAGGGAAATGGCCCAATCTTCGGACGTCCAGCGACAAGGGGCGGGCCAAGAGGTGGCCCCTGCCCGACCCAGAGACCCTCCTCCGACGCAGGACGCCCGGGCGGGGGCCGGGGGTCCACGGCTCTAACTCCCTCGTCCGCAAGTTTCTCTTCCCAGATCCCCGCTCCTGTGGGACTCCCCGGGGCAGGGCTCGCTTCTGCTTTCTCGAAGCCGCGCGGCCTGGGGGAGGGCGGCCCGGGCCTTCGGCTCAGCCAGCCCTCCCCATCCCTGTATCCCGCCCCTCTCCTTCCCCCCAGGACCCCGTGGGGCAGGTTGTCTGAGAGCCGGGGGGATTTCCGGGCAGCAGGAGGCTGGGAAGGAAGCCTCCTTCCCCGCGGGGTCCCGGCCCGCCCTCCGCCCCGCCAGCTCCAGCTGTGCGCGGTTGCAGCTGCCCGAGGGCCAATACTCAGTCCCTCAGCCCACGTGGGCTGCGCGCGGGGCTCGGCCTGGGCACGCGGGGGTTTGGGCCCCTCTAGATGCCGGGAGCAGCGGCTGCTCCGCGACTGCACCCCTCTCCCTAAGTGCCGGACATTTAAATGCTGCAGCCACTGCGCGGAAGCCACAGCGCCTGCCAGTGCCGGGAGCCGGGGACCGGGGAGTGAGTAGGCGGGGGAGATCCGGGAAGCCGAGACCTGGGGGTCTGCGAGCCGCCTCCTCCCGCGCCGAGAGCACCGGGCTAGGAGGCCGGACAGGTGGGGAAGGAACTGGAGGAAGCGGGCGGGAGGCTTCCTGGGGAGGGCGGGTGGGCGAGTGTGAGTTAAACTGCTCAGTCTCGGAGCAGTTCAGGGGCAGCCGCCGGAGCTGCTCACAAAATAAACAGCGAGCAGGATGCGGAGCTGGAGATGCAAAGGCAAACACTGCGATCCCGCGCCCGCTCGCTGGGGCCGCCAGAACAAAACACCAAGGACTGGGAGGCTCAACCAGAAGTTTACGTTCTCACAGTTCTGGAAACTGGAAGGCCAAGATCAAGGTGCCTGAGGGGCTAGTTTCTCCGGATGCCTCCTCCTGGGCAGGCAGATGGGCGTCCTCTTGCTGTTTCCCCACACGGCCGTCCCCCTGCGCTTGCACACCCCAGAAGTATCGTCCTCTTTTGTTTTGTTTTGTTTTGTTTTGTTTTGCTTTTTTTGAGACGGAGTCTCGCTCTGTCGCCCAGGCTGGAGTGCAGTGGCGCGATCTCGGCTCACTGCAAACTCCGCCTCCCTGGTTCACGCCATTCTCCTGCCTCAGCCTCCCGAGTAGCTGGGACTACAGGCGCCCGCCACCACGCCCGGCTAATTTTTTTGTATTTTAGTAGAGACGGGGTTTCACCGTGTTAGCCAGGATGGTCTCCATCTCCTGACCTCGTGATCTGCCGGCCTCGGCCTCCCAAAGTTCTGGGATTACAGGCGTGAGCCACCGCGCCTGGTCATTGACCTCTTGTAAGAAGTCAATCATCGGGGCCACCCTAAAAGCCTCATTTTAAGTTAGTCACTTTTTTATCAGCTCTATCTCTAACTATAATCACATTCTGAGGTACTGGGGGTTAGGGCTTTAACATACAAATTCTTCTTCTCTCTCTGGTTTGTTTTTTTTGTTTGTTTGGTTGGTTTTGGTTTTTTTGTTTGTTTGTTTGTTTTGAGCCAGGGTCTCGCTCTGTCTCCCAGGCTGGAGTGCAGCAGTAGCATGATCATAGCTCACCGCAGCCTGGAACTCCTAGGCTCAAGCAATCCTCCTGTCTCAGCCTGTCAAGTAGCTGGGACAACTGGCCCAAGCCACCATGCCCATGTTTTTTCTTTCTTTCTTTTTTTTTTTTCTTTTTCTTTTCTTTTGGTAGAGACGGGGCCTCCCTGTGTTGCTCAGGGCTTTCTTGAACTCCTAGGCTCAACCATTTCTCCTGCCTCAGGCTCCCAAAGTGCTAGGATTACAGGCGTGAGCCACCATTCCTGTAATGGTCAACATAAGAATATTGACAGGGCACAATTTACTCCATAACAGATCCCATGTTTGTCATCAGATTGGCAAAATTTTAAAGTCTGACAATGCCAAGTATTGGCCAGGTGTGACCCAGATGAAATTCGTGCTCTAGCCAGGTGTGTGGTGACTCACACCTGTAATCCCAGCACTTTGGGAGGCCAAGGCAGGAGGATCCTTTGAGGCCTGGAATTTGAGGGAGACCCAGCCTGGGCAACATACTGAGACCGCATTTCTACCAAAAACGGAAAGAAAGAAACGGATGCTCTGCAGGGGAGGCAGCATTTGTTCATATAGAAATAAAATAAATAAATAAAAAGAAATTCACCCTCTGCAGATAGAAACATGTTTTGTGATTTACCCTATGTGCCAAATTTGGTTCATATTAGAGACCAATAAGGCCACGAACACACCAAGAGAATAAGAAGAGTTTGATTACTCAACGATGAGGCTTTCTGGGAGAGCAGAGTGGGCTCCCAGGCAGCTCTGAAAGTGGTTTAAGAGAGCAAGGAGGGTTTTTTTGTTGTTGTTGTTTTGTGTGTGTGTGTGTGTGTGTGTGTGTGTGTGTGTGTGTGTTTAATGGAGTCTCACTCTGTCGCCCAGGCTGGAGTGCAGTGGCACAGTCTGGGCTCACTGCAACCTCCACCTCCCGTGTTCAAGTAATTCAAGGAGGGGCTTTTATTATGGTTAGGGGATAAAGTGGGATGAGGGTCCCTTCCAACCAGCCAGGACTTTCCTAATTTAAATTTCTCTATAGAGTGAGGGAGAGGGCACCAGGGCCTTCAGATCAGCTTGCCCACATGTGGGCACAAGGAGAAGAGGTAGGCACGGGGCTTTAAAGCTGTCAGCTGTAAAACATCAAAAAGGGAGTCAGGCACTTTATTACCTAGTATAAATTAAAGCCTACGCTTTAGGCCAGGCGTGGTGGTTCATGCCTGTAATCCCAGCACTTTGGGAGGCCAACACAGGCAGATCACTTGAGCCCAGGCGTTCGAAACCAACCTGGACAATATAGTGAGACCCTGTCTCTACAAAAAATACACAAATTAGCTGGGAGTGGTGGTGCACACCTATAGTGCCAGCTACTTGGTAGACTGAGGCGGGAGGATCACCTGTGCCAGGGACAGTGAGGCAGCAGTGAGCTGGTACTGCACCACTGCATTCCAGCCAAGTGACAGAGTGAGACCCTGTCTTAAAAATACATAAGCTGGCCGGGCGCGGTGGCTCACGCCTGTAATCCCAGCACTTTGGGAGGCCGAGGCGGGCAGATCACGAGGTCAGGAGATCGAGACCAGTCTGGCAAACATGGTGAAACCCCATCTGTACTAAAAATACAAAAATTAGCTGGGTGTGGTGGCTCGCACCTGTGGTCCCGGCTACTTGGGAAGCTGAGGCAGGAGAATTGCTTGAACCCGGGAGGCAGAGGTTACTGTGAGCTGAGATCGTGCCACTGCCCTCCAGCCTGGGCGACAGAGCGAGACTCTGTCTCAAAGAAAGAAAAGAAAAAAGAAAAATGGGTCTTTGCAGACATAAGCTAAAGATCTCAAGATGAGATCATCCTAGATTTAGGGTGGGCCCTAAATTCAATGGCTGGCATCTTTATAAAAGAGGGAAATTTCAGTCATAGACTAAGAAGACCTAGAGGGGCAGGTCACGTGAAAGCAGAGGCAGTGACTGGACTGATGTGGCCACAAGACACAGAACACCAAGGAGCATCTATAGTCACCATGGCCCAGGGAGAGGCATGGAGTAGATTCACCCTCAGAGCCTCCAGAAGGAACCAACCCTCACTTCAGGCTTCTGGCCTCCAGAACTGTAATACAATAATTTTTCTGTTGTGTAAACCCAGTTTGTGGTTTTTTTGGTTCTCTTTCTTTGTTTGAGACAGGGTCTCGCTCTCTCATCCAGGCTGGAGTGCAGTGATGCAATCATGGCTCACTGCAGCCTTGACCTCCTGGGCTCAAGGGATCCTCCCACCTCAGCCTCCCAAGCAGCCGGGACTGCAGGCATGTGCCACTAATTATTCTTTATGTTTGTAGAGATGGGGTCTTGCTCTGTTTCCCGTGCTGGTGGATGTTTTGTTACATACATCAGCCCTAGGAAGCTAATACCTACCTCAATAAAGCTGAATTTTTTTTTTTTTTTTTTTTTTTTTTGAGATAGGGCCTTGCTCTGTCACCCAGGCTGGAGTACAGTGGCCCAATCTCAGCTCACTGCAGCCTCCACTTCCTGGACTAAAGTGATCCTCCTGCCTTAGCCCTGTGAGTAGCTGGGACTATAGGCACACAGCACTATGGCCTGCTAATTTTTGTATTGTTTGTAGAAACGGGGTTTTGCCATGTTGCCCAGGCTGGTCTCAAACTTCTGGCCTCAAGTTATCTGCCCGTCTCAGCCTCCCAAAGTGTTGGGATTACAGGCGTGAGCCACTGTGCTCAGCCAAAGCTGATTTTTTTTTTTTTTCTGAGACAGACTCTTGTTCTGTCACCCAGGCTGGAGTGCAGTGGCACATTCTCAGCACACTGCAACCTCTGTCTCCCAGGTTCAAGCGATTCTCCTGACTCGGCCTCCCAAGTAGCTGGGATTACAGGCATCTGCCACCACGCCCAGCTAATTTTTTGTATTTTTAGTAGAGAGGGCGTTTCACCGTCTTGGCCAGGCTGGTCTTGAACTCCTGACCCCATGATCCACCCACCTCCTCGGCCTCCCAAAGTGCTGGGATTACAGGCATGAGCCACCGTGCCTGCCCTGATTTTTTTTTTTTTTAATAAGTGGGAGAAAACACTTGGAAACATAAGCATACATCAAAAAAACAAGTTGCAGAACAATGAATTCAGTGTGAAATATTATATATAAAGGTTTTAAATGCTCCAAACAATACTACCTACTGTTCATGGACTTAGCATACGTCATAAAAGCCTGGAGGCACCTGGGTCTGGACCCAAGTTATTTCTACCAGACTGCTTCTGGGGAAGGGCAAGAGGAGAGTGGGGTTCTGCTGGCCTCTGGATGCCTAGCATAGACTCCCACGGCATTGTGAGGTCTGACAAGGCTTCCCCAGGGATGAGACCCCTCCTCAACTCCCAACCAAGACTCAGAACCCCCCAGGGCTCAGCGGGTGGATGGAAAGGCGGGGAGGGCATACCAAACTAAGCACCCTGGAAGCTGGCTTGTTTGGGCTGGAGAGCAGGTGAGGCTGGGTGATCATCCTTCCCTTCTTTTTTTTCTTTTTTGAAATGGAGTCTTGCTCTGTCACCCAGGTTGGAGTGCAGTGGTGCGATCTCAGCTCACTTCAACCTCTGCTGCCCGGGTTCAACTGATTCTCCTGCCTCAGCTTCTCAAGTAGTTGTGATTACAGGCGCGTGCCACCACGCCCGGCTAATTTTTGTATTTTGTTTTGTTTTGTCTTTTGTTTTTGTTTTTGTTTTGAGATGGAGTCTCACCCTGTCTCCCAGGCTGGAGTGCAATGGTGCAGTCTTGGCTCACTGCAACCTCCGTCTCCCAGGTTCAAGCGATTCTCATGCCTCAGCCTCCTGAGTAGCTGGGACTACAGGCGCCCGCCACCACACACGGCTAATTTTTTGTATTTTTAGTAGAGACGGGGTTTCACCATGTTAGCCAGGATGGTCTCAATCTCCTGACCTCGTGATCCACCTGCCTCGGTCTCCCAAAGTGCTGGGATTACAGGCATGAGCCACTGCGCCCAGCCAATTTTTGTATTTTTAGTAGAGATGGGGTTTCAGCATTTTGTCCAGGCTGGTCTTGAGCTCCTGACCTCGTGATCCACCCACCTCAGCCTCCCAAAGTGCTGGGATTACAGGCATGAACCACCGTGCCCGGCCAATCCCTTCCTTCTTAACCAGACATGTCCCAGCCTCCCCGGGCCTTCCCTGAGGTCACTCTGTCCCTCCTACTCATTTTTCTCCTGGGATCGGCAGGGAGCCTGGGGGTGAGGGGAGGGCTGAGGTCCCCTGCATGCTGGGTGGCCAGGACTCTTAGACCCAACAGGGAGATGGAGGCCAGGACTCCTGGGTCCAGAGGAGACTGAGGACCAGATTCAAATATTCAAAGCCAGGCACACTGGCTCATGCCTCAGATCCCAGCGCTTTGGGAGGCCAAGGCAGGAGGATTGCTTGAGGCCAGAAGTCGAGACCAGCCTAGGCAACGTAGCAAGACCGCATCTCTACAAAAAATAAAAAAGTTAGGCTGGGCGTGGTGGGTCACGCCTGTAATCCCAGCACTTTGGGAGGCCGAGGCGGGCAGATCATGAGGTTGGGAGATCGAGACCATCCTGCCTAACACGATGAAACCCCATCTCTACTAAAAATACAAAAAATTGGCCGGGCGTGGTGGCAGGCACCTGTAGTCCCAGCTACACGGGAGGCTGAGGCAGGAAAATGGCGTGAACCCGGGAGGCAGAGCTTGCAGTGAGCCAAGATCGTGCCACTGCCCTCCAGCCTGGGTGACACAGCGAGACTCTGTCTCAAAAAAACAAACAAACAAACAAAAAATAAAAAAGTTAGCAGGGCATGATGGCATCTGCCTGTTGTCCCAGTCACTCAGGAGGCTGAGGCAGGAGGATCGCTTGAGCCCAAGAGTTCGAGGCTGCTGTAAGCTATGATCATGCCACTGTACTTCAACCTGGGTGACAGAGTGAGACCCTATCTCCGAAAAAAACAAAAACAACACAAATTTCCCAAGAGTGATTGAGGCTGAGAGCTAGGCAAGCTGGGATGAAGGCTCTGCTATGTACCCACAGACAAATGACTTAGCCTCTCTGAGCTGGGCTCCTCACCTGTGAATGGCGTGACCTCATAGGGTTGCTCTGAGGATGAAATAGAGTATGACATGCAGGTGAGTCATCTCTGGTGGCCGCGCGGAGATCACCAGCAAGGACTAAGTGCTGGCACTTCACACTCATTTAATCCTCACACCTGGCCAGGCACGGTGGCTCACACCAGTAATCCCAGCACTCTGGGAGGCTGAGGCGGGCAGATCACCTGAGGTCAGTTGAAGACCATCCTGGGCAACACAGTGAAACCCTGTCTCTACTAAAAATACAAAAATTAGCCAGGTGTGGTGGCACACGCCTGTAATCCCAGCTACTTAGGAGGCTGAGGCAGGAGAATCGCTTGAAACCGGGAGGCAGAGGTTGCGGTGAGGCGAGATCTCACCACCGCACTCCAGCCTGGGGGAGAGAGCGAGACTCCATCTCAAAAAAAATCCTCACATCCCTATAAGCTAGGAACTATCATCCCCATTTTACAGATGGGGAAACTGAGGGCCGCAGAGGTTAATCAGCTGAAGGGCATAGGCACCCACATCTGGTATGTGGCCAACTGGATCCTGGACCGAAGCTATGTGATGCCAGCACCCATGGGCCAAGCACTTTGCTGTACTGTTTTATTGGTTCATTTCTGGTTTATAGGTCTACGCTCCCTCCCATGGCCCAGGTGGACTGTGAACCTTCTGGGAGTAGGGCTGTAATCACTTCATCCTGGGATGAGCTCAGCCTGGCAGGAGGCGCTCAAGATGTGCTACGTGTGGGTGTGAGTGGGGCCCAGGGTGACTGGCATTTGGAGGGGACACTGAGCTTCTATTTCCAGAGGGTCACATAGCAGCACCCAGGGGAGGCTGGGATGTCTTCAGTCCTCCAGTGGCTACCAGGCTGCTCCCACAGGTGCAGTGGGAGAAAGTGTCAGGCTTGCTGGGCAATGTGGCTGTAAGACAAATCTCTGGCTCCCCTACTCTCTGCTGGCAGAAAACCCTGTCCCAGCCCCAGGACCCAGGAGTCCCAGTTCCTAAGTCACCCCTCCAAGGAGTCCTTGCTCCCCTTTTCCCACAAGCCAGGAGTCCCAGCCCCCACCCTCCTCCTATTTTTCTAGAACCCAAGTAAGTAGCCCCCAGTCCCCCAAGACTCAGGAGTCCTGATCCCCAGCCAGAGGTGCACGGACCCAGCTGACACCAGCCAGCCAGAGCTGATGTGCACAGCCCCTTCTACCTCTGCACTCCGTGACGCCAGGTGAGTAGCTGGAAGTCAGCCGAGGAGCAGGTATTGCATCATGGATATTGGCAAATGCAACGAGCGAGGGCTATTGTTTTAGCCGGGGAGCCTGTTGTTAAACGCTTACCAGCACGCCACTGCTCCCAGCCTTCCATCTGTCCTGCTCTCCAGGCCAGGAGCCCCTGTCACGAGGCCCAGGGAGCCCTGGAGTCTGGAGATAAATCGTGACAAGACACAAGGCCATGGATGGGGCATCACTGCTGCCCAAGCCACCCTGGGTCCCCAGCCCCGGACCTTCCCATCTCCACACCAAAGCCCCTGTCCCAGACAAGAGCACGGTCCCCAGCTCTGCATAACTGAGGAACTGAGAACCCCAGGTGTGGAGCCACACGGACTCGGGCATGGCTCTGGGCAAGTCACTCTCACTGCCTGGGCTACAGTGTCCTTGTCTGCGGCATGGGAATCAGTAAAGAGCATGACCCTAAAGCCACACTTGTGCTGTTCACCTTCCAGTTCTGACCAGGGGACCCCAAACAAGGTGGAGGACCCCCCTCCGCCTCCGAGCCTCAGCTTCCTCATCTGTAAGATGGGGATGACAGCAGTTCCTCGTCATCAGGTCATCATGAAAGTCAACAAGTTGAGCCGGGGAGGTGGCTCACTCTGTAATCCCAGCACTTTGGGAGGCTGAGGTGGGCGGATCACGAGGTCAGGAGTTTGAGACCAGCCTGGCCAAAACATTGAAACACCATTTCTACTAAAAATACAAAATTAGCTGGATGTAGTGGTGCATGCCTATAGTACCCGCTACTCACCAGGCTGAGACAGGAGAATCACTTGAACCCGGGAGCGGAGGCTGCTGTGAGCTGAGATGGCACCACTGTACTCCAGCCTGGGCAAGAAGAGTAAAATTCCATCTCAAAAAAAAAAAAAAAGGTCAACAAGTTATGCCTATAAAAGAGTTTACTTGACCAGAAGCAGAGGCTCATGCCTGTAATCCCAGCACTTTGGGAGGCCGAAGCGGGAGGATTGCTTGAATCCAGAAGTTTGAGACCAGCCTGGGCAACATGGTGAAACCCCACCCCTACAAAAAGTACAAAAATTAGCTGGGCATGGTGGCATGTACCTGCAGTCCCAGCTACGGGGGAGGCTGTGGTGGGAGGATCGCTTGAGCCTGGGAGGACGAGACTGCAGTGATGGTGCCACTGCACTCCAGCCTGCGTGACAGAGCAAAATCCCATCTCTAAAAAATAAAAAAGAGTTTACTTAGCAGAATGCTTAAGATGTCAGATTCGGTGTTGTTGTCATTGCTAATAATTTCCTGCCCCACAGGGCAAGGCAGTCGTGACGGGAAAGGAGCGGAGGCTACCTCAATGTAGGATCTGCAAACAGTAGATGCTCAGTTAACTGGCCGGGCCATTTGCAACCACAGCAGGTTGGGCCAGTGCCCCCCACCCAGGTGGAAGCGACTCTCCCTCGACCCCGCCCGGCCATTCAGGCAGCCAGGGAGCGCCCCGGCCCCTCCCGCGGCCCCGCCCCTTCACCTGTGTTGGCCGCACACCTGGAGCCGCCTCCGGAAGAGGGGACCGGAGACCGCGGGGACCTCGGAGGGAGCCCGGCGGCTTCGGGTGAGAGCCTGGGGGACGCCGAGGGCCGGGCCCCTCGAGCCTGGGGAGGGCCTGGTCCGGCCGCGTCGGCGGAGAAGGTGGGGGAGCCGGGGCGGGGGCAGGGGAACCGGGATCGCCGGGGAACCGGGGGCGCCGGCAGGAACTCAGCCGTCGGGGGTGAGCCCAGCCGCTTCTCTGGGCTTCCGACGCCTGGGGCTGGAGGCCCCAACACCTGGGCAGCTAGGTGCGGAAGGGGAGGGGGAGCGGTCTCCAGGTCCCTGTCTCTCGCGTGGAGGGGGGCGGGGGAGCGGGGCCCGCGAGGGCCAAGTCAGGGAGGTCCCCGGGAGCGGCCTGGGGGCGGCTGGGCTGGGACCACCGTGACACTCACGTCCTGCGAGCAGGGCTGCACATGGACACCGGGCGAGAGGAGGAGGGAGAGCACGGGTGTGTGTGCCTAGTGGGTGGTGAGCCCCCGGAGGGCTGGGGCTGGTAAAGCTGTTGTGTCGGGCCCTCTGACCCGAGCCCCTGAACCCCAGCCCCTGAGCCGCCCTAGGGGAGCCCAGGGCTCCCGTCCCCAGGGGCGGACCGGGAAGTAAACAGAAACTCCGAGCCGCGCTGCGGCCGGGCGGCCGGCACAACCTGTTACCTCGCCCTGTCCTGGGCCCCACGCCAGGGCCCTGGGAAACTGGGGGGCTGAGGGTCAGGGCTCCTGAGTCCGGAGGGGTGGGGGCATGAATGCCTGAGTCCCGTGGAAAATGGGGACTGGGGTGGGAATCCTTGGTGGGGGACATTGGAGGTGGGGACCTCTGAGTCTGGAGGGTGGAGTCAAAGCACCTGCTCAGGAGGTAGCAGGAGAATGAGGGCGAGAGACCCGGGAGGTCAGGGGCTGGGATCTGGGCTTCTGGCAGGGGAAGGAGCTGGATTCCTGGGGGCGAAGATACCTCAGTTCCCAAGCCTTAGGGTCCTGCATTCCTGAGAGAAGAGGCTGGGCCCAACTCCAACTGCTGAGTCCCTGAGAACCTGGGTTCTGGGAACTGTCTCAGATGGCGAGGGGCTACAAGCCAAACTGCTGGGTTCTGGGAAGAGAGGGGACAGGGAGCAGAGGTGGCCTGTGGCCCTGGAGCACTGGAATGAGCTTTCCTGGGGACAGAGATTGTCTGGCAGAGGCCAAAGGCTGGGCAGGTCATTTCCTTCTGCTTCCTGCCTCAGTTTACCCCAGGGACATTAACGGAACTGGGTAGCCAAAACACAGGTCATTAACCCTTTGTGGCCCAGGAAGCCCTGGCTGCAGGACCGGGCAGGCTGGCAGCAGGTGGAGAATTCCTGGAGGGCCAGGTGCTGGGCGGAGGGTGAGCCCCTGTCAGGCTGCAGAGTAGAGTGTCCCGCAGCCACCTGTCCCCGCAGATGCTGCAGGTGACATGAGCTCTCCAGATGGGCCCAGCTTCCCGTCCGGGCCGCTCTCAGGGGGCGCCTCTCCCAGCGGCGACGAGGGCTTCTTCCCCTTTGTGCTGGAGCGGCGGGACTCATTCCTGGGAGGGGGCCCAGGGCCTGAGGAGCCCGAGGACCTAGCCTTGCAGCTGCAGCAGAAGGAGAAAGACCTGCTGTTGGCCGCGGAGCTCGGCAAGATGCTTCTGGAGCGAAATGAAGAGCTGCGGCGGCAGCTGGAGACGCTGAGCGCCCAGCACTTGGAGCGTGAGGAAGTGAGCTAGCACTGGACGGGGTGGGTGGGTGGGTGGGCAGGGGAGGACGGGTGGGCCTGGAGAGGACAAGGGAAGGGAGTCAGGCAAGGGAAGGAGAGAGGAGCTGGGGAGGACAGCCGGGCGAGGGGGGCACTTTGGAACAGGTCAGAGCTGGGCCCAGTCCCCCTGGCAGTGTTGCCCAGTGGCAAAGAACATGAACTCTGGGTGCCGGGCACAGTACCTCACACCTGTAATCCCAGCACTTTGGGAGGCCAAGGCAGGAAGATCACTAGCCCAGTGTTGGAGAACAGCCTGGGCAACGTAGTGAGACTCTGTCTCTACAAAAAATAAGAAAATTAGCTGGATGTGGTGGTGGCACCTGTAGTCTCAGCTACTCAGGAGGCCGAGGCAGGGGGATCAATTGAGCCCAGGAATTTTAGAGTTTGAGGCTGCAGTAAGCTATGATTCTATGATCCACTGCACTACAGCTTGAGCAACAGAGTGAGATCCTGAAAAAAAAAAAAGGAAGGAAGGAAGGAAGGGGAAGGAAGGAAGGAAGGAAGGAAGGAAGGAAGGAGAGAGAAAGAAAAGAAAAAAAGGAAAGGAAAGGAAAGGAAAAAAGGCATGAACTCTGAGGATTAAGACCTGGATTCAGGCCAGGCATGGTGGCTCACACCTGTAATCCCAGCACTTTGGGAGGCTGAGGTGGCTGGATCACTTGAGGTCGGGACTTCAAGACCAGCCTGGCCAACATGGTGAAACCCCGTCTCTACTAAAAATACAAAAAAAATTAGCCAGGCATGATGGGGTGTGCCTGTAGTCCCAGCTAATTGGGAGACTGAGGCAGGAGAATCACTTGAACCTGGGAGGCAGAGGTTGCTATGAGCCAAGATCATGCCACTGCACTCCAGCCTGGGTGACAGAGCGAGACTGCATCTCAAAAAACAAAAACAAACTGGGTTCAGACCCTCGTCCAGCTGTGTGACCCTGGGTCAGCTGCTGGCCCTCTCTGGATCTTGGGTCCAGCTCCTCAGCAGTATAGCGGAACACCAGGCGACAGTCATGGGTGTCCACTCCTTGCCTGGCACTGGGCTGAGTGCTTTCCATGACTCTCCATTGATTCTTGCCCAGCCCAATGAGGTAGGAACAGTTCCCTCTGCCCAGGTTCTATTTTTGGCCCACTTCTTGCTCTGGGGCTCACATCTGGTCTCCTGAACACCCTCCTTTATCTGCTGCGTCGGCCCCAACCACTGCCCTGAGCCTGACCTGGGTAGCTAACCCTCTCCACCAGGCCACCTAGTGGGCATCTCAACACAAGTGGCACTTGATTCCACGCACTCGATTCCATGCCCCCATCACCTGCTGTCCCCATCCTCGCCTTCCCAACCTTGAGGACCAGAGCCTGTGCACCTCCTTGGACTCTTTCTCTATTTTTTTTTTCTTTTTTTGGAGACAGGGTCTCCCTCTGTCACCCAGGCTATAGTGTGCAGTGGTGCAATCATAGCTCACTGGAACCTCAACTTCACGAGCTCAAGCAATCCTCCCATCTCAGCCTCCTGAGTAGTTGGGACTACAGGCACACATGCACCACCATACCTGGCTAATTTTTGCATTTTTTGTAGAGATGAGGTCTCACCATGTTGCCCAGGCTGGTCTCAAACTCCTGGGCTCAACCAAACTGCCTGCCTCAGCCTCCCAAAGTGTTGGGATTACAGGTGTGAGTCAATGCGCTCAGCCAACCTTTCTTGAGTGAACAAATTCCCCCCAATATCCGCAAGCCCTTTTGATTCTTCTAAACTCCAACCACCCACTGGTCGGCTCTGCAGCCTCCAAGCTGATCACAGATCACAGCCTCCATCCCTTCTGCCACAGACACTCCAGCCACCTTCTCCTGAGTCCCCAGCTTCCACTCTTTTATTATTGTTGTTATTTACATGGAGTCTCGCTCTGTCGCCCAGGCTGGAGTGCAGTGGTGCGATCTTGGCTCACTGCAGCCTCTGCTTCCTGGGTTCAAGTGATTCTCTCACCTCAGCCTCCCAAGTAGCTGGGATTCCAGGTGTGCGCCACCAAGCCCAGCTAATTTTTGTATTTTTAGTAGAGACGGGGTTTCACCATATTGGCCAGGCTGGTCTTGAACTCCTGACCTCAGGCGATCCACTTGCCTCAGCCTCCCAAAGTGCTGGGATTATAGGTGTGAGCCACCGTGCCCAGCCCCCAGCTTCCACCTTTGACCCCTGGAGCCCGTTCTCTAAGGGACAGCCCAGGACTTTCAAAAACTGCAAATCAGATCATTTCACTCCTCAACCAGAATCTCCCCCTCACACTTAGAATGAAACCAAAACCCTTCCCCAGGGCCTAAAAGTCCCAGAGAACTGGGCTCCTCCCCGACCTCATCACAGCAGCACCACCCCTTTCTCCCCTCCTCCAAGAAGGGCAGCCGAACCACCCTCTCCCCGACAATGAGGGCTCTTTTCATTTCCTCCAAGAACTCACGCTTGTTCCCTCAGGAACTTTGCACTTGCTGTTCCTTAATGCCTAGCCTTCTTTCTGGTGGCTCTTCTTGTCCTGCAGAAGTCGACTCAAACATGACGTCCTCCTTGAAGGACCCTCCACCCCCACCCCACTCCTTACTCTCTATCATTTCCCGGGTCTCTTTACAGCCCTTACTGTCTCCCTGAAACTACCTGGCTCCGGCATGTGTCCATGCCCTCTGGACTCTAAGCTGCTTGAAGCAGTGAACTTGGTGGTCTCACGTGCCACTGACAGCAGACCCCAGAACAAGTGGAGCTCAGGAAATGTGGGAGGATTGATAGCAGTGTGGGTGGATAGACTTAGAGATATTGTGTCCAGGCCACAAGGCATCAGCAGAGCCGAGCATCAGCCAGGACAATCTGACCTTGAACCTGACAGCTTAATCCTGAAGCTGTGTTGCCTCTGCAGTATTCGGTTAAGAGTTCTGCTGCCTGAGTTGGCATCCCTGCTTTGTGAAGTTATTGTGTGTCGGCTGGGCACGGTGTCTCATGCCTGTAATCCCAGCACTTTGGGAGGCCGAGGAGGGTGGATCGCTTAAGGCCAGGAGTTCAGGACCAGCCTGGCCAACATGGTGAAACCCCGTCTCTCCTAAGAAAACAAAAAAATTTGCCGGGCAGGGTGGCGCACGCCAGTAATCTTAGCTACTTGGGAGGCTGAGGCAGGAGAATCTCTTGAACTTGGGAGGCGGACATTGCCGTGAGCTGAGATAGTGCCACTGCGCTCTAGCCTGGGCCAAAGAGTAAAGATCTGTCTCAAAATAAATAAATAAATAAAAAATAAAAACAACAATAAATGACTGTGTGTCCTTAGGCAAGGCACTTAGCAACTCTTGAGCTTGTTCCATCTGTAAACCCAGGACGTTAGTGATTCTCCCTCTAGTGGATGAAATGAAGCAATGCAGATAGAGCCCTAATGCAGGGTACCTGCGAGTCGCTGCAGCAGCTGTGGCAATTGTCACCTTCATCCAGGCCCATCCCGCTTTGAGGGCCTAGAGAGAGTGGGCCAGAGGTTAACCCCCGATTCATCTGCCTCCCCACGCTGGGCATCTGGGTGTGCCAGGGCATTCCCCCGCTGGTCAGACAGGTTTTTGGGCCAGGGCGGGGCTGACCAGGGTTAATTAGAGGGAACTGGCTAGGAGGAGCTGGGGAGGGGGCTGGGCAGAGTCCAGGCCTCCAGAGCCCCTGGGACACAGCAGGTGTGTGCTGCCATGGGCCGGGGCTTGAACTCTGCCAGACTCAGGCGCCAAAAACGGCGCTTGCGACCTCAGGTCCAGAAGCCCCGGCAGCAGCTGGAGGTGAGTGGTCATCAGAGATCCCCCCACCCCAACCCTTGCCCCGGGCCCACGCGTCCTGTCTGCTCGGAACCTTCCCTCTAAATCTCTGGGTCTTGCTCACGCTTCCTCCCTCACTCTCCCTTGCTTTTGTGTCTGTCTTGGACACAAGGCCCCCTTAGGCTTTCTCCCTAGGTGTCTGTCCCTCCATCGCCATCTCTCTGTGCCTGCCCAGTCTCATCGGTGCCTCTCTGCCTCTGTCCCTCTGCCCTGGCCCCCACAGCGGCTCCAGCAGGAGAACCATGAGCTCCGGCGAGGCCTGGCAGCCCGAGGAGCCGAGTGGGAGGCCCGGGCCGTGGAGCTGGAGGGGGACGTGGAGGCCCTGCGGGCCCAGCTTGGGGAGCAGCGCTCAGAGCAGCAGGACAGTGGGCGAGAACGGGCACGGGCCCTCAGCGAGCTCAGCGAGCAGAACCTCCGGCTCAGCCAGCAGCTGGCTCAGGTGGGATGGCCCTGACCCCAGGGCCCTGGACAAGGTTGGGGAGGATGCCTGGGTCCCCAGCGGGGAGTAGGTGCATTGGGCTTGGTGCTGAGGCTCCTCTGTCCCTCTTTCCACCTCCCCAGGCCTCCCAGACTGAGCAGGAACTTCAGAGGGAACTGGACGCCCTTCGGGGACAGTGCCAGGCTCAGGCACTGGCTGGAGCAGAGCTGAGGACGCGGCTGGAGAGTCTGCAGGGGGAAGTGAGTGTCAGCTGGGGCTGGGGGATTATCTGAGCCAAAAAAGCCGGGCTGAGGGCTGGGAGGGGCTGCCCCTGTCCCCAGCTCTCAGGCCTTTCCCCAGAACCAGATGCTGCAGAGCCGCCGGCAGGACCTGGAGGCCCAGATCCGAGGCCTGCGTGAGGAGGTGGAGAAGGGTGAGGGCAGACTGCAGACCACCCACGAGGAGTTGCTGCTGCTGAGGCGGGAGCGGCGGGAGCACAGCCTGGAGGTGACCTGCAGGGCTGGGGGACTACAACTGCCTGGACCCTTAGCAATGGCTTCAGGGCTTTCTGGGAGATGAGGCCGGAGCTGGATCACTGGGAGGCCCAGAGGCTGGCCCACAAGAGCATGGGCATTAGCCCATGGGCAAATGGGAGCCACGGAAGGCTGTTGAGCAGGTGAGGCATGCTCTTAGAGTGCATCAGAGCCTGGCAGCTGGAAGAGCAGGGAGGGGGCTGGTGCCAGAGCTCAGGCCAGGAATGACAGCCCCTAGACCACGGCTGCGCAATGGAGACGGAGAAAAAGAAATGAAAAGAGGATGCGGTGTCTGATGTTAGAGATCAAAGGAGTCTGCACTTTGGGGTCAGCTTGCCTTCCTTCGCATCCCGGTGCCCCTTCTTACTTACTACTGTGGGACAAGCAGCCTCAGTAGCACCAATAAATGCTGCATGAAACAATTACTGAATGAGGAGGTAGACTGGGCAGGGGAGGAGATGGGGCTCTTCGAGGTGCGGCCCTGCTCTATAGGCGAGGAAACTGTATATATCCGCTGAGGGAGGTGCACGGCCCAAGGCGCCCAGCGATCCAGGAACGGGAACAGCCTGGGCCGCTGGGGTGCGGGGCTCTCCGCGGCACCCCCGTGTGGACCTGCCGCGGGATGTCGGCGTTGCGTGCGTCCCGCTGACCGCCCGCGCTTCCGTCTGCGGGACCGTCCACAGCTGGAACGCGCACGGTCAGAGGCTGGGGAGGCGCTGAGTGCGCTGCGGAGGCTGCAGCGGCGCGTCTCCGAGCTGGAGGAGGAGTCACGCCTCCAGGACGCCGACGTGTCGGCTGCCTCGTTGCAGTCAGAACTGGCCCACAGCCTCGACGACGGCGACCAGGGCCAGGGCGCCGACGCACCCGGAGACACCCCGGTGAGCTCGTGGGGCCCCAGCCCCCTTACCTGTGCCATCGAGAGGGTTGCAGGCTCCGCCTTTCCTCCTTTCCCCAATAAACTCCACACCACTAACCCATTTCTTTGGCCCACAGACCACCCGGTCCCCAAAGACCCGAAAGGCGTCCAGCCCCCAGCCTTCACCCCCGGAAGAGATCTTAGAGCCCCCCAAGAAGCGAACATCCCTCAGTCCAGCGGAGATACTGGAGGAGAAGGAGGTGGAAGTGGCCAAGCTGCAAGATGAGGTGGGGCAGAGGGCACGGTGCTGGATGCACGGCCCCTCCAGCTGTCAGTTTCTGTCTCCCATGTCCACCTCCCAGCCTTTGCCCACTAAGCTCCCTATACCTGGATCGGCTTTCATCTCAACAAACTTACTTCAAGAGCCAGCCTGTATGCCACCTCCTCCAGGAAGACTTCCTGGACAGCACCTCTGCCCTTAGTTCCACTCCCAATGCTTCTCCCTGCATCCCTCCTGCAGGGTTATACCACTCCAACTAACCCTGCTCCACCCCACCCCGCACCAGCCTGAGGGGCTCAGAGGGCTCATATCGGAGTCTCCAGCACAGGGCCACGGCTGCCTGGGGTGTCTGTCGCAGGCAGAGGAGGGGTGGGGAGAGCCAGAGTCGGGGCTGCTGGGAGAAGCAGGGAGGCCCATTGGCCCATCTGCCGCACGGCCCCCCTCCTCTGCTCACAGATCTCGCTGCAGCAGGCAGAGCTGCAGTCCCTGCGGGAAGAGCTGCAGAGGCAGAAGGAGCTGCGGGCGCAGGAAGACCCTGGGGAGGCCCTGCACAGTGCCCTCTCAGACCGGGACGAGGCCGTGAACAAGTAAGCCTCAAGCCATTGACCACCGCCCCAGCGCCCTCTGGGCCCTCCTGGGCTCCTGATTCCTCTTCTGATACGGGTTATAATGATCCCCACTCCCACCCAGGGGCCCCCTGACCTCCTTGATCTAGGTGTTTGCAGCCCTCCTCCCGCCCGGGTACAGAAGTCCCCCGCCACCCCGGCTCCCTGAGGCCCTAGCGCCCTCAAACGCGTCTTCTGCTCCTGCCCGCCTAGGGCCCTGGAGCTGTCCCTGCAGCTCAACCGCGTCTCGCTGGAGCGAGACTCCCTGTCTCGGGAGCTGCTGCGCGCCATCCGCCAGAAGGTGGCGCTCACGCAGGAGCTGGAGGCCTGGCAGGTGAGGGGCGGGGCCCGTGTGCGGGGCGGGGCAAGGGGCGGGACCGGCGCTGAGCCGACCACGGCCTCCCGCAGGACGACATGCAGGTGGTGATCGGGCAGCAGCTGCGCTCACAGCGCCAGAAGGAGCTGAGCGCCTCCGCGTCGTCGTCGACCCCGCGCCGTGCCGCGCCCCGCTTCTCGCTGCGCCTGGGCCCCGGGCCCGCCGGTGGCTTTCTCAGTAACCTCTTCCGAAGGACCTGACGGCTGGGCCCAGAGGGCTGCCCTTGCCCACTTAGGGGCTCACTTTCCTCTTCAGGCCAATGGAGCGACAGGGCCCAGATTGTCTTCCAAAAGAAGCTGATGCCCTCCCCGCCCCAGGATGCTGGGCAAGGGCTCATCGGGAGCAGGGGCTCATCCGGAGCAGGGGCCAGCTTTGTGGGGCAGGAGCTCCAGGTGGGTGGCAGGGGCAGGTGAACAGAGCTATTTTCCGAATTAATATACGTCTATCTTTTCTAGGGCAGGGATGGGGCTGGGTATTTATGTATCAAGATCGGACAGAGTAATATATAAATCACTCCACCGATTTGGCCCCCATTCATAGAAAGAAAGAGCATGGTAAAAAAGCCTGAAACTTTATTGTAAAAAAAAAAAAAAAAAGAAAATGAAAAACACTCTAAAACCCTGAGCTGGCTGGGGGTGTCGTCAGAGATCAGAAGGACAGGGAGAAGGCTCGGTAACCCAGGTTGGTGAAGACATCCACCCGGCAGCTGTTGCCTGCAGCTGTCAGGACCTGGAGGAAAGAGGGGCATGACTGGCCTGCCCACACCCCTGCCTCCCAGCCGCTCCGCGGCCCCTGCCGGACCCACCTTGCACTCAGGCGCGGCAGGCTGCTGGTTGAGGCTGAGGCTGAGCAGCCCTGGGGAGGAGCCAGGCACCTGGGCCTTCAGCTCCCCGCTCAGCTGCCACTGGTTGACGCAGCGGCCCTGGCCAGCTGACAGAATCTGCAGAGGACAGGGAAGGTGCTCAGGGGTCAGGACTGAAGGGAAGAGTCAGTGGGGGTGGCAGAAGTGAGACACAGGGCCTCACCAGGTCCTGGTAGAAGGTGACGTGCTTCTGTGGCGCCCGGATGGGGAAGATGGTGGTGGGTGTGGAGGATCGGAGGTGCCAGAGGGTGAGGGCTGGGCCCCCTCCACAGACCTGGACAGAAAGGTGGGAGTCCCCAGCTGTGAACCACAGGCCCACAGCTGACAGGGCCCGGAGCTGCCATCCCATCCCACAGTCTGCCCAGCTCACCATCCAGTCGGAATCAGTTGCCAAACATCCAATCCAGCGCCCATTGTGGGGCCTCGAGCACTCCTGGGATGGGGAGGGGAGGAGGGAAAGAGGTGAAGACCTGGAGAATTCAAGGAGTTGGGGGAGAAGAGGACAATGGCCACGGTCACACCCTCACCTCGTGCTTATAGACCTCGATCGTCTGGACCTCCTTGGCTGTGCGCAGGTCTGCGGGGAAAGAACTGTGAGTGGTGCCCCACTTGCCTCAGCCTCCTTCACTGCCATCTTGCCCTCCAACCAGCCACCTGCTTACCCCAAAGTCGAACAGCTCCATCCTCGCCACCTGACAGCACCTCTGGGCTCCTTTCCCGCAGTGCCAGGCAGTGGATGTAGTCTGTGTGGCCCCGGAGGACCCTCTGCATGTAGAGGGGCGATGTCAGGAGGAGACCTAGGAAGAGTGCCTCTCCCTGACCTAGACCTGCTCTAGGGCTCCAGGACCCTGCTCACCGTGAAAGTCCCAGTTTCAAGGTCCATAGTGTGCAACTGACAGTCTCCCCCAGCCAGGATGAGGGAATTCTCCTGTGGAGGAGCAGGATGAGGCAGAAAGTCAATGTCAAATCAGGATAGGCAGAGGGTGAAGGATCAAAGTTTGGACCAAGAACAGTCACATGGGGCTCAGACCTTGGGGACCAGCAGCAAAGCGTTGATCTCAGGCACTTCCAGGCTGGTCCTGGGGAAGGAAAGGCAAGGTCAGTGAGGAAGTGGCTTCACCCTGATGCACCCTCTATCCACGTGGCCCTGCTCACCTGTATGGAGGCTGACGACGCCACAGCTCCTTACAGCCCTTCAAAAGAGAAAATACCAGGTGACCTCAAAGGCTCTCTCTGGGTCCAGGCACCCCAGCCCTTTCCCAAGCTCGACTCCTTACCTTCTTGAGCATCTCCGCCCAAAGCCAGGCCTTCACCTCCCCATCCCCAGCACTAAGCAGATGTCGATCGGTGGAAACCATGCTATAGACGGGCCCATCATGGGCTAAAGAGAAATGCAGAACTGAGTGAGCCAATCCCACCCAAAGTCCTGAAGCCAGACTCCACAGGTATACCCACCTTGGAAAGTCACCACCGGCTTCTTACTTTCCTCTTTGGCTTCTGAGCTCAAAGCAGAGGACAAGCTGCAGGGACAGCGGAGGGGACCCAGGAGTCAGAAACGGGGGCATCCGTCCCATGAGGGCCAAGTGCCAGGGCTAATGGGTGGACAGCGGCAGAGGGTACCTGAAGATGGCAATCTGCCCGTAATTGTTGCCAGCCGCCAGAAACTTCCCACATGGTGAGACGCTCTGGGAGAAGATGGTCATATGGAGCCGCTGCAAGGCCTGGAACACCTCTGTCTGCAGGGAAAGACTGGATGAGGCCTGCCTGGGACGTATGAAACCTCCCATCCACAGATTCCTCCCTGCTTCCCCCAAAACCTGCCAGGCCTCCCACTGTCCTGACTTCTCAGCCTTCTTTTGAGGCGGCCCCGCCCCAAGCCAGCACCTGCCCATGCAGTCCCATGGGTGGCTCCAAGAAGACACTGAAGAAGGGGAGAGTTGAGGTGATGCCTCAGGGACCTCTGAGCAAGCACCCAGGCCTCTCCTGCCAGCTTCCTCAACTGACAAATGGAGCTCACAGAAGATTCCATCACAATTAGATGAGCTAGTGTATAGACAAGAGCTTTACATGGGGCTGTCACTCAGTGCTTAAGCCGGGTGTGGTGGTTCATGCCTGTAATCCAGCGCTCTGGGAGGCCAGGAGTTTGAGAGCAGCCTGGGCAACATAGTGAGACTCTGTCTCAAAAAAAATTTAAAAATGTGGGGCCGGGCGCAGTGGCTCACGCCTGTAATCCCAGCACTTTGGCAGGCCAAGGCAGGTGGACCACCTGAGGTCAGGAGTTCAAGACCAGCCTGACCAACATGGAGAAACCCTGTCTCTGCTAAAAATGCAAAATTAGCTGGGAGTGGTGGCGCATGCCTGTAATCTCAGCTACTCAGGAGGCTGAGGCAGGAGAATTGCTTGAATCTGGGAGGCGGAGGTTGCGGTGAACCCAGATGGAGCCACTGCACTCCAGCTTGGGCAACAAGAGTGAAATTCCATCTCAAAAAAAAAAAAAAAAAAAAAATTTGGCCGGGCGTGGTGGCTCACACCTGTAATCCTAGCACTTTGAGAAGCCAAGGCAGGCAGATTACCTGAGGTCAGGAGTTCGAGACCAGCCTGGTCAACATGGTGAAACCCTGTCTCTACTAAAAACACGAAAATTAGCTGGGCATGGTGGCACACGCCTATAGTCCCAGCTACTTGGAGGGCTGAGGCAGGAGAATCGCTTGAACCTGGGAGGCGGAGGTTGCAGTGAGCTGAGATCGCGCCACTGCACTCTAGCCTAGGTGACAGAGTGAGACTCTGTCTCAAAAAAAAAAAAAAAGTGCTTTGCAAGAACTAGAAAATTAAAAAAAAAAAAAAAGTACCTCTACTACCCCAACATAGAAAAACGTACTGATTTATAATTCCTACTCTCTGACTTGCGTTAAGCCCCTGAAGCACTTCTGGGTTACTATCCCGCCCCCCTGGTCAGAGTCTGAGTCCCACAAATAGCCCAGGCAAAACAGGGCTCAGGGCACGATTCCCTGCCCGCCCCGTCCCAGCCATGCGTGAACTACAAACCCCAGAAGGCAACGCGCACCACGTCCGTCTCACCTGACCCAGAGGCACCGCGAGCGGCACAGCTCGCTCCATCTCCAGAACTACAAGTCCCAGAGTGCTCCGCGCGCGACGCAACCTCACGAGGCCTTACGTGCCTAGAGCGGTTCCTCTCCGTGGCGCCCTACCGCCTTCGGCGCGAAGGTGGCTGGTGCGTACCGTCCCGAACCCTAGGAGCCGAGGTGAGCGCCGCGAAGACCCCCGACATTAAGAAGTGGTGTCCACCGCAGCCCCCTTAAGCCGGATACCCTCCCCCACCCCGAGGAGCAAGCCTGCCTTCCGCCACGCGCCGCCCGTCTTCCGCGCCCGCGCAGAACCTCGCGGCTGTGCCCGCCTAAAGCCACGCCCATCCTCTCTTGGCCACGCCCTCAGAGACTCCTCCCCTGTCGCCCAGATCCCACCCGCAGGACCCCAAAACCCAATGATCCTGCAGCAGCCCTTGCAGCGAGGCCCCCAGGGAGGGGCCCAGCGCCTCCCGCGGGCCGCCTTGGGGGTGACTTGGGGCCTGGACGCCAGGTGCGTGTAGGGGACCAGGGTGGGCCTGACCAAGGGCCGCAGGAGCTTTGGCTGGGTGCTCAGGACTGGTCTGCAGGATGAATACGGGGTGGGGCGAATCGGCGGGGCTTAGGCGTGAGCTGAGATGGGACTGGGGCTGCGGCTGAGGGTCGAGACTTCCGAGGTACCCTGCTGGATGGTCCAGGAGAGCGGGGACCGGCACCAGCTGAGACAGGAATGGGCTTGGGGCTCCTGGCTGATGCTGCAGGCTTAGGCGGGCAGATCCTTGGGAAGGGGCCAAGAGGGTGGGGTGCACCAGGCTCTCTTTTTTTCCCAGCTCCCCTCTCCGAGGAGCTGTGCCCATGAGCACCAAGCGGCGCCTGGAGGAGGAGCAGTGAGTTTGGGGGCAGGGAGGGACTCCCAACAAGATCTCTGTCACCTCTGGTCCCCAACAGGCTGCCTCCTGTGTCAGTATCCCAGCCTGCCTCTCTGCCATCTCTCCCCAGGGAGCCTCTGCGCAAGCAGTTTCTGTCTGAGGAGAACATGGCCACCCACTTCTCTCAACTCAGCCTGCACAATGACCACCCCTACTGCAGCCCCCCCATGACCTTCTCCCCAGCCCTGCCCCCACTCAGGTAGGTTCCTCCACTGGCCAGGCCTTCTGCAGAATCACAGGCGGTCCTCACAGCTGACCTCAGGCCCTGCCTCATCGTGCCATTTTTAGCTCTAGCTGACCTCTGGGTTGTTTCCCATCTTGGCTCTTTGGAAAGTGCTGGGAACCCAGGAGCCCCTGGGGACCTGGACCTGGTGGGAGGTGCTCAGCTAGGCCAGCCTCAGCTCCATGCCCTGACAGTCATTTCCTCTTCTAGGAGCCCTTGCTCTGAGCTGCTTCTCTGGCGCTATCCTGGCAGCCTCATCCCTGAGGCCCTCCGTCTGCTGAGGCTGGGGGACACCCCCAGTCCCCCCTACCCTGCAACCCCAGCTGGGGACATAATGGAGCTCTGAGTGCTGGTGGACAGTGCCCCTCCCACCTTCCTTCTTCCCCACAACAGAAGAGACCAGCGACTCCCGCAAAGGGACAAGGTTCCTCCCTCTCCTGCAGAGTAGGCATCTGGGCACCAAGACCTTCCCTCAACAGAGGACACTGAGCCCAACGGAGTTCTGGGATGGGAGGGGTGGGAGCATGGGAAGGGAGGCATCCCACCCCCAAGAAGAACTGAATAAAGATTGCTGAGCAAAGGAAGGCTTCAGTCTGGAACCTGGGGCTTTTGGGGATGGTGGAGAGGGCAGAGGCGCGGGATGCTGGGGTTTCTCCTCAAGATCTTCCCTGGAAAACTGTTAGGGCCAGCCAGGTCCTTGCCGGCTGAGTTCCAGGCATTGAGAATGTGTGAGTCAGAGCCTCACCCCCGCCCCCGCGGCTGGCTGACTCACTCCCTCCCTCCAGCTCAGGGGAGTCAGTCGGGGATCACTGCCTCTCCAAACCATTTAAAGTTAAAGATTCTTTTATTAATAAATTCTCCCTCCCCTCCAAACTCTCCCCAAAATAAATATCTCCTCCCCGCTTTGGGGAGTTGGGGGGGTCTGTATCTTAGGGCCAGCCCTCCTAGTGGGCCAGCCCCCTAGTGTTAAAAATAGGTCCCTAACCCCCCAGGGTGACCCCCGTGGTGGAATTTCAGGACATCTGAGTGAGTGGGGCCTAGTGTCAAGTCTGCCCCCCAAGTCAGCCTGGCCCCCAGGGCCTCTAGGAAGGAGGGCACCCCCCTCCCCTGTGCAAATGCTGCAGTTCCTTAGTCAGTGTCAGCTGTTTTGTGTGAGCCAGCGTGAGGCTCCCTTTCTGTTCTGGAGCCAGAGGCAGGGCAACCAGACACCTTGGAAGGTTCCCCTGAACCCTGGGCCCAGGCCTCAGAGGTGATTCACCGCCCCCCACCCCCCTTGTGGTTGGAGGAGCTTGGCTCCCGCCGCGTCTGGGAGGCAGAGACTGGCTCTAGAATGGATGAATGAATGATGAGTGGGCGAGCCCCGGCTGGCAGGGGGCACATTGTCACTGGATCAGCGCCACAGCTGGGCAGCCCTCTCCGCCGGTCTCCTCTATGGGGGCTGCAAGATAAGAGGTGGGGTCGTCAGCAGCAGAGAAAAGGTCGAGTGCTGACAGGGCTGGGCAGGCCAGGGCACACTTACTGGTGAACTTCTCTCTCCTGCGGCATCGTCTCCAGACCAAAAAGCCAGAAAGCAGCCCCAGCACGAAGGTCAGGCTCAGAGCGCCCCCAAGGATGGGCCAAAGCAGCCGGAAGGGGGCAGGAGGTGCTGCAGCGCCTGGGGGCGGGACTCGGAGTCAGACCTCGCCCCTCTCCAGGCCAGCCCCGCCCCCTAAGACTGAGCCTTCTGCCTTCTCCCAAACGTGGCCTCCTCCCTGACCGGAGCCCCCTCCCAGCTCCCACCTCCTCCCGAATGATTTCCCAGATGCAAAGCTCTCGGCCCCGCTCTGCGCACCAGCCACCCTCCCTCCCAGTCTGGGGTCCGCTGGCCACTGGCCCTGCCCCCCACTCACAGCCCAGGCAGAAGTCGCTGTGCGGTCGCGCCCTGCAAGACGCGCAGTCCATGCACTTGTCCAGGTCCGCGCTCCAGGAGCTGCCGCGGGAGCAGGGGGCGGTGCCTGGGGAGGGGGCCTCGGGTCAGAGGCTGGGGGCGGGACTCGGCTATTCTGGGGTCTGAGGTCAGGGTCGGCCGGCTCGAATAACGTGAGTCACCGGCGCCCTCCCCGCGCATTCCTCACAGGTGACCGCACGGCCCGACCGGGACACGGCAGCTCCGGGAGGGAGGGCGTAGCGCGGGACGCTGGGGGTGGGGGGGGTCAGGTCCCCACAACCCCCCTGCCGCCGGCGGGTGACTCACTCCTGGGCACCGGGCCCGACCCCAGTCCCTCCCCCCGCATAGCTGGGCACTGAAGTCACCGGATGGAAGGGGGCACCCCACATGGTATAGAGGGCACAGACCCTAGTGCCTCTCGACGGCCTCCCCAACTCGTCGATCACTGGGGCTAGTTAGACCCTGTACGGACCAGGCTGGGGGCGTGCCCCTTCCTAGACTAAACATCCCGCCCTCACTCACTTTCTCTCTCCATTCGAAGTACTTCGGACTTGTGGAACTGAAGACCCCCCCCAACCCCAATTGGACGGTGGGAGAAACTGAGGCCCGGATTGTGAATGAAGCTTGGAGAGTGATGGAACTTCCCACAGCCGGGAGCGAGCTGTTTGAAGGCCACCTGACCCCAGATCCCCACATCCGCCTGTTCCCCCAGTTCGGCGCTGTTCTCCAGACACCCAGTCCGGCTCCCGAGCCCCGGCCCGGGGTTCCCCGACCCCGGAGTCCCGCGTACCTGGCGCTTGCTCCCCGGCCACGGAGCGCAGCAACGCCAGCCAGAGCCCCAGCACGAGGAGCCGCAGCAACCGGCGCAGCGAGCCCCGAGCCATAGTGCACGTCCTGCGCCCGCCGCTGTCTGCGCCCGCCGCCGGCCGGCAGGGACCCACGGCCGCCGCCCCGCCCCCGCCCCCGCCTTCCGGGGCGGAGCTCTCGCCTCCGCCCGCCTTGAGGTCCGCTTCGGGACGCCCCGCCCCGCGGCGCCCGCTCAGTTCAGTCATTCATTCAACAAAGTCCTGGCGCGGGAGCTGCCAGGACCCCGCAGGGACGCAGACCCCCTTCCTTGCCCAGCCGGTGATCTAGTCCAGCGTGCGTGGTGTGGGGAAATCAAAAATTAGACACGAGTGCTCGCTTCGGCAGCACATATAGAAATCAGACACGAACGGCCGGACGCGGTGGCTCACGCCTTTAATCCCATCAGTTTGGGAGTCTGAGGCAGGCGGATTACGAGGTCAGGAGTTCGAGAGCAGCCTGACCAACGTGGTGAAACGCCGTCTCTACTCGAAATACAAAAATTAGCCGGGCGTGGTGGCGCGCGCCTGCAATCCGAGCTACTCAGGAGGCTGAGGCAGGAGAATCTCTTGAACCCGGGAGGCAGAAGTTGCAGTGAGCCGAGATCGCGCCACTACACTCCAGCCTGGGCGACAGAGTGAGAGTCCGTCTCAAATAAATAAATAAATAAATAAATAAATAAATAAACAAACAAACAAACAATAAAAAGAAATCAGACACACGACCAATCCATGCAGAGATCACTGCAGCTTCCTTCCCCCCACCTCCCCTTGAGATTGCGTCTCACTCTTGCTCAGCCTGGAGTGCAGTGGTACGATCACGGCTCTCTGGGCTCAGGTGAGCCTCCCACCTCAGCCTCCCAAGTAGCTGGGACCACAGGCCCTGCCCCACCACGTCCGGCTAATTTTTGTATTTTTTGTAGAGACCAGGGTCTTACTATGTTGCCCAGGTTAGCCTGGCCACTACAGCTTTGTTAAGGGCCCGGGGGGTATAACAATTAAACCTGAGGTCAGGAGCTCGAGACCAGCCTGGCCAACTTGGTGAACCCCCGTCTTTACTAAAAATAAAAAAAAGAAAGAAGTTAGCCGGGCGTGGTAGTGGGCGCCTGTAATCTCAGCTACTCGGGAGACTGAGGCAGGAGAATTTCTGGAACCTGGGAGACGGAGGTTGCAGTCAGTCGAGATAGCGCCATTGCACTCCAGACTGGGCGACAGAGAGGGCCTCCATCTCAAAAAACAAAACAGGCCGGGCGCGGTGGCTCACGCCTGTAATCCCAGCACATTGGGAGGCCGAGGCGGGCAGATCACGAGGTCAGGAAATCGAGGCCATCCTGGCTAACACGGTGAAACCCCGTCTCTACTAAAAATACAAAAAAATTAGTCGGGGGTGGTGGCGGGCACCTGTAGTAGTCCCAGCTACTCTGGAGGCTGAGGCAGGTGAATGGCGTGAACCCGGAAGGCAGAGCTTGCAGTGAGCCAAGATCGCGCCACCACACTCCAGCCTTGGCGAGAGAGCGAGACTCCATCTCAAAAACAAACAACAACAACAACAAAAAACCAGCAACATAAAAATAATATTATCTGGCCGGGCGCGGTGGCTTAAGCCGGTAATCCCAGCGCAGTGCGAGGCCAAGGCGGGCGGATCGCTTGAGTCCGGGAGTTCGAGACGCCTGGGCAATATAACAAGACCCTGTCTATACAAAACAAAACATAAATTAGCTGGGCACGGTGGCGTGTGCTGCCTGTAGTCCCAGCTACTCAGGAGGCTGAGGCGGGAGGATCGCTTGAGCCCAGAAGGTCGAGACTGCAGTGAGCCGTGATCGCACCACTGCACTCCAGCCTGGGTGACACAGTGAAAATATTTCTCTAAAATAATACCAATAGTATGCCCTTTAATTTGTACCTTAGGACGTAGTTACATAATAAAATGCAGACTTGTTATCTCCATTTTGCAGAGTAGGAAACGAAGGCTCGGGAAGGTTAGGTGAGTTCCCCATGTCACCGCGCTGCTTAAGTGGTGAAGCGGAGTCTCAAGCTCTGTTCTACCCTAAGCCTGGCGCCCTCACCCTGGGTGAGTCTGGACGTCTGCCAGCCCGAGGCGGGCCCAGCGACCCCAGCCTCCAGCGCCCCCCTCTGACAAGCCTGGGATTCGCACGCCCGCTGCCGTCAGGGACAGGGTCTCTGCCCCTCCTCCGGGGCGGTGGTCCAGTGACGTCACCGCTTCTTTAAGACCCCCGCCTCCGCCCCTGTCCCGACACTCGGCCTAGGAATTTCCCTTATCTCCTTCGCAGGTGAGTCCGGGGCTAGTGTGCGTGTTGGAGAGACGCCTCTTGGGGCCGGGTGCAGGGTGGTGGCGGCGTGGGTAGGGGTGCGTGCGAACTCGGGCTGCGGCCACCTGGATGGGCGAGTCCCTGAGGGGGTCGGCCGGTCCGCGCCCAAGCCTCCGAGGTGATAGGGTCCTTCGGGGCTCCCAAGGGTTAAACGCCCCTCCCCCCTCCCCAGGGACAAAGACTCCGAAACCCCTGGCGCCCCTCCCCCACCTGCCTTGCCTCTCGGGGCGGGGCGCCCCTCCCCCCTCCCCCTCACCTGGGGGAGCGGACCTTGCGGCCACTGCAGCTATAGAACCCCTCCAGGGCGCGCGGCTCCCAGGCTGGGGTGGTCGGGTGGGCCGGGGCGCCCTCGGACAGAGTCTTTTTCATGCAGTGCATGAAAAAGAAAGGGGCAGGGGCACACTCAGAGGGGAGAGGCCTGGGCGCCTATACCAGCGCGGCCCCGACCCTAACTCGGCCAGAGGCCTAAGGGCCGGACCTGAGCGCTGGGGCACCGTGCCCCAGCCAGTCTCCCCAAGGTGGTCTGCTCCGCCCAGGCCTGGGGCCCCCGGCTAATGAGTAGAGCCTGCCCTCCGACCGCTGCCGGCCGGGAAAAGTTTAGGTCCAAGCCGTACAATGAAAGTACTCTGGGCAGTGGGAGGCCACAGCCCGGCCCTAGTCAGAAGTGATTCCCTCCACGACCTCCAACACTGAGGGGACACAGGTGCAGGCCAGGTGGCGGTGGGAGAACTGGTGTTGAGGGGAGTCTAGCACGGCATTTTCGTCTAGAATTCATAGGAAAAGGCCCTCAGCCTTGAGGCTATGCTCTCCGGCGCCTAGGGCAGGTCAGAAGGGTGGGGCCAGGGAGTTATCCACTGGCTTTGGGGGAGGAACTGCTTTTAGATGGGGGATTAATGATGCTTTTCTTCATCTCTCCTGGTCCTGGTGTCTGCCAGCCTGGGGTGTGGAACCAAGTTGTGAGGGACATTGGGTGGTGGGAGGAAGCTTAGGATCTCCAATCTTAGTGTTGAAATTAACAAGTTTTGGTTGGGCACGGTGGCTCACACCTGTAATCCCAGCACTTTGGGAGGCTTGAGGCGGGCAGATCACCTGAGGTCAGGAGTTCGAGACCCGCCTGGCCAACTTGATGAAACCCTGTTTCTACTAAAAATACAAAAATTAAGACCAGGTGTGGTGGCTCATGCCTGTAATCCCAGCACTCTGGGAGGCTGAGGCGGGAGGATCACGAAGTCAGGAGATCGAGACCATCCTGGCTAACACAGTGAAACCCCGTCTCTACTAAAAATACAAAAAAATTAGCCGGGCGTGGTGGTGAGCGCCTGTAGTCCCAGCTACTCGGGAGGCTGAGGCAGGAGAATGGCGTGAACCGGGGAGGCAGAACTTGCAGTGAGCCGAGATCCCGCCACTGCACTCCAGGCTGGGCGACAGAGCGAGACTCCGTCTTAAAAAAAAAAAAAAAAAATTAGCCGGGCGTGGTGGTGTGCACCTGTAATCCCAGCTACTTGGGAGGCTGAGGCAGGAGAATCGCTTGAACCTGGGAGGCAGAGGTTGCAGTGAGTGGAGATGGCACCACTGCACTCTAGCCTGGGCCACAGAGCGAGACTCCTCGTCTCAAACAAACAAACAAAACAAATGGACAAGTTTTGAGCCTTAAACTCAGGGCTAGAATTGAACCATTCTACACGGAAACTGCTTGGAAATCGCACCGTCCTGTCATCCTGCTTTTTGCCGCCTTGCAGCCTGATCACTGGCTCTGGCCTTGGACTGTCATTGTATAGGTTTCATCCTGTTATCTTTCATTTGCATTCAGGATAGCCAGGGCAGGGCTGCTTGCACAGTCACTGTCATCAGCCAGTGCCTGTCACATAACTAGAAAGAATAATAAATGCTAAAGCATTAAGTGTCCATTTTGCCCACGAGAAGTGAGGCTCAGGGAGCATGTCTTGACTGAGTTCCAGGATGTGATGACCACTTTCCAGGGTGCATGCCCCTAGAGTCCTGTCCACATGTGGCCTGAGGTCTGGGCCTGCCAGGCCTCACCTTGTTGTGCTTCTGTCCCAAACACAGTGCAGCTCCTTCAACCTCGCCATGGCCTCTGCCGGAATGCAGATCCTGGGAGTCGTCCTGACACTGCTGGGCTGGGTGAATGGCCTGGTCTCCTGTGCCCTGCCCATGTGGAAGGTGACCGCTTTCATCGGCAACAGCATCGTGGTGGCCCAGGTGGTGTGGGAGGGCCTGTGGATGTCCTGCGTGGTGCAGAGCACCGGCCAGATGCAGTGCAAGGTGTACGACTCACTGCTGGCGCTGCCACAGGACCTGCAGGCTGCACGTGCCCTCTGTGTCATCGCCCTCCTTGTGGCCCTGTTCGGCTTGCTGGTCTACCTTGCTGGGGCCAAGTGTACCACCTGTGTGGAGGAGAAGGATTCCAAGGCCCGCCTGGTGCTCACCTCTGGGATTGTCTTTGTCATCTCAGGGGTCCTGACGCTAATCCCCGTGTGCTGGACGGCGCATGCCATCATCCGGGACTTCTATAACCCCCTGGTGGCTGAGGCCCAAAAGCGGGAGCTGGGGGCCTCCCTCTACTTGGGCTGGGCGGCCTCAGGCCTTTTGTTGCTGGGTGGGGGGTTGCTGTGCTGCACTTGCCCCTCGGGGGGGTCCCAGGGCCCCAGCCATTACATGGCCCGCTACTCAACATCTGCCCCTGCCATCTCTCGGGGGCCCTCTGAGTACCCTACCAAGAATTACGTCTGACGTGGAGGGGAATGGGGGCTCCGCTGGCGCTAGAGCCATCCAGAAGTGGCAGTGCCCAACAGCTTTGGGATGGGTTCGTACCTTTTGTTTCTGCCTCCTGCTATTTTTCTTTTGACTGAGGATATTTAAAATTCATTTGAAAACTGAGCCAAGGTGTTGACTCAGACTCTCACTTAGGCTCTGCTGTTTCTCACCCTTGGATGATGGAGCCAAAGAGGGGATGCTTTGAGATTCTGGATCTTGACATGCCCATCTTAGAAGCCAGTCAAGCTATGGAACTAATGCGGAGGCTGCTTGCTGTGCTGGCTTTGCAACAAGACAGACTGTCCCCAAGAGTTCCTGCTGCTGCTGGGGGCTGGGCTTCCCTAGATGTCACTGGACAGCTGCCCCCCATCCTACTCAGGTCTCTGGAGCTCCTCTCTTCACCCCTGGAAAAACAAATGATCTGTTAACAAAGGACTGCCCACCTCCGGAACTTCTGACCTCTGTTTCCTCCGTCCTGATAAGACGTCCACCCCCCAGGGCCAGGTCCCAGCTATGTAGACCCCCGCCCCCACCTCCAACACTGCACCCTTCTGCCCTGCCCCCCTCGTCTCACCCCCTTTACACTCACATTTTTATCAAATAAAGCATGTTTTGTTAGTGCATTTGGTGTTGCAGCGGGTTACTGAGTGCCCACCCTGGCTAGGGGAAGAGATGGGCATAAGTGAGTCACGATCCCCTCTCCCCGTGGCTTGAGTGAGCATACCCACCAGGCAGAACCTAGAGCCAGACCTTGGCCTGACAGCCACCAAGGGAGGCCACCTGGCTGTGCCTGCCCAGCCCCAGCGGCGGCGCACAGATTAGAGGGAGCCCAGTTACAAATGCTCTTTATTTCCAACTCGAGGGTGGGGATGTTGGGGAGAGGGAGGTGATGGGCAGGCCCTCCCTGACAACTCCAGGGTTGGGAGGGCATGGTCTGCTCCCTGGTTTTGGAGCCAACGAGCTGCTGCTGTTTTGGTGAGGCCAGGGTTCCTGGGGCAGGGGAGGGCTCAGAAGAGAAGGAAGGCCAGCCAGTGTCCTGGGCAACGGAAGGAAACAATTACTGGGGAGGTGGGGGCAGGCCAGGGTTCCCAACACCTCTAGGCTGCCCAACTTGGGGGAGAACATCAAAGGGGACCCCACTGAGAAGAGCTCAGCCAGGCCAGCTGACCCAGCCCTGCAGCCAGGTGTAGCTTGGGCTTTTGGAAAGTGGGTTTTCCTGGGGAAGGAGGTTGTGATGGAGCAGGGCATCTGGTCATCAGGCCAAGGTCGAAAGGGCGGGGCAGTGGGGAGCAGTGGGCTCCCAGGGGAAACCTCCGCCTCACACGTAGTCCCTCTTGTCCAGTCCAGATGCACCCGAGCGGGAGGGGATGGAGTAGCCCAGCCGAGGTCCGCGGGGCCGCTCGACCTGGGGCGGGGGGCACGTGCAGCAGAGGAGCCCCCCGCCCAGCATAAGCAGTGCAGCCGCCGCCCAGCCCAGGTAGAGGGAGGCCCCCAGCTCCCGCTTGAGGGCCTCAGCCACCAGGGGGTTGTAGAAGTCCTGGATGATGGCGTGCGCCGTCCAGCACACAGGGATGAGCACCAGGATGCCGGCGAGGAGGAGGATGACCCCCGCGGTGAGCACGATACGGGCCTTGGCACCTTCGTCCTCCACACACGTGGTACACTGGGCACCTGTGATGGCCACCAGGAGGCCAAGCAGGGCCAGCAGGAGGGCAATGACACAGAGGGCACGTGCGGCCTGCAGGTCCTGCGGCAGAGCCAGCAGTGAGTCGTACACCTTGCACTGCATCTGGCCCGTGCTCTGCACCACGCAGGACATCCACAGGCCCTCCCACACCACCTGGGCCACCACGATGCTGTTGCCGATGAAGGCGGTCACCTTCCACAGGGGCAGGGCGCAGGACACCAGGGTCCCCAGCCAGCCCAGCACAGCCAGGGTCATGCCCAGCAGTTCTAAGCCGGTCGAAGCCATCTGGCCCCTCGGTTAGGTCTTCTCAGCCCCAGGCGGCCTAGGTGACTCAGAGGGTGTGTCTGGTGTGCTGGGTGGGTGTCTCTGTGTCCAGCAGGAGGGGGAAGGCTTGTTGGTGTCCCCAAGCCAGGCCAGTCCTCAGTTCCATGAAAGGCGCCTCTTGAAAGGCGCCTCCTCTCCGTGCCTCTTGCAGGTGTTTCTGGTCCTCGCGGAGCACAAAGCAGACTCGTAGTCCCGCTCGGCTGAGTGGTGGGTGTCACCTCGAGGGGCCTCCGCCCATCGGATGCCCTGAGGGTGCTGCTGCTCTTACCACCCCGCTGTCACACCTGGGCTGAGCTCGCACAGGCCCTCCAGACGCACTGCCAGGCTGAGGACAGCCACGTCTCCTGCCGGCTGGCGCAGGTTCCCACTGAGCGACTCTGACAGTGCCACCTGGGGACTCTGCGGGCTCTCGGCTGCAGGCGGGGTTTTAAGGCCCAGGCAGGGGAGGAGCAGAGTGAAGTGCAGGGAGGCCGGGATAGGGGAGACCTGAGCCACGGGGAGGGTGCGGGGCTGGGGGTTCGTGGGCAGCGGATGGATGAGGGGCCTGGGGGCCAGCGGGGGATGCTGCGGCTGAGTGGGGACAGGGGAGGAAAAGCGTCCGTAGCATCTGTGCATGTGGGAACCAAGGGTAAAGGAGGGGAAGATGGAGGACAAGCTGAGGAAGAAGAGACGGATCGGGGGTCAAAAAAGTAACAGGCTCAGGACAGAAACACACACAGGGGGCGTCGGCTTGCCTTCCTGAGCCTCCTCCTTCCGCAGCCCCTCCCCAGCTGCCTCTGCTCTCCCCCAGCCGAGTTTCGTGATGCAAACATGCCCCAGCTCCCCGAGTATCGCACACTCCCGCCCGCCTGGGACTCTCTGGAATCTGATCCATCCCCCGTCTCAGCCCAGTGGCCCCGCTAGCTCCCGGGGGAAGGTCCCCGCCTGCACTGTTCCCCAGACGACAGGTGCCTGGCGCCCAGCTCAGGTGGCATCGCCCTGGCAACGGCCTAGAAAACTACCCCCCACTTCAACCTCAGCTCAGGTGCGCTCTTGCCACCCCTGCTGCTGAAACCGAGGCTGAGCTGAGCTGCCTAAGATCTCCAGAGGCCAGAGGATGAGGGGCCTGTTGTGGAGGTTGGGGGGCACTCAGGAAGGGGGATGGAGGCGGGACGGGCTGGGGCTGGAACCCAGGGTGGGGCACAGCCCAGGACCCGGTTATGTTCCATGGGTGGGTGAGTGAGTGGCCAGTCAGGCCTCCCGGGCCAAAACACCCCAGAGGTGGGCACGGGGGTTAAGTCCAGGGACTCAAGTGTCCCCAAGACCTGCCTTCCAGTTTGCAGGAAAGCCTTACCTCCGGAAAAACCCCCTCAGAGCCTGTGATTCCACTCATGGGGACAGCCTGGGAGTCCCACTGACCAAAGCTCAAATCCTGACCCCTACCTGGGACAGGTCATGGAAGGTCGAGGTCCTTAACCTCCTTTGGTCAAAGACCCACTTGAGAAACCCCGTGGGACTCACAGAACATGCACCCACAAACATGTGCCCCTCATTTGTGGGGGAGGGTTCATGAACTCCTTCAAGCCCCTGCCTGGGTGCTAAGAACCTCTGAGGATTGTTGTCTGAAAAAGGGGTGTGACGGCCAGGTGCGGTGGCTCACGCCTGTAATCCCAACACTTTGGGAGGCCAAGGTGGGCGATTCACGAGGTCAGGAGTTCGAGACCAGCCTGGCCAACATGGTGAAACCCCGTCTCTACTAAAAATACAAAAAATTAGATATCCCAGCACTTTGGGAGGCCGAAGCAGGTAAATCGGAAGGTTAAGAGATCGAGACCATCCTGGCCAACATGGTGAAACCCCGTCTCTACTAAAAATACAAAAATTAGCTGGGCGTGGTGGCACAAGCCTCTAGTCCCAGCCACTCGCCACTCTGGAGGCTGAGGCAAGAGAATCACTTGAAACCGGGAGGTAGAGGTTGCAGTGAGCCAAGATCGTACCACTCCACTCCACTCCAGCCTGGCGACAGAGAGAGACTCCTCAAAAAAAAAAAAAAAAAAAATTAGCTGGGCGTGGTGGCGGGTGCCTGTAATCCCAGCTACTTGGGAGGCTGAGGCAGAAGAATCGCTTGAACCGGAGGCAGAGGTTGCAGTGAGCCGAGATCGCACCACTGCATTCCAGCCTGGGTGACAGTGGGAGACTCTGTCTCAAAAAAAAAAAAAAAAAAAAAGGAAAAGGGATGTGAGGAACATTGTCTCCATTCATACACTTTCCAGGGAGGTACAGAGGATCCTCAGAGTGGGCCCTCACCTGGGACTGCCTCTCACCTGCCTGGTGCTGGGAGGGCTGGGGTGTGCTGGAGCCCACTGGCCAGTGCGGGCAGGGCTGGAGGTGCCCACCACACACATCTGGTGGCTGCACCACTTCACGGCATTGCCTTCGGGGAGCCAGTGGCCAGGCACACCCCTGCTCAGTGCCCCTCACCTAGTGGGTGGGACATTGTGTATAAAGGGCTCTAACCTCAAGGAGCGGTCAGGGTTCAAACCTAGGGGTATGAGCATCGCTTCTGCGAAAGGGTTTTAGCATCTTTTGGGTCCGGGCACTGAGGCTCACGCCTGTAATCCCAGCGCTTAAGAGGCCAAGGTGGGAGGATTGCTTAAGGCCAGGAGCTTGAGACCCACCTGGGCAACACAGTGAGACCCCATTTCTAAAATAAAAAAAAAATATATATATATATATATACACAAAAATTAGCTGAGTTAGGTGGTTCCTGTCTGTAGTCCCAGCTACTCGGGAGGCTGAGGTAGGAGGATCTCTTGAGCCTAGGAGTTAGAGTCTGCAGTGAGCTATGATTATGCCACCGCACTCCATCCTAGGTGAGACCCTGTCTCTTAAAAAAAATGATACTTTTGGAAGAGAGATTTATACTTTCCTTCAGATTTGCAAAGGGGCCTTGACCCAAAACAGCTTAAGATCCTCCCCTGCAAACACAGAGACAGGCCAGCGCCAATCAGCTGGTCTGTAAGGTAAACAGAAGCCTGGCCTCCTCTTCACCACCCCCTGGGCCTCTCCACTGAGGGGGGCTCCTCCGGTACGAGGGGGGCTGACCTGGTGGCCCCACAGAGTCTGGAAGATGGGGGGGTGATACAGAGGCTGGAAAATGGCCATCAGTGGACTCAGGGAATCTTGTGGCAGGTTTGTCCAGCTCACCCAGCCCCTGGGGCTCAGATTTCACAGGGTTGGGGTGGGGAGAGCAGAGATTGCAGACGGAGGCAAGCCGGTCAGCGGGCTCCCTCGCAGCCTTCCAGGGGCCTCCAGGAATCCAGCCACACAGGTTTGGGCAGCTGTCAGGAGGCAGCAGCAAGCCTGCCTCCCTGGAAGTCCCCCCACCCAGCAGCCCCAACCCAGGGGCTATTCTCTTCCCTGGGCCGGAACAAGTCCTCCTTGTCCTAGGGCCTAAGGTGATCGGCTCATCCCACTTTTTTGAGGGACATTCCCAGCTTGAATATTGGGTCCTCCAGGGAAACCGGGACGGCTGGTCCACTTGCTGTCGGGCCCTGCCTCGGTGACTCACCGGTTCCACATTCAGCTCTAAACCCCTACGTTGTAGCCCAGTGGCGGGCTGCACACATCCAGTGAGCGCTGTGCCCGGAAAGGGCATAAGAGGACCCCAGGGGTTTTTTTGTTTGTGTTTTGAGACGGAGTTTTGCGCTTGTTGCCCAGGCTGGAGTGCAATGGCACAATCTCGGCTTACTGCAACCTCTGCCTCCTGGGTTCAAGCTGTTCTCCTGCCTCAGCCTCTCAAGTAGCTGAGATTACAGGCATGCGCCACCACACCCGGCTATTTTTTTTCTTTTTTTGTATTTAGCAGAGACGGGGTTTCACCATGTTGGTCTGGCTGGTCTGCGAACTCCTGATCTCAGGTGATCCGCCTGCCTCAGCCTTCCAAAGTGCTGGGATTACAGGCAAGCGCCACCGCACTTGCTCGGGGACCCCAGGTTTGTGTTTTGTTTTGTTTTGTTTTGTTTTTTTGAGACGGAATCTCGCTCTGTTGCCCAGGCTGGAGTGCAGTGATGTGATCTCGGCTCACTGCGACCTCTGCCCGCTGGATTCAAGCGATTCTCCTGCCTCAGCCTCCCGAGTAGCTGGAACTACAGACATGTGCCAACACACCCGGCTAATTTTTGTATTTTTATTAGAGACGGGGTTTCACCATATTGGCCAGGCTGGTCTCGAACTCCTGATCTCGTGATCTGCCTGCCTCGGCCTCCCAAACTGCTAGGATTAGAGGTGTGAGCCACCGCATCCAGCCGACCCCAGGTTTTTAAGACCCCAATTCCTCTTTGGCCCAACATCTCCACACCGGAGCAAGAAGGAAAGCAAGCCCACACTCCAGGGACTAGCCAGCAGAGTGGGTGGAGGCTGCTCAGCAAATGCGCACACCCCCACCTCAGTGACCAACCCACTGGACTTGCCTTCACAGTGGCCCTGTGCGGCTTCAGGCTCCTCCCACCCCAAGTCTCTAAGATAAAACACAGTATCTCCCCAAGCCCCTTGGGGAGAGTAAAAGTGGAGAAACATCTTGGAGCCTAGGAGAGGCTGGAAGAGGGTGGTTGGGGAGCTGCCCATGGTGGGAGGATTCCCAGGACACATGGGTAGCAATTAGCCTGTTGTCCTCAGCCCTCACTAGACCTAGGTTGGGAGGTCCTAGACCCTCTCCTAGGCCCCCGTGCACCTGGATTCAGTTGGATCTTGGGAAAGGAAGGGTTAAGGTTGGGGCCTAATCAGGGACTGGAATGCCATTGATATGGAAAAGTGGGGGCCCCTTGGTGTGGTTACCATCTCAATGGCACTTTAACACCTCCAGCGAAGTCCCCTCCCCCATCCACCACGTCTGGGAAAAGAGGTGGGGGAGGGGAACCTTCCCCACTGTACTACCCTGGGAGGAAAGGAAGCCGGCTCTCCACCAGTCCCTTCCTGGAGCGACAAAATGGACCTCGTTTTTGTTCCGTCTAGGAGGAAAGAGGGGCAGGGAGGCTCAGGTGGGCAGAAGAAACCAGAGATCAGCTTAGATAGGGTCGAAGTGGGTTAACCCGCGCCTCTTAGAGGGGGAAGTGTGGCCTGACCACAAAGGAAAGGAAGGAAGTTACCAGGAGCTACCATGCGCCAGGAACAGTGCGGGGGTGGGTGTGGGGGCAGCACACTAAGAACCCCAAGGGCAGAGTCACCCACTGCGCCCGGAGGAGCCAAGACCCAGATCTTACAGGTAGAGAAGCTGGTCCCCTAGCTCCCAAACCAAAAGGTGCAGCTAAATCTCGGTGTTGCAGCTGTCACCCTCACGGGCTCACTGCCCACCTTCACAGACAGGAACAAGCTCAGGGAGCTGAGCGAACCTGACCAAGTGCACAGCGGGAAGCAGGACACACCTGACACCAACCCAGACCCTGACTTTGGAGCTAGCCCCCCTAGGTGGGCTAAGAGAGCCTCCTGAACCTCTTTCCCGACAGGGCAGCGGGGCAGGGCCTCTCCTTCTTCTGGGCCTCCCAAGCACCATCCCGTTCCTCCTTGTCCCAAATTCTTCGAGGCTCCCAGTACAGGGAAACCTCTGCAGAAAACTGCATTTGGATCTGATTACGGAAGAGGCCCCCTCCACCAGCTGGCTCACTCTCATTGCCATGTCCCTGGCAAGGGAAGTGCCCTTTGCTCCCCACTTGCAGGGGGCAGCGGGCTGGACTCCCAGAACCTCATGCGAGCCCCACCCCAGGGCTCCCTGGGCAAGTCACAGCTGCCCAAACCTCAGGTGCTCCTGGCTGTAAAGCAGAGAGGAGACAGCTCTGCTTCAACCCTGGCACATCCCTGGACTGGCACCTTGGGGATCGAGGTGGGTATTGACTCAAGACAAGCATATTTTGTCAAAAGCATAATGGAGGTTTCACTTGTACACCTGGGCAGACTCCACTGACTGGGTAACAATTAACTTTATTATCAGTAGTAACTGTCAGTTTCAACCAGCAGCAGTTATCGCTCCCACCCTTTGAGGGTGGGGGCCCCGTGGCTAATGCTGTCTTTAAGAATACACATCTGTGTACTTCCTGTTTCTTAGCTGAGAGAGGAGGCCTCAACAATATAAAGCGCAGGGAGCTGGGGAGCGGCAAGCCAGTGGGAATGGGCACCTGGCCATAAGTCAGAGAAGGGGAAGGAGAGTTACTTTATTCTCTTCTGGTGCCAGTAAGAACTTTATCAAGGTACTAGTGCCATCAGCTCCTGCCCAAGGGCACCCAGGGCCCCAGGTCAGCATGACGGATTTAAGACACATTACGTTCTGGGAAGACGGCTAGGAAGGTAGGTCAGCCCCACAGGGGAGAGGACACTGCATGTCCAGATGGGGGCACGCAAAATGATACCTCCACCCTCTAAGCCCTGGAATCTGTGAATGTGACCTCACTTGATAAAAGGGCCTTTGCACATGTAATTAAACTAAGGATATCAAAATGAGATTATCCTAGGTTTCAGGCGGGTCCTACCTTCAACGACAATCCAACCTCTTACAACATAAAAACAGGGAGATTGGAGACAGACATGGGGAGAAGGCCATGTGAAGACGGAGGCAGGAACTCCTGTGATGCGGCCACAAGCCACAGAGGGCCTGGAGCCACCAGGAGCTGGAAGAGGCAGGAGGGATCCTCCCCTAGCACCTGTGAAGGGAACAGGGTCCTGCCCACACCTTTATTTTTGACTTTTGGCCTCCAGAATTGTAACGAATACATTTCTGTTGTTTGAAGCCATGCAGTGTGTATAAATTTGCTACTGCGGTCAGGCCGGGCGCGGTGGCTCACGCCTGTAATCCCAGCACTTTGGGAGGCCGAGGCGGGAAGATCACGAGGTCAGGAGATCGAGACCATCCTGGCTAACATGGTGAAACCGCATCTCTACCAAAAATAAAAAAAATTAAAAAATAAAATTTTTACTGCAGTCACAAAGAACTAGTACACTGCCCTTCTTGGTGGTGGGTCCCGGGCTCTCCGAGGTCCCCCAGGGTCAAGGTTGGCTTTCTGATACCAGTCCTAGGCTGCTGGAGAAGAGCCCACTGAGAAAGAATTTTCGCCTGATTACCTGAGCTCAGGCCACCTAGGGAACAAAGAGAACTTTATTAAGTTGTAGAGGCTGCACAGAAACTGGCAGGTGGGGTGCAGGCAAAGCTGGAGAGAACAGGAGCTTCCTCTCAGGGCCCAGCCCGGGTGGGGGTGGGGGAAGCTCTCCTGTCCCATGGGGATGACTTCACAGCCCTTGCATGTGACCCTTGGGTCCAGTATCGATCCCCACCACTGCTTCCCTGGTGCGCACAGCCAGCCCGACCCCTGGATCTGTTTCAGTTGAAAATTTGACTTCTGAAGACTTTTCAAAGGCCGGGCGCAGTGGCTTATGCCTGTAATCCCAGCAGTTTGGGAGACGGGCGGATCACCTGAGGTCTGGAGTTTGAGACCAGCCTGACCAAAATGGAGAAACCCCGTCTCTACTAAAAATAGAAAATTAGCTGGGCGTGGTGGCGCATGCCTGTAAACTCAGCTACTCAGGAGGCTGAGGCAGGAGAATCGCTTGAACCCAGGAGGCGGAGGCTGTGGTGAGCCGAGATTATGCCATTGCACTCCAGCCTGGGCAACAAGAACGAAACTCCGTCTCAAAAAAAAAAAAAAAAAAAAAAAGACTTTTGCGGCAGGATCAGAATTTTCAAGAGCCATACACTGAGGATGGCCTTAGCCATGGCATCCAGACCCTTTATTTATAAGAGAAATGAAATATTTGGATATAGTTAAAGCACTTTAAACTTTTTTTTTTTTTTTTGAGACGGAGTTTAGCTCTTGTTGCCTAGGCTGGAGTGCAATGGCACCATCTCGGCTCACCCCAACCTCCGCCTCCCGGGTTCAAGCGATTCTCCTGCCTCAGCCTCCCGAGTAGCTGGGATTACAGGCATGTGCCACCACGCCCGGCTAATTTTGTATTTTTAGTAGAGACAGGGTTTCTCCATGTTGGTCAGGCTGGTCTCAAACTCCTGACCTCAGGTGATCCGCCAGCCTCAGCCTCCCAAAGTGCTGGGATTATAGGCGGGAGCCACCGCGCCCGGCCCAGCACTTTAAACTTTTGTTTTCATACCCTTGATCCCCATTTCCTTGGACACGTGCTGTGGGCCCCGCCCGCTGCCCTGATCACTAGCCAGGTTATCAGCCCAGGGGACGGGTTACATTCTCAAATAACCTAGCAAGAGGCCTGCTGGAGGGCAGCAGGGGAAAATGGAAGACCCGAATCTTTAGACAAGTCTATTTTCAGACTCGCTCCTTTCTCTACCAAACCTGAGCTGCTTCCGATTCTCCTTCTCTCTTCCCCAAACTGGGCTCTAACCCCCGTCCTCTGAATCCATGCCCGGGGAAGGTGGCTACGGGCACTGGCCCTGTCGGGGGCTGCCTACTCACCCGCCGCGGGAGGGGCCAGGTCAGCAGGGCGGCGACAGGAAGAAATGCGGGGACAGGGGCACGGGCGGTGGCAGGGGAAAGGCGGACAGCAGCCATGGGTCGCGGGTCTCGGGGGCCGTCAGCAGGCTGAAGGGAGAGGGTCGCGCGGGCAGCGGCGGAAGCGGATGCGGCGGCGGCTCGGAGACCAGGGGCGGGCGGACGAGCGCGCCCACGGGCCCAGGGGCTGAGGCGACGGCGGACACGGGCAGCGGAAGCAGCGGTAGGAGCGCGGGCGGAGCGCGCGGGCGCGGGCAGGCGCGGCAGGTCCTGCAGTGCGAGCACGGCGGCGGAGAGCGCGGGTGAGCAGGCTTCGGGCGGCAGCTCGGGCAGTGCCAGATGCGCGCCGGGGCCCCAGGGCGCCAGCGGCTCGGGCCGCAGCGGGAGCGCGGGCAGCGGTGGCAGCTCGGCCAGGGCGAGAGCGGAGGGCGTCGGCGGCCCGGGGCTCAGGCCGGGCGGCAGGCCGGGCAACGGCGGGTGCGGCAGGGACGGCGGGGGCAGCGGGGTGGGCGGCAGCGTCGAGCGGGCCCGGCCCAATCGCGAGTGGGCGCGGGCGCGGGCGAGCCGCGGGTGCGAGCTGGAGCGGGGCAGCCGCGCCGCCAGCTTGGCTGCGGCCGCCACCCCGGTTGCGGCCGCCAGCCCAGGGCCCCAGAGCGCGCCGCCAGCCGTGACCTGGTACCTCGGGAGGTGGCCAAGCGCCGCACTCCGAGCGGCCCAGCCAATCGCAGATGCTCGCCGCCGCACCCCAACCAATCACGGGCCAGTGCGCTCGCGGTCTACGGGTCCCACCCGGCAGCTGTCAAGGGCTACCCTTGGCAGCCAATCAGAGATATGAGCGCGCTCCGCCAAGTTCTTCTTCCCGCCCTCTCCTGGTCCCAGCCAATCGCTGTGTCCCAGGTGCCGCAGCTGCTCCCCGCCCTCAGCTAGCCTGGCTATCAGGCGCTGCACACGCGCAGTGGGCGCCCCCACCTGGCTTGAGGATCTGCGGATTCGCTGCGACACCGAGGCGCGGCGCCTCACCAATTTTTTTTTTGTTTGTTTTTTAGGTGGCTTTTTTGGGGACTGAGCCCCTCACTCTGGCGCCCAGGCTACATTGCAGTGGCGCGGTCTTGGCTCAGTGAAGCCTCGACCTGCCGGACTAAAGCAGTTCTCCCGCCTCAGCCTCCCCAAGTAGCCGGGACTACAGGTGCACGCCACCACACCCGGCTAATTATTATGGTCTTTAAATTTAAAAAAAAAATTTTTTTTAGACGGAGTCTCGCTCTATCCCCCAGGCTGGAGTGCATTGGCGCAGTCTCAGCTGCAACCTCCGCCTCCTGGTTCAAACGAGTCTCCTGCCTCAGCCTCCTGAGCAGATGGGATTACGGGCGCCCGCCACCATGCCCGGCTAATTTTTGTGTTTTTAGTAGAGACGGGGTTTCGCCATGTTGGCCAGGCTGGTCTCGAACTCATGACCTCATGATGCACCCGCCTCGGCGTGCCAAAGTGCTGGGATTACAGGCGTGAGCCACCGCGCCCGGCCTAATTATTATATTTTGTGTAGAGATGGAGTCTCACCATGTTGCCCAGGCTGGTCTCGAACTCCTGGGCTCAAGCGATCCGCCGGCCTCAGTCTTCCAAAGTGCTGGGATTCCAGGCATGACCCACCGCGCCCGCCCCCCGACGCCACCGATGTGGAGTGTGAGATTGTCCTCTCGTTGCTGTTTACCCATTGCAACTCAGGTATGAGGATCCTGTGTGGATGGGTCAAGGTGCACAGATTTCCATTCAGTTATCTTATAAGAAAGATAAAACGATATCACAATTCAAAAGTAAAGTTTGGTGATAATATACTTAGCATTTGTGTTAAAGTTCCTAAGAACAATTGTAAATGACAGATGGGTGCGAATCTGGTAGCTCAGAACAAAAAGGATAAAATGGTCAATCTATTCAAAATTGGAATATAGAAACTTTTTTTTTTTTTTTTTGAGACAGGATCTTGCTCTTTCGCCCATGCTGGAGTGCAGTAGTGCCATCATGGCTCACTGCAGCCTCGATCTCCTCGGCTCAAGTAATCCTCTCACCTCAGCCTCCCAAGTAGCTGAGACTACAGGCATGCGCCACCCTGCCAGGCTAAGTTTTTTATTTGTGGAGATGGGAGTCGCCGGGTGCGGTGGCTCACGCCTGTAATCACAGCACTTTGGGAGGCCGAGGCGGGCGGATCACGAGGTCAGGAGGAGATCCAGACCATCCTGGCTAACATGGTGAAACCCCGACTCTACTAAAAGTACAAAAACTTAGCTGGGCAGGCGCCTGTAGTCCCAGCTACTTGGGAGGCTGAGGAAGGAGAATGGCATGAACCCGGGAGGGGGAGCTTGCAGTGAGCCGAGATTGCGCCACTGCACTCTAGCCTGGGCGACAGAGCGAGACTCCGTCTCAAAAAAAAAAAAAAGAGAGAGAGAATCAAGAGAGTCAAGTCGATTATGTTTCTAATTGTTGTTTGAGATGTCTAAGGCTATTTCGTTAATCAGGCATTTAAGGCACGCAAAATATTTAGGGAAAAGTCGAGTTGTGAAATTCGTATTTGTTTTTATTTACTTATTTATTTTTTATAGAGATGGGGGTCTCACTATATTGCCCAGGCTGGTCTTTAAATTGTAGGCTCAAGCAATCCTCCTGCCTTGGCCTCCCAAAATACTGGGATTACAGGCGTGACCCACCATGCCTGGCCGAGCTGTGAAATTTATAAACTAATTAAGCATTCATCAAAGATTGTGAAAGTGAGTTTTACATCCAAATTATTAGTCAATACAATATCTGGAAGGCCACTATAAAAGCTTAAGGAAAATGAGATTTTTATCTAACAACTTTAATAAATCGATTATAAATGAAAACACAAAGAATGAAGTGTTCTTTTCCATGCACAAGGCCCCTAACTTGGATGTGGTTCCCCCGCTAGGCGGTCACCAAGTGATGCCCTCCCTGAGGGCAGGCGTTGATCGAGTCTGTTTTCTTCTCATGATTTCTCCTGTTGGGAACATGGTCCCTGGCACATGGCCTCATTGATGTTTGCCAAATGAATGAATGAGGTGCTGGGTGGTGGCTGCAGGCCCATGCCACTCCCACCCTGGTCAGCAAGCCCCTTGCATGGCACGCGGAGGCAAGCAGGGAAGCACGTTTGTGGTTCTAGCATGGAGGAGACCCCCGGCCAGGCAGCACCAGAGGCCAAGCCCAAGGGTCTGTCTTCCTTGCTGGGCAGGCGAGGGGCATTGCAGTGCTCAGCATTTCCCCAGAGGGCAGCGGCCTGGGAAGACATAGAGCTGGGCTAGGGAGGGGCGGGGCCCTGGTGAGGCCTTGCCCCCTCCTCCCCTCCCAGGGACCTGAGCTTCTGGGGTCAGTCACTCAGCAGCCACCTACAGGTGGCAGAACCTGCTATCCTTCCCAAGGGCTGGGTGTCCCCCAGTATGGCTGGAGGGGTGACCACGGGGGGCCTTTGGGCAGGCGGCTCGGCCATTGCGCCTCCCTCTCACCTCCGTAGCCATTCCCCAGCTGGCCATTGCTGCCTCTCTTCACGTCGGGGCCCCCTGTGGCACAGACAGACAGACCAGGAGCACTCGGGTCACCAGAGAGCTTCCGTCCACCCCAGCTTCAACCCAGGCTGTGGGAGACACCCCCTCCCCGGAGGGCCCAGGGCTCAGCTCTGCCTCAGTTTCTCAGAGGACCGGGGGGAGAGGGACAGAGTATGGAGAACTGAGTCCGTGATGGCCCTCGTTCCCAACTCCATCACCTCCCCTTCTTGGTCCAGTGTCTGGGCTGGCTCTCAGGGTCCCGGGCTCTTCTGGCCTCTCCTCCAGCTCCATTCCTTCCTGCTCCTTCCTGCCTATGCCCTCCTGGCCTCTTCTCACTCACTCCATCCCCTCCGCCAAGAGGGCTGTACCTTCTATCTCTGTGGGGCTGTGGGTAGACCTGGGCCCAGGGCCCAGTTCCCTGAAGCCACCTCTAATGGCCCCAACACACTCATCCAGGCATCCCGTTACCTGGCTGGCTCCTGGCCTCAGCATATTCATCTCCAGCCTGATATCCAGGCTTCAAGCCGGCCCCCCAGGCCTGGAGGGTGGGCCAGCGAGAGTTCCACAGCACCCCGGCCTGCCCTGTGGGGAGGAGAGCTGGCAGGGGTACCCTTGCCCACAGGAGCTGGGACCCCTGGCCCCTGTTGGGCTTGGCTCTGCTCCCAGAAGGCTCATTTCTTACCATTTCCTTCAGGGGCTAGAGCTGCTGCTTTGGGGTACACCAGAGCTTCCACCCCATCCCCTCCAAGAGACTCTGGTCATTCCCGCCTAGCCCCTGGGCTGTTGTCTCCCCCACTCCACTGCACTTTGTCCCCTGGGTCTGACTCACTATTCCTAAAACCATTGGCCCCATGGAACCCTGGAGGAGGAAAGAGGGTGTCAGAGGCTGGGCTGGGGCCCTGAGCCCAACTCTCCCACCCCGACCCCTGCTCCCCAGGCACCTGGCTGTGGGTGGGCCTCGGGGAAGACCCTGGCTCCCAGGACACCATTCCCATAACCTAAACCTGCAGGACAGAGATTGGAGAGGAGCTAGGGACAGGCTAGTGGAACAGGGACAGCATCAGGAGGGCCAGGTGACCAGCTCATAGACAGGGGGATGCGGACAGACAGACTGACTCAGGCATGAGGGAGATGCCAGCTTCCGCTCAACATGGGTCGGGGGCCCAGGAGGACTCACCAATTTTCTGTGGCTCGAGGCCACCATTAAAACCTGGGGGAGAGAAAACTGTGACTCAGAGATGGGGGTCAGCGAGAGCCACAGCCCTGGCCTCCCCTCTTCCTGGGATGGCAGAAGGAAGAGGAGGGAAGAGGAAGGGAAGGGAGGGGAGGAACTCCAGGAAGGGCCTCCTCACCTGGTTCTGCTCCCGGTCCATAGCCATTTGGAGGCTGGTGCCCTGTGAGGAGAAAGGAAGTCAGTGCGGGGGACCCAGGTCTCCCCTGACTCCTTGGAGGCCAAAGATCGACCTTAGGGACTCTGAAGGGGAAGCAGAGACTTTTCCTGTCCACAGGGAATGGAACCAGAAGAAATCTGGAGAGCAGCAAGAGACTGGGCGCAGTGGCTCACGCCTGTAATCCCAGCACTTTGGGAGGCTGAGGTGGGCTGATCACTTGAAGCCAGGAGTTTGAGACCAGCCTGTCCAATGTGACAAAACCCCGACTCTACAAAAATACAAAGATTAGCCAGGTATGGTGGTGCGTGCCTGTAATGCCAACTACTTGGGAGGCGTATTTTGCAGTGAGCCAAAATTGCACCACTGCATTCCAGCCTGGGCGACAGAGCGAGACTGTCTCAAAAAAAAAAAAAAAAAAAAAAAAAGAGCAAGAGGGTAGACTCGGGGAGGGACTTCCTGGCCTTCGGGTGCCTGAATAGCTTAGGCAGCCTAGGGAAAAAGGGTGATGGAGGGGTGACCCTGATCTGGGGTGGAGACAGAGGATAGACCTAGCTGAGAGTTTGTCCCTCTGGGATGTGGGGCCTGGGGGCAGACAGACTCACACCTGCTTTCTGAGGTTTCAGTCCCCACTGGATGGCTGGCATTGGTGCTAGGAGGAAGGTTAGGGGCAGGAGTGAGCCCAGCCGAGGGCTTGAGAGACTGCAGATGCCATGGGGCAGGGATGGAAAGGACTCCCATACTGGGGACCACATGGGGTCCCAGGGCCAGAGTTCAGGCTTCTCCTCAGCAGATCACTGTGTGACAAGTCACTGCCCTCTCTGAGCCTTGGCATCCGAGGACAGAGTGGGATATGGCAGCCAGGCCCTGACCCTCATAGGGCCAGGTGCTTCCCAGTGCCCCCTAGGCACCCCCACTCCACACTGACCTGGTAACTTGCCATTCTGCACTGCGGAAGGGGGCTGGGATTTCAGGCCCCAGCCACCCTCTTTGTCCGAAGGGACCCCTGGAGTGGGAAGCCTGGGGAGGAGCATCGGAGCGACCCTCGCATTGCAGGGACCTACGATGGGAAGGAAGGGAGGGGTGGGGCTATGCTCCAGGCCAGTCCTCACCGACGCCACCCAGGAGGCCTTGGCCTGGCCAAGCCACCGGCCTGTAGTGGCTTCTAGGGCAGACCCAGCACCTTAGGGGGACATTAGCCAGGCTGGAAAAAGCCCAGCTCCCTTGGTCCACACTCTCCTGGGGGGACCTGGGGATCCAGGCAGGGGATAGAGGGATGTAGGGATCTGGCAGGGATGGGGCTCCTGATGGAGGCCCCTCCGTCTTCCAGCAGCCTCCCTCTCCCTTCCTCCTGGGCCCCCACCCCTGGTCCCAGTGGCCTCACCTGGCCAGGGCCCATTTTCATGGCCGTGTCCTGGAGAGGGAAAGCAGAGATGAGTGTGGCAACACTGGGGGCAGAGGCTAGAAGGGCTGAGAGGCAGAAGGAGGTGTGGGGCAGAGCCAGGGGTCCCCCACTCACCTGACTTCTGAGGCTTCAAGGTCCCTCGCAGGCCTGGGGAGAGACAGAAAGAGGCCAGTTCAGACATCAGCCCACCCGAGGAGTGTAGTGAACCCCTCTCTCCCCTGCTGATCCCCCTAGCCCCGTCTTTTCACCTGGCAGGAGCCCCAGCCAGGTCCCTGGTGTGTATCCTGGGAGGGAGAGCAGGGCATGAGGGCGGGGTTGGAGTGGGGGACCTTGGAGAAGGCAGGAAGAGGGGCAGAGAGCAACTCGGCTTTGGAGGTTTCTGGCTCTCTCCCAGGCCAGAGACCCATGGAGAATAATGGACAGGCCCACCCCACCCCACCCCTTCCCCCACTGAGACCCAACTCTGTCCGTTGGAGCCTGTCCTCCTTCCCCTCTGCTCCAGGTCCCACCCACCTCCCTCACCTGGCTGGGCTCCTTCCCACAGGAAGGCTCCAGCTCCAGCCCGTTCTTGCACCATGGGGAGACAGGGTACAGCTTGGGAGGGGAAAAGGGTGGAGGGGTAGGCAGTTTCTGCAGGTAGGGAGAGTGAGGAGTGGGAAGGGCTTACCTGGCTTCTGAGGTTTCATGCCCTCTCCAGCACCTGGAGAGATGCGAGTAGGTGAGGGACCCATGCCCACTCCTCACTGAGGGGTCTCTTCCAGACCTGGCATCTGTCCCCCACCTGGTGCCCATGCCAACCTCCCCTTCCTGGTCCATGACCAGTGGGAACTGCAGGGTCTGTGGGGGCGGCATGGGGAGAGGTTGGGGTACAGAAGGGGGCTGGAGCCTGGCCCCCCTTTCCTCCCAATTTAGGAACTGGAGCTCCCAGCACCTCCCTCCCCCTTGTGCCGCCTCCTCTCCAGACTCTACCCCGTCTAAGGCTGCAGGAGCCCCCAAGAAAACCCTCAGTACAGGGTCAGGGGAGAGCCAGGCCCCCACCTCTTTCCTCCTTTCTGCACTCCCAGCAACTCCAGCCCCCCAGTACCTGCTCTGTAGCCATTCTGGGCTAAGGGGCCTGTGGGGAGGGAGGGGTGAGCAGGGGGTTTGGGATTCTAGCTAAGGAGAGGGCGAAGGGCCTTTGGATCCCCTTTCAGAGCCAAGTCAGAAACCAGGGATCCTGGCGCCACCTCTCCTCCCTCATTTTGGTGTCCACCTGCTCTGGAGGCCTGGGAGGGAGACAGGGACATCAGCCCGACACCCCCTCACTGGCTCGGCTCCCAGCCCCCTCCTGAATGCCGATGGAGCTGAGGTGGGGTATGAATGAGGGAGGGAGCTCAGGGTTTGGGGGAGGCAGAGGGACAGGCGGGGCAGGGCTCACCTGGCTTCTGGGCCTTCATAACCCCCAAATAGCCTGGTGAAGAGAAAGGGAGCAAGTGAGGGACCCAAGGCCTCCGCTCTGGACCTCCTGGAACCCCAGCCCTGCCCCTTCCTGGTCCATAGCCGTTTGGAGCTCCCAGGCCTGTGGGGCAAAAAAGGGAACGTGGTAAGGCTGAGCCACTGGGGGACAGGGAGGCAGGGGCCAGGAAGGGGGCTCTCAGTCTCTCCCCAACCTCCTCTCCCCTCGGTCCTCGGTGCTCCTACAGACCTCCCCTCACTCATGAGGCAGGGGTCACCCCTCCCCTGGGAGTCCCACGCAGACCCAGCTAGAACACCAGGATCTAGGGGAGGTGGGGCCACAGACACAGGCAGTCCCCTCACCTGGCATCTGAGGCTTCATCCCCGCTCCTAGGCCTGGGAGAGACAGAGAGGCTGACATCAACTCCAGCCAGTGCTGCTGATCCCCAGACCCCAGCTCTCTGTCCCTGTGGCCTCAGCTTCTCTCTTCCCGTCCCACCTCCCGACCCCTCGCGAGCCAGGCCCAGCTGCCCTCACCTGGCTGGACTCCCGGTCCATTTCCATGGCCATATTCTAGGGGGAGGGACGGGGAGGGTGTGAGACGGCGGCATTCGGAGGGGGTGTCAGGAGGACGCAGCCCTAGAGACAGGGCGGGGGCCCAGGGCCCTGGGAGGGGGCCTGGCTCCCCCTCCCAGGCCTACAGAGAGACACAGAGGCAGAGCCACATCCGGCCAGCCAGTGGCACTTAATTCCCCAGGATTCAGACCCACACTCTGCCCTCCCGGCCCCCTGGCCCGATCTTTGTCTTCCCCCTTCCCTCTAAGAAGCCTGGGCTCAGCCCGGTGCGGTGGCTCACGCCTGTCATCCCAGCACTTTGGGAAGCCAAGGCAGGTGGATCATCTGAGGTCAGGAGTTCGAGACCAGCCTGAGCAACATGGTGAAATCCTGTCTCTACCAAAAATACAAAAATTAGCCAGGTGCGGTGGTGGGTGTCTGTAATCCCAGCTACTTGGGAGGCAGAGGTAGGAGAATTGTTTGAACCCAGGAGGTGGAGGTTGCAGTGAACCGAGATTGCGCCACTGCACTCCAGCCTGGGCGACAGAGCAAGACTCCATCTCAAAAAAAAAAAGCCTGGGCTCCTACCCCAGGTGTCCTCACCTGGCTGGGTTCCAGCCCCAGGGAAGGCCCCTGCTCTCAGCCTTTTCCCATATCCTGGAGAGGGAGGGAGCATGAGTAGAGTGCTTATGGCTTCAGGGGTTCGTGCATAGAGAGGCAGACCAGGGCGGGCGGGGCTCACCTGGCTTCAGAGGCTTCACATTCCCTCCAAGGCCTGGAGGAGATATAGGGGGGCTGGTGAGTGACTCAGGGGCCCCACCCACATTCTCCCCCAGCCCCTCCCCACCCCTGCTCCTACCTGCTCCAAATCCAAATCGGTTCTGGGCTGTCAAGACTATGGGGAGAGGAGGGTGGGGTGGGGATTTGGGGTTTGGTTGAGGTGGAGGTAAGGGAATCCTGGAGGCTTCCTCCCAGCAGCCCTTCAGTTATTCACCAGCTCAGCCCCCCATGAGACTGGGAAGGGAGGCAGGGAGAGGACGCCCCAGGGGTAGAACCCCAGACCCCATCTGTCTCACCTGGCTGAGCACTCAGCCCATTCCCATTCCCTAATCCTGGGGGACAGATGGAGGTGGGGGTGAGAGGGGGAAGGGGGCTCTGAACACTGGGGAGACAGAAGCCCGGGAGAGCCAGGCTTACCTGGCTCCTGTGCCTTCATGTCCCCTCTAAAGCCTTTGGGAAAATGGGGAGCAGATGAGGTACCTAGGAGCCCCCAACTCAGATCCACCCCAGAACCCCAGCATCTGGACCCCAGCTCCTCCCATCCCCCTCAGGACCTGCTCCAGGGCCATTCTGAGGTGGGGGGCTTGTCGGGGTGGGAGGGCTGAGCTAAGCTGGGGACACAGCGCCTATGGTTCCCCTTCAGGGCCAAGCCAGAAGCCAAGGATCTTGGAGACGCCCCGTCACCCCTCTCCATCATTCACCAATCCCGCCCCTGGGAGGAAGAGGCCGCCCAGATGCAGACCCTGGAACCCCAGACTGTACCCCCTTCACCTGGCTGGGCTCCCAGCCCAATTCTGTACTGGAATCCTGGGGGAATAGATCAAGGCGGGGTATGAATGAGGGGAGGGAGCTCAGGTTTTGGGGAGGCAGAGGGACAGGCCGGGGCAGGGCTCACCTGGCTTCTGGGGTTTGACGGCCCCCACATAGCCTGGTGGAGAGACAGGGAGCAGGTGAGGAACCTGGGGCCCCAGCTCTGGGCCTCCCCAAACCCCAGCCCCGCCCCTACCTGGTCTATAGCCATTTTGAGTGGTGGGGCCTGTGGAGGAGAGAAAGGGTTAAGGCCCTCCGGAGCCCTGGATGCCATCTCCAGCCACCTCGGGCAGGGGTGTCCCCACCCCCAACTTCAACGAGCCAGAAAGGCAGGTTCCTTTCCTCAGCAGCCTCCAACTGTCAAGCTCCAGCTCCTGCCACATCTTGGGTCTGAGCTCTTTTTTTTATTTTCTTGAGATGGAGTCTCGCTCTTGTTGCCCAGGCTGGAGAGCAATGGCGTGATCTTGGTTCACTGCAACCTCCGCCTCCCGGGTTCAAGCAATTCTCCTGCCTCAGTCTCCTGAGGAGCTGGGATTACAGGTGCCCGCCACCACGCCTGGCTAATTTTTAGCATTTTTAGTAGAGACGGAGTTTCACCATGTTGGCCAGGCTGGTTTTGAACTCCTGACCTCAAGTGATCCGCCCGCCTAGGCCTCCCAAAGTGCTGGGATTACAGGCGTGAGCCACTGCGCCTGGCCAGGTCTGAGATCTTGCTGGAGCCTGTACCTTCTTTGTTCAAAACTCTCCTTTTGGTTCAGTTTCTCAGAGGGTTGGGCCACTCTCTCCTCCCTGGCCTCCACTGCCTCCTAAGAACTCCCAGAGCCCAGCTCTGGGGCAGCCTCAGCCCATACTGTATGCCCCAGCGTGGCCCTGGTTGGGGAGGGCCTGTCCCCAGCACCTGGTTGGCTCAGAACAGGCATGGTCCACGGATTACTTTGGTTGTTGTTTGTTTGTTTGTTTGTTTTTGAGACGGAGTCTTGCTTTGTCACCCAGGCTGGAGTGCAGTGGCACGATCGGCTCACTGCAAGCTCCGCCTCCTGGGTTCACGCCAGTCTCCTGCCTCAGCCTCCCGAGTAGCTGGGATTACAGGTGCCCACTACCACGCCCGACTGATTTTTTTGTATTTTCAGTAGAGACGGCGTTTCACTGTGTTAGCCGGGATGGTCTTGATCTCCTGACCTTGTGATCCACCCGCCTCAGCCTCCCAAAGTGCTGGGATTACAGGCGTGAGCCACTGAGCCCGGCCTGTCTGTTTTTTAAACAGGATCTCTCTCTGTCACCCAGGCTGGAGTACAGTGGCAAGATCTCCACTCACTACTACCTCGACTTCCTGGGCTCAAGTGATCCTCACCTCTCAGCCTCCAGAGTAGCTGGGACTACAGGCACGTGCCACCACAACTGGCTAGGTTTTTTTTTTTTGTAGATGGATTGCTTGAGCCCAAGATTTCAAGACCAGCTTGGGAATGTTGCCCAGGCTGGTCTTGAACTCCTGGGCTCAATTGATCCACCTAACTCTGCCTCCCGAACTGTTGGGATTACAGGTGTTAGCCACTGCTCCAGGCCTGGATTGGTTTGTCGAATGAGGTTTGTTGTGTGAGACCAAGTTGGGAGGCTAGAGATTGGGGCTCGCCTGCTCTCTGAGCCTTTAGTCCCCCTCCCAGGCCTGGGAAGAGAAGGGGAAGGACTTCCTGTGAGTCCACCCATCCCTTCCTCTCTGCTCAGGACCAGGGCCAGGCCCCTACATCAGTAACCCCCAACCCCTAAGACCTCCATGCTCCCAGAACTCCAGGGCCTTACCTGCCTGGGTTCCAGCTCCCAGGAAGGCCCCGACTCCCCACCCATTCCTATTCCCAAATCCCAGGGGACAGAGCCAAAGAGAATGGGGAGATCAGGGACTCTAGGGAAGCAGCGGCAGATGCATAGGAAATGGGCAGGGAGACAGGGACAGGGAGTGGCTCACCTGGCTTCTGGGGTTTTCCACCCCCTCCAAAGCCTGGGGGGAAGATGAGAGGGTGAGGGATCCTTTCCTCTGGGCCTGTGCCCAGAATCTCAGCCCCAGGCTCCCCGCTTCCGTCCCCACCCTCTTTACCTGGTCCAAAGCCATTTTGAGCGGCAGGACCTGTTTGAGGGCAGACACAGGAGTGTGGAAGGTGGTGCAGTGGGGATGAGCTGGGGCCTGGAGCCCTGCCCTCTCCCTTTCTGTCTCGCGTGACCCCTGCCCTCTGCCTTTCTGTCTTGTGTGAACTCCCTCCCAGGCCTGACTGCAGTCAAAGTTGGATTTGGTTCTTGGCCCGGGAGTCCAGACCGTGGCCACCCTTGACCAGCTTGGGTGTCCTCCATGGCCAGCCGAGGCCTGGCTTGGGACGGGTGCTCAGGGGAGATTGGGTGAATGAATGAACCCCCAAGAGCCCATCTGTTGGGACCCAGAGTGTGGCCCTGGGCCCCTGACCTCTCCCCCAGCCACCCCAGCCCCTTCGGCCCCGACCTGGCTGGGTTCCCGGTCCGTTTCCATTGTTGTATCCTGGGAGGAGAAGCAGTGTGTGAGGGGTGGATCTGGGGAGGGCTTGAGGGTGGGACAAGGCCATAGATGCAGGGGAAACAGTCAAGATAGGGGAGAGGAGAGCAGGGGCTCACGGACCCCACCCATCCCCTGTCCTCCCCCAGAAATAAACTTTCTGCCTTCTGGACCTCTGATATCCCCTGGTTCTTCCCTGTGTCTTCTAGAATCCCAGTGTGGTCCAGCTGCCCTCACCTGGCTGGGCTCCAGCTCCTAGGAAGGCCCCAGCTCCCATCCCATTCCCATCACCAGATCTTGGGAGACCGAGTAGAAGGAGGAAGCAGAGGCAGGGCCGGATGTGTGTATGTGGGGAGTGGAGGACAGGGACACAGGAAAGGGCAGGCACACCTGTCTTCAGAGGTTTCACCCCCCGCCCCATGCCAGGAATAGAGAGAGAGACCAGGTAAAGGAGGCTGCAGCTCCCTGGAGCCCCCAGACCCAAGCCCAGGCCCTCCGCAACACCCTACCCTCCCTGACCTGGTTTTGGGCCTGTGGGGTGAGGGAGGCAGAGGCTGGACCTAGGCCATGTGGAGTGCGGGTCCGTGGTCCAAACACCACCCAGGGCCACTGTGCTCCACACCCTGACAGTTCACTAAGGGCGCATGCCCAGGAAGCAGCTCAGAGGCCTCCACAGGAGTCCCCACCCACAGGAATGGCATTGGCAGGCCACAGAGGGACGAGTGCCTGGGGAGGGTAACACAGACCGAGAGGGGGACAGAGAGGGACAGGACATGGTGAGTGTGGCATGGAGGTGGCACACGGGCGGGGTCCTCCCTTCATCCGCTTCTGAGGTTCCCTCTTCCCCAGGCCTGGGGAGAGCTAGAAAGAGGCTGACATTGACCCTAAGAGCTCCTCCCCTAAGAATGAGGGTTGGGACCCTAAACCCTCCTGCCCGCCCCTCCCTGCGGCCCCTGCCCAGCCACCCTCACCTGGTGGGGTTCCTGCCCCTGGAAGAGTGCCAGCGCCCAAACCACTTCTGCTCCCCAATCCTGGGGAGACATTGGTGAGGGCCATGAGCGGTGGGGTGGGCAGGCTTGAGGGACCCAGAGGCGCCTGGATATAAGTGGGCAAGGCGGGGCAGGGCTCTGCCTCACCTGGCTTCGGAGGTTTCACGCCCACTCCCAGGCCTGGGAAGGGACAGAGTGGCTGAGCCCTGCCCTCCCTCCAGAGCCCAGCTCTCCCAGCTCCTGGTGCCCTGACTCTGCTCTGCCCCTTCCCCCTCCCTCCTGGAAGCCCAGGTCCTGCCACACCCGACGTTTCCTCACCTGACTGGGCTCCGGCCACTGGGAAGGCCGCTGCTCCCAGCCCGTTTCCATATCCTGGGGAGACAGAGCCAGAGGGACATGAGGAGGGGGAATGGGGCGTCAAGCAGAGACAGAGACAGAGGGTGGGAAGTGGACACTGGGACAGGTGTGGGGCGGCCTCGCCTCTGGCTTCTGGGGCTTCTCAGCCCCTCCAAAGCCTGGGAAGAGAGATGGGCAGATGAAGGGGCCCCACCTCCCCGCCCTGGGCTCCCTGCTCCACAGCCACACCGAGCTGAGGCAGGGGTGAGGCCCAGGTGCCCCTGTCCCCTTACCAAGCCAGACATCAGAACTCCTCACCGTCCCCTCCTGCCCACTTCCCGTGAGACACCCACCTGTTCTGCCCTCTCTGAGGCCTGGGAGCCTGGAGAAGACCCTGGAAACACCGATCTGGCTGCATTCCCTCCCCCACAGTATCAGGCAAAGATTAGGCACCCCCAAGCCCCTCCCATTCCTTACCCGCTTCCCCCAGCCTCACCTGGCTGGGCTGCAGCACCTGCGAAGGTCCTGAACCCTGGGGCGAGAAGGCAGGAGGGAGTCAGGAGGAGGGAGGCAGGCAGGGGCTGGGCGAGCCTCACCTAGGTTTTGGGGTTTCATGCCCCCTTCAGTGTCTGGGAAAGAGAGGGGGATCAGATGAGGGGCTCAGGAATCCCCATCCCAGGGATACCCCTAGAATCCTGGCTTCCAGCTCCCCCACTCCCATCTCTACCTGCTCCATAGCCATTCTTAGTGGAAGGGCTCGTGGGAGAGAGAGAGGTGAGCTGAGGAGGTTTGGGGTCCCAGCTGAGGTGGGGGTACAAGACCCTTGAACCCCCCCTTGGACTAAGCCAGACACCAGCAAACCTGAGAGGCTCTCTGCGCCTCCCCCCAACAATCTCTCCAATCCTGCCTCTTCCGTCTGAGGCCTGGGAGGGAGGGAAGGAGGGGACCCCACGGCTCTCACCTGGCTGGGTTCCCAGCCCATGCCTGACCACGAATCCTGGAGAGACAGATGAGGTGAGGTGAGGAGTGTGAGAGAAAGAGGGGGAGACAAAGAGCTGGGGCCGGGGCAGGGCTCACCTGGCTTCTGTGGCTTCACGCCCCCATCATAGCCTGGAGAGACAGGGAGGTGAGGGACACCCCTCCCCCAGGATCTCCCCAGAGCCCCACACCTGGCCCACAGCCTATCCAAGCAGTGGGCCTGTGGGAACTCAGTCCCTTCCCATGATGGGGGAGGGCTGTGGGGCACAGGTGGGTGCTATCAGCCTCCTTCCCTCCCTCCTTCCCTCTCTCCTTCCTTTCTGCTCTCTTTCCTTTCTTCCCTCCCCGCTCCATTTCTTCCTGCCTGCCTTCCCCTCTCCCCAGCCAGGGTGCCTGGGGGACACTCTGGGGCTATGCTCTGTCCCCATGTATTTCTGAGACGACTGCTTCCCCCTTTACCTGCCCCCCGCCCAGCTTTCCCTGTTCCTGTCCTGCCTCCCCCCTGCCCCGTGCCCTGCCCTCAGACGCCTCCCTTCCCTATGCCAGGCCTCACCTGCTCCCAGGCCACTGTGGGGGCCATAGACTGTGGGAGAAGTGAGATGTTGAGCCCGGGGTGCTGGAGCAGCTGGGAGCCGGTGTGCCACCCTCCCCAAGCACCCCGCCACCAGCTTTACCAGATCTGTAGCCATTTGGGCTCCCTAAGCCTGTGGGGTTCAGGGGGAAGCAGGGGAACTTACAAGGGGACAAAGGGGCCCAAATCTGGATGCCACCTCCCTTTCCAGGTCTCAGTTTCCCTGCTGTCACAGGAGGGTAGAGGGCAGAGGAGGTGAGCAGTCTGGGGCTAGGGCAGTGGAGGCTAGAGGGCCCCTGGGCCTGGAGGAAGGTGTCTGAGCCAGGGCTCTGGGGGACTGTGGGGCAGAGCCCACTCCACCCTCTTCCTCTCCTCTCCCATCCATTCTCAGTACTGGGCTCCTCTCCCTTCATGGAAATCTCCTCCTCTTCTTCTCACCACCTCTGCCCCCCATCTTTCTCTCCTGAAGCTCAGATGCATCAGGGCTCAGGGGCAGCCCCTCCTTCTACCCTTAGGACCCCCCAGGTCCCTGAAGTAAAGACTCTTCCATGACACTCCACCTCCTGCCCCTCAGCAGGCTCAGTTCTCCTTGTCCCCTCCCTCCTCTCCCCCTCCGGCCCCCTTTGGCCTGCCGGTGGGTCCGCCCCTCCTGTCACACCTGCCCACCCTTCTCAGCCTGCCCAGGCCCGTCCTCAGGGCTGCATGTTCTGCCCCGGGAGACTCTTCTGAGAGTGCAGGGTGTCTGTGCTCCCCACCCTTGAGTGGACACTTGATGAGACTCCCTGCCCGGAAGACAGCAAGGGCCCTGAGCTCTCCTGGGCCCCGCATCGGGAGTCCCAGAGAGCTCCCACACCCCCAGGGCAGGAGAGATGGGAGACTCTTCCTGACCCCAGTGCCAGAGGGCCCACCTACCTTTCCCCAGGCCAGGAGGCAGAAGGGGCAGCCCTGCGGAAGCAAGACAGTGCTGACTCAAGGCTGGGGACCCCAGAGGCTGAGATGGGGCAGCGCCCAGGCATCTATCCTCCAGCCCCCAAAAACCCTCACTGTCTGAATTCTCTGCCCAGACCAGGCTTTCCACACCCCAGCCCTCCTTGTCTCCAGAACCCCAGCATCTGGCCAGGGCCCCACTTGGACCCCCAGCCCCAGTCACAGATGCCCATTCTCCAACCCCCAGCCCCAAGCTGCCCTCACCACCTTGCAGGCTCTCGGAAGTCAGGCAGAGAAGGAAAAGGGCTGCGGGGAAGGCCCAGGCGCCCATGACTCTAGGCAGAGTGGGAGGGCCCACGCCCTTTGGGCCTTTAAACACCCCTGGCTGGGTGGGGACCCTCGCCCAGGCCCCCCAGCTGTGAGAGGCAGAGGCTCTGCCTGCAGACCCTGGGGGGTCACCCCCACCTCCCCCTGTGGCAGGAGTCTAGCTCTGGCCCCTCATCCATCATGGGCGCTGACAGCAGGACAGGCCCCCTAGACTTCTCCGCCCCTGTCAGCGACTCAGGCCCTGGCGCCAGGCCCAGAGGGCTCAGATGTCCCCCCAGCAAGGGGCAGGCAGGCACCCTAGGCCCAGCCCAAACACAGCTGGGGAGAGGGCGGGAACCAGGGCTTTGGAGTGTTGCAGACAGCAGGGGTGGGGGTGACAGCATCTCAGACCCTGTCTGACAGGCGGGTGGTGTTCCCAACAAAAGCCAGGTGTCATCCCGTCTAGTCCTGAGACCACACAGACCCCACCAGGGGGCCCTTTGTCCTCATGGAGGCTCAGCCTGCCAGAGTGGGCCAGAGCCCCCAACTTCAGAGCCACCCCTTCCTCCTCCCTCCTCCTTCCATGAGGGGCAGGGACACAGGAGGACGGGCCAGCTGTGCCCAGCCTCTCTGAGAGTCCGCGGAGGCCTTCCAGCTCTGCCTCGTCTCCTGCCCCAGCAGTGACTCTAACTTTGGGTCACAGACTAGGGGAGCCACCACACAGTGTTGGGGGGCAGGACCGCAGGAGAGGCTGAGGAGAGGACGTGGGGGGCTGCGAGCAGCTCTCCATGCCTGGGGCTGGGTGGATGGACTTGGAGCCGGGGCCCTGTGCTGGGGGCCTGGCAGGGAGGCACTGGGCATGGGGGTCTGGACAACAGGCATCACGCCCCAATGAGCCTGCAGACCCCACCAGGCTGGCTGGGGACGGCAGTGACTCAACCCCTAGCCCCTGCACCCTGGTCCAGAAGGCCCCACACCCTGTCTGTCTGCTGGCCTGTCCCTGGCCCAGCCAGCCCCTCCTGGTACCTCTGGCTAAGGAGTCCAGCCTGCCAAGCCAGTCAGCCCAGCTAGGCTGGGGGTCTGCAGAAGGGCTATAATGAGGAAGGGGCAGCAGGGGCTTCTCCGAGAGAGGCTACTGAGCCCACACCTCTGCGGCCAGGTCCAGCCGCCAATAGACTACAGGGTTAATTACCACCAGGTACCCTCACTCATAGGCCAGCCCAGCACTGAGGTCCCTGTGCCCCCTCCCTCTCTGCCTCCCCTCTCACCCACATCGTAGGCTGTGCCCCACTGCTGCTCTGCCCACACATGAAGCCATCCCCAGGGCTCACACCCACAGGCACACCACGATGCCTGCGGTGCCCACCTCCCAACCACAGACCCACCTGTGCACGAGGACTGTCTGCTCACGGCAGGCCCCCTCAGCCCAGCGCCTCAGAACAGTGCCCTGAACCGCCCCCCCACCGTCCTGCCTGGCAGACAGCCATGAGTTGGGGTCCCCGAGGCTGGACCTTCATGGGCTGCTGACAGGGGCTCAGGGATGCTCCCTGGCCCCATCCATCCTATGAGTGCCCAGGGTAGCTGGGACGGTCCATTCAGACTCCTGGAGAGGGCTTTCCTGCCAGGCCACCTGCCCCGCCCATGGCAGCAGGCGCATGTCCCCCGTGTATTCACGGAGGGCAGCCGAGTAGCCCCGGGGCTAGCAGCTGGGTGCTGGATTCACACAGGGTGCAAACACCCACTCCATCTGGTTCGGGGCCTTCCCGAGTGTGTTCACTCTCCCCTAAAATGACAAGAAGAGCAACTCTGTGTTGGGGCTACTGGGAGGAACTGCTGCTTATCCTCGTTTGCAGATGGGGAAACAAAGGCAGGGGGAAGGGACTTGGCTCAGATTGTGCAACTCTGGAGCAGTGGGGCTGAGATCTGAACCCCAGCAGTCTGGCAGTCCCCACGTCTGCTGTCCCTGCTCTCAAGCACCTTACATGCTTACAGGCGGGCAGTAGGCCCAGTTATGCCAGATGGGACGAGGTGTCTGCTTCAGACCTGGGCCGGCTGAGAGCTCCTACACAGACACATGGCTTGCCCTGCAGGGCGCTGGGAAAGCGTAGCCCAAGAGGAGGCAGGCGGGAAACCAGGAGACGCCCTGTGGGAGGTAACGGATGGGCGCCTGCTTGGCCACTGCCAGAGGGAACACCAGTGCCCGCTACCACTGCCAGGCTGCCTGGTGCTGGCATGACCTTGGAAAATGCCAGCCAGCCCAGGGCCTCGGGCCAGCCTGACAGCCACTCAGGACCAGGCTGGACCCAGTCGGGTGTCCCAGCCCCTGCAATGCCGCCACTCCGACTCCCAGCACAGCCAGTCCTCTCTGCTCACCCCCAGACCCACCCAGGCAGGGCCTGCCTGACAGCACAGAGACTGTGTGTGGGCTGGGAGAGCCCCTGATGGAGTCTTGACCTGGGCTACCCTTTGCTCCCAGGCACCCTGGCCTGAGGGGACACAGCACAGCCTCGGAACAGAGCAGCAGCTATGAGGGGCTAGGGCTGAGGGCCAAGGGCAGGGTGAGAGCAGGGGTGTTGGAAGTGCTGGACCCAGGCCCAGGAAGTGCATTGCCTAAAATGGCAAGAGACTCCCTGCCAGCTGCTTGACACCAGTGGCACCCGTGAGGGCAGGAATTTGGGGAGGACAGCTGGAGCGGTGGCCAGGCGCCAGCCGGGCGGACAGCTTCTACACTCGCAGCTGTGCTGAGCGTCCTGCAGGCCACTCTGTTTGGGCAGCTCTTCAGCCCAAACCCAAGCATCGGAGCCTCCAGTATACCTTCCTAGGCATCCCAAGGCAACTCACACCAGCAAAGGTGACCTCTACAAACTCCTTCTCCCCACCCATCTGCCAGTTTGTTAAAACGTTATGCAGGCCTGGTGCAGTGGCTCATGCCTGTAATCCCAGCACGTTGGGAGGCCGAGGTGGGGTGATCACCTGAGGCCGGTAGTTCAAGACCAGCCTGACCACATGGAGAAAACCTGTCTCTACTAAAAATACAAAATTAGCCGGGCGTGGTGGCACATGCCTGTAATCCCAGCTACTCTGGAGGCTGAGGCAGGATAATTGCTTGAACCCGGGAGGTGGAGGTTGCGGTGAGCCGAGATCGCACCACTGCACTCCAGCCTGGGCAACAGGAGTGAAACTCCGTCTTAAAACAAAACAAAACAAAACCAAACCTTATGCAATTCCTTTGGTGTAGTGTCAGAAAAATAAAAGCCTTATGCAAGTGTGGCCAGGCACAGTGCTCATGCCTATAATTCCAGTACTTCAGGAGGCCGAGGCAGGAGGATTGTTTGAGCCCAGGAGCTCGAGACCAGCCTGGGCAACATAATGAGACCCCCGTCTCTACAAGAAATTAAAAATTAGCCAGGGTTGGGTGGTGCACCCCCGTGGTTCCAGCTACTTGGGAGGCTGAGGTGGGAGAATCACTTGAGCTTGGGAGGTTGAGGCTGCAGTGAATCGTGATCATACTATTGCCTGGGCAACAGAGTGAGACCCTGTCTCAAAAATAATCAAAACACAGGCTGGGCGCGGTGGCTCACGCCTGTAATCCCAGCACTTTGGGAGGCCGAGGCGGGTGGATCACCAGGTCAAGCGATTGAGACCATCCTGGCCAACGTGGTGAAACTCTGTCTCTACTAAAAATAAAAAAATCAGCTGGGCATAGTGGTGTGCGCCTGTAATCCCAGCTACTCGGGAGGCTGAGGCCGGAGAATCGCTTAACCCGGGAGGTGGAGGTTGCAGTGAGCCGAGATCGCGCCACTGTACTCCAGCCTGGCAACAGAGCAAGGCTCCGTCTGAAAATAAATAAATAAATAAATAAATAAAATAAAAAACCTTATTCAAGTGTGAAACATAGCATGCAAAGATTAGCACACATGAGATGTGAATGTGCCGTGCAGCTATCGTACTTATGAGACAAACCCCTATGCACCCAGCACCTGGGTCAAGAAGTAGAACATAGCCAGTTCCGCAGAAGCACCCATCACAGTCCCCTTCCTCCCATTAGGATAGCCACGTTTGCACTTGTGGTCGTCATTCCCTCGCTTTTTTTCTTTTGAGACGGAGTCTTGCTCTTGTCGCCCAGGCTGGAGTGCAGTCGCGCCATCTCGGCTCACTGCAACCTCCGCCTCCCGGGTTCAAGCGATTCTCCTGCCTCAGCCTCCTGTGTAACTGGGATTACAGGCGCCCGACACCACGCCTGGCTAATTTTTGTGTTTTTAGTAGAATCGGCGTTTCACCATGTTAGCCAGGCTGGTCTCAAACTCCTGACCTCAGGTGATCCGCTCGTCTCGGCCACCCAAAGTGCTAGGATTACAGGCGTGAGCCACCGCGCCCGGCCTCGCCTTTCCTTTTGTGGCCGAAACCGCATGAGTGAGTCTTCCTTGGAGAGTCTGGGCGGAGCCGCGGGTGCTGTGGCGGCGACGGGACACACGGGGGCGCGCGCGGCCCGCGCCTGGTCGCGCGGGTGGGACTCGCGGGAACCGGGTGCCTGGGCGGCGGCTGGGAGGATTCCTCCTGGAAGGAGGTCGGCAAAGCGCTTTGGTCCGGAACCCTGTGGGCCCGTGCCTCGGTCCCTGTGACCCCAAGGTGGTTAGAGGAGTCCGGGCTTCTTTCCTCCTGGGGCCTCTTTTTGGCCCAGACTGCAGCGTTGAAAACTGCAACAGACTGTACAGATGAGGGGGTCTTACTATTTTATTATTATTATTATTATTATTATTATTATTATTATTATTATTAATTTGAGACCGAGTCTCGCTCTGTCGCCCAGGCTGGAGTGCAGTGGCGCCATCTCGGCACACTGCAGCATCCACCTCCTGGGCTCAAGCGATCCTCCCACCTCACCCTCTTGACTAGCTGGGAGCACAGGTACACACCACCATGCCCAGCTAATTTTTGAATGTTTTGTAGAGACAGGGTTTTGCCATATTGCCCAGGCTGGTCTCTAACTTCTGAGCTCAAGTGACCTGCCCGCCTCAGCCTGCCAAATTGCTGGGATTACAGGCGTGACCACCTCGCCCAGCCTGTTATTCTGAAACAATGAGTAAGCCCCTACTGTGTGTTCGGCTCTGTGCTAAGCACTTCACAGGCATTTTCTCATGTGGTGCTCATACTCCCCGAGGAAGGAGGAACTACTATTATTATCACTTTATATTTTTTACAGGGTCTCACTCTGTTGCCCAGGCTCACTGCAGCCTTTTTTTTTTTTTTTTTTTTTGAGACAGAGTCTCGCTCTTGTCACCCAGGTTGGAGTGCAGTGGTGCGATGTGGGCTCACTGCAACCTCTGCCTCCCAGGTTCAAGCAATTCTGCCTCAGCCTCCCGAGTAGCTGGGATTACAAGCGCCTGCCATCACACCCAGCTAATTTTTGTATTTTTAGTAGAGAAGGGGTTTCACCATATTGGCCAGCCTGGTCTCGAACTCCTGAGCTCAAGTGATCCACCTGCCTCAGCCTCCCAAACTGCTGGGGTTACCAGCATGAGCCACTGCACCCGGCCCTCACTGCGGCCTTTAACTCCAGGGATCAAGTGATCCTCCTACTCCAGCCTCCTGAGGAGCTGGGACTACAGGTGTGTACCACTGTGCCTCACTGCTTTATTTCTTCTTTCTTTTCTTTTTTTCTCTCCCTTTCTTTCCTTCCTTCCTTTCCTTTCCTTTCTTTCTTTCTCTTTTTCTTTCCCTTTCTTCCCTTCCTTTTCTTTCTTTTTTCTTTCTTGAGACAGGGCCTTGCTATGTTGCCTAGTCTAGAAAACTATTATTTTTATCCCCATTTTACACACGCAGAAACTGGGGCAGGCAGGATCGCAGCCCTAGTTTCCCTCACACCACGCACTTATCTGCTCCATCTACTTATTTCCATTTACATATATTTATATTACAGCCTTTCCTCACACAGTGAAATTTACATCGGAAGCATGTGTTTCCATGCTTTTTTTTTTTTTTTTTTAATTATCATTGTGAATCAGACTTTAAAAAATGGGCGGTTGGAAGGGGACCTGTTGGGGAGATGGGGCTGGCAGAGGTAGCCCTAGGCAGCTGGGGAGGGGCCTGTGTGTGCCCCAGGCCTCCTGGGGGCCAGTCTGGAGTCATCAACAAGGATCCTGCCTGAGTCACTGGGGCACAGCCGCCAGAGATGCGAAGGACAAGGAAAGGTGCAGGCAGGTGGGCTGCCGCCCCCAGCCAGGATCCCAGCCTCTCCTCCCCCACACTGCTGCTCCATGCACAGAACGTTTACAGAGGGTGCAGGAACTGAATGGGTGGGAAGCTTTGCAGTCCATGACCTGTCAGAGACTTGGGGAGGATGGAGGGTTTGGGGGACTGGTTCTGGAGGCCAGGGCTAGAAGGAGCAGGTAGTCAACAAGTAAACTCACAAACAAAAGATAGAACATCGGACAGAGATCAGGGCAATAGCAAAAATAAGGCGGAAGGAGAGGTGAGAGTGAGAAGGCCAGCGTTTGGGGGAGGGTTGGCCGGAAGCGTACTCCTCCCACCCAGTTAAACAGATAAAGAGCCCCTCGGTGAGGGAAGGAACAATCCCTAGCCCGACTTGCTCCGCGAGGGCCCCTGCTAATCACTTTAGGGGATCATCCCAGCGTCCTCAGCTGTTTTTTTTTTTCCAGGAGAGGAGACTAATCCGAAGCTCAGAAAGGCTCAGTGCATTCCCAAGGTCGTTCAGCCAGGAGAGCGCTGAAGGGATCTGAGCTGAGAGCAAGTCTCAAACTCAGAGAATGGAGGAGCTGCCCCGGAAGTGGCTGCTCGAGGCTGCAGTGAACTATGATCCTGCGGCCAATCGCGGTGGCTCACGCCTGTAATCCCAGCCTTCTGGGAGGCCGAGGCGGGCGGATCGCTTGAGGTCAGAAGTTCGACACTAGCTTGGCCAACATGGTAAAACACCGTCTCTACAAAAAAATGCAAAAATTAGTTGGGTGTGGTGGCGCGCGCCTGTGGTCCCAGCTACTCAGGAGGCTGAGGTGGGAGGAACGCTTGAGCGGGGGAGGCGGAAGTTACAGTGAGTCGAGATCGCCCCACTGCACTCCAGCCTGGACAACAGAATGAGACCCTGTCTAAAAATAAAATACATGAGCCGAGTGCGGTGGCGCGCGCCTGTGATCTCACATACTCGGCAGGCTGAGGTTGGGAGAACCGCCTGAACCTGGGGACTGCACCACTGCATTCCAGCCTTGGTGACAGTGAGACCCTGTCTAAAAAAAAAAAAAAAAGTATCTGAGGCCTGTTGGCAGGGAAGCTGCAGGCAGGCGAGGTCAGGCCAAGCAGAGTCCTGCCTATCTGGAGAGCTTCCTGGAAGAGGCGGCTTTTTCTGGCTCCCGAAGCCGTGCGCTAGGGGTTGGGGGTCGTGCGTCTGGCCTCCCACCGCGACCCTGGTTCAGAACACGGCCGGAGTGAGAAGGGGGGTGCCGGGACCCAGGAGGCCGTAGGGACTTCCTGGTCCTACCCGGAGTAACCCTGGGGCTACGCCTGCTCCGAGCACCGGGATGGCGGTCCCTTTTATGGACCCAAACACTACGCCAGCCCAGCGAGGGCGGTGGGTGTCGGGTGCGAGGCCTGGAGGGCAGTGGGCGTCCCAGGGACTGGGCGGCTGAAGCCCCGCGCAGCGACTCAGAACCAGGCCGCCACCCACGCCCCGGGCCAGCGCGGAGAATCCTGTGCGCCTGCGCAGTGAGCGGCGGGGCGGCTCGGCGGCGCGCACGCAGCACGAGGGGCGGAGCCTCGGAGCCCGGGCACCCCTGACGGGCTGCACTGGGGAGGGGGAGGAGCCTCGAGGCCGGTTTGGAATTTTTGGCGCGAGCAGCTCCGCGCGCGTTCACGGGCCGTTCCCCCTCACGGGAGTCCTCCGCCCGGGCGTCCGGAACAGTCGACGGCAGACTCCGGCCCGCTGAGCCACCCGAGGGGTCCCGTGGCCTCCGCGGACCCGGAATCTGGGCCCTCGCGGACCCGCGCCCCGCCCAGTCGCCCCAGGTGAGCCCAGACCCCGCCGTGAGGGGCCTCGGCGTGGCCACCTCGCCGCTCCCCTCCGCCTCGCCAGGTCTGCGTTACCCCTGCCCCTCAGGCCTCCCCGGCGGCCCGCTCGCGTCCCCTCAGGCCCGCCCCCGCGAGCCCCTGCCTCCCGTCCTCCCCAATTCCTGGTTCCCTTGCCTCGAGCCCCTTCCCAGCGGCGGTCCCGCCCTACTCGCCCCTCCCGGAGACCCCGCCTGCTGTCCATCAACCCCGCGCCGCCGCCCTCCCCGTGACAGTCCTTCCTCCGTGACAGCCCCTGCCCCGGGACAGCCTCTCTTCTTCTGCAACAGCCCCTCTTCCCTCGTGACAGCCCGTCCACTGCTCTGTTCGCCAGGGCTTCCCCACACCCACGGAGTGAAGTCAGCCGCGGCCCTGCCTGGGAGGAACTTACCGTCTACCGGGAAAGGTGGCCAGCAGATGTGTCGGGCCTGGTGAGAGGGTGAGGCGAGACGGCCCGATCGCCCAGGGCCCCGGAAGCTGCGGAGGTCACCCCCGCCTGGCCTTAGCTCAGGGACACCCTGGATTCACGTGGGAGCCCCTGCTCCTGCCTCCCCCGTCCCACCACTGAGGCTGTTGGGCCAGGCCAGTCATGCTAGAACGTAAGTCGTAGGGCAGGGACGGTGGGAGAACTGGGTTAAGATGCACAGGCCCAGGTCCCCGAGTGTGCCAGGGTTGGGCCTGGAGGCTGTGCTTGTGACCAGTGACCTCCAGGATCCCAACACCCTGGCTCCTGACTTGGAGAAACCCTGGGCTGGGACTCTGAGGTAGTTAGAGTCAGAGGAAGAGTCTCCACAAGATGGAGGGCAGCCTGCCAGCCAGGCCCAGGTAGCATCGCTCCCCTCACCCCTGTACTCCCTCAGGTACTGGAGACTGCTCTTTTTAATTTTTTATTTACTATTATGTATATTTTTTTGAGATGGAGTTTTGCTCTTGTCGCCCAGTTGGAGTGCAATGCCGCAATCTCGGCTCACCGCAACTTCCACCTCCTGGGTTCAAGCATTTCTCCTGCCTCAGCCTCTGAGTAGCTGGGACTACAGGCATGCACCAGCACGCCCGGCAAAAATTTGTATCTTTAGTAGAGATGGGGTTTCACCATGTAGGCCAGGCTGGTCTCGAAGTCTTGACCTCAAGTGATCCACCCACCTTGCCTCCCGAAGTGCTGGGATTACAGGCGTGAGCCACCACACCCAGCCGCTCTATTGTTTTTTATAATACTTTGGTGCACCAGCCTCACCAACATGGTGAAACCACATCTCTACTAAAAATATAAAAATTATTCTAGTGTGTTGGCACACGCCTGTAATCCCAGCTACTCAGGAGGCTGAGGCAAGAGAATTACTTGAACCTGGGAGTCGGAGGCTGCAGTGGGCCGAGATCATACCACTGCACTCCAGCCTGGGCAACAGAGTGAGACCCTGTCTCAAAAACAAACAAACAAACAATACCTTGGGGCATAAAGTGTTCCACGGTCCAATCCAATTAAATTTTTTTTTTTTTTTGAGACAGAGTCTCGCTCTGTTGCCCAGGCTGGAGTGCAGTGGCATGATCTTGGCTCACTGTAATCTCTGCCTCCCAGGTTCAAGCAATTCCCCTGCCTCAGCCTCCCGAGTAGCTGGGACTACAGGCATGCACCACCACACCCAGCTAATTTTTGTATTTTTAGTAGAGATGGGGTTTCACCATGTTGGCCAGGCTGGACTCGAACTCCTCACCTCAGGTGATTTACTCACCTCAGCCTCCTAAAATGCTGGGATTACAGGCATGAGCCACTGTGCCTGGCCAGATCCAATTAATTTTGAGCTCCTTTGACAGGGTGGCTTTTGAGGTCAGTGAGGTTTGTTCTGACAGCAGGCAGGCTCTTCCTAGCTAGCTCTTTCTCCACTTCTCTGTGGTAAACTAGCTGGCCTATGGTTCAGCTGGTTGCCCTAATGCGGGTACCAGTCTCTTCTTAATGGCGCACCACCAAAACTTCCACTGATTTTGACAGCCCCTTTAAACTTGAACTTCCCTACGCACTGTTTCAAATCAAGCCAATTTTCAGGGGGTTGGTGGGTGGGGAGAGCTCTATTTATGACCTACGTCTACCCCTAGGCTAAATCTCTGTCTGAGCCATGCTGTGGAACTGGGGGCAGGACAGCGGGGCACCTCTCTGAGTGCTGCTATTGCTTTAGGAGCAGGTCGCTGGGTTGGGCAGGAGCCTCTGGCCTTCTTGGTTGCCCTCTCCCAGTGTGGAGCCTCCTTCCTACAAATGAGCTGGGGCTCCATGTTCCCAGCCTGCCGGGCCTGAGATATAGCCTCTATTCTATGCTTGGGGGCAGGTGGAAGAAAGGAGCCCCTGGCCTGTCTGCCACACTCAGCTGGAATTTAGCCTCTGCCATGTGGAGCTGGGAGGGTTGAGAAGTGCTGAGAACCTGGCCCTCCTGGGCAAACACCCTAACCCTTGACGGGGAGCTGGGGGAGAGGGAGCCCTTCTTCTTGGCCACACCTGCCCCCAGTGCTAGGCGGGGGGAGAGGGGTGCTGGAGGTGGGAGGGCAGGAGTGTCATGGCTCAGGTGCCAACAGGCTTGCCATTATTCCCAGGCCTTGGCAGGTTTTCTTGTGTAAACCTTTGTTTGCTGTGTGCCCTGGGCACCATGCCCAGAGGCTTTCAGTGCTTGCTTTTGAATAATCGTCATCAGTTGTGCTGTTTCACTGGGGCAGGGGTCCACGGAGCTGCACACACTGCCATTCTGGAAGTGGACACCACTAACTGGGTTTTGGCACGACAGTTATGAAAAAGAAAGACACTTGAGGGATTCCGGGTTTTCACTTTGGAATTGGAGATAAGGGATCGTGGGCCCGTGTAGTCTCGGAAGAGGTTGTGTAGTTTAGGATCAAAGAGCTGGCCGTGATGAGGGCAGGGATGCAGGCGCAGCCCGTCTGACTCCAAACTGCCTTGCTCTTAACCCGACTGCAAGACCCTCAAGAACACGGGCCCCATGGTTTTCCTCTTATGTTTCTATCATCTCTAAAATACAACAGCCTGGTGGGCAGGTGAGTATGAATCTGTCCTCTGCCTTTTCTTGGTAGGTGCTTATTGCTCCCATTGCCGTTTAAAGTAGAATAAGTGTGTGGTATAGACATAGCTCTCTTCTGTGGCCTCTTTGGAGCCACAGGGCCAGGTGGTATCAGAGTGGACATGCTGCCCTGTACTCAGCCTCTGTCTCTGCCCCCAGGGCCTCCTGCACTGGCCATGCCCATGCCCACGGAGGGCACCCCGCCACCTCTGAGTGGCACCCCCATCCCAGTCCCAGCCTACTTCCGCCACGCAGAACCTGGATTCTCCCTCAAGAGGCCCAGGGGGCTCAGCCGGAGCCTCCCACCTCCGCCCCCTGCCAAGGGCAGCATTCCCATCAGCCGCCTCTTCCCTCCTCGGACCCCAGGCTGGCACCAGCTGCAGCCCCGGCGGGTGTCATTCCGGGGCGAGGCCTCAGAGACTCTGCAGAGCCCTGGGTATGACCCAAGCCGGCCAGAGTCCTTCTTCCAGCAGAGCTTCCAGAGGCTCAGCCGCCTGGGCCATGGCTCCTACGGAGAGGTCTTCAAGGTGAGTGAGGGGACGGCTTCTAGGCCCATCTGGGGGACCTCCTTTGTGTTTCTGCACCTCCCTTGGCAGGACAGTGTCCTGGGCAGCCTGATCCCCTTCCGTTCCCTACAGCCTGTCCCTGCTGGGCTCACAGGCTCCCTCCACATTTGACTTGGCTGCTCCCATCATCCCCAATGCAGGCCCCTCCAGGGGTTGCTCTGTGCATACTGGCCCCTTGTCCAGAGTCTGGCACGCCCTGCAGCAGCCCCTGTGCCATCTCCTCCGGCCCTGGCGCCAGCTGTGCAGCGTCCTTGGCGAGTCGGCCCAGCCTCTGGCACTGGCCCTGAGTGCAGTGCCTGGCCAGCCCTCCCCAGGCTGGCAGGCTTTGAGCTACCCCCTGCCTGCCATCTTGCTTTTCTTAAACACAGTTTCCAGTCATTTATATTTTCTTTTAGAGAGGAGTTTTCCCTTGTATGAGTCCTGTATGAAGACAATTTTGTTAAAAAGTACAAACAACATTGGCCCCCAGGTCAGCTTTCTCACAGGGGAGCCCACTTTTCACACCACAGCCTGGGCTGCCTGTGTTGCTCTGCAGCTGCTTTTTCCACCTCGTGACACATCCAAGAGGTCCCCTGGGGTCAGTGCAGGTCGGCCCTGGCTCCTCCGTCGCTGGGTCTCCACAGACCCAGCCCGAGGGATGGAGGTTTGTCTGGTTTTGTTATTACCCTGGGCAGGGGTCTGAGACAGATGCCAGCTACACCACCGTGCCCCGTGTGTGAACCCTTAATGGGGTCTGCCAGGTTGTCCCCCTATGTGATTGTGCCACTTGTGGCTCACCCTCACTGTGTGCGTGGGTACCACCTCCCTTCCAGGTGCGCTCCAAGGAGGACGGCCGGCTCTATGCGGTAAAGCGTTCCATGTCACCATTCCGGGGCCCCAAGGACCGGGCCCGCAAGTTGGCCGAGGTGGGCAGCCACGAGAAGGTGGGGCAGCACCCATGCTGCGTGCGGCTGGAGCAGGCCTGGGAGGAGGGCGGCATCCTGTACCTGCAGACGGAGCTGTGCGGGCCCAGCCTGCAGCAACACTGTGAGGCCTGGGGTGCCAGCCTGCCTGAGGCCCAGGTCTGGGGCTACCTGCGGGACACGCTGCTTGCCCTGGCCCATCTGCACAGCCAGGGCCTGGTGCACCTTGATGTCAAGCCTGCCAACATCTTCCTGGGGCCCCGGGGCCGCTGCAAGCTGGGTGACTTCGGACTGCTGGTGGAGCTGGGTACAGCAGGAGCTGGTGAGGTCCAGGAGGGAGACCCCCGCTACATGGCCCCCGAGCTGCTGCAGGGCTCCTATGGGACAGCAGCGGATGTGTTCAGGTGGGGACCGGGGCACGCCAGGTGTTTGGCAGGCTGTGGGAGGCCCTTCCTGGGACGGAAGCTCCATTCCCCAGGAGGGAAGCTCCACCCTAGCCCAGGACACCCGGCCTCAGAGCCACAAGGCTGAGACGCCATCCCTGCCCTCCAGTGGAGAGCGTCTCTGGTCAGGCTGCCTGTGAGCCTCGAACCCTCCAGAGCCACTTTGTGTAACCTGCCTCCTCACAGCTCCACAGGAGAAACAATTGTCACTCCATTTACAGCCAGATTAAGGGCCTTGCCGGAGCCCACTGCTAGCAAGTGGCATAGCTGAGACTGGCCCTAGGTGCTGGGTTCCAGGGTCCACACTGGTAACCACTGCCCTGATCATCAGGATAGTAATACCTGCCAGCAGTAACTGTGGTGCCTGTCCATCAGGGCACTGGGAGGACTCACCACTGTGGCTTGTGGGCTCCCTGGGCACAGAGCCCATATTCCATGATGTCCCCATCCTGCCCAGGGTTCATGATCAGGCCTGTTGGGGTGTCCCTTCCCCCTGCTTCCGCCCCTCCCTGACTGATGAAGACAGCAGCCCTCTCCCACCCACCTCCAAGAGGCAGCCCTGGACTGGGTCTGTGTCCCAGGGCCAACCCTGCCCCTTTCTGTCCCCATCCCGTCCCTGCCAGTCTGGGCCTCACCATCCTGGAAGTGGCATGCAACATGGAGCTGCCCCACGGTGGGGAGGGCTGGCAGCAGCTGCGCCAGGGCTACCTGCCCCCTGAGTTCACTGCCGGTGAGTAGGTGAGGGCGGGAGGGGGTGCTGCCACGGGCTCCTGGGGAGATAGTGGCTGGCCATGGAGGCACTGCTGGGCTCAGGGTGCAGTCGGTGTTCTGGGACCCCGATGTGGCCCTTCCTCATGGGCAGGTCTGTCTTCCGAGCTGCGTTCTGTCCTTGTCATGATGCTGGAGCCAGACCCCAAGCTGCGGGCCACGGCCGAGGCCCTGCTGGCACTGCCTGTGTTGAGGCAGCCGCGGGCCTGGGGTGTGCTGTGGTGCATGGCAGCGGAGGCCCTGAGCCGAGGGTGGGCCCTGTGGCAGGTAAGCTCCCGACAGTGGCGGCTGCCTGCCCTGCTCCCCAGCCCCGGGGGTCCGCCCACCCACATCCTGAGCTCCTCTCCCCCACAGGCCCTGCTTGCCCTGCTCTGCTGGCTCTGGCATGGGCTGGCTCACCCTGCCAGCTGGCTACAGCCCCTGGGCCCGCCAGCCACCCCGCCTGGCTCACCACCCTGCAGTTTGCTCCTGGACAGCAGCCTCTCCAGCAACTGGGATGACGACAGCCTAGGGTGGGTTCAAGTGCAGGGTATGGGGGGCTAGGGGGAAGGTGGGGGATATCACCGGGGCTCCATGGAGATTCGTGGTGAATGGGGACCACTCCCACAAACCTGGCCCCCATCACATCCTGGGGAAGGGGACCAAGACTGGGGGTGTGTGGCCTGGCCAGGCTTAATGCAGCTGGGCATGTGGACTGGCCGTTCAGGGCATGGCTTCACACTTAGGGCACCAGCACCCCAGGGAGTGGCTGGCCGCGCAGCCCCGACCCCAGTGGAGGCTGCCAGTGCCCAGGGATAAAACATTGTCCCTTCTCTGGGAAGAGAAAGCCTCTGGAGTCTGGGGAGCCCTGCCCTGGGAACAAGTCCTTGGTCCCTGGGGCCTGGTGTCTTGAGTGAGAGGCTGTAATTAGGAAACCACACGCTCAGGGCAGACAGCTCTTGGGGACTCTGCCGTTAGCCCCTTCCTTACAAACACATCACCTCATCCCTCGGGGCACTTGATAGCAGACAAGAAGTTCCAGAAAGGCTTACATTTACTAAAAGTTTATTTCAAATCTGCCTCCAAGTCCATGTGTTCTGAAAAGGACAGAGGGGGCCTTGGAGTGCAGCCAGATGGAAGGACTTTGAAGGCTGTCCAAGTGCTGCTTTCAGAGTGCACCAAGTTTTTATTGTCCCTGACTGTGGCTCCCTGCCTGTTTGTCAGGCGGGAGCCTGGAGCCTGCACAGGGACAGAGCTGGTTTCATCCGGCACTCCCTAGCCCTGGACACCCTCCTTGTCTCGCCTGCCCTCCTGCAGGCCTTCACTCTCCCCTGAGGCTGTCCTGGCCCGGACTGTGGGGAGCACCTCCACCCCCCGGAGCAGGTGCACACCCAGGTAAGCAGGTCCAGGGGCTGGGGTGGGCAGGGCTAGCTTTTGGATCCTGAGTGTCACTACTCTCTCCTCCCAGGGATGCCCTGGACCTAAGTGACATCAACTCAGAGCCTCCTCGGGGCTCCTTCCCCTCCTTTGAGCCTCGGAACCTCCTCAGCCTGTTTGAGGACACCCTAGACCCAACCTGAGCCCCAGACTCTGCCTCTGCACTTTTAACCTTTTATCCTGTGTCTCTCCCGTCGCCCTTGAAAGCTGGGGCCCCTCGGGAACTCCCATGGTCTTCTCTGCCTGGCCGTGTCTAATAAAAAGTATTTGAACCTTGGGAGCACCCAAGCTTGCTCATGTGGCAACATGGCCCTTCCTGTCCCTTTATTGATGTCATCCAGGGTCTTAACGCCCCTGAGGCTGAGCCCTGCTGCAGAACCCAGCGCTCCTGGCCTTGGGCCAGCAGCTGAAGCCCCATGCTGTGTGGAGCAAAGAGGTTTCCTGAGCAGGCACATCCCCCGGTGGGTACCTGGAGCTGTTGGGAGTATGGCACTCAAGGTGGAGGGCAGGCACGGCCCAGGGGTCCCAGGATCTGAGGCCGCTGAGCTCCCTGTGTCAGTTTCCTGGAAGAAGCAGCTGCAGCCCTTGTGCCTGTGGCCAGCTGGTACAAGACGGGTCCACGCCCCCTTGGTCCTTTTGTCCTGAATGCCTTACTCCATAGTCTCTGGGCAGAGGGAGCCAGGGCGGGCAAGCTTGTGGCTGCTGGGAGGGCTGGTATGCAGGGCAGAAAGATGGAGATCAGGAAGACTGGCCACAGGCCTGGTGGGAGGAACAGGATAGGGTGAGGAGGCTCTGGGCTGGCGGCCTGGCAGGACTTGAACTCTCAGAGCAAGACGTGACCCCAGAGTCCCTCTCTGGTCTAACCCCACAGGTCACAGAGGGTAAAGAGGTCCCAAGAGGGAAAGGTTTCCTTCCAGCTGACACAGTAAAATAGGAGCTTGGAGGGAAAAGGCAGGGAAGGAAGTTGGAGCGCCACGGCGTGGGTGGAAGAGGTCAGTCCACAGGGAAGAACGGGTGAACAGGGCTCCTGCTGAGACATCTCATGAGCTGGAAGCATCCAAGGAGCCAGCCCCTTGCAGACGAGTTGGGAGGAACACCTGGTGTTGCTAACTCTAGGAGGCTGCTGTGGGCAGGCTGGCATGGCAGCTCAGTCCCGGGGACAGGCGTGGTGGGCAGCCCAGAGCAGGTCGGGCACGACGCCGGCGTGCAGCTGCAGGATGGAGCCCACGCTCAGCAGGTGCATGATCTGGTGGGAGTTGCCCCAGTAGTCAAAGCGGCCAGGTCCCCAGCGCTCGGGCAGACGGGCTACATTTACCAGTCCCCCAAGCAGCGCCAGTGCGTCCATGCGCAGGTAGCAGGGCAGGGAGCCTGGAGCCCCTGAACCCAGACCCACTCCCCGGGCCCCAAATACCAGTAGGCGGGCAGCAGCCTGCCATCCAAATGCCCGGAGCCGAGCACTGGTGGAGGGGGCGGTGAGAGCACGCCAGCCGGCCACACCCGACAACACAGTGTAGCCCACCAGGGCAGCCGGGCGCAGCCAGGGCCTGCAGGCCAGGGTGCAGTGGATGATGGGCAGGGCCCCTGCACAAGAGGAGAGAACAGGAGAGGGCATGTCATTGTGAGGGTCCACCCGCCCTTCCCTACCCATGGCTTGTATGCGTGCCCCATGCCTCTCCCGCCGGTGGCTCCAGCTCCCATCCCTTGGGCCCTGACTCACCAAGGGTGTTGACAAGGCAGACCCCACACATGTCCAGGGCGAGGAGCCGGGCGTACACAGCGCTGCCCCCTTGGTGGCACATAAAGAGGTGATAGAGCACGGAGCCTGCAGGGGGTGCAAGGCAGGCCACGCAATGTGTGCCTCCCAGCCAGCCATCCTTGCCCAGCTGACCCCAGGGCATGGTCATTGGCACCAGCACCAGGAAGCCCAGCAGGGCCAGCCCTAGGGAGGGAGACAGTCATCTACCAGATAGTTTCAGTCACATCCTCAAGGGGACCACGGTTCAGACACAACACAGGACAGGGCAAGACAGGTCCAGGTAATGCTGTCATCCAGTTGGCGGCCTGGCCTTGGCCAGAGACAGGCCCTGGGCAAAAGGCTTTTGGCACTGGTTACTTATCATGGCTCAGGATGGTCTGGGAAGTAGAGACCATGATCCCCACTTTGCAGGTGAGGAAACAGACTTGGAGGGGCTGAGTGACCGGCCCCGGGTGAGCCCAGCAGGTAAGCAATGGCAGAGGACAGGCCTAGGCCGTCCCACTCCCACACTGCTCTCCCCATACAAGCAGGTCACAGGAGAAGGCTAAGGCAGCGAAACCTCAAGTTGAGTTGTGAAGAGGACACATGAGCAGTGATGCCAGCCCGGGGCCACTTGGCTTGCTCTTCCCAACCCAAGTCCTCCCCTCTCCATAAGTGTCCAGACAAATGGAGGCACTGGGCCTTTTTATCTTCTATAAAGGGGTGAGGCCAGGTGGGGGAAGACAAGTCCAGAATGAAGGGAAGGGGGCTTCGAGGGGCTTGTCCCATCTCCCCAGACCTCTCCCTGGGGAGTTTGATTCCAGCCTAGCCCTTTCTGGGAGGTCTCCACCCCTCCCTGCCGGCCTCTAGTACTGGCCTCCCAGGGGCCAAACGGGGCTCCGAAGGCTGCCCACCCTTGTGAGAATGTGGCCTGGCAAAAGCTCGGGAAAGGCACCCAGGCTGGGCCAGGCCGCTCAGGGCCCCTTGCCCGCCTGGGGCAGCTCAAGGACGGGCAGGGCTGTGTCAGCAGAGCTCCGCGGGGCGCGGAGGAGGGGCCGGACGCCTGTTGGGGGAAGAAGGAGCCGCCACCAGGCGGAGCCCCAAGACAGAGCGGCTTGGGGCGGGGGCGTCAGGACGGCGGCGCTGGGAGGCTCCTCCCGGGCCCTCCTCATCGCAGTCAACACCATCTCCCGGCTGGGTGCTGGCGGGAGGGGGTTCCCAGGGCGCTGGGATTACAGAGGCCGGACACCATGCTCCCTACCCCTGGGGCTCAGAGGGATTAAGCAGGCTCAGACCCTACTCTGCTCCCCTCTCCTGACCCGGCCCCCACCCGCCGGGAAAACGGAAGCTGGCAGCGCGGCCCGGGACAATGGCAGCTTTGTCACCGCGGCTACTGGCGGTGCCAGGGCCGGGGCAGCCCTGGACTTGGGCGCTGGGGCCCTCCTCGGCCTCAGTGCCCCCGGCCCAACGCAGGTAGGGCGGCCGGGGGTGTGGGAAGCGCGTTGCGGGACGCGGCTCACCGTGCGTGTAGATGTTGCCCAGTTCGTTGTGCAGGTAGAAGAGGCTGCGCAGGCAGCCCGAGCCGCTGCTGGCGGGCCGGTACCCGGTCAGCACGAACTTATTGAACTGCAGGTGCGGCGGCGAGCTGGCCCAGTCCAGCAGGCGCGGCCCGGCCAGGAACGCCATGGTCCGCACCGCGCGGGCAGCCCGTGCTCCTGCTGTCCCCGAGCCTCCTCCTCAGTGGGGCCGCAGCGCGGGAAGGCCCATCACTGCCTGGCGCCCGGCGCCCGGCGCCCACCCATCGCCCTGCGCTCGATCGGCGCACGCGCTGGCTAGGGGGTCCCAGCCCGCGCCCCTCCGGCGCTGCGCACGCGCGAGTCCGTCGCCCCCGCGCCGGGGCGGAGGCTGGGGACGCACCGGACGCCTGAGCGCACTGCGGTCGGCTCCGCCAAGGCAGACGCGCCGCAGGGACAGCTCGCGGCGGCGGCGGCGGCGGTGGCCGGTAGTCTCTCTGCAGCCAGGAGGACGGGCGCGGCCGGACGCGGGAGGGGACGCCAGGCTCCGCCCAGGCTCCTAGTTCCCGCCGGCCGGCCAGCGTTTCGCGCGCCGGGCTCCTGACGTCGGCGCAGCGAGAGCCAATGGGCGTGGCCGGCGGGGAGGCTCCGCCCCGAGGCCGCCCAGGCCTCGCCTCCTAGCATAGTGTGCGCGCTCCCAGCCTCATTTGCATGGGGTGGCTGTGGGCTTGCGACCCAACGTTCTGGGTCCTGCGGGCTGCGCTAGAGTGACCCTGGCACCTCGCGTCCCTCAGAACTGTGCATCCGGGCTTTCCGCGTGACACCCAGGTCTCCGTACCTTTGGGCACCCACCCTCGGGGGCATAGTCCTGCCACCTAGCCCTACCCTGCAGACGGGGCTCTGTCCAAGGTGCTGCCGGACGGGTCCGGCCTACATCCGGTACGCCCCCGCTCCAAAGTGATCTTTCCGCAGGCTGGACTCCCGAGTGCAGCAAGGCGCTCCACGGTACCCAGGCCTCTGAAGGCGTGCCTCACGCGCCCGCAGCCGTCGGGAGAGGCCCTATCCTTCGCGCTAGGCTTCTCGGAGCGTGGGCCCGGCCCAACTTGCTCCCAGTTATCGCCCACAAGGAGCACCCTTGCGGGGCCCTACCGAGGATAGACAGGAAACAGATTGGAGGCCAGGGGAGCAAAGTCGACCTCCGCCCCGTCCACCCTGAGCAGGGACCGGGAAGGCACCCCTTATTCAGCATAACGCTGCCCACGATCCTCCTCCCCTTCCACCCCCCGCCTTCTACAGGACTCCACCCACCCACCCATCTGTCTGTGTTCTAGGTCCTTCTCTGCATTCCAGGCAGCTCCACCAAAGTCTGCGTGCAACGCCCTTCATTTGCATGGACACACGCAACCCTCGGCGTTTGTATGGTCATTAACATGCTCCTCCCACCACGGAAGAACTTTCGAGGCCCGTACCAAAGTAGATCCTTTATTCAAAATCTGTGGGGGTTTTTTGACTGTTTTTGCTGACCTGTGACCTCTCACTGAGGACGGCAGTCCAGGACCACCCCCAGAGGGGTTCAAAGACCTCCGAAACCAGAGACCACCCCCACATACAGGTCCATGGAGAGGGCCTGGACCATCTGGACCCCCACGGTCAGGCCAAGTCCCAGATAATAGCACCAGATGTTTCCTGTCCGACTTTTGGTCTCCCCAAGGCGACCAGAGGCCGAGCTGCCCCTACACAGGCGCAAGGCCGAGGCAGGGCGCAGCACAGCATCTCAGGTGTCCATCTCGCCGGCGGCGGGCCCAGCGGACCCTCGGGGCCCAGAGTCAGAGAGCGGAGATGAGCGAGCGCAGGGAGCTCTGGCTGGAGGCACTCAGAGGCCGGTAGCCCGCGGCAGAACCCTCAGCCTGGGGGTCCCCGGGGGAGCAGGGCAAGGCCACCCCTCGGGGCTGTTGGTACCACACAGCCCAGCTTCTCCTGGGGCCCCTGGAAGCCCCCAGCGCCGGGGGCCCTTTTCCCGGAGCCAGCAGACAGCTCCTAGAGAGGGAGCAGACATCAGCCGAGCCGGTCCAATCCCGCTGCAGCGTCCTGCTCTACCTGCGATCCCGCGCGCGATCCTGTGCGTGGACCCAAAGCCTCGCTCCCTTAAGAACCCAGGAGTTCCTTCCTAGCTCTGTTCCCTTCTGGGGCTCCAGCTCCCCACCACCGGTCCGCCCTCAGGCCCTGCCCCAGCGCCCCGCACCGTCGGCGCAGCGGACGCAGCAGCCCCAGGAGCAGCAGCAGCAGCACCGAGACAGCCGTCACCGTCGAGAAGACCCGGGCTGCGGGCACACGGCTGCGGTGAGGATGGGCGCGAGGGGGCGGCTCCCTGACTCACTCCCGTCCCGCGCGCCCGCCTCACCCCCAATCGCGGCCGGCGGAGCCCCAGGCCTGGGGCTGCAGCTCACGTTGGCCCCGTCGAGGGGCGCCGCGGGGGTCTGGGCCGAGCCCTCGGGGGCCTCTGGGTCCTCAGCGGCGTCCTGCAGCCCTGCGGAGAGGGGCGTGAGGCGGGGTGGGGAGAGCGGGGTGGGAACAGCGGGCAGGGCGCGCCGAGCTGAGGCTCACCGCGGTAGGTGAGCGCGAAGCCTTGCGCGTGGCCGCGCGCGTCGCTTCGGAAGGTGAGCAGCAGCGCGGCAGTGCCCAGGCGCAGCGGCCCGGACGGCGGTGGGCGGGCGCCATCGAAGGCGCGGAGCAGGCTGCCCGAAGCCGCGTCGCGCAGCTCCAGCCGGTCGCGCGGGTCGGCCAGCTCGAAGAGGCGGAAGGTGAGCTCCAGCGCGGCGCCTGGCGGGCCCAGGGCCCAGCTGCAGTTCCGGTCCGGCCCGTACTCGTCCGGGAAGTCCGGGGAGTAGATGACGCCCTGAGGCGCTGTCCAGTTCCCCTGGCAGGAGCCCACCGACACTGCGGGCGGGGCCGGCAGTCAGCATCCTGAGGACCAGGACACGGCGGCTCCCCTGCCCGGCCAGGCCCCACCTCGAGGCCCGCCCAGGCCCCTGGTCCCCGCCCACTCCTCACCTTCATAGACGCCCAGCCGCCCATCGCCGCCACACAGCTGTCCAGGGTGGCCGAAACAGATCTGGTCACAGTCGGTGGCGGGGGCCAGGCGTCCCCGGGCCAGGTCGCTTTCAGAGCCACAGAAGCAGGCGTAACCGGCCTCCACGCCCGCCAGCTGGGAGCACAGACTGGGTGACCCCAGGGCAGGGGCTGGGGTAGGGGTGAAGTGGTGGGGGCCTGGGGTCGGGGTGGGAATCGGGCTGGAGGTTCAGAAACCGGTGTCTGGGTTTGGCAACCGAGTGTTGGGAGTTGAGTGTGGTCTTTAGGTCCAGGTCAGGGGTCACTGGTCTGGGCCCGTGAGCAGTACCTGGTACCCCTTCATGCGGCAGAAGCGTAGGCACACCTGGACCGTGAGCTTCGTGGAGGTGCCGCTGGGGCCGCTGAGGGCTGGGGGTGCCCCTGAGTCCACAAAGCATCCCAGGTAGCCTGGCACTGAGGGGGCAGAGTCAGACTTCCGTGACTCCGAAAACAACCCTCCTCCCAGATGCAGCAGCGTTCCCACCTCTGTCCAGCCGCGCTACTCACTGTGACAGGAGGGGATGTCGCAGTAGCGCCAGTAGATGCCCTCCTCTGTCTCAGCCACGTAGCACCACGGCTGCACGTCACCGTCTGGGTTACTGCGGGTGGGAGGGAGGTGGTGGGGCTCCCACCACCCCAAGAATAGCAAACCCAGGCCCGGCCCCGCAGCCTATGCTCAAAGTGGCCTTCAAGGCTCTGTGCCTGTGAGCGGCTGTGCTGCCTGCTGTACACCCACAAATTCCAGTTTTGTCTACGCAGAACTCTGCCTGATGAAGGAACTGGACGTCGACTTCCGAGTGGACAGCGGGAAGTCATTAAAGGGGACTTGAGAGCTGTTTTTAGGCTTCAGCTGTTGCTAGACTTGACTCCATATATGAGGACTTTGAGGCCATCTGTATTCTTCACCCCCACCCGGCATGGGCCTCAGCCACTTCCGTCCCTCAAACCCCACTTTTTTTTTTTTTTTTTGAGACGAGTCTCGCTCTGTCACCCAGGCTAGAGTGCATTGGCGCGATCTCTGCTCACTGCAAGCTCCGCCTCCCGGGTTCAAGCGATTCTCCTGCCTCAGCCTCCTGAGTAGCTGGGATTACAGGCGCCCGCCACCATGCCCCGCTAATTTTTTGTATTTTTAGTAGAAATGGGGTTTCACCATGGTAGCCAGGCTGGTCTCGAACTCCTGACCTCAGATGATCCGCCTGCCTTGGCCTCCCAAAGTGCTGGGATTACAGGCTGAGCCACCGCGCCTGGCCTCCAACCCCACTTAAAAGCAGAAGTGAGCTCCTGAGCTTTGCGGCTCTCCTCCCGCTGGGTCCATCCTGCCTCAGACCGTAGCTGTGGCTCTGAACCCCAAAATAAGTTGTATGACAAGAGCCCCACTCTGACAAGGCCCCGCCCATTCGGCCCCCGCTCTGACCAGGCCCCGCCCATACGGGTCCTTTGAGTGCCCAGGTCCGTTTCTCTCCTGGCCCTGAACTGGAGCTCTGCAGAAATTGTTCACCTGAGGAGGATCCCTTTTGCGCCAGGGTTCCGCGCGCCCCGCCCCGCCCCGCCCCGCCCCTCATTCTGGCCCCGCCCCCAGGTTCTCCAGGAGGCTGGGCTGCCAGTCCACGGCAGACCTCCACCCCGCCCGCACGGAGGCCCCGCTTCGGGCCATCCCTGCAATGGTGAGCCCAGCCTCGCCCCCAGCGCAGGCCCCGCCCCTCACCGGCAGAAGTTGTGCGCGCCCAGCCCCCAGCGGCCGTGGGGGTCGCTGGCGCTGCTGTAGCTGTGTTGCTGCGTCTGGTCCCAGAAGAGGCACGGGCGGCCCGCCCCGCGCGGGCCAGTGCGGTTCTGGTGGCCGCGGTAGTCAGCCCCATTCACCTGGAAGCATTCGGACAGGCCTGCACGGCAAAGGCAGGGCCTGGGGAGGTCCGGACCCACGCCGGGCATCCTCGCGCCCCTACGCCACCTCCCGCCTGGGTCCCCAGCCAGCGACCCCGCACCCGCCCCTGCAGGAGCCCTCGGGCTGCTCAGCTGCTCCGGCCACCTGCTCTGTCCCCCTCCCTAGCCTTGGGGGCCTGGCCCTGGGGGCGGAGGCCGAGGAAGGGGTGGTGAACACGGCCCGACAGCCGTGCGGGGACTTACCTGGACTGTGCAGGCTCCCAGCCGAGGCCCCACGCGGCTGCAGCAGCGGGAGGAAGAGGAGAAAGAGGAAGCCCTGCAGGGCTTGTGTCCCCATCGCTCTCAACCAAGGATAGGTCACCCTCGCCCGGACACGGCCCGGGCTGCCCCCGGGGTCGCTTCGGGGTCTCCCAGGAGACCTAGGGGGCGTTGTCCTCTGACAGTCTCCCCTCGTCCGACTCTGAGCCGCGCTTTCCGTCTGGGGTGGGTAAATCTCTCCTGGGGGTCTTTGCCTCCCAGGGCCTCTGCCCCTAGAGGCGTCTCTCTGTCCCTGTCCCTACCCGGGTCTCTCCGGGGGGAATCTGGCCGGGGGCGTTCTCAGTCTCTGTCTCAGCGAGCTCTGGGCGGTGCCTCAGCCTCTACGCCCGCCCCCTCCCACTGAGCCTAGCTCTCGGCGTCTCCCTCGCCCAGGTCTCCAACGGGCTGACTCCTGCCCGCCTCGCATCCCTCCGTGGGTCCCTCCCCCTGGGTCTCTCCCTCCCCCCATGGGAGGCCGGGAAGCCCCGCCCAGCACTGGAGCGGAGGCAGCAGGTCCAGACGCCTCCCACGCCCGTTCCCCCGACCCCGGGCGTCCAGCGCTTCCCGGCCCCCTCTCCCTCAGGTCGGTGCCGGTTCAAGTGGGAAGGTGTGGAGGGGGACAGGCGGGGCAAGCGGACGGAAGGCCCTTAAAATGGGAGATACAGAACCCCCTCACGTGGTCGCACGCGCCCCAGGACACCCGGAATGTCCGAGTTACAAGCGCCCTCCTCCCAGTGCACGCACGCGCTCGCACTCTCTCCCATTCATTGCCAGGCGCTCACGCGCACACTTTCTTCGGATCCGCACGCCCCTCCCGCCCCTGGTCCAGATGCCGCTGGCCTGACGGAGGAAGCTCCACTCCCTGCCCCCGCGCCCACGAGACAGGCGGGAGTCGTGGACGCTCAGTCCGGGACAGGCAGGGGCAGCTGGTGTCTGGGGAGAAAGGCAGCTGCGCCCCAGGTCCCAGTCTGTCCCCTCCTCCTCCCCCTGCCCCGCCCTTCCCTGGGACCCCCAGCCCAGACTCTCCCGAGCCTTCACACTGCAGTGGAATTCCCCCAGCCGTGCCCCCCACCTGGCGGGGGAGGGGGAGGGGAGCAGGCCCAGGCAGGCGTGGGGGGAAATTCCCCGCCCCCTCCCCCTGGGCCCGACTCCTCCGAGTCCTCTGATCTCCCAGCGCCACCCGCCCGCTGCCCCCAGGGCTTGGGGGGAGGCCAGCGCAGGTGCGTGGGAGGGCGGAGGCGGGGGCCGGGGGAAGGAACTGGTGGGGGCCGGGCGCCCAGAGCGGCCCCGCCCCGCCCAGACCTCTTTGCCCCTCAGTCCAGCCTGCCCAGCCCGCACCAGGCCCTCGCCAAGCTGTCGAGCCCAGGCCGACCAGTCCCCGCCCTGCAGCCCCCACACCGTCTCTGCCCCGGTGTCGATGGAGAAGAAAGATGGGGTTCAGGGAGGTTCTGTCAGGCCCAGGCACCCACTGCGGTGCTGGGACCCGCGAGGATCTTCCAGCTGGCGCCTCACGCGAGTGTGCTCTGGAGGAGGGGCGTGGAGCCGAGGTGGGGGCATTTGAAGGAGATGGACTTGCTGAGACTCTAGGCCAGGGTCCTGGTCGCCTCCTCCGGGAGCCCTCTCAGAGGCCAGGCTGGCCCGGCTCACTGAGCCCTGAGCTGGGGCCTCCAGCACCCACGGGCTCCCTGGAACCCAACTGCGCTTCCCGACGAGGGAGCATCCGGGACCACCTGTCTGCCCGGTTTCTCTTGGCGGGGGCTCAGTGAAGTCCTCCCGGGCTCCAGTCCACAGAGGATGTCCTAGGGGCAGGCCTGCACAATGGCGGTGCGTGGGGAGCTTCACCCCCACAGCCACAGCCATCTGAGGATGGGGCAAGGTGGCGACAGGGACAATTAAGGACTCTGTGCGGAAAGGGGGCCGGCTTGGGACGCTGGTGGAGGAATCAGCCCCTTCCCTTGAGAGAGTAGGGTCTGAAAGAACCGTCCCTCTGTCCCTGGCACTGTGACACCCGGTTCGGTTGGCCCAGGCCTGTCTCCTCCAGAGGGGGCAGGGGGTGAGAGGAAGTGGGTGCTCAGTGCTGAGGCTGGGGCACTGAGATGGAGTGGGGTGGAGTATCCCTGCGGCAAACTTCAGTCTCAGGTCACTCACGGAAACTTCCAGAACTAAGAAGCCCACCCCCCACCACTTCCCCAGCATTTGGCACTCAGGGCTCTGCAAGCAGCGGCATGTCTGCCCTCCTGACGCCCTGCGAGAGGGGACAGGCTCATCTCCCCATTCTGCAGATGGGGCGCAGAGGTGGTAACTGGGTGACTCGTGGGCGTCACCAGCTATTAAGCGTTGGAACTGGGCTTCAAGCTCCGCCTGGTCTGATCCAGGGGCTGGGCGCTGATTCATGCCTCCATGTCGCTTCCAGGGTCTCTGATTCTTCAGGGACCTCTGGGCACACAGAGATACTCTCTCACATGCTCTGAGGGGCTCCTCACCCCTCGAATGTCGTTGCCGCCAGCTGACACTTTGGAAGCAGGATCTCCAGCAGCCCATTTCACAGACAGGGAGACTGAGGCCAGACTGGGGCAGGGGTCGGCCTGGGGTCCCTAGGGCCTGACAGGCTTGGCATGTCATCTCTGAGGGAAGCAGATGCACAGGTGCAGATTGGCCACATGGGGGCGGCAGAGAGAAAGGAGCCAAAGAGGTAGGTGCAGAAGCAACCCAGGGGCCAGCCTGGCATTTCTCTCCTATGGGACATGGAACACAGGATTTGCCCTGCCCAAGTAGGGAGAAGGTGAGAAGTTGGGGGACCTGGGCAAGAGGAGGGACCAGGCCACTTTGCCCCAGTCAGCCCCCCAGGAAGGGGAGGAGCAGGCTCAGCCCTGCCCTTCTTAAGGCGGTGCAGGGTGGCCGTGTTTGAGCCCAGCCCTTTCCTGCCGGGAGCTCTGGGTCAGGGCCAGACCCGGTGCAGTCAGGACGCCTGGGTTCCACCTGGGGCTGCTCAGCTGCCCTTGGTCTTCTTGCTTTTTTTTTTTTTTTTTTTGAGACGGAGTCTTGCTCTGTCACCCAGGCTGGAACGCAGTGGCGCGATCTTGGCTCACTGCAACCTCTGCTTCCTGGGTTCAAGCGATTCTCCTGCCTTAGCCTCCCGAATAGCTGGGATTGCAGGTGGGTGCCACCACACCTGGTTAATTTTGGTATTTTTAGTAGAGACGGGGTTTTGCCATGTTGGCCAGGCTGGTCTCGAACTCATGACCTCAGGTGATCTGCCCCCCCACTCGGCCTACGAAAGTGCTAGGATTACAGGTGGGCGCCGCCACGCCTGGCTAATTTTTGAATTTTTAGTAGAGACTTTTTTTTTTTTCTTTTTTTAGACAGAGTCGCTGTCTTGTCGCCCCGGCTGGCGTGCATTGGCGCCATCTCGGCTCACTGCAATCTTGAGATGGGGTTTTGCCATGTTGGCCAGGTTGTTCTGGAACTCCTGACCTCAGGTGATCTGCCTCCCTCGGACTCCCATAGTGCTGGGATTACAAGCGTGAGCCACCTTGCCCGGCCCTTCCTTCCTTTTTCTCATCTCTCTGGTGGTGACAGTGTTCCACCTGGGGCCCACTCCTCATGGCAGAGGCACATCAGGGCCACCAAGGCAAAAGGAAGCCCCAGAAATCTGTGGGCAGGGGGTCCCCCTGGAGGCCGCTGGGGAGGCCCTGGGAGAGATGAACCAGGCCAGGCCTCACCTCCACACTCTGTCTTCAGGAGGGCGGTGGGTCAGTGGACCACCTCTCCTGGGTGACAGCTGGATGAGGAATGGGTGGGGTAGGGGTTCGTGGGCCCCTCTGAGACCCTGAGAGCAGCCCTGGGGGATCTTTCGGGGCCTTCCCAGGGGTTCAGAAAGAGGCCCCTGCTGAGGGGCTGCAAGTCCCAGTTGTGACCTCACCCATCCTCAGCAGCAATGATACTTTGTCCTGTCCCCCTTCCTGGGACAGCTGTGTTCCTCCTGCCTGCTTCCTAGCTGCACTCCCTACCTGTGTTTACTGATCCCAGTTCCTCCAGCTCCTGCACAAACACTAGACTCATTTCCCCACTTCCCCTACATGAGGTGTGGCTAGCGGGGGAATAGCAGGAGTGGCATCTCTCAGTACTCAAAGTTCGGAGCCTGGACCAGCGCCATTATTACCGGGGAGCTTGTTAGAAATGTGGCTCTTGGGCCGGGCACGGCGGCTCACGCCCGTAATCCCAGCACTTTGGGAGGCTGAGGCAGGCGGATCACCTAAGGTTGGGAGTTCAAGACCAGCCTGACCAACATGGAGAAACCGCATCTCTACTGAAAATACAAAATTAGCCGGACGTGGGGGCTCATGCCTGTAATCCCAGCTACTTAAGAGGCTGAGGCATGAGAATCGCTTGAACCCAGGAGGCAGAGGTTGCGGTGAGCCGAGATCGTGCCACTGCACTCCAGCCTGGGCAACAAGAGCGAAACTCCGTCTCAAAGATGGAAGGAAGGAAGGAAGGAAGGAAGGAAGGAAGGAAGGTAGGTAGGTAGGTAGGTAGGTTGGTTGGTTGGTTCATTCTTGGTTGGGTGCAGTGGCTCACACCTGTAATCCCAGCACTTTGGGAGGCCGAGGTGGGCAGATCATGAGGTCAGGAGTTTGAGACCAGCCTGGCCAACATGGTGAAACCCCGTCTCTACTAAAAATACAAACAGCTGGGTATGGTGGTGCATGCCTGTAATCCCAGCTACTCGGGAGGCTGAGGCAGGAGAATCTTTTGAACCCGGCAGGCAGAGGTTGCAGTGAGCCGAGATGGCACCATTGCATTCTACCCTGGGTGACGACTGAAACTCCATGTCAAAAAAACAAAAATAAAAATAAACAAACAAATAAATAGAGACAGAGTCTACCGATGTTGCCCAGGATGGTCTGGAACTCCTGAGCTCGAGTGATCCACCACCTTGGCCTCCCAAAGTGCTAGGATGACAGGTGTGAGCCACACCATATCGGGCTAGAACACTTTCACAGGATCCCTGGAAAGTCCCTGCCAGGTCTGGCCTGCCACAGCCTCAGCTTCTCTCTTCTCCATTCACCAACTGAGCGGAGGGGATACCTTGGGGAGGGTGGAGGGAGCTGGATCCCCGAGTGACCTGGTGGAAGGTGCCTGCCAACCGGAAGTCTCGGCACAAATCTCTGAATGACTGAAAAACAAACATCTGTGGGTTAAGTCACCAAGACCGCGGGCTTGCCGGGTACGGCACCTGGCCCAGTCCCTCCTCCCTTGCCCATCCCACTCTTTTCTTCTGTGTTGCCTTCCTTGGTTGTGGAAGCCTCACTCTCACTGCCTTCATCTTCACACGGTGTTCTTCATGTGTGCAGCTCTGTGTCCAAATTCCACCCCTGCCCTGTCACCTTTTATTTCTTTTCTTTTTTTTTTATTTTGAGATAGGGTCTTGCTCTGTCGCCCAGGCTGGAATGCAGTGGTGTGATCATGGCTCACTGCAGCCTCAGTCTCCTGGCCTCAAGCAATTCTCTCACCTCAGCCTTCCAAGTAGCCAGGACCACAGGGGCGTGCTGCCACATTCAGCTAATTTTTTTTTTTTTTTTTTTTGAGATGTAGAATCGCTCTGTCGCCCAGGCTGGAATGCAGTGGCATGATCTCGGCTCACTGCGACCTCCGCCTCCCAGGTTCAAACACTTCTCTGCCTCAGCCTCAGCCTCCCGAGTAGCTGGGATTACAGACATGTGCCACCACACCCGGCTAATTTTTGTATATTTAGTAGGGACAGGGTTTCACCATCTTGGCCAGGCTGGTCTTGAACTCCTGACCTTGTGATCCACCTGCCTCGGCCTCCCAAAGTGCTGGGATTACAGGTGTGAGCCACCGCGCCCGGCCAGCTTATTTATTTATTTTTGAGACGGAATTTCGCTCTTGTTGGCCAGTCTGGAGTGCAATGGCGTGATCTTCGCTCACTGCAACCTCTACCTCTTGGGTTCAAGAGATTCTCCTGCCTCAGTCTCCTGAGTAGCTGGAATTACAGGCGTCTACCACCACGCCCGGCTACTTTTCTGTATTTTTAGTAGAGATAGGGTTTTACCATATTGGCCAGGCCGGTCTCGAACTCCTGACCTCAGGTGATCCACCCACCTCAGCCTCCCAGAGTTCTGGGATTACAGGCATGAGCCACCACGCCTGGCCTTATTTTTTTATTTTATTCAATTAATTAATTTATTTTTGAGACGGAGTCTTGCACTATGGCCCAGGCTGGAGCGCAGTGGTGTGATCTGGGCTCACTGCAACCTCCGCCTCCCGGGTTCAAGCGGTTATCGTGCCTCAGCCTCCAAAGTTTCTGGGATCACAGGCATCTACCACCACGCCCAGCTAATTTTTTGTAGTTTTAGTAGAGATGGTGTTTCACTATGTTGGGCAGGCTGGTCTCAAACTCCTGACCTTGTGATCCACCCACCTCGTCCTCCCAAAGTGCTGGGATTACAGGCTTGAGCCACTGTGCCCGGCCCCTATTTTTTTATTTTAAATGGGGTTTCGCTATGTTGCCCAGGCTGGTCTTGAACTGCTGGGCTCAAGCGATCCGCCTGCCTCAGCCTCCCAAAGTGCTGGGATTACAGGCGTGAGCCACCACGCCTGGCCTCCACATGTGAATTTTATTTATTTATTTTTACGTATATATATATTTTTGAGACAGATTCTCGCTCTGTCACCCGGGCTGAAGGGCAATGGTGCCATCTGGGCTCACTACAACCTCCGCCTCCTGGGTTCAAGTGATTCTCCTGCCTCAGCCTCCCGAGAAGGTGGGATCACAGGTACCCGCCACCACATCCGGCTAGTTTTTGTATTTTTAGTAGAGACGGGGTTTCGCCATGTTGGCCAGGCTGGTCTCGAACTCCCAACCTCAAGTCATCCACTTGCCTTGGCCTCCCAAAGTGCTGGCATTACAGGCGTGAGCCACTGCACCTGGCCTCAACATGTAAATTTTAGAGGACACAACTTAACGTGTAACATCTCTTAACAATCTCTGGTCTCTTTTACACCCTGGCTGGAACCTCCTGCTCTTGCCTGGACAACTGCTCACCCGATTGACGTCTAACTCCTCACACTCACCCTTTGCCATCCTTGCCAGCAACCAGTCTTTTCTCTGGTAATTAAACACTGAACTATCAGATACATGACTGGAGAGTCATTAAACATTAAATCAGATTGTGTCTCTGGTCCGATAAGAATCCTCTGGAAACTGGCCAGGCTCAGGTGCTCACGCCTGTAACCCCAGCACTTTGGGAGGCCGAGGTGGGTGGATCACTTGAGGTCAGGAGTTCGAGACCAGCCTGGCCAACATGGTGAAACACCATCTCTACTAAAAATGCGAAAATTAGCTAGACGTGGTGACACACGCCTGTAATCCCATCTACTTAAGAGGCTGAGGCAAAAGAATCCCTTGACCCTGGGAGGCGGAGGTTTCAGTGAGCCAAGATCGCGCCACTGCACTCCAGGCTGGGTGAGGGAGCAGGGGCAAAAAAAAAAAAGAATGCTCTGGAAGCTCTCAGAACACTTCAAGGTGCTGCCTGGGCTGGCTCATGCCTCCCTCCGTGACCTCACCCCCACCACATTCCCCACACCCCAGCATGATCTCCTCCTGGTTTTCCAGGTCCGGTCCTTTCTCCGCTCTGGGCTGCTGTACTGCGGTTCCCTCAGCCTGATGTGCTTCTCCCTACATCTTCACTTAATAAATTTGTGCTGCGGAGCTCAGAGCTGCCTCCTCTGAGAAGCATTCCTTGATCTCTACCCCTCCAGCCTGCTGTCTGCCCCGCCCGCCATTGCCTCCTTAGCTGCCTGGTTCCTCTGCGCCTCCCCCACCACCTGAGGAATGGGTGACAGTGGGACACAGCAGGGGGCGAGATGACCAAAGCCAGGCTTATTTCGGTGGGATGGGGTCACTTGCTGCCGGCTTGTCCTAGATGCTCTGGTCACCAGCGTGGGCAGAGCCAGGGAGGGGCCCTGATTTGGAAACTCAGAGTTCAACTCAGCCCTTGAGCTCCTGGGTGGATTTGAAGGGGTTTTCCCATGGGGATGCTGGATGACTGGCTGTCACCCCAGTGGCTTGGCCTGCAGGACCCGCCCTTCTCAGATGAGGACCCCAAGGCTGGCAGGGCCCGGGAGTGCCCAGGGCTGGCTGGCTTCATTTGGGCCCCAGGCCAGTCGGCTCGGAATGGCTGCTGGGGCGCTAGCGGCCTTGGCCTCCAAAATGTCTGCAAGAGTTGCTGGAAGCTGCCCTGCCCTGGCTGGGCTGGGGCTCTTTCTGAATGCAGGAGTCTGTCTGTCTGTCTGTCTGCCTGTCTGTCCGAACAGCTCACTGTGTTGTTGCACAGGGGCAGGAAGGGGCCCACACGGGCAGCTCCAGGGGCTGGGGGCGGGTGAGCCAAGCCCTTTCTTCCTGTTCCTCCTGCTCAGGTTGAGGCTTCACTTTCCATGGAGAGAGGCCCCTTCCTGCACCCTGGGGAGGGAGGCTGTCCACAGGTAGGGCCAGGCCCGGTCAGTGGTGCATGGCCTGAGTAGGGTGGGGGGGCACGGGACCCCTGGAAGGTGAGAGACCAAGAGCCTTAGCTGGTCTGGGGGCTGGTGTGGGGGCGAGCAGAGCCAGTCCCGCCCTTCCCAGCAAGTGAGGACGACCATGACCTGGTTCCTGGAAGGCGGAACAAGGAGGTGAGCCACCTGCTCGACCCCGCCCACCCCCTCCTCCACGGGCCCCTCCCCCAGCACCATGGCAGATGCGGGGCTTCGCATGTCCCGGGGACCCTCATTGCCCTCAGAGTCCTGGCCACCCTCACCCTCCTGACTTTGACCTGCTGCTGTCTAAAAAGCAGTGCCCACCCCCCGGACTTTCAGCGGCTCACCCCGCTCCCCGGCTCCCCCTGCCTCAGGCCTGCAGGCCCGGTGAGGGCTCACTCGCTGGCAGGGCTGGGGGTGTCCTGTCCCCAGGAAGGCCGCAGCTGGTCTCCACTCAGTCTGAATGAGGGGTGACTGGAAGCCCCCCTCAGGGGGGCCTAGTCCCTCCTAGCTGCCTACCCCGCCATCCCCACCTCGAGGGCTTGACGGGCACTAGAAGGGCCCTCAGCTTTGGATAGAAGGAGGACCCCCACCCCACATTGCTTCACAGAAAGGAGGAGTATTTGCCTCGAACATGACAAGTGCTCAGAACAACTGTTCCTGTTGCCGGAGTGACAGGGAATCCAGGAGGGGAGGGCGGTGTAGACACAGGTGGGGCTCCTGCACTGGCCCCACAGGTGTCAGGCGTGGAGGAGGGAGGGACTGGGCAGAAGCGGCCCCTCCCCGGCCTGGGGCTTGGGATCTTTCCGGGAGACACCGAGGGAGACAGTAGAGGCCGCTCCTCCCTGCTGCGCGGCACCCCCACCCCCCCGCAGGGGTGGATGGGCACCTCGGAGGCAAGCCAGGGGCTGGTGGGGGCCGGAACAGGTGAGGAGAGGGCTGGGCAGCACCGAGCAGGTGGGGGCCTCTGGGTCCTGGCATCCCATGCTGTCCTCGGGCCTCACGGGGGACACGGCTTGGTCCCTGGCCTGCCCCCCGGGGCCTTCCCACGACCCCCGCCTCCCCAGCAGATCTGTGAGGTCCAGGCAGGCCTCTTCTCAGGACCCCAGGAAGGGCCATTTGGGCACCCCACACAGCCCCCGAGGCTTCCTGCCTTAGACTGGGCAGTACGGGGGAGGGTGGGGCCCACAGGGACTTGTCTGGAACCACATGGCTGGCAGGGCACAGCCCAGTGGGGTCCCTCCGAGCCAAGGCACTTCCACAGGAGGGCCCCCAACACCGCCTCCCAGGTCAGGGAGGGAGTTTGGTGATTAGTGAGGGGTGGGCTGGGAGCTGTGGCCGGCGGGATTCTGAGGTGGCCCCAGGATCCCCCCTCGGTGTCTCTGTGCTCCATGACCCCCTCCCTGGAGTATGGGCCACCTCTCCTGTGATTGTTCTGTGTGGCACCGGTGGAAGGACTTTTTACTTTTTTTCTTTCTACTTCTCCCGTGGTGTTGCAGTGGCGGGATTTCTGCAGGTGTGACCGGGGTTTCTAATCAGGTGACTTGGCGTTCATCAGAAGGGAGGTTGATCTGGCCGAGCCTGGCTAGCTCAGGTGCACCCTTTAAGAGGCTGGAAGCCACAGAGCCGCCCCCTCCTGATGCCAAAGAAGCATATGGCCATCGGCTCCACAGCTGCGAGAAAGATTATGCACACAACGACATGCGCTCAGGAGGGGACCTCGCGCCTCGGTTGAGATCCCAGCCCTGGCTGACACCTTGAGTGCAGCCTGTGAGACCCTGAGCAGAGGTTCAGCAGTCCCCTCCCCGGACTCCTGCCACACAGAAGCCATGAGGTAAGTGGGTGTTGTTTCGAGATGATAAATTACTAGTGATTTGTTCTGCAGCAATTGTGTGCTGGAGCGCAGAGGGGCTGGCAGGATGGGGGGTGGTGAGGGGCGAGGCTCATTAGGCAGGTTGTGGACCCCCAAAGGCTGCAGTGATAGCCCGCTCAGGTCCAACACCCTCCTCGTCAGTGGGGGCCTGGTAGGCCCTGTGCACAAAATGGCCCCGGCTACGGTTAAGTGCCTCCAGCTGGGCCCATTCCTCTGGGGCTTCAGTATGGGGAAGGGGGTGATTGGCCTCCTTCCTCGGCAGCCGGATGTGTTCTGTTGGCCACGCAGGCCGGGAAGCAGAGCAGGTGGCTGGAGGGCCGGTGGAACGGGTATCTGGAGGCAACCGTGGCTGGTGCTAGCAGCCTGAGGCCAGGGACTCTCATACCCTCTGTCTCCTGAGAACCCCCTTGGGTACGTCTGGCTTCTGGTCCTTGAACCAGGTAGTCGCACCTGATGGGAAAAACAGGGCGAGTACACCTGGGGCAGGTGTTATGCGCTTCGATTTCCACTTTTAGAGCCAGGAGCGGTGGCTCACACCTGTAATCCCACCATTTTGGGAGGCTGAGGCGGTGGATCTTTTGAGCTCAGGAGTTTGAAACCAGCCAGGGCAACATACTCTGTCTCCACAAAAAATTAAAAAATTAGGCCATGGCTCATACCTGTTATCCCAGCACTTTGTGAGGTCGAGGCGGGCGGATCACCTGAGGTCAGGAGTTCGAGACCAGCCTGACCAACATGGTGAAACCCTGTCTCTATAAAAAAAAAAAAAAAAAAAAAAAAAAAAAAAACTACAAAATTAGCCGGGGGTGGTGGCGGCACATGCCTGTAATCCCATCTACTTGGAAGGCTGAGGCAGGAGAATCGCTTGAACCTGGGAGGTGGAGGTTGCAGTGAGCCGAGATCACACCACCACACTCTAGCCTGGGCAGCAAGAGTGAAACTCTGCTTCAAAAAAAAAAAAAAAAAAAATTAAAAAACTAGCTGGGTGTGCTGGTGCACACCTGTGGTCCCAGCTATTTGGGAAGCTGAGGTGGGAGGATTGCTTGAGCTCAGGAGTTAAAGGCTGCAGTGAGCCAAGGTGGCATCACTGCACTCCAGCCTGGGTGACAGAGTGAGACTGTTTCAAAAAGGAGGCCGGGGAAAGTGTGCCTGGGCAGGTGTGTGAGCTGGCGTGTGCGCTGAGCTCATCCTGTTCTCGCTGAGCTGTGATGGGGCCGGGTTTGGCAGAGGGACAATGCAGGCGGGAGACAGGCTTGGAGACTGCTGTGCACGCCTGCCAGTGGCTGTGCCCTGCGTGAGTGCCGGGCTGAGGGATGACAGGCTTGGAGACTGCTGTGGTCACACCTGCCAGTGGGCGTGCCCTGCATGTGTGAGGGGCTGAGGGATGACAGGCTTGGAGACTGATGTGGCCACACCTGCCAGTGGCAGTGCCCTGCGTGAGTGAGGGGCTGAGGGATGGGAATGTTTATGAATACGGGGACCCAGGAAAGGGTCTCCTTTGCTGTCCTAGTGCCTTCCCCGGATTCTCCAGATCCTCTCAGCATTACACTCTAGAGAAAGGGGCCCCATCAGCTCCTTAGCACACGAGGGAAGGAGACAGACAGAGGGGCCGGGCATGGTGGCTCACACCTGTCATCCCAGCACTTTGGGAGGTTGAGGGGGGCAGTTTGCTTGAGCCCAGGAGTTGAAGACTAGCCTGACCAAGATTTTGAAACCCTTCGTCTACTAAAAGTTAAAAAATTAGCTGGGTGTGGTAGTACACACCTGTAATCCCAGCTATTCGGTAGGCTGAGGCAAGATAATTGCTTGAACCCAGGAAGTGGAGGTTGCAGTGAGCCACGATCACACCACTCAACTCCAACTTGGGCAGCAGAGTGAGACTGCCTCAAAAAAAATAAAACTAAAAAAAATAAAGGAAAACAGGCAGAGGAGAGGAAATGCTAATGGGGAAGCGGCTGCCTTTCAGGGTGATGATAATGTTCTGGAATGAGATAGTTGTGATGGATGCACAACCCTAGGAACTTACTAAAAGCCATTGATGGTCCGGGCTCTATGGCTCACACCTGTTATCCCAGCACTTTGGGAGGCCAAGGCGGGTGGATTACGAGGTCAATAGATCAAGACCATCCTGGCCGACACAGTGAAACCCGGTCTCTACTAAGAATACAAAAATTAGCTGGACATGGTGGCGTGCGCCTGTAGTCCCAGCTACTCGGGAGGCTGAGGCAGGTGAATCGCTTGAACCAGGGAGGTGGAGGTTGCAGTGAGCTGAGATCACGCCATCGCGTTCCAGCCTGGGCGACACAGCGAGACTCCATCTTAAAAAATAAATAAATAAATAAAAGACAAAGGCAGGTGGCAGGCCCTGATGACTGATGGGACACAGGACAGGCAGGGCAGCGAGGATGACTGTCTCACTCATTTGTGGTCTCCTCCCTCAGACAAGAGGATGGAGGACAATCCCCTCTGCCACCTGTGCTGCATGGTGCTTATGGGAGATGCCGGGCAGGGCCCAGGAGGCAGCTGGACATGACGTCCAGGTCTCATTTGCAGAAGGGAGGGCTGACAAACCGTGAACCCCAAAAGTGGCAGAGCAGAAGAGGGCTGAGGTCCAGCCCCCAAATCACCAACCCCCACTCCAAGGTTGGGCTGGATCAAGGCGCTCACGAAGGGGGCTGGGAGGGGAAGCCAGAAGAGCTGGCACTGGAGGGGACCTGGGAGGGCGGTCAGTGCCCACGGCCAGCTCAGAGACACACCTGCTGGCCTGAGCGACAGGGGTCCTGTGCCACTCTGTCTTGGCAGAGGAGGTGGGACAGGAGGCTAGGCTGGGACCACTGGGGAATGGGGCCCACCTTATGACTGTGGGTCAGGTCCCGGGGGGCCAGGGGCTCCCGGAACTGGCCACTGCCCCACCCCCATTTTCAAACTTAGAGTTCTTAGTTGATACGTTTCTGATGCCTTGGGGATTTATTTTAAATTTCATGAGATGTTGTTGGCACTGTCATGTCAAAGGGCACGGACACACACCATGTGGTGCAAATGTCATACAGCAGGGTTTGTGGGCGAAGCACCAGCAGAGGCAGGGCTGGAAGCAGGAGCTGCCCCGCTGAGCTGCTGCCGGGCTGCACGCTCCGCGGCCAGCGTTCACCCGCACGCTTTAACTCTGTGACAGTGACTGGGCAGGCGACATCTGGTGGCCCTGGAACTTTGCAAGGGGAAGGCTCTGAAGCTCACTTAGTGGCTGTCAGGCCCTTGTCATGGCTGAGTGGCCACCAGGGTGCGGGTTGGTGGCCATGAAGCCACCCAAGGCAACAGCATCATCTAAATTCACGTCCATTGGAGAATCTCAGCCCAGCAACGCGAGCTGCCGTCTGTCTTCTAAGGTCAAAGCAGGCGTGAGGCAGAGGAAGAGTGGGCCAGTCCCGGTCAATGACGCAAATATCCAAAAGGGAAGAGAAGCCGATATTCTTCCTCTGATTCGCCTCATACCCGCTTAGGGGTGCCCAGAGCAGGGCATGGCATCATGTGACCATGGCGGGAAGATGCTGGCCGTGGAGGCCCCATCACAGAGGCAAGGAGCCCACAGGTGGAGGGCGCAGGCTTGGCAGGTAGCAGAGGCTGCAGTGACTCAGGCTGCTGTGACCCGGGCGTTTCTCTCGTATCTTGGGCATGTGGAGAGCTTCCCCTTCTGCAGGGGGCCTGATCAGAGGTCCAGCTGGTGGCGGCATGAACTGGACCATCTTTCAGCAAGTACCTTCCTCGGGCATGGCTGCCTCCTGTGGGCGTACACATTTGGACCACACAGTGGGAGTCGGGATTGGAGTACTGGGTCTGTAGCCTTGGCCATGAGTCCAGCTGGGGGCAGTTAGGTCAGCCTCGGGGCAGGATGCTTCAGGGCCGAGAACAGTGCCCAAAGCGCAGCCACTGTGTTGTGTGTCCTCTGCCATAGGCAAAGGATGGACGGGTGGGCAAGTCTGCCCTTGGCCCAGGGGTGCCACTTGCCCAGGCTTATGCAGATGAGTCTAGGCGTAACGCAGGCTAATGGCGAGAACAGAGCATCCTGCCTCTTCCAGCAACACGACGCAAATGTCCTGCCATATCCGGGCCTGGGAGAGGCCACAGGCTGCAGCTGGCCCCCCAGCAGCCCTTCCAGAGGCCCCAACCCCAGGTGTCTCCGTCCACTCTTGGTCCAGGTTACGTCTGGGCCAGGTGACTGTAACAGCCCAGGCATGGGGAGGGGTCTCCCCCTGGGCACTGGCATGGAGATGTGACGGAGTGTGGTTTCACGGCGGCCAACTGTTGCTGCAAGAGGGATGTGAACAAGTACCAGCTCCACACGGTGAGATGGAAAATAGGATTTATTGGGGGAACCGTACAAGCAGAGGAGAAGCAGGGGTGCCCAGGCTGTCACAGCCTTGCAGTGCATGGTGGGTTCCGTGGCCAACTTGCCAGGGGACAGGCCTGTTGCTGGCACTCCCCCCACAATTACAGGGTGGGAGTGAAGGACCTCGCGGCTGCGGACAGGTCCTTGTTAGTAAGGAGGAGGCTCTGCAGTCCCGGTGGGGTCATCTTGCCTCTCCGGACTGCTCCCTCTGACTGGTGAAGCCACACTCTGTGAAGCTGTCTGACAGAAGGGGACACGCCTTTGCTGCCCAGGATGGACCTGGGCCACCCAGGATGCCGCTGGCCTCAGCCAGGGCACGTGTGCCCAGCGCTGGCTCCTGCTGACCCCTGGACTGGCTCCCATCTCGGGAATGACGCCTGCCGTGGGAATCGTGGAGAGGGGGTTTAATTTAACTTGGAAGGAGCACAGAAAGGAAAGTGTGGAGTGCGGAGCGAGGCCTCTGGTTTGGCCAGCTCCGGTTGCTGGGGATGGCCACACCCTGGCAGCAGGCGGCCAGAGACCAGGAAGGCCTACCCAGCACCTGTCCAGAAGAGATTGGTGTGGGTTGACCTGGCCTATGCGGGGCAGCTCAGTTTGAAGCAGGAACTTCCCCAAACGTGCCCAGGCTCCAAGACAGCAGCATTCACTTTGCACCGTGCTGAGCAGAGCGGGGCCTCGCCAGGTGGAAAGCCCTAGGAAGGCTGCGTGCTCTGCAAACCCAGGGGTGCTGTGGCCGTACAGCAGGGGCGTCCGTGTCCAGGCAGCTTTGTCATGTCTTCCAAAGGTCAGGAAGGCGCCACCGCCCTGCCCCACGACAGCTGCGTCTGCAAGCGCCAGCTCTGAGCACTGTTCTCCGCCGACATGAGGACACCATCCAAGAATTCCTCCTGGGAGACCTCCTGAGGAGACGCGAAGACCATCGATGCTTTGGAAGAATGAAAAGAAGTTTCTGCTAAGCCAAACCTAGGTGGATGGGAAGTGCCTGTGTGGATGTGAAGCCACCTTGGGTGGGCGGCTCGGAGCTCCTCTGCCCACATCGCCTCACTGGGACTCGCCATCCAGTCTGACGTCTTTGATGTCCCTAATTACAAAGAGACACATGTTCATTGCACACATCAAAACATGGTGGAAATAGATAACACAGAAAGTTCAGGATTCCTGGAATCCTTTTTCCTGGGGATGCCACAGTCTAGAACATTTATTTTTGAGACGGAATCTTGCTCTGTCACCCAGGCTGGAGTGCAGTGGTGCGATCTCGGCTCACTGCACCCCCCGCCTCCTGGGTTCAAGTGATTCTCCCACCTCAGCCTCCTGAGTAGCTGGGACTACAGGTGCATGCCATCATGCTCAGCTAATTTTTTTTTTGTATTTTATTAGAGACGGGGTTTCACCATGTTGGCCAGGATGGTCTCGATCTCCTGACCTCAGGTGATCCACCCACCTCCGCCTACCAAAGTGCTGGGATTACAGGCATGAGCCACCTCACCTGGCTGATCATTTTTACACACACATCCATCCATCCGTATCAATTCCTTTACAACATGAGGTTGCTTCGTGACACACACCTGGGGAATTCCCTGCTTCCCACACCAGCATGTTTGGGGGAGAACCACCCAACACTTCCAAAAAGTTTCAATTCGTGCCCTAGAAGCCACAGGCCATCACACCCAAGCCTCAAGGTTCTTCATCAAGAAACACAAAGTTCTCCTTTAATTAATTTTCTTTTTTGAGATATGGTGTCACTCTGTCACCCAGGCTGGAGTGCAGTGGTGCCATCAGAGCTCACTGCAGCCTCCACCTCCTGGGCTCCAGTGATCCTCCCACCTCAGCCTCCCAAGTAGCTGGGACCACAGGTGCACACCACCACATCTGGCTAATTAAAAAAAAAATTTTTTTTTGTAGAGATGGGGTTCTCCCTGTGTTGCTCAAGCTGGTCTCGAACTCCTGAACTCATGTGATCAGGTTCTGTTTTAGTACTGTAAGGGATTTTTTTTTTTTTTTTTTTGAGATAAGAGTTTTGCTCTTGTTGCCCAAGCTGGAGTGCAATGGCGCAATCTCTGCTCACTGCAACCTCTACCTCCCAGGTTCAAGCGATTCTCCTGCCTCAGCCTCATGAGTAGCTGGGATTATAGGTGCGTGCCACCACGCCCAGCTAATTTTTTGTATTTTTAGTAGAGATGGGGTTTCACCATGTTGGCCAGGCTGGTCTCAAACTCCTGAACTCAGGTGATCCACCTTCCTCAGCCTCCCAAAGTGCTGGCATGACTGGCGTGAGCCACTGTACCTGGCTGGGATTTTTGCTTTTTAAGAGCTCTACTGAGCTATAATTCACATCCCATAAAATCCGTTAAGTGTACAATTCAGAGTTGTACAACCATCACTGCAATCACATTTAGAACATTTCACCTCCCACCAAAAGAAACCCCAAATCCTTAGTGTCACTCCTCAGCTTCCCTTGCCCCAGGCAGCCACTAATCTTTCTGTCTCTCTAAATGTGCCTATTCTGGGCATTTCGTAAGAACAGAATTACATACACTCTGTGTGCTTTGTGACTGGCTTCTTTAAGATGGTGTTTTCAAGGTGCATCCTCATTGTAGCATGCGTCAGTACTTCGTTCCTTTTTATGGACAATATTTCATCGTATAAATAGACTGTATTTCATTCATTGATGGACATTTTGGGCTTTCAATTTTTGCCTATTAGGAATAATGTTGATATGAACATTTGTGTATACTTCTGTGTGGACATGTGTTTTCAGTTCTCCTGGGTACATACCTAGGAGTGGAATTGCTGGGTCATAGGGTACCTCTATGTTGAACATTAAGAACTCCCAGAGTGTTTTCCAAAGTGGCTGGGCCATTTTGCATCGTCGCCAAGAGAGTATGAGGGTTCCAGTTTCTCCATGTCGTCACCAACACTTGTTAGCTGTCTTTTTAAATAGCCATCCCAGTGGGTGTGAAGTGGTCTGTCACAGTGGTCTTGATTTGCATTTCCCTGAGACTGATGAAGTTGAGAATCTATCCCTATCGGCCATTTGTATATCTTTGAATTCATGGCAGAAATCAAATCTTCTGTGGGAAACTATATATTCAGGTCCTTTGGCCATTTGTTAATTGGGTTGTCTTTTCATTGTTGTAAGAATTCTGGGCCAGGCACAGTGGCTCACTCCTATAATCCCAGCACTTTGGGAGGCTGAGGCAGGTGGATCACCTGAGGTCAAGAGTACGAGACCAGCCTGGCCAACATGGTGAAACCCCATCTCTACTAAAAATACAAAAAATTAGCCAGGTGTGGTGACACACGCCTGTAATCCGAGCTACTCAGGGGGCTGAGGGAGGAGAATCGCTTGAACCTGGGAGGCGGAGGTTGCAGTGAGCCGAGATCTCACCACTGCAGTCCAGCCTGGGGGACAGAACGAGACTCCATCTCAAAAAAAAAAAAAAAAAAAAAAAGTACAGCCCACCTATACAGGGCATGAATTATGAATGGAGCTTGCAGGGTGGGAAGTTGCTGTGGGTGGGTGAGTGAACGTGGAGGCCTAAAGCATTAGTGTATGTCCTGCACACTTAGTATACAACACTCAACACTCAGGCTACACTCATTTTTAAACACTTTCTTCAGTAATAAATTAACCTAAGCTTACTGTAACTTGATGTTTAAACTTTTTGCTTTTTTTAATTACACTCAGTTTAAAACACAAATACATTGTACAGCTGTACAAAAATATTTTCTTTAGAACCTCATTCTACAAGCTTTTATTTATTTATTTTTTGACATGGAGTCTCGCTCTGTTGCCCAGGCTGGAGTGCAGTGTCGCAATCTCGGCTCACTGCAAGCTCTGCCTCCCGGGTTCACGCCATTCTCCTGCCTCAGCCTCCCGAGTAACTGGGACTACAGGCACCTGCCACCACGCTCGGCTAATTTTTTGTATTTTTAGTAGAGATGGGATTTCACCATGTTAGCCAGGATGGTCTTGATCTCCTGATCTCATGATCTGCCCACCTTGGCCTCCCAAAGTGCTGGGATTACAGGCATGAGCCACCGCACCCGGCCTCTATAAGCTTTTATTTTTAAGGATTTTAAAATTTTTAAGTTGGACTTTAATTTTTTGAGACAGTATTTTTTTTTTTTTTTTTGAGATGTAGTCTTCCAGGCTGGAGAGCAGTGGCACGATCTCGGTGCACTGCCACGATCTCAGTGCACTGCAGCCTCAGCTTCCCAAGTAGCTGGGATTACAGGTGTGTGCCACCATGCCTGGCTAATTTTTTTTTTTTTTTTTTTTTGAGATGGAGTCTCGCTCTGCCACCAGGCTGGAATGCAGTGGCATGAATGTCGGCTCACTGCAACCTCCAACTCCCTGGTTCAAGCAATTCTCCTACCCCAGCCTCCCGAGTAGCTGGGATTACAGGCACACGCCACCACGCCCAGCTGATTTTTGTATTTTTAGTAGAGACGGGATTTTACCGTGTTAGCCCGGACGGTCTTGATCTCCTGACCTCGTGATCCGCCTGCCTCGGCCTCCCAAAGTGCTGGGATTACAGGCGTGAGCCACTGTACCTGGCTAATTTTTGTATTTTTAGTAGTAGAGATGGAGTTTCTTCACGTTGGCCAGGCTGGTTTTGAACTCCTGACCTCAAGTGATCCACCCACCTCAGCCTCCCAAAGTGCTGGGATTACAGGTGTGAGCCACCATGCCCGGCCAAGGATTTGAATTTTTTGCTTAAAAACTAAGACACACACTATCCTAGGCCTGCACAGGGTCAGGGTCATCCATGTCACCATCTTCGACCTCCACATCTTGTCCCACTGGAAGGTCTTCAGGGACAATAATACATTTAGAGCTGTCATCTCCTATGACGACAGTGCCTTCTTTTGGATACCTCCAAAAAGTCTTGAAGGACCTGCCTGAGGCCGTTTTACAGTTAAAAAAAATTTTTTTTTTTTTTTGATACAGAGTCTCACTCTGTTGCCCAGGCTGGAGGGCAGTGGCACCATCTCAGCTCACTGCAACCTCCACCTCCCAGGTTAAGCGATTCTCACGCCTCAGCCTCCCAAGTAGCTGGGATTACAGGCTGGCGCCACCATGCCTAGCTAATTTTTGTATTTTTAGTAGAGACGGGGTTTCACCATGTTTCCCAAGCTGGTCTGGAACTCCTGACCTCAGGGGATCTGCCTGCCTCAGCCTACCAAAGTGCTGGGATTATAGGTGTGAGCCAATGCTGTGGCTGGCCTACAGTTGACTTTTTAAATAAGTAGGAGTATATTCTAAAGTAATGATAAAAAGTATAGTAAATAATCTAATAACATATTTATTATCATTATCAAATATTAGGTACTATACATAATTGTATGTGATCTTTTTTTTTTTTTTTTTGAGATGGAGTTTCACTCTTGTCACCCAGGCTGGATGGAGTGCAATGGCACAATCTCGGCTCACCACAACCTCCACCTCCCAGTTTCAAGCGATTCTCCTGCCTCAGCCTCCCAAGTAGCTGGGATTACAGGTGCGCTGTACCTGTAGCCAAGCCTGGCTATTGTATTTTTAGTAGAGACGGAGTTTCTCCATGTTCCCCAGGCTGGTCTGGAATTCCTGACCTCAGGTGATCCGCCCGCCTCAGCCTCCCAGAGTGCTGGGATGACAGGTGGGAGCTGTCGTGCTCTACTTTTATTTCTGAGACAGGTTCTCTCTCCGTCCGCTGGGCTGGAGTGTAGATGCATGATCACAGCTCACTGCAGCCTCAACCTCCCAGGCTCAGGTGACACTTCCATCTCAGCCTCCGAAGTAGCTGGGCATGTACCACCACACACAGCTAATTTTTAAATTTTTTTGTAGAGACGGGATCTCACTATGTTGCCCAGGCTGGAGTGCAATGTCGTGATCTTGGCTCACTGCAACCTCCACCTCCCGGGTTCAAGTGATTCTCCTGCCTCAGCCTTCCAAGTAGCTGGGATTACGGGTGCTCGCCACCACGCCTGGCTAATTTTTTGTATTTTGAGTAGAGACAGAGTTTCACTATGTTGGCCAGGCTGGTCTCGAACGCCTGACCTCAGGTCATCCGCCCACCTCGGCCTCCCAAAGTACTGGGATTACAGGCGTGAACCCCCGCGCCTGGCCTGCTTGTGGGGGTTTTCACGGATGCTCTTGATCAGGCTGAAGAAACTCCTTTTATTCCTAGTTTGTTGAATGTTTTTATCATGAAAGCGTGTTGGAGGTTGTCAAATGTTTTGTGTCTATTCAGTGATCACACGGTTTTTGTCCTTTTCTCTACTGATCTGGTATGCAGGCATCCCCATCACACACTAGGCTTGGTGACTGCACTTGAGGGACTCACAGGACTTAGCCTACCATCATACTAGTGGCTGGGATTTACTACGGTGAAAAGATGCGACGCAGAATTAGTAACAGGAAGATGCATTTGGGGTGAGGGCCGGAGGAAACCAGGTACAAGCCCCCAGAGTCCCCTCCCCTGGGGTCCCCTCCCGCAGAATGTGCTGAATCCTCCAGCCTCGAGCTGTGACATGTGCAAAGTGTTCTCTACCAGGGAAGCCTGCCTGAGCCCAGGAGTCCAGGGTTTTCACTGGGGGTTGCTCATGTAGGTACGTTGTGCCTGCGTGACTGAATATGGTCACCGAAATGCCAGGCTCAGAAGAAAAGCAAGTGTTCAGCAAATATCACATGATTTGTATAGAAAAGAGTGAGCAGTTGTTATTTGGGGATAGTATTGTATCCACATAGGAGCTCTTTACCAGTCAAGTTCCCAGATGCCAGCTGGGCGTGGTGGCTCATGCCTGTAATCCCAGCACTTTAGGAGTCCGAGGCGGGTGGATCACTTGAGGTCGGGAGTTCGTGACCAGCCTAGCCAACATAGCGAAACCCCGTCTCCACTAAAAATACAAAAATTAGCTGAGCGTGGTGGTGCGCACTTCTAATCCCAGCTACCTGGGATCACTCACAGTGATCTTGCAGTGAGCCAAGATCACACCACTGCACTCCAGCCTGGGCGACAGAGTGAGACTCCGTCTCAAAAAAAAAAAAAAAAAAAAAAAAGTTCCCAGATGCCAGCCAAGGGTGAACCTTGCACACAGGCTGTTCTTAGGGCAGCAGTCTCAGGCCTGCTGTGTTACATTAATTGGTTTTGCATGTTGATGCATTCCTGGGATAAATCTTACTTGGTCATGGTATATAATCCTTTTTTATGTTGCTGGATTCTGTTTGCTGGTATTCTACGTTCCTAAGAAATACTGGTCTGTAGTTTTCTCTTTGTGATTCCTTTGCTTGGTTTTGATATCAGGGTGATACTGGTCTTAGAGAATGAGCTGGGGCCAAGCATTGCGGCTCATGCTTGTAATGCCAGCACTTTGGGAGGCCAAGGCAGGTGGACTGATTGAGCCCAGGAGTTGGAGACCAGCCTGGACAACATGGGAAAACCCCGTTTCTACTAAAAATAGAAAAATTAGCCAGGCGTGGTGGTGCGTGCATGTAGTCCCAGCTACTCAGGAGGGTGAGGTTCAAGTGAGCTGAGATGGCACCACTGCACTCCAGCCTGGGTGTCAGAATGAGACTCTGCCAGAATGAGGTCCATAGTAAGGTCTCATCTTTATTCCTGATTTTAGTATTTTCAGTATTCTTGCTTTTCAATTTTTTTGATCTGTAGATAGAGCTAAATATTTGTCAATTTTATTGATCCTTATACAGAACCAACTTTTGGTTTCATTTATTATTTATTTCCTTCCTTCTGCTTCAGTTTTTTTTTTTTTTTTTTTTTTTTTTTTGAGATGAGTCTTGCTCTGTCGCCCAGGCTGGAGTGCAGTGGCGCAATCTCGACTCACTGCAACCTCCACCTCCTGGGTTCAAGCAATTCTCCTGCTACAGGCTCCCACCACCACGCCTGGCTAATTTTTCTATCTTTAGTAGAGATGGGGTTTCACCATGTTGGTCAGGCTGGTCTTGAACCCGTGGTCTCGTGATCTACCTCCCTCGGTCTCCCAGTGTGCTGGGATTACAGGTGTGAGCCACCACGCCCAGACTTTTAGTTCTTTTTTTTTTAGTTTTTCTATTTTTTGTGGAGATGAGGTCTTGCCCATGCTAGTATGGAACTCCTGGGCTCAAGCGATCCTCCCACCCTAGCCACCCAAAATGCTAGGATTACAGGTGTGAGCCACCATGCTTGGCCCTGTTTATTCATTTAGAGATGGGATCTTGCTCTGTCTCCCAGGCTGGAGTGCAGTGGTACAATCATGCTTCACTGCAGCCTCAATCTCCCAGGTTCAAGCGATACTACCAGCACATGCTACCATGACTGGCTGAGTTTTTGGCAGAGACGAGGTCTCACCATGTTGCCCAGGCTTCTTCCTTTTTAATAGAAGTGTTTTTAGCTATAGATTTCCCTCTAAGCACGGCTTTCAGTGCATCCCATAAGTTTTATTTCAAAGTATTTTATAATTATCTTCTTTGGCTCATTGTTTTGTTTGTTTTAAATTACACACAGGGTCATGCTCTGTTGCCCCAACTGGTTTCAAACTCCTGGGCTCAAGTGATCCTCCTGCCTCTGCCTCCCAGAGTGTTGAGATTACAGGCGTGAGCCACCATGCCCAGTCTGACTCACTGGTTTCTTATAAGTGTGTTCTTTAATTTCTACGTATTTCTGAGTTTCCCAAATTTCTCTGTTTTTGATTTGGTTTTTGTTTGTCACCTAGGCTGGAGTGCAGTGGCACAATCTTGGCTCACTGCAACCTCTGCCTCCCGAATAGCTTGGATTACATGCATGTACCACCATGCCTGACTAATTTTTGTATTTTTAGTAGAGATGGGGTTTCACCATGTTGGCCAGGCTGGTCTCGAACTCCTGACCTCAAATGATCTGCCTGCCTTGGCCTCCCAAAGTGCTGGAATTACAAATGATCTGCCTGCCTTGGCCTCCCAAAGTGCTGGAATTACAGGTATGAGCCACTGTATCCAGCCGTGAAAGGACTGAAATGATACAAAGTATGTTCTTTGACCATAGTGGGATGTAATTACAAACCAATAACAAGGCTGGGCACAGTGGCTCTTGCCTGTAATCCCAGCACTCGGGAGACCCGAGACAGGAGGATCATTTGAGGTCAGAAGTTTGAGACTCAGCCTGGCCACCATGATAAAACCCTATCTCTACTGCAAATACAAAAATCAGCTCGGTGTGGTGGTACATGCCTGTAATCCCAGCTACTCAGGGGGCTGAGACAGGAGAATTGCTTGAACCCGGAAGGTAGAGTTTGCAGTGAGCTGAGATCATGCCGCTGTACTCCAGCCTGGGCCACACACAGACTCCATCTCAAAAAATAAAATAATGGACTCTTGCTTTATGGCCTGGCTGTGGTTGAGAAGAACCTGAATTCTGCTGCTGGCAGCTTCCCTCTTGTTCTCTCTCTGTCCCATGGCTGTCATGTGAAGGATGCTCAAGTGGGCCCAAGGAGGGGTCCCTATGGTGAGGAGCAGGGCCTCCAGCCTCACTTGGGCCTTCAGATGACTGCCACCCTGGCTGACAAATTCTCTTCAACCTCAGGAGTCAGAACCACCCAGCCCAACCACTCCCATAATGTTGACCCACAAAAGCTGAGACAGCAAATATTTGTTGTTTTAAGCCCACTACGTTTTGTTGTAATTGGTCATGCACCATTAGATAACAAATACAATTACCCATAAATCTGCTGGCTTTCAGGAGAACACGTCTTGAAGCACAGCTGAACTTGAATCTTTTCTGTGGAAAAATAATTGAAAATATGAATTAATAATTCTTCTCTTGTTGAAGCTGACAGAACCAAGGACACACACCTTGTTAACGACGCCCTCAAGGCTGTGAGGAGAAAGACAACCGGGTGAAGCAACGCTGGGAATTCAACGCATCAATTACCTTCCCAGGTAACAGCAGCTACTTGAGCTCCTAAGAGTTGACCTTCAGCTGCTGTCATGGAAAATAGTGGGGGTCAACTAGACATCAAAGATGAAAGGCCAGGCCTCCAGCACAACTTTCTCTGTAAGCTCGATAGTGGCTTTCTCAAAGAAATCCTTTTCTCAAAAAAATTTCTTGTAAAGACAGGGTCTTGTTCTGTCACCCAGGCTGGACTGCAGTGCATGGCTCACTGCAGCCTCAACCTCCCGGGCTAGAGTGATCCTCCCCTTTTCTGAGGAGCTCAGACCACAAGCGTGCACCACTGTGCCCAGCTGATTTATAAACTTTTTTTTTAGAGACAGGGTTTCACCATGTTGGCCAGGCTGTTTTCTTTCAAGGTTTCACCATGTTGGCCAGGCTGTTTTCTTTTCTTCTCTTTTTTTGAGATGGAGTTTCACTCTTGTTGCCCAGGCTGGAGGGCAGTGGCGCGATCTTGGCTCACTGCAACCTCCGCCTCCCAGGTTCAAGTGATTCTCCTGCCTCCCAAGCAGCTGGGATTACAGCGTAGCTGGGATTACAGGCATGCGTCACCATGTCCAGCTAATTTTGTATTTTTAGTAGAGACGGGGTTTCTCCATGTTGATCAGGATGGTCTCGAACTCCTGACCTCAGGTGATCCGCCTGCCTCAGCCTCCCAAAGTGCTGGGATTACAGGCGTGAGCCACTGTGCCTGGCCAACTTGGATTTGTTACTGTTATACAGGACATGGCCCTTAATATTCACATGAATGACAGTGAGACACACAATGCTTTCTAAAGATTGGTTTTGGCCGGGTGTGGTGGTGCACACCTGTAATCCCAGTTACTCGGGAGGCTGAGGCAGGAGAATCACTTGAACCCAGGAGGCAGAGGTTGCAGTGAGCCAAGATGGCTCCATTGCACTCCAGCCTGGGCAACAAGAGCAAAACTCTGACTCAAGAAAAAAAAAAGGTTGGGCACAGTGACTCACGCCTGTAATCCTAGCACTTTGGGAGGCCAAGACAGGCGGATCACGAGGTCAGAAGATCAAGACCATCCTGGCTAACATGGTGAAACCCCGTCTCTACTAAAAATACAAAAAATTAGCTGGGCTTGGTGGCAGGCACCTGTAGTCCCAGCTACTCGGGAGGCTGAGGCAGGAGAATGGTGTGAACCCGGGAGGCGGAGCTTGCAGTGAGCCGAGATCGCGCCAGTGCACTCCAGCCTGGGCAACAGAGCAAGACTCAGTCTCAAAAAAAAAAAAAAAAAAAAAAACAAAGACTGGTTTCACATTCTGTTTATATGAATAATTTGTGTGTGCACAAAAGCAGTCTGCTCAGTGGGTGCCTGGCCTGGGGCATCAGTTCTGAGCTGGAAGAGATGAGGATGCCCACAGCCCTGCCTCTGCCCCACAGCCTGCCTGTACCTGGGTCCTCCTGCTGGGCCGTGGTGGGGAGCCGCTCCCGTTGCCTCAAGGCCTCCAGGCCTGCCAGGTCAGGCTGATGGCAGTGGCTGCGCATGACCATGATGCGGTGGCCCTGGGTTATGGCGCGGCTGCGGCAGCCCAGCCGAGCCTGGTCCCGGCACATCCAGTACACCTTCTCCCCAGCCGCCTTCTCCTTCCTGTAGAGGAAGGACTCGTGCACCAGGAACCTGCCCCCCAGGGAAGTCCTCAGGAACTCCAGGGGCCGGAGAGGATCTGAAAGGGAAAGTGACACTGTGAGTGGGGCCACAGGGGCCTGGGTGGCAGGGCTGGGGGTCTGATTTGTATCCCCCAGCCAGGCCCCACCAGGAATCTGCGATCCCCTAGCACGCTGCACGGTGGTCCCTGCCCTCCTCCCCTCTGGGCCCTGCAGCCCAGACTCCCACGCTGGCTGGCCCTTTCCAAGGGCTCTGGGGATGACTGGGCACGTGGCCTGGCAAGCACTGGACCCTGAATGCTCCTGAAGGACTCTCCCAACCCCTCAGACCTCATGCTTGCAGGTGCATCCCCCAGGGCAGGGGCTGAGCCTTTCTGGGCTGGGCACCAGGGCCTCCTGGCTCCCTGTCCACCTACCCCTCAGCCAGCTGGCAGCTGACTTTTAACAAGCTGAACTAAAAGGTCACATGATGTTGGGGTGGCCAGAGAGAACCCCGTGAGACTAGAAGCAGTGTGGGTGGCGTGGGGGTAGACCAAGAGTGTCCAGGATCCACCGTACGGCCCGTCAGCAGATGCCAAGCACTCTCTGTGGCTGCCAATGCCACCCCTGGCCACCATCCTCTTCCTCTAGAGAGCTGAGTGGGTTTCTACCTCCGACAGCCAGTCCCCACTACCCAGAGGACCAGCTGCAGGAGCTCGGAGCCCGCAGATGGAGCCTCCTGCCCCTGGGGAGTTTATGGCCCCGGCTGTCAGACCACCATGCACAACACACAACACCCCACGGGCAGCCTCCAGCCAGCGTGTGGGGCACAGGTCCTGGGAGACCAGGCAGACCCAGCCCAGCACCCTCCACACGCACCTGGGCTGTCCCACTGCGCCAGGTTGGGGAAGTGCTCCCGCTGCCGCAGGGCCTCCAGGCCGCCCAGGTCCGGTGGGTGGCAGTGCCTGCGCATGACCATGACCCGCCGGCCCTGGGTGATGGCGCGGCTGCGGCAGCCCATGCGGGCCTGGTCCCGGCAGGTCCAATACACCTTCTCCCCGGCCGCCTTCTCCCGCCGGTAGAGGAAGGACTCGTACACCAGGAAGCTGCCCCCCAGGGGCGTCTTCAGGAACTCGGGGCCTCCTGTTGAGAAATGGGAGGGGAGGAGCAGCGGACACCAGCTCTCAGAGCCCAGATCAGCATGGCCCCGAGATGAGACCTCCCACAACGCCCACACCTCCTCCTCACAGTGAGGTGGCCCCGGAGCCCAGGACACAGATGCCACCATCCCCCCAACTCTGCTGGGGCTCCAGCTGCTGGGGTCCGCCTCCTGAGGCTGGGGACTGGTCAGGTGAGGCCCCTGCAGGTGGCGGCCAAGCGTCCCACCTTGCCATGCCTTCAGGGAGGCAGTGTCTGCTGCGTCACTCGTCCGTCCCCAGCACCCGCCCAGGCTTGCATGCAGGGTGCGCCGTGCCTGGTTGGTCAGAGGAATGACCCGGGGCCCTCTGGGGACAAAGCTGCTCAGGAGCCGGATGGGGCTGAGAGGGGTGGCCCCCGAGAGCCGCGCAGGTAGAGGTGTGACCCCAGGACTCTGAGGAAGAGGCAGGGAGCAGCGTCCACTGTCCTGGATGTGGTGAGAGGGAGGACCTGGCGGGTGGCTGTGCCTTGCCCAGAGGATACCCTTTCCTCCGTGCAGGCTCAGGGGCCACAGAGGTGGGGAGGTGGCCTGGGGCATCGTGGACACATCGGGTGGCAGTGGAAGCAGGGGATGGGGGTGGGTAGCAAGCCCTAGAGGAGAGGCCAGCGGGGGGCGGGAGGGTGTCTGGCTGTGGAACTACCTTCAAGAGGGATGGAGAGGGCTGGGCAGGGGCCATGTGGAGCAGGGAGGCTCGGGAGGCAGGAGGACCCTGAGGGGCACAGCAGCACAGGAGCCTGGGGACCACGAGACAGAAGAGGTCAGGACGAAGGTGGGGACGCCAGGCCACGGGAGGGGGTGGTGTGACCATGGGGCACGCTTTATCCCCTTCCACACGGATGAAAATATCCAGCAAGGGGCTGCGCACGGTGGCTCACGCCTGTAATCCCAGCACTTTGGGAGGCCGAGGCAGGCGGATCACGAGGTCAGGAGTTCAAGACCAGCCTGGCCAACATGGTGAAACCCCATCTCTACTAAAAAAATACAAAAAATTAGCTGGGCGTGGTGGTGTGCACCTGTAATCCCAGCTACTCAGAAGGCTGAGACAGGAAAATCACTTGAACCTGGGAGACAGAGGTTGCAGTGAGCCAAGACCACGCCACTACACTCCAGCCTGGGCGACAAGAGTGAAACTGTCTCAAAAAAAAAAAAAAGACGCCCTCATCTGGGAGGATCAACATCTGATTAACAGGAGCAACAGAAAGGGATGATGATGGGGAAGTTAACAAAGAGCACGAGAGGATGACCCCACGATGAAGGACACAAGCCCAAAGCCTAAAAAGGCCCCCAGCACAGCCAGGTACAGCTGGGAGGGAGCAAAGACCCTAAAACCTCAAGCAAAGCTGACGGCACACAGAGGATCAGTCACGCAAAAGCGGCAGGGACGTTCAAGGGCAGGCTCTGCACCTGTGACACCACGGAGGCCAGGCTGCCCCTCCGGCGGAGGGAAGCGACAGACATTTCAGACATGAAAGGCCTCAACGTGCTACCTCCCGGGACCGGCCCAGGAAACGACGGGAGGCAGGACTTCTCCAAACCACAAAATTATAAAGAAAACCAAGAAAGAGAAAGGCAGGCCCAGAAGCAGGGAGTCAGCACAGTGAACCCCGAGGGACAGCTGGGCCCGGCCTCTGCCCCCAGGCCAGGCTGCACTGGGAGGTTCCAGCAACCTGCGGTTGTGGATGATCGGATCCAGGTGGGGTCGACCTGGACACACAAAAGCAGGCAAACAAACGCAGCAGCTGCCACCCCACAGAGAAGACAGAGCTGTGTTAGGAAGATGGGACCACAGAGCACCCCCCAGTCAGCCGCGAGCAGGTTTCTAGGCTAAAGTGAAACCAAACGTGGCCGGGTATGGTGGCTCACGCCTGTAATCCCAGCACTTTGGGAGGCCGAGGCAGGCAGATCACCTGAGGTTGGGAGTTTGAGACCAGCCTGGCCAACATGGTAAAACTCTGTCTCTGCTAAATATACAAAAATAGCTGGGCGAGGTGGCAGGCGCCTGTAATCCCAGCTACTCAGGAGGCTGAGGCAGGAGAATTGCTTGAACCCGGGAGGCGGAGGTTGCAGTGAGCCAAGATCACGCCACTGCACACCAGCCTGGGTGATAAAGCAAGACTCCGTCTCAAAGAAAAAAAAAAAAAAAAAAGCCTGTGCAAGAAGTGCACTGAGTAGCTGACAAGGAAATGGAAAAACCAATTAATAGTAGTGGAGGCACATTTTAGGAAATAGGGCAGCCAAGACCCTAAGAAACAATTGCTTAGTTACTTGTGGGGTCAGGAGCGGGGGTGAGGACGAGGCGGGGACCTCGCAGCACTGTCTCTCTGGAGATGGAACAAAAAGAGAAAGACAATCACAGCTCTCAAGTCCGAGAGAACTTTAGGGCCATGAGGCAACTCACATGACCCAAAAGCTGCAGGATCCGGAAGAGCCACTGGAAAGAGAGGCCAGCGCCTTGGGGCGTGAAGGAAGAGCAGGTGAGTGGAGGAGGCCACGATGAAATGGCTCCTCAGCCAGACGCTATGGGGACATTTACGCAACTGTGGTTGTGAAGTCAAAACACCAGGCACTGCGGGGGGCCGACCGTGTGGATAAAGATGGAGACAGCCGGGACCCTCCTCGGGCCAGCGTTTCAGGACATTATGGGTGTCTATGGAACAGCGGGCCGAGAGGAGAAACCGGCTGCATGTAAGTAAATATCACCTCCTCAATCCTTAACCACTCAGACGTTAAGACAGCCTTCCACCATAGCAACGAGACTGACCATGTGCAGTCAACACCCTCTATTACTACTATGAACTCTTAAGACAAACGGAGGAAGAGGAGGGCAGGGAGGTCTATCCCTGCTGCTGCTACTGTGGGGCAGGTCAGGCTGGAAGGGGGAGGCTGGGCTGAGCAGGAAGGTGAGACCCATTGAAAGCGGCATCAGGGGGGCCAAGGAGTAGGAGGCCAGGGCCATAGTTCCTTCTAGGATGTTCAAAGAAGGGAAGAGGACGTTTGCCAGGGGGAGCCGCAGCATGGAGAGGGAAAGGCAGTGTGGGGCTCCTGCCTGCTTCCTGGGGCCCAGCTCCCAGCCCACCCCCAGGTACCTGGGCTCCCCCGCTGCGCCGTGTTGGGGCGTTTCTCCCGCTGCCTCAGGGCCTCCAGGCCTCCCAGGTCGGGCGGGTGGCAGTGACCACGCATGACAGTCACCCGTCGGCCCTGGGTGATGGCGCGGCTGCGGCAGCCCATGCGGGCCTGGTCCCGGCAGGTCCAATACACCTTCTCCCCAGCCGCCTTCTCCCGCCGGTAGAGGAAGGACTCGTACACCAGGAAGCTGCCCCCCAGGGGCGTCTTCAGGAACTCAGGGCCTCCTGGGGAGGTTCAAGAGGCAGTCAGGGGAGGGGACAGGGGCTGGGTAGGCCTGATCGCACCCCCTTCCCTCCCTGGACCTCTGGAGGCAAGAGTCAAGGCAGGGCCGGTGAGCCCCAAAGGAAGGCAGCTCACCCGGGTCTGCGTCCATGTCCTGGTGCTCGTCTGGGGCCTCGGGCTGGGTTGGCAGCTCCTGGTCTTCGACCTTTGCTCGCTTTCTGGGCCGAGGCCTGGTGAGAGTCAGGGGACCCGGACCCCTGCGGTAGAGCAAACTATCCACGCCTCGGAGCAGCGTGTCCACTTGGCTCCCAGGGCCGTCCTGCCCAGCCTGCAGCGTCTCCACGGCCTTCTCCTGCTGCCGCCGGGCTTCCAGGCCCTCCATATCGGGCTGGTGGCAGTGCCCACGCATCACAGTCACCCGCTGTCCCTGGGTGATGGCCCGGCTCCGGCAGCCGTGCAGCGCGTGGTCCCGGCAGGTCCAATACACCTTGTCCCCGACAGCCTTCTCCCGCTTGTAGAGGAACGACTCGTGTACCAGGAAGCTGCCCCCGTAGCACGTCCTCAGGAACTCGAGGGGCCGGGCCTGTCCTAGAGGAGAGACCCAAGTGGTCACATCACCAGGGGTGGAGAGGAGCCCAGGAGGGACAGCCCCTGCAGACTGTGGGGGCTGACACGAGCCTTTCTCCTTTAAGGCTGAAATTTACCCTGGCTTCCTGAGCCAGATATGTCAGAGGCCCCAAACCCATTCCCACTGAACCCCTACCACCAAGCGACCCGGAGGAGAGTCTCATTCCTCTCCTAGCGGTCAGTGAGGCCACCCCAGCTCACCCCTACCACCGAGTGACCCAGAGGAGAGTCTCATTCCTCTCCTAGCTGTCAGTGAGGTCACCCCAGCTCAGGCCTGCTCAATGTTGCATCAAGGTTACACCGGGAGGGGCCAACCTGGACTCAGACTCAGTGGTCTCTGTTTTCTGTCACTCCTGCTCATATTTTTTTTAGGTTTTGTTTAACAAATCTACCCATTTTTGAATAAAACACACAAGGTATAATACATTCAAATGGTTCGAAAAGATCACAGTGAAAAATAAGTCTCCCTGTTCCCTGCACCTCCCTTCCCACCCCAGGTGCCCAGGGCAGGGGCCACCTCAGATCCTTAAGGCTGTGTCAGGAGCCACGTGGCCTCCTCGAACCCAAGCCCATGTCCCAGTTACTGGTAATAAAACAGCCAGAACTCCCATCTGCCACTTGCCAAGCCCCAAATGTGCAATTTACACAACAATCCAGGTTATCACAGCCACCTTAGGATAAAGCTCCTGAAACTCCAGAAATTAAGCCAATTTTCTGAGGCTACAGAGCTACCATCAGGGAGGGCTGAAAGTTGAACCTAGGACCCAAAACCCAAGACTCTCCCACCAGCCATCTTTTTTTTTTTTTTTTTTTTTTTTTTGAGACAGGGTCCTGCCACGTCGCCCAGGCTGGAGTACAATGGCTCGATCTTGGCTCACTGCAACCTCCGCCTCCAAGCAATTCTGCCTTAGCCTCCCGAGTAACTGGGATTGCAGGCGCCTCCACGCCCAGCTAATTTTTTTTTTTTTTTTTTGAGACAGAGTCTTGCTCTTTTGCCCAGGCTGGAGTGCGGTGGCACGATCTTGGCCCACGGCAAGCTCCGCCTCCCGGGTTCACGCCATTCTCCTGCCTCAGCCTCCCGAGTAGCTGGGACTACAGGCGCCCGCTACCACGCCTGGCTAATCTTTTTTTGTATTTTTTTAGTAGAGACAGGGTTTCACTGTGTTAGCCAGGATGGTCTCAATCTCCTGACCTCGTGATCCGCCCACCTCGACCTCCCAAAGTGCTGGGATTACAGGCGTGAGCCAAAGCGCCCAGCCTCGCCAGGCTAGTTTTTTGTATCTTTAGTAGAGACAGGGTTTCACTATGTTGGCCAGGCTGGTCTTGAACTCCTGACCTCATGATCCGCCCACCTCAGCCTCCGAAAGTGCTGAGATTACAGGCATGAATCACTGCAGCAGGCCTAGGTGTCTTTCCTGAACTTAATGGACACTAGAATTGCATGGGAACCAGATAAAATTCTGATTTTTTTTTTTGAGACAGGGTCCAGGTCTCTTGTCCAGGCTGGAGGGCAGTGGCGTGATCCCGGCTCACTGCAGCCTCAATCTCCCTAGCTTAAGTGATCCTCCCACCTCAGTCTCCCAAGTGGCTGAGACCACAGGCACACACCACAACAGCTGGCTGATTTTTTGTAGATATGGGGTCTCACTATATTGGCCAGGCTGGTCTTGAACTCCTCGGCTCAAGTGATCCTCCTGCCCCAGCCTCCCAAAGTGCTAGGATTATAGGCATGAACACTGTGCCCAGCCCACATTTATGTATTTTTTTTTTTTTTTTTTTTTTTTTACTGAGATGGAGTCTCGCTCCAGTCACCAGGCTGGAATACAGTGGAGCGATCTGGGCTTACTGCAACCTCTGCCTCCTGGGTTCAAGCGATTCTCCTGCCTCAGTCTCCTGAGTAGCTGGGATTACAGGTGCGCACCAGCATGCCCGGCTAAGTGTTGTATTTTTAGTAGAGACAGGGTTTCACCAAGTTGATCAGGCTGATCTCGAACTCCTGACCTCATGATCCGTCCGCCTTGGCCTCCCAAAGTGCTGGGATTATAGGCGTGAGCCACTGTGCCCGGCCACATTTATATTTTTAAAAGTCATTTTAGCTTTGAGTACATTTTAAAAGACCCTGTGGGACCCCACATTTCTATTTGGGCTGAGGAAGGGCCCTCGGGTCCCCTGCCCCGAGTGGACGCAGCAGGGGAGTGGATTGTACTCACCCAGCCCCAGGATCGAGCGCTTCTTGGGCGGCAGGCTCAGCAGTGACAGGGCTCGGGGTGCCTCCTCCTCCTCCAGGGCCGGCTTGCTCAGCACCAGCCCAGGAGTGGGCTCGGGCTCCTCAGGGCACTGCCACGGGCCCACCCCCTCCAGGGGCTCCTCCACTCGGCCTCCAGGGCCCTCAGGACCCTGGGGCTCTCCCAAGCCCTCTGGCAGGGCCAGGCTGGGCAGTTTCTCCCTCTGGCGCCGGGCCTCCAGGCCTTGCTCATCGGGCGCGTGGCAGTGGCCCCGCATCACTGTGGCCCGCAGGCCTCGGGTGATGGCCCGGCCCCGGCAGCCCAGCTCAGCATGTTGGCGGCACTTCCAGTACACCTTGTCCCCCACTGCCTTCTCCTGCTTGTACAGGAAGGACTCCAGCACCAGGAGGCGGCCCCCGAATGGTGTCCTCAGGAACTCCAGGGACTGAGGGGCTGCTGGGGGAACGGGAAGGCTAGGTTAGCTAAGCTAGAGCAAAGCTCAGGGTCGCAGGCACAGAGAGCCAGGGAGGGCGTGGGGATCCTGAGTATGGCAGGTGCCTTCTCCTCCTGCTCCCAAGCAAGAAGCCCAGACTCTCAGGGCTGGTTTTTATTTTGGGGGTGGTAGTGGATGTTTTTAGGGAGCTGAAGGAATTCTGCACGTCACTGCAACTCCCAGGAGCTCCTGGTACCTGACTGTGATCATCCCACCAGCCTCGGACACGCTCAGGATCAGAGACCAAGAGGCTGAGCTTGGAGCAAGGACAAGACACTATGCTTGAAGCAGGGTGTACAGGGCCTGCTGGGAGCGCTGGAACCCACGGGGTGGCTGGGCAGGGGCGGGAAGCCACACCTCACCTGCATCCAGCTTGCTGCACTTCTGTTCAGGCATCTCTAGGGCTGGCTGGACCACCCCTCCCTGCTCCTCAACTGGCAGGATCTGCAAGGTGCTGGCGAGGGTGGCGGGGCCAGCCATCTCCAGGGACAGGACGCAGTGCACTTCCTGGGGCTTGGATCCCACCCCATCCTCATCTTGGTCGGAGGCTGTGAGCAGCACCAGTTTGGAGAACTCCCTGGGCTTCCTGGGGGCTGCCGGGATGACGTCCGTGCCTGGCTTGGGGGATGGCTCCTGGCCGGCCTTCACACTCTCGCCCTCCTGCTCGCTGGGCTCGGGCAGGGGCATCCCGGGACCCAGGGCCTGTCCCTCAGGCCACGCTCAGCACCCAGCAAGGAACCTGGAGTGCAGTGGTTCCGTCCTAAGGAAGGAAGCAAAATCCCGTCAGTGGTGGAAGCCCTTGGGGGACTCTAGACGTGGATCTGGGAGGGAGGTGGGGCAGATGGGGCTGCCTCACTGCTCGCTGGGGCCAAGACTGGCCGGGGGCCTGATGGAACTAGGCTTCTGCTCTGCCAGTTCCTCTCCTGGCAGCCTTAGGTACGTCAGCCCCATCCAACCCCACTTTCCCCATCTGGAAAATGTGCACAATAAACACCCTCCACAAGGGGCCATCAGAGTGACTAATGGACTAAGAGCTCAGCCACATGCTGAGCACGGACGAAGGGTTTCCACCCGCGTTTCCAGTCCCCCCTCCAGTCCCTACATTATGACGGCAGAACGTTCTTATTGACCCAGTTATAGACGAGGATAGTGAGGCACAGACACCTGTGATACACTTGAGGCTGAAGAGGCGGGAAGCTGAGACCCGTTTCTGCTCAGATGCCCAGGGACTTGTCAGGACCTTTTTGGAAACCATGTGCTTCACCAGGACGCCAGGCACCTGTCTCAGGCATGTGGGCCTGGTACGCAGAGCCCTTTCCAGAGGACGGCACCACATCACGGCCTGGGAGGCAGAAAGCCCTTTCTGGGCTCAGGCAGACCCAGTCCCTATCCTAGCCTGGAGGCCCCAGGCCACCCCCACTTCAGGAGATACCAGGGCCCCACAGTGGCAGCCACCTTGTGCCGGAGCTGTTGCTGTGGCTGCCTCGGCTGGTCGGGGACGGGGCTGTGGTGGTGTCTGGAGAATTCTGAGGTCACCACGGGTTCCAGCCTGGAGAGGCAGAAAGGTCAGATAATGGGGAACCAGCACAGGGCTGGGGTGGGGGCCTGGGGGCAGTCAGTGGCAGTCATGGTGTGGGGTGGGGCTTTTTGTGTGGGGAAAAGAGAGAGAGATCATATTGTTACTGTGTCTATGTAGGAAAGGAAGACATAAGAAACTCCATTTTGATCTGTACGAAGAAAAATTGCTCTGCTTTGTGATGCTGTTAATCTGTAACTTTAACCCCAACCCTGTGCTCACAGAAACATGTGCTGTACTGAATCAAGGTTTAATGGATTTAAGGCTGTGCAGGATGTGCCTTGTTAACAATATGTTTGCAGACAGTATGCCTGGTAAAAGTCACTGCCATTCTCCATTAACCAGGGACACAATGCACTGTGGAAAGCCACAGGGAGCTCCGCCCAAGAAAGCCTAGGTATTGTCCAAGGTTTCCCCCCACTGAGACAGCCTGAGATATGGCCTCATGGGAAAGGAAAGACCTTACCATCCCCCAGCCTGACACCTGTGAAGGGTCTGTGCTGAGGAGGAGGAGTGAAAGAGGGAAACCTCTTTGCTGTTGAGGTAAGAGGAAGCTTTCTGTCCCCTGCTCGTCCCTGGGAATGGCATGTCTCAGTGTAAAGCCGACCATTCGTTCTATTCTGAGATAGGAGAAAACCACCCTGTGGCTGGAGGCAAGATACGCTGGCAGCAATACTGCTCTGTTACTCTTTGCTACACTGAGATGTTTGTGTGAAGTGAAACACAAATCTGGCCTACATGCACATCCAGACACAGTACCTTTCCTTGAACTTCTTCATGATACAGATTCCTTTGCTCACATGTTTCCCTGCTGACCTTCTCCCCACCATCACCCTGTTGCCCTGCCACACTCCCCTTGCCAAGATAGTAAAAATAGTCATCAATAAATACTGAGGGAACTCAGAGACCAGCGCCAGTGCGGGTCCTCGCACATAGAGTGCCCATCTCCTGGGCCCACTGTTTTCTATATACTTTGTCTCTGTGTCTTATTTCTTTTATCAGTCTCATCTCCACCTGACGAGAAATATCCATAGGTGTGGAGCGGCAGGCCTCCTTCACCTGGCGCCCAGTGTGGGGCGTGAACCCACGACCCTGAGATTAAGAGTCTCATGATCTACTGACTGAGCCAGCCGGGGAATTCTTTTTTAGACGACCAATTTGGCCACAATTATAACATTTCCCCCCAAATGTTCTAACTTGTCCTCCTAAAGCAACCCCAGTCATTGCTTGAGCCATTAGGATAGCTTTATGCATGGCTCCTCCAATCCCATTACAAGCCTTCACATATTCTGTAACTACATCAACTCCTGCTGGAGCAATGGAATCTAATAATGTTCTCATAGAAGGTGAGTTGGGTCCATATTGTTTAACTCCTTCCTTCATGTCTTTTAACATTTTCATGGTGAAGCGTTCATATCTAGCATTAGCCACCGCAGGTGCTCCTGCTGGAGCCCCTTCCCCGGCCGGTACCGATTGTAAAATTACCAGGAACTGCCACGCCTCAAGATCTCCCTGTTTTCTAGCTTCATCAATGATCGCGTGCAGTGTGCTACCTTGTCCACTAGGTGGTGCTGTTGGATTAAGTCTCATAGTGGGCGGCTGAGGACACAGCGCCGCGCCCTGTGGTGCTGACGTATTAAACACCACCGCCATGGGTTGCTTGTACGATGCCGTGCAATTTGGCATGGCACACACCACTTGAGGTCTGTATTGGACCTCTGGAGGCAGCCAATACTGAAGCTCGGCTGGCAGCCAGTATTGATAAGCTAATGGCGGTTGGGTTTTATTTTCTACTGGCTGATATTGTGGATACTGTATCTGGATTGGCATTGCCGAGATAGAGACTATCCTTTTCTATTTGATATTCTCTTGGGGTTTGTACTTGTCTAACCTGCATTTGAGGTTGTAATGTTACAGGTATCTGAACCACGGGAGGAGGAGTTGGCCATTGTGGTTTAGACTCTGATGGCCCCACTTTTCCCCCCAATTTTGATGATTCAGGATATGTTACCTCCTGTAATTGATTGTAGTCAACATGGCTTTATGGCCAATTGACATTCCGGATTTGCATTTTCATAGGCCATTAATTCTACAATAACCTTTTGGGTGTTATCATCTGTAATAGATTTTGGAGCGGCACCGTGCAATCTTGCCACAAAGTCAGGGTAGGGCTCTTTAGAGCCTTGTCTAATTGAATTAAAAGACGGGCAGGTGGTTCCTGGGTCCATGAATTTTTTTCCCAGGCCCTGAGGCAAATAACCCTTACTTGTTTAAGTCAACATTTTGCATTGACCGAGCGATTACAGACTCTGCTACATACTTACAATGTGAACTTTCCATTCCTTTCTGGAATTCTGTCCCTTTGTCTTCTTCACAATCTATTACATAGCTTTCAGGGGCATCAGAAACTGAAACGCTATCTTCTCCTGTTTGAAACGGTTCTAAAGCTGCTTTAATAATGGCCCAATCATTCCATACTGTAAGTGGGATGATTTTACCTTCCCTATTTGCTTGTTTTAATTCTTTGCCAATTTTTTCCCAATCCTTTAGATCTAAAGTTCCTTGTTCTGGAAACCATGGGCAGAATTGTTCTATTGTTTGAAATAGCATAGTTAGATTTTCTGTACAGGCTCTAACTTAATCCCGTGGTCACCACGGGTTCCAGCCTGGAGAGGCAGAAAGGGCAAATAATGGGGAATGGGGCAGGGACCTGGGGGCAGTCAGTGGCAGTCATGGTGTGGGGTGGGGCTTTTTTGGGGCAACTGAGTGTGGGCAGATGGTGGGGTCTTTCCCACCTCTCAGCCTGGAATCGAGACTGCAGTCCCTGACATTTTCAGCGTCCTCACCCCCACCTCACATGCTGCAGCTCCAGTTCCCACTGGTCTCCCACTTTGATCCAAAGTTCCCTGGCCTGGGGCCCCACATTCCACTCCCGAAGGCCTGGTCGGCTCCGGAGACAACGCAGAGGGGAGCGGCTCCTTAACTCCATTAAGGCCCGGTCCCCAGGAAATCACAGGTACCAGGAGGGCCAGTCCCACCACACCTCCCCCAGCCCCGGCCCAGCCTGTTCCTCCATGCCGTCCTTCTGGGCCTACTCATGCCGCCCCACAGGGTGACACGAGGTGCAGGGGCAACCCCAGCTGACTTCGCAGGCGCCTCTCGAGCAGAGCGGCTCCAGGCAGGAAAAGGTTAGGGCGGAAAGCCCCGTACCCCCCTCCCCCCGCAACTCCCCCTACCCCGCGCGCGCTGATTGGCCTGGGCACAAGTCCTTCTACCGGCAGCCCGCCCCTCCCGCTCCCTCGCTCTGAGCTCCAGGGATGAATGGGGATGAGTGGGACTGAGTGGGACTGAATGGCACTGGGTGGGACCGGGTGGGACCGGGTGAGGCTAAACCAGGAAGGATGAGGATGAGGGCAGGACGAGGCAGGACAGCATGAACCGGGATGTATGGGAATGGATGGACGATGGACGTGGCAGTTCCTTGACCCTGCACCCTCCCGGGGTCCCCCCAGCCCAGGTCCCGCGAGGCCCCCGCCCTCTGGAGAAAGTCCCCTTTGTTCCTGGGGAGGCACCTCCCTGAGAACTGCCGTGATTCCCGGCCTCCCTCCCAGCCAGGGCGAGGCATGGGGACGCCAGGTTGCTCCTGACAGAGGCCTCCCAGACTATGCAGGCTGGCACAGTGACTCGCACACTGTTCACCCCGCCAGCTGGTCCTGCAGGACACAGCTGCGCCATGGGAGTGCAGGCGGGCAGGGGCCTGTCCCAGGCCGTCAGAGTGAAGGTGGGGACTGCGTCAAGCTTGGCCTGACAAGGAAAGCCCCACATTCCCATGGAGCTGTACCCGAGTCACAGGAAGTGACAGGAGAGAGCGCAGTCCTCTGGCGACCACTTCCCACTTCTGTTTAAAGGGCTTCCAAGACACATGTGCTTCAACAGATCTGGAAAAAGTTCCAATACAAGAAAAGGCCCTGACCGCCGGCTTGTGGAAGGCTGAGGACCCGTTCCCACTCTTGCCCGTTCAGGCTCTTGGATGGTAGATGCTGACCCACCGCCACTCCGCCCGTTAAAGTCCACAGGCCCCTCAGCAACCGGGCTTTGTCTCCACCTGCCTGAACCTTGACTAGCCTGGGGGGGTTGCGTGACCCACAGCGTGGCAGGAGCGTAGGGTACACATTCCCACGCCTCACGGGCCAGGGCCCTGAGTCTGCAGGGAAGGCAGCTGTAGGAGAGGCCATGTGCAGAGCACTGCCACATTCAGGGAAACCACCTTGTACCCTGCAGCCCAGCAGTCTCTTAGATGCCTGCAGACATGAAGGAGCCTGGGAACCCCACAGAACCCTGTTCACTGGGGAACTCCTATTATTTCAAGCCAGTAAGATCATGGGTCGTATGCTACACAATAGCTGATATGCTTGGCAAGTAAGTGACTCTAGTGGGTTCTGGCTTTTTACTTTTTTTTTTTTTTTGAGATGGAGTCTCGCTCTGTCACCCAGGCTAGAGTGCAGTGCTCGGATCTCGGCTCACTGCAAAGCTCCGCCTCCCGGGTTCACGCCATTCTCCTGCCTCAGCCTCCCGAGGAGCTGGGACTACAGGCGCCCGCCACCACGCCCGGCTAATTTTTTGTATTTTTAGTAGAGACGGGGTTTCACCGTGTTAGCCAGGATGGTCTTGATCTCCTGACCTCGTGATCCGCCTGCCTCGGCCTCCCAAAGTACTGGGATTACCGGCGTGAGTCACCGTGCCGGCCAGCTTTTTACCTTTTTGAGACAGGGTCTCTCTGTTGCCCAGGCTAAGTGCAGTGGCACGATCTCAGCTCAATGCAACCTCCACCTCCTGAGTTTCAAGCTATTCTGCCTCAGACTCCCAAGTAGCTGCGATTACAGGTGCCCGCCAACATGCCTGGCTAATTTTTGTATTTTTTGGTAGAGATGGGGTTTCACCATGTTGGTCAGGCTGGTCTCGAACTCGTGACCTCAAGTGATCCACCCGCCTCAGCCTTCCAAAGTGCGGGGATTACAGGTGTGAGCCACTACGCCGGGCCGATTCTGGCTTTTTAATAGATGGAATAATGCAAACGGTTATGAAATATCTGACATAAAACTATGTGTGAGCTCCAGATTGCCATATGCTGTGCAACACAAACACCACATCCCCCAGATGGGTGCATATAAATGGCTTGTAACGAGGGAAACAAAAATATGAAGTATAAGGGACAGCAAAGGAGAAGTATGCATTTTAAAACATCTGCACTGCCCGGGCGCTGTGGCTCACGCCTGCCATCCCAGCACTTTGGGAGGCTGAGGCGGGCGGATCACCTGAGGTCAGGAGTTCGAGACCAGCCTGGCCAACATAGGCAAGCCCGTCTCTACTAAAAATACAAAAATTAGCCGGGCGTGGTGGCGGACGCCTGTAATCCCAACTACTCGAGAGGCTGAGGCAGGAGAATCGCTTGAACCAGAAGGCAGAGGTTGCAGTGAGCAGAGATCGCACCACTGCACTCCAGCCTGGGCGACAGAGCGAGACTCCATTTCAAAAATAAAAATAAACAAAAACAGCCTCTTCACAAGATGGCGCTGAAAGCGAAGAAGGGAGCTCCTGCCCCTTGTAAAGCTGAAGCCAAAGCAAAGGCTTTAAAGGCCAAGGCGGCAGCGTTGAAAGGCGTCCACAGCCACACAAAAAAAGAACCTCACAACAGCCACACACACAAAACAAACTATAAAAAAAATAGATCCGCACAACAGCCACACACACACAAAAAAAGATCCACACAACAGCCCCCCCAAAAAAAGATCCGCGCGTCACCCGCCTTCTGGCAGCCCAAGACACTGCGACTCCGGAGGCAGCCCAAATATCCTCGGAAGAGCGCCCCCAGGAGAAACGAGCTTGACCACTATGCGATCATCAATTTTCCACCGACCACTGAGTCTGCCATGAAGAAGACAGAAGACAACACACTTGTCTTCACTGTGGATGTTAAAGCCAACAAGCACCAGCTCAAACAGGCTGTGAAGAACTCTGTGAGGTGGTTGTGGCCCAGGTCAATACCCTGATTGGGCCTGATGGAGAGAAGAAGGCACATGTTCCACTGGCTCCTGATCAGGATGCTTTGGGTGTGGCCAACAAAATGGAGATCATGTAAACCGAGTCCGGCTGGCTAATTCTAAATATATGTATATCTTTTCACCATAAAAAAATCTGCAACATACGACATGCCAGGCACAAGGGGACAAACACTGTCTGATTCCACTTGTATGAGGTCCCCAGGGCAGTCAAACTTATGGGGACAGAAAGTAGAATGGGGGTGCCAGGGGCAGGAGGATGAGGAGGGAGTGTTTCATGGGCACAGAGCAGCCGTTGGGGAAGATGAAAAGGTTCTGGAGATGGACGGTGGTGACGGATGAACAATGAATGTGAACCGCTGACCTGGACACTTCAACATCGAGGCTCAGGGAGAGCAGCTGCTCACAAAGACCAAGGGTTGTAGGATGCAATTTACATGAATGACCAATATGGTAAATTTTACGTCATGTATATTTAACCCTACACACACACACACACACACACACGAGCCATCTGTAACAAACTATACACAAAACACCCCATTTCCCTAACATTATCAGTGAATAAGCTTCTCCCTACAAGGTAGATTTTCTAGTAACTAAAGTTATCCCGCCATGATTCAGAATATGATTTTTATCTGATTCAAAATGTACCCATTTAAGATGGATTCTTTTTTTTAACTCTGTCACCCAGTTGCCCAGGCAGGAGTGCAGTGGCACGATCTCAGTTCATTGCAACCTCTGCCTCCCGGGTTCAAGTGATTCTCCCGCCTCAGCCTCCTGAGTAGCTGGGACTACAGGCGCGCGCCACCACACCTAGCAAATTTTTGTATTTTTTAGTAGAGATGGGGTTTCACCATATTGGCCAGGATGGTCTCGAACTTCCGACCTCATGATCTGCCTGTCTTGGCCTCCCAAAGTGCTGGGATTACAGGTGTGAGCCACCACACCCGGCCAGAATGAATACCTTTTATTTTTTATTTTAGTGGCAGGATTTCACTACAGCCTAAACCGGAGTGTGGTGGCGTGATCACTACAGCCTCTGCCTCCCAGGCTCAAGCCATCTTCCCACCTCAGCCTCCAGAGTAGCTGGGACCACAGGCGCACACTACCATGCCCGGCTAATTTCTGTATTCTTTGTAGAGACGGGGTTTTGCCAGGTTGCCCAGCCTGGTTTTTTAATTAAATTAAAAAAAAATATTTTGGTAATGACAGGGTCTTGCTATATTTCCAGGTTGGTTTTGAACTCCTGGGATCAAGCGATCCTCCCACCTCAGCCTCCCAAGCACCGGATGGATGCCTCTATAAGCTCTTCTCACCCGCTTCCCTGTCCAGAGAAAGGGAGCAACCATCCTCCCTCTGGCTTTAGAAGCAAAAAAAAAAAAAGTCCTAAAATTGATGGTGGTGATACTTGGACAGCTTTCTGAATATATTAAAAGCAATGAATTGTAGACTTAAAAAGTCCTAAAATTGATGGTGGTGATACTTGGACAGCTTTCTGAATATATTAAAAGCAATGAATTGTAGACTTTAGATGGAGAAATCATATGGTATTATGTAAATTATATCTCAGGAAAGTTATTGAAAAACAATCCCTGTCTGGGAATGGTGGCTCACGCCTGTAATCCCAGCACTTTGGGAGGCCGAGGCGGGCAGATCACGGGGTCAGCAGATCGAGACCATCCGGGCTAACACAGTGAAACCCCGTCTCTACTAAAAACACAAAAAATTAACTGGGCGTGGTGGCGGGCGCCTGTAGTCCCAGCTACTCGGAAGGCTGAGGCAGAAGAATCGCTTGAACCCGGGAGGCAGAGGTTGCAGTGAGCTGAGATCGCGCCACTGCACTCCAGCCTGGGCGACAGAGTGAGACTGTCTCAAAAAAAAAAAAAAAAAAAAAGGCCAGGCGTTGTGGCTCACGCCTGTAATCCTAGCACTTCGGGAGGCCAAGGTGGGCAGATCACCTGAGGTGGGGAGTTTGAGACCAGCCCGACCAACATGGAGAAACCCCGTCTCCACTAAAAATACAAAAATAGCCAGGCATGGTGGCATATGCCTGCAATCCCAGCTACTCGGGAGGCTGAGGCAGGAGCTCACGCTATTGCACTCCAGCCTGGGCAACAAGAGCAAAACTCCATCTCAAAAAAACAAAAACAAACAAACAAACAATGGTCAGAATGACTCAGATTCCAAGGGTCTCTTGGTGGAAAAGTGTTTTTTTTTTTTTTTAAGACAGAGTCTCACGGCCACCCAGGCTGGAGTGCAATGGCGTAATCTTAGCTCACTGCAACCTCCGCCTCCTGGGTCAAGCGATTCTCAGGCCTCAGCCTCCTGAGTAGCTGGGATTATAGGCACCTGAAACCACACATGGCTAAATTTTGTTTTGTATTTTTAGTAGAGATGGAGTTTCACCATTTTGGCCAGGCTGGTCTCGAACTCCTGGCCTCTAGTTACCTACCTGCCTCCTAAAGTGCTGGGATTACAGGTGCTCTACTAAACATCAGAAGCTTCTTGTTCTTGGGTTTGGTTTACTCATCAAAGAAGGGGTGGCATGCATTATATGTTGTGAAATTTTCTAAGTTCTAATATCATATTCTAAAAATATATAGAAACTATTTCAGAATGTTAAGACTATAATACTAAAATGACCCCTAATCCTGCCACTCAAATGCACAACTACTTCCATTGTTGAACTAATGCCTTTAAGGCGCTTGCTTTTCTGTAGCACACACTGCGTTCAATCATGTCTGCTACTGTATCCCCCTCGAGAGCAGGAAGCCCCCACCAGAGGCCACCTGGAGTCTTTCCAAAGGACCATTACATAAGGCAGGACCACCCGTCACGGGGGAAGCGCAAATTTAAATCCTCAGCAGCAATACTCCATATGGCCACAAGATGGTGGTGTTGCTCCTGAAATGTTCCTATTGCCTTGGTAAAATTACACGGGTGGCAATGTTTTCAAACAAGAATTTGGAAATTTTTCCAAGTTGGAAAAAAAATTCAAGAGGATTTCCAAAATGTTATATTTACAAAAAGTAGTACTTCGAGCTGGGCATGGTGGTGCGTATGTGTAGTCCCAGCCACTTGGGAGGTTGTGGCAGGAAAATGGCTTGAGCCCAGGAGTTTGAAGCCAATCTGGGCAACATCACATGACCCCATCTCAAGAAACAAAAAATAGGCCAGACGCGGTGGCTCACGCCTGTAATCCCAGCACTTCGGCAGGCCAAGGCAGGCGGATCACGAGGTCAAGAGATCGAAACCATCCTGGCAAACATGGTGAAACCCCGTCTCTACTAAAAATACAAAAATTAGCTGGGTGTGGTGGCGCATGCCTGTAATCCCAACTACTCGGGAGGCTGAGGCAGGAGAATCGCTTGAACCCAGGGGGCAGAGGTTGCAGTGAGCCGAGACCATACCACTGTACTCCAGCCTGGGAGACAAAGCAAGACTCCGTCTCAAAAAAAAAAAAAGAAACAAAAAATTAAAACAAATGAATAAATATACACGCATATATCAGAGAGCAGCTGGGTGTGGTGGCTCACGCCTGTAATCCCAGCACTTTGGGAGGCTGAGGTGGGTGGATCACAACGTCAGGAGATCGAGACCACCTTGGATAACATCTACTAAAACACAAAAGATTAATCAGGAGTGGTGGTGAGCACCTGTAATCCCAGCTACTTGGGAGGTGGAGGCAGAAGAATTGCTTTGGAGGTTGCAGTGAGCCGAGATCATGCCACTGCACTCCAGCCTGGGCAAAAGAGGGAGACTCTGCCTCAAAAAAGAAAAAAAAAGAAAGCAAAATCCAATTAACAAATTCAGTAAAGACTATCTTTCTAAACAAGTTTTTGTTTCCAAAAAAGACCAAAATATTACTTGGACAAGACACTACGTTCTAGCCCTCAATCCACTGGTCTTTCCTACTATTTCCTTTCTATTCTGGTCATATTTGTTATTCATTGGCGAATTTTATTTTACATGTTTATAACTTAAAAACATTTAAGGCCAGGCACGGTGGTTCACGCCTCTAATCCCAGCACTTTGGGAGGCCGAGGCAGGCGGATCACCTGAGGTCGGGAGTTTGAGACCAGCCTGACTAAAATGGAGAAACCCCGTCTCTACTGAAAATACAAAAATTAGATGGTCATGTTGGTGCATGCCTGTAATCCCAGCTATTCAGGAGGCTGAGGCAGAAGAGTCACTCGAAACCGGGAGGTGGAGGTTGCAGTGAGCCAAGATCCTGCCATTGCACTCCAGCCTGGGCAACAAGAGCAAAACTCCCTCTCAAAAAAAAAAAAGCCTGGCGCGGTGGCTCACGCCTGTAATCCCAGCACTTTAGAAGGCCAAGGCAGGCGGATCACGAGGTCAGGAGATCGAGACCATCCTGGCTAACACGGTGAAACCCCGTCTCTACTAAAAATACAAAAAATTAGCTGGGCGCGGTGGCGGCCGCCTGTAGTCCCAGCTACTCGGGAGGCTGAGGCAGGAGAATGGTGTGAGCCTGGGAGGCGGAGCTTGCAGTGAGCCGAGATTGCCCCACTGCACTCCAGCCTGGGCGACAGAGCGACACTGTCTCAAAAAAAAAAAAAAAAAAAAGGAATCCAAGGCCAGGCACAGTGGCACATACCTCTAATTCCAGCACTTTGGGAGGCCGAGGTGGGTGGATCACTTGAGGTCAGGAGTTCAAGACAAGCCCGGCCAACATGGCAAAACCCCATCTCTTCCAAAAAATACAAAAATTACCTGGGCATGGTGGCGGGCGCCTGTAATCCCAGCTACTCAGGAGGCTGAGGCAGGGAGAATTGCTTGAACCCAGGAAGTGGAGGTTGCACAGTGAGCCAAGATCGTGCCACTGTACTCCAGCCTGGGCAACAGTGAGACTCCATCTCGAGGGGGAAGAAAAGACTCCAGATTTTGGGGGGTGGGGAGAGGATCGGGGGAGGGGAAGAGGGAGGCCAAAGGAAGAGGGAGGAACAAGAATCTAGATTTTTCACAAATCCTCCTGATACTGATAGACTGTGAACTAGACTTTGACAAACACTAGAATAGATGACCTTGGGAAACAGAAGACTGCAGCTAAGCGACGAACCTAAGCAACACCTGAGGTTTGCTTTGTGCTGGGCACTAAAATACCTGAAGTATTTTATCTACATCATCTCATTTACTCTTTAATGTCATACAGGTTTCCTCATTAATGTCACAGAAAATCATTAACGGCCGGGCATGGTGGCTCACACCTGTAATCCCAGCACTTTGGGAGGCTGAGATGGGCGGATCACCTGAGGTCAGGAGTTCGAAACCAGCCTGACCAACATGGCAAAACCCCGTCTCTACTAAAAATACAAAATTAGCTGGGCGTCGTGGTGGGCGCCTGTAATCCCAGCTACTCGGGAGGCTGAGGCAGGAGAATCGCTTGTACCCGGGAGGTGGAAGTTGCAGTGAGCAGAGATCCCACCATTGCACTCCAGCCTGGGTGACAAGAGCAAAACTCCATCTCAAAAAAAAAAAAAAAATTATTAACAAGCTTACTTTGTATTATTGGGAAAGTCATGGCTTTTTAAAAATTTTTTTTACTTTTTTTTATTTTTGAGACAGAGTTTCGCTCTTTCACCTGGGCTGGAGTGCAGTGGCATGATCTCGGCTCACTGCAACTTCTGCCTTCTGGTTTCAAGCGATTCTCCTGCCTCAGCCTCCCAAGTAGCTGGGATTACAGGTGCGCGCTACCACGCCTGGCTAATTTTTGTTATTTTTTTTTTTTTTTTTACTAGAGATGGGGTTTCACCATGTTGTCCAGGCTAATCTCGAACTCCTGACCTCATGATCCACCCCCCTCGGCCTCCCAAAGAGCTGGGATTACAGGAGTGAGCCACCATGCCTGGCCGATTTCCTCGTTTTTGAAAGTATTAGCAATTTAACAAGTTTCAGGAACCTTAGGGGTATTTTGGGGAACCTCAAGAAGAGAGGAATTTGCCCAAATTTTAAGTACTACAGGTAAAATCTGATGGAGAAAGCATCCTGGACTTGCCTTCTGTGTCTCAGGATATCAAACAACGAATTTTTAAATTTCTTTTTTCTTTTTTTTATTTTTTGTTTTGTTTTGTTTTTTTGAGATGGAGTCTCGCTCTGTCACCCAGGCTGGAGTGCAGTGGTGCGATCTCGGCTCTCTGCAAGCTCTGTCTCCTGGGTTCACGCCATTCTCCGGCCTCAGCCTCCAGAGTAGCTGAGACTACAGGCACCTGCCACCAGGCCTGGATAATTTTTTGTATTTTGTTAGTAGAGACGGGGTTTCACCATGTTAGCCAGGATGGTCTCTATCTCCTGACTTCGTGATCCGCCTGCCTCAGCTTCCCAAAGTGCTGGGATTACAGGCGTGAGCCACCACACCCGGCCTGTATTTTTGTTTTGAGATGGAGTCCCACTCTGTTGCCCAGGCTGGAGTACAGTGGCATGATCTCAGCTCACTGCAACTTCTGCCTCCTAGGTTAATTATCCTGACTCAGCTTCCTGAGTAGCTAGGATTACAGGCACGCACCAACACGCCCAGCTAACTTTTGTTTTTAGTAGAGATGAGGTTTCATCATGTTGGCCAGGCTGGTCTCGAACTTCTGACCTCAAGTGATCAGCCCGTCTTTGCCTCCCAAAATGCTGGGATTACAGGTGTGAGCCACGGCACCTGGCCAAAACAACAGACTTTAAAAAGTCTAAGTTTCCTTATGGAGACTTCCAGGCAGGCAAACTCAGGTAGGCTTATCTGGTGAATCAGTACTATTGCTGCACTACATAATCAGGCCAAATATGATGAAATCAGCCTTATAATCAAAAATATGTTTCCTTGGCCACTGTAGAAGAGGCCAGTTTTGCCTCCATTTGCACATTCATTTCAATATTCCTGATCTAGAATCTTGTAGATTCTTCTTTGGATTCTCTCTTTTTTTTTTTTTTCTCTCGACACAGAGTCTTGCTCTGTCTCCCAGGCTGGGGAGCAGTGGCTAGATCTCAGCTAACTGCAACCTCCGATTCCCAGGCTCAAGCCATTCTGGTGCCTCTGCCTCCCGTGATCCGCCCACCTTGGCCTCTCAAAGTGCTGGGATTACAGGCGTGAACCACTGCGACCAGCCCATGTAATTTTAAAAATTGCTGACTGGAACCTAATGATTTTAGGACCAATGACTAAGCAGTTTCAAAAACAGTGCCCTAGACCAAAACAAAGGAAATACAATTCTTTTATACTCATATAAAGCAAACACATGTTAAAGATTTTACTTACCGTTAGCCAGTAAGGTGGAGCTCAGGAGTTTGAGACCGGCCTGGCCAACATGGTGAAACCCTGTCTCTACTAAAAATACAACAATTAGCTGGGCTTGGTAGCACAGGCCTGTAATCCCAGTTTGCCGCCTGGCCAACACGGTAAAACCCTGTCTCTACTAAAAATACAAAAAAATTAGTCGGTCGTGGTGCATGCCTGTAATCCCAGCTGCTCAGGAGGCTGAGGCAGAACTCACTGAACCTACCGGGGAGATGGAGGTTGCAGTGAGCCAAGATCACACCAATGCACTCCAGCCTAGGCAACAAAATGAGACTGTCTCAGGAAAAAAAAAAAAAATTTCAGTGCATGTAATAAAAATGAGTATATTTTAATACATTTATATTATTTAATAAATTCAATAAATATCTCATTTAATAAAAATTAGAAACTTTTGTTACTCTAGTTTAAGTGCTTTTTTTTTTTACAGTAGATACCCATTGTTTTACAGTAGATACAGGGGCCCTAATGTGTTTCTTTTGTAATGTTCAATCTTCATTCAGTACAAATTTCTTTTTTTTTTTTTTTTTTTGAGACAGAGTCTCACTCTGTCGCCCAGGCTGGAGTGCAGTGGCTCGATCCTGTCTCACTGCAACCTCCGCTGAATCCTTGAACCAGGTTCAAGCGATTCTGCTCCTCAGGCTCCTGAGTAGCTGGGATTACAGGTGTGCGCCACCACGCCCAGCTAAATTTTTTGTATTTTTAGTATAGACAGGGTTTCACCATGTTAGCCAGGCTGGTCTCAAACTCCTGACCTCTGGTGATCTGCCCACCTCAGCCTCCCAAAGTGCTGGGATTACAGACGTGAACCACCATGCCTGGCTGCACTCAGTACAGATTTCTTAAGTGAATGGAGCACAGGCCGGCAGATTTGCATGGAAAGCTCCAAAGTCTCAGTTCATGGTGCATCACTCTCCTGTCCTCTCTCCCCTTCTCCCAGAATTGAGGGTGCGGAGCAATTTGAGTGCAATGCCAGATGGCCTACTGGGACGCTGCGGTCCTGCTGGTGACCACAAGGGCTCAGCGTAGACCTAAGGGTCACATGTTAGCAACTGTCAGGTGTCTCTCAGACACCAAGGGGTCCAAACTCTAATCAGTAAGGCTCGAAAACCAGGCGGCTCTGTCGGCAGCTGATGGAGCCACAGAATTACCTTCACACGTGAGTGAGAAGCGTCACCATCATCCCCCACACCTGGGTCACGGCGCTGGCTTGCTGGGCAGGAGCCCCGGGGGCAAATCCCGTAACTTCTCTGGGCTGGTTTCACCTGTGAAGAAAGTAAAGTGGCAAATGAAATACTGCAGGTGAAATTATTCCATGAACTGTCGACCATTAGACAAGAACAAGGTGTTCAGCATCCAGGTGCAGTAGGGGTCCTGAGTGATAGGAGCGGGAGGAGGGAAGGCCCTCTGTTTAAAAAGCTTCTGAATGGGCCGGTGGCACGGTGGCTCACACCTGTCATCTCAGCAGTTTGGGAGGCTCAGGTGAGAGAATTGTTTGAGCCCAGGAGTTCGAGACCAGCCTAGGCAACATAGTGAGACCTGCCCCTCGCCCCCACCATTTCTACTAAAAAAATTTTTTTTTAAAGCTCCTGGATGACTCCAGTGTCTACCCACCTCCCACCTACCCGCAACTGAACCATGAGCGTTGGAGGTGCACTTGCCTCAGACATGAACCACTATGGTGACATCACAGGCTCAGTGGGTGCACACAGACATTCCTCCTGAAGAGGTTGAAGGTGGCAGAGATGCCCAGATAATTAAAATTTACTCTAAAAATGAACTTCACAATCTCAGCACCGTTGGCATTTTGGGCCGGATGATTCTGCTGTGGGAGGCTGTCCTGTTCAGCGTGGGGTGTTCAGCAGCAACCCCGGTCTCTACCTGCCAGATCCCACTGTCATGCCCTACCACACGTTGTGACCACCAACACTGCAGAACGTTCCCTGGGGTGCAGAATTGCCCAAGAGCCACAGCTCCAAAGCAACTTAGAAATTAGAGCGCACAGAAAGGGAGAGCTTGGCCAATGAGACCCCCCCAGCCCGGTATTCCCCAGTCACCCTCCATCATAATATAAGTTTATTTACTCCTTCCCACAGCCTAATGCATCCTCAAATCTCTCTCCCTCTATGCCTGATATACCCATCTTCCCTCTCCTTCCCACTCCCACCAACTCAGGACATGATCCCTTACCACGACCTCTTTAGCCCAAGCCAAAGCCTCTGAACGATCTTGCCAGCTTTGGCAAGCAGCCACTCCAATTCTCCACATAGGGTGCTGACAGGTCACTCTTCCTAAAGCTTAACTTTCAGCATGTCTCTCCCCAATTAAATCATCTCCATCTCCAGCCTTAGTGCATCATCAGCTGGGCGTCATAAACACTCCGCAATCTAGCCCCAACCTCAGCCTTGTTCCTTCCACACGTCCCGCCAGTAGCACTTGGGAAAGGAACAAGAGAAACATGATATAATCACACGAGAAAATCTAGATCAAGCCCTGGAAATCATATTGGCCCTTGGAAAGCAGAAATATGCAAATAAAAATAAGCCATTTCGTTGGAATTGGAGTTTGCACATGATTATCTGACTATGGGAGTTCAGCTTCCAGTACAAGGAATAAAGGAACAACAGGCAGGGTTTAGAGCGAGGGTTTCAACTACGTCAGACCCGTTATGTGCAGGCTCCATGGGTTAGCAGCAGCCTTTTGGAACGGGGTGGAAGAGAATGGAACGGAATTTAATCCGAACAGATCCAGCTGCGTCATGTGAGCTTAAACAAGCGTCTCCCTTTAAACTTGTGCTTCAGTCATCCAGACCCACAGGCACAGAGTACACGCGTAAAAGGCATTTCTCAGTGTCGGCTGTGGGTCAACAAAGTTCGAAAGCCGTCACCGGAGATCTATAGGGTCAGAAGCGGGAGCGGGGTGCGTCCCGACCCGCAAAAGTGCAAGGTCACTGGGACCGCCCGAGCTGCAACCGTGGGACGGGGCTGATGCTGCGGGTCCAGGAAGGCAGCGCTGGGCGGGGCAGACACCGCCAGGAAACGGCGGACGAGTGCGGGGATCCTTGATGTGGGGGTGTCGGGCTTAGGCCAGGGGACGGGGGGGTGGGGATGGAGGGGCGAGGAGCAAGGAGGGAATCGCGGGAGACCCCACAGGAGGCGGCCTGAGCGCCGGGACGCAGACCCCTCCCCAGCACCCGCAACCCTCGGGACCCCCGGGAGAGCCGGGCTGCGGGCGCGTCCACGCCGGGGACGCGGGACATTCCCCGCCCGCAGGGGCCTGTCCTCACCGACGGCAGCGGGGCCCTCCCTCTCCCGCGACAGCGCCGCGGCGGATCCTTCAGCCTCTGCCGCTGCAGCAGCGAGCGTCGACCCCGCGACCCAGGCCGCCGCCGCCACCCCGACCCGGGCACCAGCTCCCAGCCCCGACCTGCCCCTCGGGAGCGAGCCCCGTGACCGCGCGCGCGACCCCGCCGGGGAGCCGGCCTTGCGGAACGCTCAGGCGCGCTACTTCAGAGCATGCGCAGCAAGACCGCGCGGCCCGTTCCTTAGGTAAACCGCTGCTCCGGGTCTTCCCTGCGCGGCGCCGAGCCGCAGGCCTGGCCTGTCAGCGCATGGGGGCGGGGACGTAACTCACGGAAAAGGCGGGGCCATCCCGAGATTGGACGGCGGCGTCCAGGGGCGGAGCTAGGATGGGGGAGCTGAACAGGACGCTCTTGGCGTAAAGGGGCTGGGGTAGGGGGCGCTTAATTGAGACCCCAGGACGGTCCCCAGTATCTGAGGCTGCCCGCAGGAAACGGAGCGTTTGCTGAGATGCACTCTTGGGCCTGTCAGTTTCCTGACCCCGTGGGAAGGCGATTCTCATGCATCTCATTGACGCCCCCAGTGACCCTACCCCAGAGCGGAACCAGTGTGAGATTCAAATAAACAGCGATAGCAACGGATTATAACCTTGACTACGATATGAGTCCAAACTGAAGGAAATAAGTCAACGGGGGAGAAGGGACAGTTGTTTCTTACATCAGAAAGCCAACAACGACAAAAAAATACCTGGGCCGGGCGCGGTGGCTCACGCCTGTAATCCCAGCACTTTGGGAGGCCGAGGCGGGTGGATCACCTGAGGTCAGGAGTTCGAGAACAGCGTGGCCAACATGGTGAAACCCCGTTTCTACTAAAAATACGAACATTAGTCGGGCGTGGTACTGGGCGCCTGTAATCCCAGCTACTCGGGAGGCTGAGGCAGGAGAATAACTTGAACCCGGGAGGCGGAGGTTGCAGTGAGCCGAGACGGCGCCACTGCACTCCAGCCTGGGCGACAGAGTGAGACTGTGTCTAAAAAAAAAAAAGCAGAAATATTACATAGTATTACAAAGTCTGCATGACGTGTGATGTAACACATTGAATGTAGAAGCAGGTATGAGAGCCAGTAGTCTTCTTTTAAGCCCGCAACAAAGATATTTGCAAAAATGTATAACTATGTCACTCGTCTCACTAAATTTCTTTGGGAAAATATTGTACTTTTTCATAAAACTATGTTAACACAATCAGCTTACTATTTTTTGGTAAGATCTTTATTGAAATATAATTCACATACCATGCATTTCTCCCATTTAAAGTGTACAATTAAATGATATGTAGTATAGTCAGAGAGTTGTGCAAACAGCACCATAGTCAGTTTTAAAACCTTTCATCACTCCAAGAAGAAACCTTTAGCCACCACCCTCCAATTTGCTAATCACCCCAGCCCTAAGTAATATGATCTATTTTCTGTCTTTATAGATTTGCGTATTCTGCATATTTCATATAAATGAAATCATGCAACAAATATGTGGTCTCTTGTGACTGACTTCTTTCGCCTAGCCTTAGCATAGCACTTTCAAAGTTCATCCATGTTGGCCGGGTACAGTGACTCTTGCTTGTAATCCCAGCACTTTGGGAGGCTGAGACAGGAGCATCGTTTGAGCCCAGGAGTTTGAGATCAGCCTAGGCAACATAGTGAGACTCTTTCTCTACAGAAAAAAAGAAAAGAGGAACAAGAGAAAATTAGCTGGATGTGGTGATGCGCTGTAGTCCCAGCTACTCAGGAGGCTGAGGTGGAAGGATCACTTGAGCTTGGGAGCTGGAGGCTGCAGTGAGCTGCGCTCATGCCACTGCACTCCAGGCTGGGCGACAGAGCAAGACCCTGTTCAAAAATAAAATAGTAGCAGAACTTAATTACTTTTTTTTTTTCTTGAGATGGAGTCTTGCTCTGTCGCCCAGGCTGGAGTGCAGTGGCACGACCTCAGCTCACTGCAACCTCCATCTCCCGGGTTCAAGTGATTCTCCTGCCTCAGCCTCCTGAGCAGCTGGGATTGGGATTATTACAGACAGTTGCCACCACGCCCGGCTTTTTTTTTTTTTTTTTCTTTTTTGAGACGGAGTCTCGCTCTGTCGCCCAGGCTGGAGTGCAGTGGCGCCATCTCGGCTCACTGCAAGCTCCGCCTTTCGGGTTCACGCCATTCTCCTGCCTCAGCCTCCCGAGTAGCTGGGACTACAGGCGCCTGCCACTGCGCCCAGCTAATTTTTTGTATTTTTAGTAGAGACGGGGTTTCACCGTGGTCTCGATCTCCTGACCTTGTGATCCGCCCGCCTCGGCCTCCCAAAGTGCTGAGATTACGGGCGTGAGCCACCACGCCCAGCCCCTCCAGCTTTTTTTGAGAGGAGTCTGACTGCGATGCCCAGGCTGGAGTGCAATGGCGCTATCTTGGCTCACTGCAACCTTTGCTTTCCGGTTCAAGAGATTGTCCGCCTCAGCTTCCCCAATAGCTAGGACTACATGCGTGCGCCACCATGCCCGGCTGATTTTTGTATTTTTAGGAGAGACGGGGTTTCACCACGTTGTCCAGGCTGATTTCAAACTCCTGACCTCAGGTGATCTGCCCGACTTGGCCTCCCAAAGTGCTGGGATTACAGGCATGAGCCACCATGCCCGGCCAGGATGCTGTTTTTGTTTCTTCGTTTGTTTTGTTTAGTTTTTGAGACAGAATCTCCCTCAGTCGTCCAGGTTGGAGTGCAGTGGTGAGATCACAGTTCACTGCAGCTTCCATCAAACTCTTGGGTTCCATTGATCCTCTTGCCTCAGCCTCCCAAGTACCTGGCACTACAGGTGCACACCACCGCACCCGGCTAATTTTTTTTTTTTTTTTTTTTTTTTTGTGGAGACGGGGTTTCCCTATCCTGCCCAGGCTGGTCTTACATTCCTAGGCTCAAGTTATTCACCCGCCGCAGCCTCCCAAAGTGCTAACCACCACGCCCTACCTTTGGCACCCTTGTTGACAACCAATTGATCATAAATGTGGTTTGTTTCTGGATTCTTGATTCTATTCCATTGATGTATCTATTACTTATTTATTTATTTAGAAACGGAGTCTTGCTCTTCTTGCCCAGGCTAGAGTGCAATGGTGCGATCTTGGCTCACTGCCATCTCTACCTCCCGGGCTCAAGTGATTCTCCTGCCCCAGGGTCCCAAGTAGCTGGGATTACAGGCACCCACCACCACGTCCGGCTAAATTTTTGTATTTTTAGTAGAGACAGGGTTTCACCATGTTGGCGAGGCTGGTCTCGAACTCCTGACCTCAGGTGATCTGCCCTCTTGACCTCCCAAAGTGCTAGGATTACAGGCATGAACCACTGCGTCCTGCCTGTTATTCCTTTTCAATATTCTTTTGCCTACTCTGGGTCTTTTGAGTTTCCAGTTGTCATCTTTCTTGTCAATCTTTGTGAAAATGAATCACTACCTTTAATTTTACATCGTTGAGACCACCGCAATTTTTTTTTTTTTTTTTTGAGACGGAGTCTTGCTCTGTTGCCCAGGCTGGAGTGCAGTGGTGTGATCTCGGCTCACTGCAATCTCTATCTCCCGGGTTCACGCCATTCTCCTGCCTCAGCCTCCCGAGTAGCTGGGCCTACAGGCGCCCGCCACCAAGTCCGGCTAATTTTTTGTATTTTTAGTAGAGACAGGGTTTCACCGTGTTAGCCAGGTTGGTCTCAATCTCCTGACCTTGTGATCTGCCTGCCTCGGCCTCCCAAAGTTCTGGGATTACAGGCGTGAGCCACCACGCCCGGCCGCAATTATTATTATTATAATTATTTTGAGGGGGACTCTCGCTCTGTTGCCCAGGCTGGAGTGCAATGGTGCGATCTCGGCTCGCTGCAAATCTGCCTCCGGGTTCAAGCGATTCTTCCGCCTTAGGCTCCCGAGTAGCTGGGATTACAGGTGCGCACCACCACCCCGGCTAATTTTTTAATTTTTTAAATTTTTTTTTTTTTTTTTGAGACGGAGTTTCGCTCTTCTTGCCTAGGCTGGAGTGCAATGGCGCGATGTCAGCTCACTGCAACTTCTGCTGTGGGCGGCAAGCCACCCAGGCGCCGAGGCAAGAGACTGAGGACACAAGCTGTTCCAGTATAATAAAATATAAAACAAGAATAGTTATACCAGATATAGATCTTAGACATGATTATATATGAATATCATTAATCATTAGTTTGTAGTAATTACTCTTTATCCCAATATTATAATAATCCCCGCTCTATAATCATAACCTAGGAAAAACCAGGCCATACAGAGATAGTGTAGCAGGACGAGTCGCAGACAAAACTCCTCAGACACCGGATTAAAGAAGGAAGAGGTTTTTTTATTCGGCCGGGAGCGTCAGCAGACTCGTGTCTTAAGAGCCGAGCTCCCTGAAAAAGAAATTCCTAGCCCTTTTAAGGGCTTACAACTCTAAGGGGTCTACGTGAAAAAGTCGTAATAGATCAAGTAAGCATGAGGAACGTGACTGGGGGCTACAAACATCAGTTAACAGAACAAAAAGTTTTATAGTGCTTTCTCATACAATGTCTGGAATTTACAGATAACACCAGTAGTTTTGGTCAGGGGTTAATAATAATATTATTATTTTAGCCACCAGGGCCGGGTGGTGGCGCCAAGGTCGTCTAGCTATTTATCTTACTTCTGTTTCTTTCCAACTTTTTGCTTTCTCTCTTTTCTCCTGTCTTATAAACTAGGGAAAAGGGGAGGTTGGGGAGAAACTGGGAAGGACAACAGGAGAAGTGGTGGCCTCATACCATAATAGGAGCTGAGGGGACACAGTGAGGTGTGACCAGAAGACAAGAGTGCGAGCCTTCTGTTATGCCCGGACAGGGCCACCAGAGGGCTCCTTGGTCTAGCGGTGACGCCAGCGTCTGGGAAGACACCCGTTGCCAGGGGGACCATGGTCTAGCTGTAGCGAAAAGTGTCAAGGAACAACACCCGCTACTTAGCAGACCAGGAAAGGGGGGGGGGGTCTCCCTTTCCCCGGGGGAGTTTAGAGAAGACTCTGCTCCTCCACCTCTTGTGGAGGGCCTGACATCAGTCAGGCTTGCCCACAGTTATCCGGAGACCTAACCGTCTCCCTGTGATGCTGTGCTTCAGTGGTCATGCTCCTAGTCTGCCTTCATGTTCCATCCTGTACACCTGGCTCTGCCTTCTAGATAGCAGTAGAAAATTAGTGAAAGTACTGAAAGTCTCTGATATGCAGAAATAATGGTGTAAGCTGTCTTTCTCTTTGTCTCCTCTCTCTCTCTGCCTCGGCTGCCAGGCAGGGAAGGGCCCCCTGTCCAGTGGACACATGACCCACGTGACGTTACCTATCATTGGAGATGACTCACACTCTTTACCCTGCCCCTTTTGCTTGCATCCAGTAAATAACAGTGCAGCCAGACATTCGGGGCCGCTACCGGTCTCCGCACATTGGTGGTAGTCGTCCCCCGGGCCCAGCTGTCTTTTCTTTTATCTCTTTGTCTTGTGTCTTTATTTCTACACTCTCTCATCGCCGCACACGGGGAGAGACCCACAGACCCTGTGGGGCTGGTCCCTGCACTCTGCCTCCCGGATTCAAGTGATTCTCCTGCCTCAGCCTCCTGAGTAGCTGGGATTACAGGCATGCGCCACCACGCCCGGCTAGTTTTGGATTTTTAGTAGAGTCTGAGTTTCTCCATGTTGGTCAGGCTGCTCTCTAACTTCCGACCTCAGGTGATCCACCCACCTTGGCCTCCGAAAGTGCTGAGATTACAGACGTAAGCCACCCCTCCCGGTCTTAATTTTAATTTTTACTAGAGACGTGGTCTCCCTATGTTCCCCAGGCTGGTCTCAAACTCCTGAGCTCAAGCGATTCTCTCTCCTTGGCCTCCCAAAGCATTGGGAAACAGACGTGAGCCACCCCAGTCAACCTCCTTTTGGGATTCTTGCAACTTTTCTGTAGGTGAGAAATTATGTCAAAGTAGAAGCTAGATAAAGGAATACTCCCTTCATCCCCTGAGCATTCCACGAGGTGAAATCCTCCTTTTCCCATTGGCCCAGCCACCGCCCAGCCCGTGGCCATTGGTCCAGCCCTCGCCCATTGGTCCAGCCCCGGCCCATCCCTCGTCCATTAGTCCAGCCCTTGCCATTGGTCCAACCCATCCATTGGTTCAGCCCCGCCCATTGGTACCGCCCCCTTCCATTGGCTCAGACCCCGTCCTTTGGCCCCGCCCTGCCCATTGGCCCTTCGCTCGCCCATTGGTCTAGCCACGCCCATTGGCCCAGCCCATCCCTCGCCCATTGGTCCATCCCCGCCCTTTTGTTCCACCCCTTCCGTCGGCTTAGTGCCCGCCCTTGGCCCGGCCCGCCCATTGGTCCAGCCCCGCCCATTGGCCCAGCCCCGGCCCAGCCCTAGCCCATTGGCCCCGCCCCGGCCCAGCCCTAGCCCATTGGCCCCGCCCCGCCCATTGGTTCAGCCCCACCCATTGGTTCCGCTCCCTTCTATTGGCTCAGCTCCGCCCCTTGGCCCCACCCCGCCCATTAGTTCAGGCCCCATTCATTGATGTCCAGCACTCGCCCATTGGTCCACGCCTTGCCCATTGGTTTAGCCCTCGACCACTGGCTCACCGCTAGCGAATTGATTCGGTCCCCGCCCACTGGTCCCTCCCCTGCCCACGGGCCCCGCCCTTCCCGCTGTCCCTTCCTGGCTCAGCGCGCGCCAAGGACACATTCTCCAGCAACGCGGTGCGGTACCGGGCTGAGTCCAAGCGCCAGGAGCCGCGGGGTCCTGGTTGCTGTTTTCCTGTGACGCTTGGCGGCGGCGGCCAGAGCGGCCCCAGCACCGTGCCCTGGGCTCACTGCGGCTCTCCTATCACCCAGGGGTCGTCCCGGTCCGCCCGCACTCTTCTCTCCGCCCGACCCCCCTCTGGCTGCGCGTCCTCGGCTGGCTCGGGGAGGGCGCCGCTCCTCCCTGGGAGACCCCAGGGAGACCCGCCTCACGGCCTGCGCACCTCCTCTCGCTCTAAAGCGGCCGCTGGAGGAGCCACAGGTCTGGCGGGTCCATGTCGAGGTGCCCTGGGCTCCCGCACGACCCCACGGCCTCCTGCGTCCCGCACCTCTTGTGTCCTGCAGCCGCCCGCGTCCTCTCTGGGACCCCTTCCTTCCGAGTCCGTCCACATCCCCGGCGGTTCCTCTGAAATCCGCACCCCCCAACCCCGGAACCTCGGCTCTTCCGCGCGCTCCTCGTCCCCGCATCCTCAGCCCCTAGATGTCCTCCGCGTTCTGTATCCCCCTGCACCACACCGCTCCCTCTCTCCCTGCCCTTCGCACTAGGACCCTCAGGGACCAAAATCGTCCAAGATGCCTTCCCTGGTGTCGAGTTTATGTTAAGGGGTTGGGTGAGGAGACCAAAAAGCAGTGGATGTGGTAACCACAGGGGCGCCGTGTGTCCGAGTCGGGCGCCTGTCGGAGGAAGCGAGACGGGAGGAGAGGCTGCGGCTCGCGCCCTGGGCAGCGACAGTGTGGACGCCATTGCAATTTCCCAACGGCTGCCACCCGCAGGGTCAACACACAGGCCCCCTCCACCCCTCCCAGTCGCCCACCTCCCATCCCTGCAGAAGCCACCTTAGAGCCGGTGTCTGGGCCGTAAGGAGCCCGGGTGGGGGTCAGGCGGGTGGGCGGAGCGGGACTGAGGCTGCGGGGCGGAACCGCACTCCTGGCTGCCAGCACTGCCTGGGTCCTGGGGAGGCTGCTGGGCCGCCGCTGAGTCCGCGCGCGCCCTCTCCCGGCCGTCAGGAGCATCGGCCAGAACGTCTCCAGATTCCGGCCCTGAACCCGGATGAGGCCCTGCCCAGCGCTCGGTGCTGTCCAAGGAAAATGAGACCTCGAGGTGAAAAGCGCAGAGGCTGTGCACGCTAGGGCCAAGCGGAGGACGCGTTATTACTGTTTTCTTCTTGATGATAAAACCAGGTGTTGACAAATGCCGGAGAGATCGGCATTCGCAGGACGTGGGTTGAATGTAACTTGCATTCTTCCAGTTCGGCAATCTCACTTCTAGAACTCTGTCCTAGGAACATACGAGGCTATTTCAGGATTGCTTACAACCTGGAGGCAACCGGGATGTGTCTGGCCACTGGAGCTAGTGGATTTCACGCATCCCTGCAGTGGGCATCAAGCAGCAAAAAGAATGTTGTGCAGCATTCATAAGAAGGAAGACATTTGTAACACATTATGAAAAAACATATGTGGGCCAGGCACGGTGGCTCATGCCTGTAATCCCAGTACTTTAGGAGGCCGAGGCGGGAGGATGACTTGAGGTGAGGAGTTCAAGACCAGCCTGGCCAACATGGCGAAACCCCGTCTCTACTTAAAAATACAAAAATTAGCCAGGCACGCTAGCGCGCGCCTGTATTCCCACCTACTCGGGAGGCTGAGTCAGGAGAATCACTTGAACCCGGGAGGCGGAGGTTGCAGTGAGCCGAGATCTCCCCACTGCACTCCAGCCTGGACGGCAGAGCGAGACTCTGTCTCAACAACAAATGTGTGGCATCACCTTGATTTTCTGAAAATAAAAAAATTTTAAAAATATATATTTTTTGGCCGGGCGCGGTGGCTCACGCCTGTAATCGTAGCACTTTGGGAGTCTGAGGCGGGTGGATCACCTGAGGTCGGGAATTCGAGACCAGCCTGACCAACATGGAGAAACCCTGTCTCTATTAAAAATAAAAAATTAGCCAGGTGTGGTGGTGCATGCATGTAATCCCAGCTACTGGAGAGACTGAGGCAGGAGAATCACTTGGACCCAGGAGGCAGAGTTTGTAGTGAGCCAAGATCGCACCACTGGACTCCAGCCTGGGCAACAAGAGTGAAACTCTGGCTAAATATATATATATAGCCAGAGTTTATATATACAAATATATAAATATAAATATATATAAATATATAAATAAATATATATAAATATATAAATAAATATATATAAATATATATAAATATGTATAAATATAAATATATATATAGCCAGAGTATATATATTATATACACACACACACACATATATTTTTTAAAATTTACCTCTAAGTAGTGGAATTACTGGAGGTAATTTGTAATTTTTGTCCCCTTTTCAAAATTAAAATTAATGACATCTACACTCAGCAACCACACACATGGGCGGGGGGCACCGTTCTTGGAGCTACTGCAATACCAGGTCGATGCATGGAGTGAACTAAGTAAGCTGCTATTGCAACCCCCTCCTACAAAAATCCACTTTATATACATTTTTTTAGACAGGGTCTCATCATGTCACCCACTCTGGAGCTCAGTGGTGCCATCATGGCTGACTGCAGCCTTGACTTCCTGGGCTCAGGCAATCCTCCAGCCTCAGCCTCTTGAGTAGCTGGACTATAGGTGAGCTCAGGTGATCCTCCTGGCTCAGCTTCCCCAGTAGCTGGGACTACAGGCACGCACCACCACACCTAGCTAATTTTTGTATTTTTTTGTAGAGTCAGTGTCTCACTATGTTGCCCAGGCTGGCCCCCACTGGGTTGGCCTCTGTCATACACCCCGCGGCACCCAGACTCCTCGGTGGCCCTTAGCCTCAGGTTCATAGACTCATCAGTCAGGGATTTCTATGTTTCCTCTGTGGCTCTGCGGGGGATGGGTTGTGACCTGTTTACCACTAGATCCCGGGAACCCTGCTTGGGCCTGTACATCAAAGTCCCCAAGAAGTGAAGGAGCAAGAAAGTGGCAGAATTTTTAAAATTTTCAATTTAATTTAAAAAATTAATGTTTTAAAATTTGTGTTTGGATTTAAAATGTGAATGGATATCCATAATTGCATTTTTTTTTTTTTGAGATGGGGTCTCGCTCTGTCGCCCAGGCTGGAGTGCAATGGCATGATCTCGGCTTACTGCAACCTCCACCTCCTGGGTTCAAGTGATTCTCCTGCCTCAGCCTCCCGAGTAGATGAGATTACAGATGCCCACTGCCACGCCTGGCCAATTTTTTGTATTTTTTAGTAGAGACAGGGTTTCACCATGTTGGCTAGGCTTGTCTCCAACTCCTGACCTCAGGTGATTCACCTGCCTCAGCCTCCCAAAGTACTGGGATTACAGGCGTGACCATGACCGGCCATAATTGCAATTTTTTAAACAGTTATTTGTTTTTTGAGATGGAGACTCACTCTGTCACTCAGGCTGGAGTGCAGTGGTGTGATCTCAGCTCACTGCAACCTCCACCTCCCGGGTTGAAGCCATTCTCCTGCCTCAGTCTCCCGAGTAGCTGGGACTAGAGGCACCCACCACCACACCTGGCTAATTTTTGTATTTTTTTTTAGTAAAGACGGGGTTTCGCCATGTTGGCCAGGCTGGTCTTGAAATCCTGACCTCAGCTGGTCCGCCCGCCTCAGCCTCCCGAAGGCAGGGATTACAGGCATGAGCCACTGCACCTGGCCTATTATTTCAATTTTAATATCAAATTGCTAACACTAGGCTGGGCACGGTGGCTTGTACCTGTAATCCCAGCACTTTGGGAGGCCGAGATGGGAAGATCGCTTGAGCCCAAGAGTTTGAGACCAGCCTGGGCAACACAGCGAGACCCCATCTCCTCAAAAACTCAAAAAAGTAGCCTGCCTGTAGTCTCAGCTGCTCAGGAGGCTGAGGTGGGAGGATGATTGCTTGAGCCTGGAAGGTCTGCTGCACTACAGCCTGGGCAACAGAGCAGGACCCTGTCCCTGTCTCGAAAAAAAAATAAAAATAAAAGTAAAAATAAAAAATAAAGAACAGGAGAGGGGCTCCGGGATATGGGTGGCAAAAAAAGGCAACATGGGGTCCTAACCTGGCCATTTTTGTCCTCACTGCTCACTGGGATGTGGTGTGGATGATGCTGGGTGATATCACGGAACCAGCGGCGATCCTCTCAGGCACACTCGCATTAACATGGCTATGACTGGGAAGGGTGTGCTCAGAGGTGCAGGCAGAATGGTTTTGGAGTCTGCTGCCTGCATTTGGATGGTTTGGCAAAAGAGAAGTGTGTGGAGGAGAGACAGAGGGAGGGAGAGAGAAAAAAGAGGAGAGAGAGAGGGAAGGAGAGCCGGGGAACCCAGGCCAGGGCGATACAGTATGCACTGCGTGCTCCTGCAACTTTTATGCTCCAAATGTTTCAAAATAAAACCAGAGGGTGAGGAAAACAGTGATGTGGCCAGGCCCAGTGTGCAGGCTCCAGCTCCCCAGTATGCGTCTCCCTCCCGGCCGACTGCCAGCGCCACTGAAAGACTCAGGCCCAGGGCACCTTTGTCATTCCCCCAACTCCACTAAAAGGTGGCAGCAAAAATGCTCCCCCGCTCCCGGCCCTGCTGCTCCACAGCCACCCCTCACTGCTGGGTAAGGCTTCCCAGGCAACAGCAGGAGGGGCCCGATGGTGCCACACTGAGTACAGGGCAGACGCGCCCCACAGTGACCCTGCCCTCTGACCCACCCCGGCCTCCTCTTCCTCACTCCCACTTCTTGAGGTTGCACCCGAAACGTCCTGCCCTGACATCCTCAGGTGTCCTTAACATCTGACAAGAACAGACAGCCAAGGGTACTTGGGAACAGGCCTGGAGCAGTGGCTCACACCTGTAATCCCAGCACTTTGGGAGGCCGAGGCAGGCAGATCACCTGAGGTCCAGAGTTCCAGACCAACCTGGCCAACATGGTGAAACCCCATCTCTACTAAAAATACAAAAACAGCCAGGCATGGTGGTGCGCACCTGTAATCCCAGCTACTTGGGAGGCTGAAGCAGGAGAATCGCTTGAACCTGGGAGGCGGCAGTTGCAGTGAGCTGAGATCACACCACTGCACTCCAGCCTGGGCTACAGAGTGAGACCCCATCTCAAAAAACAAAACAAAACAAACGAACAAAAAAACACTTGGGAAAGGAGAAAGCATGGTGGAGAACACAGAAACCATCTGAATATAAAATCAGGGCCAGGCATGGTGGCTCATGCCTGTAATCCCAGCACTTTGGGAGGCTGAGGCAGGCAGATTACCTGAGGTCAGGAGTTCAAGACCAGCCTGGCCAACGTGGTGAAACCCCATCTCTACTAAATATATAAAAATTAGCCGGGCGTGGTGGCGGGCGCCTGTAATCCCAGCTACTCAGGAGGCTGAGTCAAGAGAATCGCTTGAACCCGGGAGGTGGTGGTTGCAGTGAGTCCAGATCGTGCCACTGCACTCCAGCCTGTGCGACGAGTGAAACTCCGCCTCAAAACAAACAAACAAAACCCTAACATTGCCTTGAGCCCAGAGGCAGTTGTCAAAGAATGAGGACTCATGGGAAGCCTCCTGGAGGCTCGCTGACTTGGGAGCTCAAGTAGGGTAGCTGTGCTTCCTTCATCTCCCCTCCAGCAGGGATGGCACCCAGGGGGCCAGGGCAGGAACTCAGGTTTCCTCAGCCCACAAATCCCCTGGAAAAAACATGACAGGCAGGCCGCATGTGCTTTTGTCAGGTTCCTCCCTGAACCCACCCATGAGCTGCAGGCCTACCTCTCCCTCAGCAGAATCCTGGAGCTACCATTCTCAGCAAGCCTGAGCTCCCTTAGTGCCTGGGAGCTGTCAGTCTGGGAGGCTTCATGGAGGAAGCGAGACTTGGGTCAGGGAGGGCAGTGACTAAGGGGCACTTTGGAAGGGCCCAGTAAGGGCTGGGGTGCGGAGACCCAGGGGTGGTGGCATCAGAGCTGAGCCTCAAAGGACCCAGAAGCCTGGGATGTTTAAAACCTGCCCATTATGGGGTCTAGCGAACAGCTTCTTTTATTCTTGTTTGAAAGTATTTTTCTGCTTACAAAAGTAACTTATACTTGATCTAAAAAAAAAAAAAAAAAGAAAAGAAATCACACAATGTTAAAAGCAAAGATTCACCCATTTGGCCCCAGAAGCCCTGCGGACAGAGAAGAGCCTATGGCTGGGTTGGTGGCCTGGGAGGATGCGCCTGTTGTCAAGGTTACAGGGACTTGCCGGGCGCCACAGAGCAGGGGGCAAAGTTCTCCCCAGCAGCCTCAGGAGGCCCCGCTGCTAATCCACTGTCTTCTGTTCTGTCTGTGCCTGCGAGAGAAGAGGGTGGATCAGGCTGGTGTCAATGGAGATGGGAGGGCTCAGCTTGGCTGTTGGGGGTCTACCAGGCCTCACTCTCACCCCAACCAGTGGATGCTCCAGGGCCAGAAGCCTCTGCCTGACTGAGAAGTGACTGCCACTCAGGGACGCTGCTCCCAAGGCCACCAGGCCAGGGCCACAAAAGCTGCTAAAGTCATTTCCAGGAAACTTGAGGCCAAGTTTGTGCTGAGCACTGGGAAGCCGCAGCCATCGCCTCTGCTGGACCTGGGGTGGGGATGGAAGGATGGAGGAGTTGGCAGATGGGGGTGGTCGATGCCTGAGGGTGATTGCCTGCGGGACCCCTGGCGCCTGATGGAGCCCTGCTCTGCCTTTCATCTGGCGAAGATGGCTGTGCTCCAATTCTCACAAAGGCACCACGGCCCCAGGCCTAGATGGATCCCAGCAGTGAGCAGGAGTCTCAAAGGGGCTGGGAGGACCTTGAGATGGTCTCATTCCACAGAGCTCAGGTGTAACAGATCCTGAGCCAGACTCCAACCCCCTCTGCCCTCTGCAGGGACCTCCTGGTGGCCTCAGAGTGGCGACTTCGCTCCTCTGAGCCCTGCCTCCCACAGGCCATGGGGACTGCATCCTCTGCCCAAGGTTGGCAGGAGAAGCCAGGGGGACAGGCAGAGGCTCTCAGAGCAGGACTGGATGGTGGGGGCTTCGCAGTAAGAGCCAGGCACTCCCACCGGCTCTGGGAGGACGGGGTCCCTCTGAGTCCCAGAGCACTGCTCACACCAGGCCTGAGACTCCAGCAGAGGGATGGAGGCCGAGGGGTCCATTAGGTTCCTTGAAAGCTCCAAGCCTGTGGCTGCGGACACCACCATCTCAGGCATTCTGGGGTCTCAGCCCCAGGGAGGCTGTGGGGCTGTGACCCTCTGTGACCTCAGGCCACTCACCCCTCAATTTCCATCAGTGAGGCAGGGTCCCTGCACGGCCAGCAAACTGAAGGAACCTTTTCTCACAATGGGCTGCCAGGCTGAGTGCCCTGGCTGACCCCAGGGGACCACCTGTTCTGGCTGACCCCAGGGGACCACCTGTTCAGAGGTCACAAGCCAAGGCCACCTGCTACGCCTCTTCTTCTCAGGGCACGGCAGAGCCCACTCCCAGTTGGGAAGAAACCCCAACTCACCTTCTTCCCACCCACTGGGCAGCCCCCTGCCCCATCTCCCTGGAACTTCCAGTTCAAAAGGTGTACCCAGCCCATTTCCTCTGCTGCCTAGGGCCCTGCCCCCACCGCTGCCTGCCCTGGTAGAGCCCAGAGGCAGGACCTGCTGTGGGGCCAGGAGGGGACCTGTCCTCCTGCAGGGGACAGCAGGGCATGGCCTGGGCCACCTCAGGGAGAGCTGGGTGCAGGGAAAGGGGCAGCCCTGCTCTCATCCCATCTCTGCTACCATGGCCCACCTGACTATGTTCCCCAAGTCTAGCTGAAAGGTCTAGTACACAGCAGGGGCAGAGCCAAGGGCCCTGGGGAGTGGGAGCAGGGACTGAAGATGCTCAGTGCCTCCATCCATCCCATCACTCCCACAGCAAAGCACAGGGAATGAACCTGCCCCATCACCTCCAGCCAGCCCGCAGCAGCTAGGGCCACACCCCCAGCCCCACTCTCCCATGGGACCTGTGAGCCCTGAGCTGTATCTCCCCGGAGGCTTGGTGGGGGGTGATTGTGCAGAGGAGGTAGGGAGAGCAGGGGCAGTCCCGGAGAGCCAGGCTGAGGTCACTGCCTTAGTCTGCTGGGAGTCTCATCCTGCGTGACTCGAGTCTCCAGAGCCCAGCCTGCACACAGCTGCTGTTCAGTGGATGTTACTAAGTGACTGAACGGTGAGTGAGACCAAAGAAGCTTTCTAGAACATATGGAAAGGTGACCCATCAAGCCCCCGGTCTTAGAGACCCTCATCGAACAGCTGCGAGCCAAGACCTTGAAGCTGACGGCAGCTGCCTGTGGGCCCCGCCGCACCCTCAGACCCTCCCTTGTGAAGGAGCCAGTAGGCAGCGCATTCCAGAGTGGGGAACAGACACAGAGAGGCAAGGCCGCTCAGAGGCAGGGTTGGAGGTCGGCGGATGCCCAGGCCTGTGCCCTAACCCCTGTGCCACTGCTCTCCACACGTGGTCAAAGTCAGGGAACAAGGACCCGCATGCCAGGGAGAAGCGCCTGATGGAGCCAGCGCGGCTGTGGGGGCCACCCTGGGAGGTGCCGAGCTGTCCTGGGGGGCCGCTGTGGAGCCTCACCTGGGTCCTGCCTGCTCCGTTTCTGCTCAGGCTCCTGAGGGGCTGCCTCAATGGCCCGCTGGGCCTCGGGGTGGGTCTGGAGGAGGGCCTTGGCAAGGGTGGCGGGGCCGGGCACCCCCAGGGACATGACACAGTGCACACCCTTGCGCTTGGCCCCCGCCACCTTGGTGCTGTCTTTGGAGGCTGTGAGCAGGACCAGTTTGGAGAACTTTCTGGGCTTCCTGGGGGCTGCCGGGATGACTTCTGTGCCTGGCTTGGGGGATGGCTCCTGGCTGGCCTTCACACTCTCACCCTCCTGCTCGCTGGGCTCGGGCAGGGGCATCCCGGGACCCAGGGCCTGTCCCTCAGGCCACACTCAGCCCCCAGCAGGTGGATTTCTCCTACTCCCAGGCAAGGAACCTGGAGTCCAGCGGTTCCGTCCTAAGGAAGGAAGCAAAATCCCGTCAGTGGTGGAAGCCCTTGGGAGGCTCTAGACGTGGATCTGGGAGGGAGGTGGGGCAGATGGGGCTGCCTCACTGCTCGCTGGGGCCAAGACTGACAGGGGGCCTGATGGAACTAGGCTTCTGCTCTGCCAGTTCCTCTCCTGGCAGCCTTGGGAACGTCAGCCCCATCCAACCCCACTTTCCCCATCTGGAAAAGGTGCACAGTAAACACCCTCCACAAGGGGCCATCAGAATGACTAATGGACTAAGAACTCAGCCACTACCAATGGGCCTCCCACATGCTGAGCACGGACGAAGGGTTTCCACCCTGAGGACTGTTTCCAGTCCCACCTCCCACCCCTGTTATGACAGCAGGCTGTTCTTATGGACCCAGTCACAGTTGAGGACACTGAGACATGCCAGGGTGATCCACACGGCCACAGAGTGGCAGAGATGGAGTGGACACAGAGCCCATGACCACACAGCATCTGGTGTACTTTGTCCATGTTAACAGACATCAGTGTCCCTGGGCACCAAGCATCAGAGCTAAACACTCTGGGGACATTAGCTCAGTTTGTGTTGTCACAGGGAGCATGGGCCAGGCACCTGCCAGCACTTTGCAGACCATAGCACTGCAGCTGGCCCTGGCAGGTGGGACAACCAGATCCAGCCACATCCCCGTCTGAAGGCCCACATGCTCCTCTGCTCGTTGGTTCTTTTTGTTTGTTTGTTTTGGAGACGGAGTCTCGCTCTGTCGCCCAGGCTGGAGTGCAGTGGCACGATCTTGGCTCACTGCAAGCTCCGCCTCCCGGGTTCATGCCATTCTCCTGCCTCAACCTCTCCGAGTAGCTGGGACTACAGGCGCCCGCCACCACGCCCGGCTAATTTTTTGTATTTTTAGTAGAGACGGGGTTTCACCGTGGTCTCGATCTCCTGACCTCGTGATCTGCCCGCCTCAGCCTCCCAAAGTGCTGGGATTACAAGCGTGAGCCACCGCGCCTGGCCACACCCACTGGTTCTCACACCAACCTTGCGTCTGAGCTAGTGCTGGCGCTGCCCTGGCTGGGTGGGGACAGCGATGTGGAGATGTTGTGGATCCCACCGTCACTGAGGACTCCTTGGCTTCTGGCCTGGAGAAGCAGAAAGGATGGGTTGTAACCCTGTAGGGGCAAGTGCCGGGCCACCCCACACTGGTGCTGCAGCACCTCAGGACTGGGGCTCCAGGCCAGTGTGGGGTGGCCTTTCTGTCTTTTGGGGGTCAACTGGGTGGTGGGCAGACCATGGGGTCTTTCCCAGCTTACAGTTTTAGCCTAGACACAAGACTGCAGCTTGGGCAGCCACCTAGCCCCCTGTCCAGGACCCAGGCAGGACAAGGCCCAGAGACACCCACTTTCCCCTCGGGCCGATTCCCCAACCTGGGCTTGAGGTTCTCATGGTTTCCTTGGACCCCTCCCAATGCGTCTGTCCTGAGGGGTCCATGCCCAGCACCCTGGCGCTTTTTCTAAGACCCTATTGTCCATGAGAGGGGCCTAAGGATGCAGGACTGGAGTACAGGGTTGGGGGCCTTGTCCTGAGAGCTTCCCTCTGTAGTCCTCTGACCACTAAACAAAAGCAGATGTGAAGCCCCCACCCCAGGGGCACCTTCTCGAGGGGGTGGGCACTTGAAGAAATGCGCCAGGCGGCGAGTCACATGACTGCAGAGTACCGCAGGGATCGGGGTCGCGTTATCCGTCCGCCTCCGGACAAGCCAACCCCTGTTCCTCCCGTGCGGCCCTTCCGGCTCTGCTCATCTGCCTCACAGGGCGATGTGGGGATGCCGGGGACCTGGGGGCCACTCTGGGGCCGTAAAGAGTTACGGGAGGCCCCAACCACATAGCGCCCTGCTTCACACGCTGATTGGCTACGGCGCACGTCCCTCTGGCGGCCGATCTCCCCACGCCTCCCACACTCCGCAGCATGAGTGGGCAGTCCGGGCAGGAATAAATGCCAGGTTCCCTGACCCCACGTCCGAGTCCACCCCGGGTCCTCTAGCGCCTCCCGCCGTGTCGGTTCTGCCACTGCAGCGCTCCCAGACTCCAAAAAAGATGAAGCCTCTTGCATACCCAGCGTGCAAATTCCTGCAAGATACAGCAGTTGGTCCCCACAAGGCTGGCAGGGACCCAGACCTAGCAGCCTCCTCCAGGCCAGCAGCCATTCTCCGAGACCTCCACACTCACTCTGACCCCCAGACTGCACGCCTCCTTATATTAGGTTAGTGCAAAAGTAATTGCGGTTTTGCCATTGCTTTCAATGACAAAACCGCAATTAATTTTCACCAACCTAATATTTGGCACCTGAGGCACCTCCTTGCCATTCCATAGTCCCAGCCCTGCAGCCAGGCCAACTCTGAGCTGTACAAAAGGGCCCCAAAGGGGCCGGGCGCGGTGGCTCACGCTTGTAATCCCAGCACTTTGGGAGGCCGAGGCGGGCGGATCACAAGGTCAGGAGATCGAGACCATCCTGGCTAACATGTTGAAACCCCGTCTCCACTAAAAAATACAAAAAATTAGCCCGGCGTGGTGGCGGGCGCCCGTAATCCCAGCTACTCGGGAGGCTGAGGCAGGAGAATGGCGTGAACCTGGGAGGCGGAGCTTGCAGTGAGCCGAGATCGTGCCACTGCACTCCAGCCTGGGCGACAGAGCGAGAATCCGTTTCAAAAAAAAAAAAAAAAAAAAAGAAGAAAAGAAAAGGGCCCCAAAGTGACGTCAGCCCCATCTCAAATTCAAACCCCATATTAAACGAACAAGACAGACCTAAACTATTGACTAATTCTCCAAAGCGAAAAGTCAGGAAAATAAAAAAATCTCGTTAAGCTGTAACAAGAAGGGAATCGTGAAATACGTAAATTGGGCTCTTTCATATTGTGAAATATATATTTGGTGTTTGACCCTCTCTCCCAGTACATAATTCCTAAAATTCCTGGAATCTCCAAAATGATGTCTTTTTGTATGCTTAGGCACTGACTGATGGCTGGCAGCCCCTGGGCTGCTTCAATGGGGCTGGTCACCAGAAAGACCAAGGCAGGGTTAGAGGGTTGGGACTTTCAGCCCCTCCTCCAAACTCCAGGAAAGGGAGAGGGCCTGAAGGTTAAGTTGATCACCAATGGCCTATAGTTCAATCAATCATGCCTATGTAATGAAGCCTCCATAAAAACCCAAAAGGAGAGGGTTCCGAGAGCTTCCAGGAACACATGGAGTCCTTGGACGGGTGTGTGGGAGTTGGGAGTGGGGTGGGAATGGAAAGTGAGCCCCTCCCATACGTGCTGCTGCATTTATATGTGTGTGTGTGTGTATATATATAAATAAAATATATGTATATATGTGACATATATAATATATATTATATACGATATATGACACATATACAACATATATGGTATATATATGACATATATAATATATATTATATGACATATATACATTATATATTATATATATTTAAAATATATATAAATTTTAGTTATTTTTTGAGACAGAATCTGGTTCTGTCGCCAGGCTGGAGTGCAGTGGCGTGATCTCGGATCACTGCAACCTCCACCTCCTGGGTTCAAGTGATCCTCCTGCCTCAGCCTCCCACATAGCTGGGACTACAGGCACACGCCACCATGCTCTCCTAATTTTTATATTTTTAGTAGATACGCGGTTTCACCATGTTGGCCAGGATGGTCTCGATCTGTTGACCTCGTGATCCACCCGCCTCAGCCTCCCAAAGTGCTGGGATTACAGGCATGAGCCACTGTGCCCGACTGCATTTATATTTTCATCTGTCTCCTTTATAATAAAATGGTAAATGTAGATAAATTGTGTTTTTTTTTTGAGATGGAGTCTCGCTCTGTCTCCCAGGCTGGAGTGCAGTGGTGTGATCTTGGCTCACTGCAACTTCTGCCTCCTGGGTTGAAGATATTCTCCTGTCTCAGACTCACAAGTAGCTGGGATTACTGGTGTGCACCACCATGCCCGGCTAATTTTTTGTATTTTTAGTGGAGATGGGGTTTCACCATGTTGGCCAAGCTGGTCTCGAACTCCTGACCTCAGGTGATCCACCCGCCTCAGCCTCCCAAAGTGCTGGGATTACAGGCATGAGCTACCACACCTGGCCTGTAAATAGTTTGTTTTTTTGAGATGAAGTCTCGCTCTTCCCACCCAGGCTGGAGTGCAATGTCGCAATCTCAGCTCACTGCAACCTCCACCTCCCAGGTTCAAGCAATTCTCCTGCCTCAGCCTCCCGAGTAGCTGGGATTACAAGCGCCGGCCACTACTCCCAGCTAATCTTTGTATTTTCAGTTGAGACAGGGTTTCACCATGTTGGCAAGGCTGGTCTCGAACTCCCAACCTCAAGTGATCCACCCGCCTCAGCCTCCCAAAGTGCTGGGATTACAGGCATGAGCCACCGTGCCTGGCATTGTTTCCTTGAGTTCTTTGGGCCACTCTAGGAAATGATTTAACCCAAGGAAGGGGTCATAGCAACCTGAGATTGCAGCTGGCTGGTCAGAAGCATGAGCAAGGCGGGAGGATCACTTAAGCCCAGGAGTTCGAGACCAGCCTGGGCAACATAGCGAGACCTCATCACTATAAAAAATAAACAAATTAAATAAAATAAAAGAGAGAGGCCAGGCGCGGTGGCTCACGCCTATAATCCCAGCACTTTGGGAGGCAAGGCGGGTGGATCACGAGGTCAGGAGATCAAGACCATCCTGGCTAACACGGTGAAACCCCATCTCTACTAAAAATACAAAAAAATTAGACGGGCGTGGTGGCGGGCGCCTGTAGTCCCGGCTACTCCGGAGGCTGAGGCAAGAGAATGGCGTGAACCCGGGAGGCGGAGCTTGCAGTGAGCCGATATCGCGCCACCGCACTCCAGCCTGGGCGATAGGGCGAGACTCCATCTCAAAAAAAAATAAATAAAATAAAAATAAAATAGAGAGAGAGAGAACCCTGCCACTCTGGTCCTCCTGCCTGCGCCTGGCACAGAAGTGATCTGCCCAGAGCCACATCCTTGGTCCTTGACCTGGGACCTGAGTCAGGAAAAAAAGTCCTATTATGTCAACCATGACCTCTATTACTGCTACCCAACAACCTCCCTTCCCAGTGTCCCCATCACTCCACTCTGTCCCTGGGGAGATGGAGGCCTGGTCCAGAGCCAATGGCCTTGGGCAGCAGATGCTTGAAGTCAGAAATGCCAGTTACAAAGAAAACTGATCCTCAGAGCTGAGGTCCTGCCTTGGAAGCCAGTGGTCGGGATTATAACCCAGATAACAAAATAAATATCCATGAGTCCAAGCTGATACAAATAACTGAATACATAAATGTTGGAGAAGGGACAAATCTTCCTTAAGAGGAATTCTAAACAGTATGTGCGGACACTTCCCCCTCCAGGAAATGGAGCTTAAGTCCCCTCCCTTGATTGTTGGCTGGGCTTAGTGCATTTCCAAAGATGACAATCTGGGCTGGGCGAGGTGGCTGACGTTTGTAATTCCAGAACTCTGGGGGGTTGAGGTGGGTGGATTACTTTAGGTCAAGAGGTCAAGATCAGCCTGGCTAACATGGCTAAACTCCGTCTCCAGTAAAAATATAAAAATTAGTCAGGCGTGGCTGGGCGCAGTGGCTCATGCCTGTAATCCCAGCACTTTGGGAGGCTGAGGCGGGTGGATCACAAGGTCAGGAGTTCGAGACAACCTGGCCAACACGGTGAAACCTCGTCTCTACTAAAAATACAAAAAAAAAAAAAAATTGGCCGGGCGTGGTGGCAGGCGCCTGTAATCCCAGCTACTCGGGAGGCTGAGGCAGGAGAATCGCTTGAAATCAGAAGGTGGAGATTGCGGTGAGCCAAGATCGCGCCACTGCACTCCAGCCTGGGCAACAAGAGCAGAACGTTGTCTCAAAAAAAAAAAAAAATTAGTCAGGCATGGTGCTGTGCACCTAGTAATCCCAGCTACTCAGGAGGCAGACACAGAAGAACTGCTTTAACCTGGGAGGCAGAGGTTGCAGTGAGCCAAGATCTCACCACTGCACTCCAGCCTGGGCAACAGAGCGAGACTCCAACTCAAAAAAACCAAAAAACAACAAAAACAAAAAAAAAAAAACAAAAACAAAAAAACACACACACGCACACAAAAATGAATGTGGGATCAGATCCCAGATTACACCTCCGAACACAAAAAGTGCATTAGTGAAAACACTGATGAAATCCAAATAAAGTCTATAGGTTAGTTTTCTTTTTTCTTTTTTTGAGAGACAGGGTCTTGGTATATTGCTTGGAGTGCAGTGATACAACCATGGCTCACTGTAACCTCACACTCATGGGCTCAAAGTGATCCTCCCACCTCAGCTTCCCAAGTAGCTGAGACTACAGACACGCACCACTACGCCTGGCTAATTATCGTATTTTTAATAGAGACACGGTTTCACCATGTCGTCCAGACTGGTCTCGAACTCCAGACCTCAAGAGATTTGCTTGCCTTGGCCTCCCAAAGTTCTTGATTACAGGTGTGAGCCACTGTGCCCAGTTCTGTAGTCTTGTACCAACAATAATTTATTATATGAGATGTTAACATGAGGGGAAGCTGGGGGTGGGGAAGATCTATAGGGACTCTGTACTGCCTCTCGGACTTTTCTATAAAGCTAAAATAATTCCAAAATAAAAAGTTTTTTTTAAAGGTAAGTAGCTAGCTGCATTAATATGACCCAAAACATTAACTATTTTATCACAGAAAACCCAGCATAAGCAACTTTGCTCTTTTTCAGGTTGTTTTTTTTTTTTAATATAGTCTTTCCTAGTGCTTTTTCTTTAAAAGTAAAGGTTGGCCGGGCGCAGTGGCTCACGCCTCTAATCCCAGCACTTTGGGAGGCTGAGGCGGGTGGATCACAGGGTCAGGAGATTGAGACCATCCTGGCTAACACGGTGAAATGCCATCTCTACTAAAAATACAAAAAATTAGCCGGGCATGGTGGCAGGCGCCTGTAGTCCCAGCTACTCGGGAGGCTGAGGCAGGAGAATGGCGTGAACCTGGGAGGCAGAGCTTGCAGTGAGCCAAGATCGGGCCACTGTATTCCAAGCTGTGTGACAGAGCGAGACTCCGTCTCAAAAAAAAAAAAAAAAAAAGTAAAGGTTAGAAGAACAGATTGAAAAATGACTGTATACACATGTATACACACACACAAACAACAACAACAACAACAAAAAAACACCAAATTTTGAGCAAAATGGCCCTGACAAAGGTTGCCTGGTAGGAACTGTGTTTTATGAATCATTTTTATGCGTTCTGGAAAAACACAAGTGATACTTTTCTGAATATCAAATTTCAGTTAATCATAGTGTTTAATACCTCATTTTCAAAAATGACAAATATTTCTTTTCTACAATTAGTCCCATGCACACCTCCTAAGTAGTGCAATAATAAATTTGCTTCCATGACTTTTTAACTTAAAAAGTTACTTCTGCTCTTAAAAACCATGATATTTGCTCTAGCTCATGAAGCTGCAGAGAAATAATTCCACAGAATCTCAGAGAAGTGAAGGTTATGAAGATCTCCTCATACTCTCCATTTGGAGGACAAGGTAGCCAAGAAGAAGCCAGTCCTGGGACTTCCTCCAGGATAAGAGGCTTAGCTGGTCAAGCTGGTCAGCCCACAGGACTGGAGCACCTACTGGGCTTCAGGTTCCCCAAGAAGATCATGACATTGTTGAAAGAAATTAAAGAAGCCCTAAACAAATGGAAAGACATCCCATGTTCATGGATTGGAAGACTTGATATTGTTAAGATGACAACACTTCTGACATTGATCTATAGATTCTTAATTCCAGCTGGCTTTTTTTTTTTTTTTTTTTGGAGAAACTGACAAGCTGGTCCTAAAATTCATATGAAAATTCAAGGAACCCAGAATAGCAAAAACAATCTTGAAAAAAAAAAAACTTGCAGGACTGACACATCTCTATCTCAAAATATATTATCACAAAGCTACAGTAATCAATACAATGTGGTACTGGCATAAAGACCGACACAGGCCGGGCACAGTGGCTCATGCCTGTAATCCCAGCACTTTGGGAGGCCAAGGTGGGTGGATTGCCTGAACTCAGGAGTTTGAGACCAGCATAAGCAACATGGTGAAACCCCGTCTCTACTAAAAATACAAAAAATTAGCCGAGTGTGGCGGCATGCAACTATAGTCACAGCTACTCGGAAGGCTGAGGCAGGAGAATTGCTAGAACCCGGGAGGCGGAGGTTGCAGTGAGCCGAGATCACGCCACTACACTCCAGCCTGGGCAACAGAGCGAGACTCCACCTCTTAAAAAACAAACAAACAAACAAACAAAACACAGACACAGAGATCAACAGAATAGAACTGAGAGTCCAGAAATACACTCTTATATATATGGTGAACTGATTTTCAGCAAAGGTGGCAAGACAGTTCTGTGGAGGGAAAATAGTCTTAACGACAAATGTTGGGCCAGGCGTGGTGGCTCATGCTTGTAATTCCAGTACTTTGGGAGGGTGATGTAGGAGGATCGCTTGAACCCAGGAGTTCCAGACCAGCCTAGGCAACATAGTGAGATCTCATCTCTAAAAAAAATATTATTAACCAGGGTGGTGGGGCACATATGTAGTTCCAGCAACTTGGGAGGCTGAGGTGGGAGCGTTGCTTGAGCCTGGGAGGTCAAGGCTGCAGTAAGCTGTGATTGTGCTGCTGTACCTCAGCCTGGGTGACAGAGCAAGACTCTGTCTCAAAAAATAATAATAATAATAATAAAAACAAACATTAAATGCTAGGACCACTGAATATCCAATACAAAAGAATGAAGTTGTATGCTTTCCTCACAGCATATACAAAAATTAACTCTAAATAAATTATATGGCTAGGCATGGTGGCTCATGCCTATAAACCTAGCACTTTGGGAGGCTGAGGTGGGCAGATCTCTTCAGCTCGGGAGTTCAGGTCTAGCCTGGGCAACATGGCGAGACCTCATCTCTACTAAAAATACAAAAAAAAAAAAAAAAAAAGAAAGCCGGGCATGGTGGTGTGCACCCGTGGTCCCAGCTACTTGGGAAGCTGAGGTGGAAGGATTGCTTAAGCCAGTGGGGCGGAGGTTGCAGTGAGCCGAGATTGCACCACTGCACTCCAGCTTGGGTAACAGAGTGAGATCCTGTCTCAAAACAACAAAAAAACAAAAAATTATAGTTTATTACAAGAGCTACAGTAATAAAACTTTTTTTTAAAAGAAAAACTAAATTCTCATAACCTTAGATTAGGCAAAGCTTTCTTCAATATAATGAAAGGCACAAACAACCAATGAAGAAATAAACTGGACTTCAACTAAGTTTAAGAGTTTTGTGTTTTAGCCATAAAACTTTTGAAAGTTAAGAGATAACCCATAGAATGGGAAAAAATGTTTGCAAATCATATATCTGATAAGGGACTTGTATCTGGAATTTATAAAGAACTATTACAACTCAGTAATAAACAAGCAAACAAACAAACAATTTAAAAATGGGCGGCTGGGCATGGTGGCTCACACCTGTAATCCCAGCACTTTGGGAGGCCGAGGCAGGTGGATCATCTGAGGTCGGGAGTTCGAGACCAGCCTGACCAACATGGAGAAACCCTGTCTCTACTAAAAATACAAAATTAGCCAAGCTTGGTGGCACATGCCTGTAATCCCAGCTACTCAGGAGGCTGAGACAGGAGAATTGCTTGAACCCAGGAGGCGGAGGTTGCGGTAAGCTGAGATTGCACCAGTGCACTCCAGCCGGGACAACAAGAGCAAAATCCGCCTCAAAAAAAAAAAAAAAAAAAAAAAGGACAAAGGGGCAGGGCGTGGTGGCTCATGCCTGTAATCCCAGCACTTAGGGAGGCTGAGGCAGGAGGATCACCTGAGGTCAGGAGTTCGAGATCAGCCTAGACAACATAGTGAAACCCTGTCTCTACTAAAAATACAAAAATTATTTTCTTTTTTGGATTGGTGGCATGGTGGCACATGCCTGTAATCCCAGCTACTCAGGAGGCTGCGCAGCATGAGAATTGCTTGAACCCGGGAGGTGGAGATTTCAGTGAGCCGAGGTGGCGCCACTGCACTACACTGCACTGCAGCCTGGGCATCAAAGTGGTACTCCGTCTAAAAAAAAAAAATAATAACAATAATAATAATAATGGGCAAAGGCTCCAAACAGGCTTTTCTCTAAAGAAGATATACAAATGGCTAATATATGAGAAGATGCTCAACATCATTAGTCACCAGGGAAATGCAAATCAAAACCACAATGAGATATCACTTCACACCACCAGGATGGACATAATAAAACAAACAAAAAACAGATAATAGCAAGTGCTGGTGAGGATGAGGAGAAACTGGAACCCTCATACACTGCTGAGGGGAATGTAAAATGGTGCAGCCATTTTTGGAAACCAGCCTGGCAGTTCCTCAAAAGGTTAAATGTAGAGTTACCCTATGACCCAGCAATTCCACTACTAGCTATATGCCTGGAAGAAAGGAAAACACATGTCCACATAAAAATGTGTACATGAATGTTACAGTTGCATTATTCATGAAAGCCAAAACGTTTCGATGGATATTCAAAACAGCCCAAATATCCATCAATGGATGAATGAATAAGTACAATGTGGTGCATGTATAAAATGGAATATTATTTGGCAGTAAAAAAAATCTATGCTACAACATGAATGAACCTTGAAGAAATTATGCTCGGTAAAAGAAGCCAGACCCAAAAGACCACATATTATATGATTCCATTTACATGAAATTACTTAGAGTCTAGAGAATCTACAGAGTAGGAAAATCTATGGAGACAGAACGTAGATTTGTGGTTATCTCGGGATTGGGGTGGGGAAGGGGAGAATGAGAATTGACTACTAGTGGGTATGTGCTTTATGGGGTGATGAAAATGTCCTAAAAGGAATTTTCATGAGGGTTGCACAACTTTGTGATCACACTAAAGCCACTGAACTGTATATTTTTTTTTTTGTTTTGTTTTGTTTTTTTGAGACGGAGTCTCGCTCTGTCGCCCAGGCTGGAGTGCAGTGGCGTGATCTCACTGCAAGCTCCGCCTCCCGGGTTCACGCCATTCTCCTGCCTCAGCCTCCGGAGTAGCTGGGACTACAGGCGCCTGCCACCACGCCTGGCTAATTTTTTGTATTTTTAGTAGAGACGGGGTTTCACCGTGTTAGCCAGGATGGTCTCGATCTCCTGACCTCGTGATCCGCCCTCCTTGGCCTCCCAAAGTGCTGGGATAACAGGCGTGAGCCACCGCGCCCGGCCGAAATGTACACTTTAAATGGGTAAATTGCACGGTATGTGAATTATCTCAATAAAGTTGTTAAATATTCAGAAAAAGGTAAATTGAGTCTATGAACATATGAACAGCAGTTCCCCAATGTCACTATCCCTAAGAATCACCCGGAGTTTTTTTTTTGTTTTTGTTTTTTAGACGGAGTATCGCTCTTGTCGGCCAGGCTGGAGTGCAGTGGCGCGACCTTGGGTCACTGCAACCTCTGCCTCCCGGGTTCAAGCCTTTCTCCTGTCTCAGCCTCCCAAGTAGCTGGGATTACAAGCGTGCACCACCACACCCGGCTAATTTTGTATTTTTAGTTGAGACGGGGTTTCTCCATGTTGGTCAGGCTGGTCTCGAACTCCCGACCTCAGGTGATCCACCCTCCTTGGCCTCCCAAAGTGCTGGGATTACAGGCGTGAGCCACCGCGCCGGCCCCGACTAATTTTTGTATTTTTTTTTTTTTTTTTTTAGTAGAGACGGGGTTTCACCATGTTAGTCAGAATGGTCTCTATCTCCTGACCTTGTGATCTGCCTGCCTCGGCCTCCCAAAGTGCTAGGATTACAGGCGTGAACCACCGCGCCCGGCCTGTGTTGCTTTAAGCCACCTTATTTGTTAGGACAGCAACAGGAAACTAATACAAGGTTCAATCCCTCACTGACGATGTTCTGGACGACAGGACCCCTGCCTGGTGCCTCATGGTGGACCCACAGAATCATCTTCATACGCACGGGGGAGAAACATCACTAATGTCCACCAGCACCGGCATCCTCAGCCGCGAGGACAAATCCCTTACCCTCCCAGCAGGTTTCATCTGCGTAACGGAAATAGTGGTGAATTTATCAGGGGCTGTTAATAGATGACAGGCAAGGGTGAAGTCATCGCAAAAGTTCCCAGACGATATGGACAGCTGCTCCCCAATAATTACTGCTCCACGCAGTCCACAGCGGGGCTGTTATTGACCCCGACAGGATGACGGGACACTAAGGTGTGCAGTACACGTCCTCACAGGGAGATTTAAAAAACCGGCAGTGACCCCTGCCCCAAGAAGGCCAAGAACTGCTACTCTAAGGTGTGCAGCGCGGAGCTTCCCCACCATGGCAATTTCAGCCATGGCAGCTCCTTCCCCTAATCACCAGGGCTCAGAATCTTTATTTCACTCCTTTACCCAATGCAATTGGCATCAAACGCGGGCTGGGCTGCGCCCAAATGGTCCCAGCTCCCCGGCTCTCTCCTCTCTCAAGAATACCCACACCCTGAGGCCCCGAGTGTCTCCCCCGCCCCAGTATCTCACGCCTCCAACTCGCTGCCGTCCCTGCAGGGACCTCCCGAGCTGCAACCGTGGGACGAGGCCGGCGGGGGTTGGGGGGTGCCGGGAAGGCAGCGCTGGGCGCGGCGGACACGGCCAGGGACCGGCGGGCGAGTGCGGACCTCCTTCGTGTGGGGGTGTTGAGGCTTTGGACAAGGGACTGGAGGGGGTGGGGAAGGAGGGGCGAGAGGCAAAGAGGGAATCGCGGGAGACCCCACAGGAGGCGGCCTGAGCACCAGGACGCGGACCCCTCCTCAGCACCCGCAGCCCTCGGGACCCCCGAGAGAGCCGGGCCGGGGACTCGTCCATGCCGAGGACGCAGGACCCTCCCCGCCCGCCAGGGCCCGTCCTCACCGACGACAGCGGTGCCCTCCCTCTCCGGCGACAGCGCCGCGGCGGGTCCCTCAGCCTCCGCGCCAAGGGCCCCAGCCTCAGCTCGCGCTGTTACCTCAAGCCGGGGTCACAGCGCGAGCATGCGCAGCAAGGCCGCGGGTGCCCTGTCTTCTGGCTGGGGCCGCTCCTCCGCGTCTTGCCCGTGCGGCGTAGAGCTGGCGTCCGGCCAATCGGAGGGCGGAGGCGGGGCCAAAATTCAGTAAGGGGGCGGGGACACCCGGGATTGAGTGTCGCCGTCAGGGGCGGAGCCTCGGGGGACCTGCGGCCTGGATCCGGGTTGCGGGCGAGGTTATCCCAGCACCAGTGGGTTGGGCTTCACTGCGACCCCCGGGCTTCCTCACGGATTTGACTCCGGCTCTCTGCGGGGAAAACTGGAGCATTTGTTTAAAGGTTTTGCTCTCCCCCGTCGCGATACCGAGCGTGCGGAGGGAAGGTGTTTAGGCTCATGGAAGCCACTGCCTTGCTTTAAGCTCTGCATCCTTGACGACGCAGCAGCCTCATCCGCGCCATTGGTCCAGCCCTCGTCTATTAGTTTAGCCCCTGCCCATTGGTCCAGCCCTCGCCCAATAGTCCCGCCCTCTCTCTGTAGTTCAGCCCCTGTCCATTCATCCTTTCTCGTTATTGGTCCAGCCCTGGCCCATTGGGCCCACCCGTGCCCACGGGCCCCGCCCTCTCCGTGCCCAACCACGTTCACCCGGCCCAAGGGGTGCCCGGGACACTCGCCATCCTCCAGCCACCCACTGCAGTGGGACTGGGCTGGGTCCGGGCACAGGGAGCTGTGGGGCCCTGGGCGCTGCTTTCCTGGGACACTTGGCTGCAGCGTCCAGAGCGGCCCCCGCACAGCCCCCTAGGCTCACCGCGGCTCTCCCAGCCCCGCGGGGTCGCCCCCACTACCCCGGCCACCTTGGTCCCCCTAAGCCTGGCTCCGCGCCCCGCCCCCCTCGCTCTAAAGCGGCCGCTGAATGTGCCACCGCCCCAGGGCTCCAGGGTCCAGGTCGAGATCCTCTGGGGCCTCCCGCACCTTCCGCCTTCTCACGTCCGAATGCCAGCGTCGCTGCACGCCCTTCCTCTGCCCTGCCCCTCCCGGCCCTGGCTCTGCAGGTCTCTGAATCCCACCGTGGACTCCGCTACCAAGGCTCCCGCTGCCCCCATCCCACTATCCTATCTCCCCGGGCATTGTCTGGTGTCATTCAAGGCCTTTGTGCTTTTTTTTTTTTTTTAGAAACGAGAATTGCGCTCTGTCGCTCAGGCTGGAGTGCAGTGGCGTGATCTCGGCTCGCTGCAACCTCTGCCTCCCGGGTTCAAGCAATTCTCATGCCTCAGCCTACTGAGTAGCCGGGATTACGGGCGCCCGCCACCACGCCCGGCTAATTTTTGTACTTTTAGTAGAGACGGGTTTCACCATGTTGGCCAGGCTGGTATTGAACTTCTGACCTCAGGTGATCCACCCGCCTCGGCTTCCTAAAGTGCTGGGATTACAAGAGTGAGCCACCGTGCCCAGCTACCTTTGTGCATTTATTTGCTGTTATCTATTAATCATTCACAGACTACTGGTTGTTTTTAACTTGATGATGTTATAAATATCTTTGTATATGAATCTCTGATGTCAAAGATTTTTTTTTTTTTTTTTTGAGATGGAGTCTCGCTCTGTCGCCCAGGCTGGAGTGCAGTGGCGTGATCTCTGCTTATTGCAACCTCCGCCTCCCGGGTTCAAGCGATTTTCCCGCCTCAGCCTCCCAAGTAGCTGAGATTACAGGCACCGGTAATCATGCTTAATTTTTATATTTTTGTAGAGATGGGATTTCACCATGTTGGCCAGGCTGGTATCAAACCGGAGTTACCTCCGGTGATCTGCCCACCTCGGCCTCCAAAAGTGCTGGGATTAGACATGTGAGCCACCTTGCCTGTCGAGATATTAAAGATTTTTTTTTTTTGAGACAGAGTCTCACTCTGTTGGCAAGACCGGAGTGCAGTAGCACGATCTCAGCTCACTGCAACCTCCGCCTCCTGGGTTCAAGTGGTTCTCCTGCCTCAGCCTCCCAAGTAGCTGAGATTACAGGCGCCTGCCACCGCACCCAGCTAATTTTTTTGTATTTTTAGTAGAGACGGAGTTTCACCATCTTGGCCAGGCTGGTCTTGAACTCCTGACCTCGTGATCCACCCGCCTCAGCCTCCCAAAGTGCTGGGATTACAGGTGTGAGCCACCGCACCCAGCCAAAGATTTCTTGAAAGTCTTAAAAGAGGTCAAAGGAGGCAAATATTTTTAAAAGCTTTTTAAACATGTAGCCAAATTGTCCCCAAGGAAGTGCACAAGCTTGGGGTTAGATGCTTGGGTTCAAGTCCCTGCTGTGTCAATTGCCAGCTGTGTGAATGAGCAATTACATCCCCTCTCTGTGCCTCAGTGTCTTCACCTGATAAATGGGGGTGATAACGCACCCACCTCCTACAGCCATTGTGAGAATTCACAGAGTATTGTCATGTGGACTGATAAGAGTCTTGGTTGTTTTCTGTTTCTTTTTGTTTTTGTTTGAAACAGAGTTTCACTCTTGTTGCCCAGGCTGGGGTGCAGTGGTGTGATCTCGGCTGACTGCAACCTCCACCTCCTGGGTTCAAGTGATTCTCCTGCCTCAGCCTCCCAAGTAGCTGGGATTACAGGTGCCCGCCACTAAGCCCGGCTAATTTTTTTTGTGTTTTTAGCAGAGACGGGGTTTCACTATGTTGTCCAGGCTGGTCTTGAACACCTGACCTTGTGATCCACCCATCTCGGCCTCCCAAAGTGTTGGGATTACAGGCATGAGCCACCGTGCCTGGTGAGTCTTGGTTTTAAAATTTATATTCCTTAGTCCAGCAATTCTCAAACTTTCTGGTCTCAGAACCACTTATGACACAGGATTTTTCAGTGCCCCTTAGTCAGCCAGAGACCTCCATGGCCAGCAGCACCCCTGTTCAGGCCTCCCTTGGCCTGGGCTCGGTGCAGGAGACACCCCACCCATTCCGCCATTTGTGTCATGTTACAGCTCTTTCAATCCCGCTGCCCCCCTTGGGTCCTCAGCTTCAGGGCTGGCCCAGCCCACTGCTATTTCCTCTTGCCTGGGCAGGTTCTGGGGGTGGGTGGAGGGCTACAGTGTTACAGCCTTTTTCCTACCAGTGGTAGACCCTCCAGAGTTCTTGTCCCACATCCAAGAAGAATGAGGTTATGCTGACAGCCAGTGGGTGAGCAGGGTGAAGAGTTTTATTGAGCTAACAAACAGCTCTCAGCGAAGAGGGGACCCTCTCAAAGTCGGGTAGTTCCCCCCGCCATGGTGTGTAGACCCCAAGTGTGGCTGAGTCTGAGGTTTTTATTGGCTCAGAATGGGGGAGTGCATGCTGATTGGTTTCTGAGTATGCAAAAAAGGCTTAAAAGGCACTCAAAATTGGGCATGACAGTGTAAACAACCAGTTAGGGAAGGGTAGGTGTATGTAAAATAGGTGAAATGTGGGGATCAGTCAGAGGAAAGTGGGCCACACGGGAAGAGAGGTTCTCAGTATGTTCCATGAATTTATCAGAGACTTGTAGCTTGGTTTTCAGGCTTTAAAATGTCTTTGGTTTGAAGGCCAGTTTCACCAGGGATGGGATCTGTCTCTGTCTGCCTGGGGATTTGTCTGCCTCCTGCCGCCATCATTTTCACTGTTAGTTATTGAGACGCTCAGAGAGATTTTAGTTATGTGGGTTACATCTATCAATATTTACTATATAGAAATTTAGGCTGGGTGCAGTGGCTCATGCCTGTAATCCCACCACTTTGAGAGGCCAAGGCAGGTGGATCACCTGAGGTCAGGAGTTTGAGACCAGCCTGGCCAACATGGTGAAACCCAGTCTCTACTAAAAATACAAAAATTAGCAGGGTGTGGTCGTCGTGGGCGACTGTAATCCCAGCTACGTGGGAGGCTTGAACCCGGGAGGCAGAGGTTGCAGTGAGACAAAACAATGCCACTGCACTCCAGCCTGGGCAACAGAGTGAGGAAAAAAAACAAGACGGCTGGGTGCAGTGGCTCACGCCTGTAATCCCAGCAGTTTGTGAGGCTGAAGCAGGCAGATCATGAGGTCAGGAGTTCGAGACTAGCCTGGCCAACATGGTGAAACCCCATCTCTACTAGAAATACAAAAAAATTAGCCATGTGTTTTGGCATGTGCCTGTAATCCCAGCTACTCCAGAGGCTGAGGCAGAATTGCTTAAACCAGAGCCGCGGGTGGCGGTGGCAGGTTACAGTAAGCCAAGATCATGCTACTGCACTTCAGCCTGGGCGACAGAGCAAGACTCCGTCTTGGAAAAAAGGAACTTAAACTGATAAATTTAAAAACAGATTTATTAAAAACAGTGGTAATTAACCCACTGTATATCTTTAAACCAAAGGAATCAGTGAGTGGCAGTGTTTACACTTTTAAAAATCACTTTAGTGGCTGGGCGCGGTGGCTCACGCCTGTAATCCAAACATTTTAGGAGGCCGAGGCAGATGGAGCACCTGAGGTCAGGAGTTTGAGACCAGACTGGCCACCATGGTGAAACCCTGTCTCTATCAAAAATACAAAAATTAGCTGGACGTGGTGGCATGCACCTGTAATCCCAGCTACCCGGAAAGCTGAGGCATGAGAATTGCTTGAACCCAGGAGGCGGAGGTTGCGGTGAGCCGAGATCGCGCCACTGCACTCCAGCCTAGGTGACAGAGCAAGACGCCGTCTCAAATAAATAAATAAATAAATAATAAAAATCACTGGCCCGGCGCGGTGGCTCACACCTGTAATCCCAGCACTTTGGGAGGCTGAGGTGAGCAGATCACGAGGTCAGGAGTTCAAGACCAGCCTGGCCAACACAGTGAAACCCCACCTCTACTAAAAATACAAAAATTAGCTGGGCTTAATGGCGCGAGTCTGTAATCCCAGCTACTCACGTGGCTGAGGCAGGAGAATCGCTTGAACGCGGCGGGCAGAGGTTGCAGTGAGCTGAGATCATGCCACTGCACTCCAGCCTGGGGGACAGGACAAGACCCTGTCTCAAAAAATAGATCACTTTAGTGTCTGGCTTAAGAGACTACAGCTGCATTGTCACAACTGCCTCTGCATTCACTCTTCTGTGATGTGTTGTTTGCATTGAAGCACACAAAGAAAATCCAGCCCACACAGATAAATATTTGGAAAAGGGAGAAATATTTTAACAGCCTTTTCAGATAATTGTGGATAGTCTTCCTTGATACTACATCAAAACTCATGTGGTGGTTCTTAAAGGTTAGTTGCAGTGTAGAATCTGAAGTGGCATCAGTACAATTTTTGTATTCAATTACATCAGAATCCCTTGGTCAGCCAGGCGACGTGGCTTATGCGTGTAATCCCAGTACTTTGGGAGGTTGAGGAGGGTGGATTTCTTGAGTCCAGGAGTTTGAGACCAGCCTGGACAACATGGCGAAAACCCATCTCTACAAAATATTTACAAATTAGTTGGGTGTGGTCGGATGCCGTGTCTCACACCTGTAATCCCAGCACTTGGGAGGCTGAGGTGGGCGGATCACAAGGTCAGGAGTTCGAGACCAGCCTGACCAACATGGTGAAACCCCGTTTCTACTAAAAATACAAAAACTAGCCAGGCGTGGTGGCACGTGCCTGTAATCCCAGCTACTCAGGAGGCTGAGGCAGGAGAATCACTTCAACCCGGACGGCAGAGTTTGCAGTGAGCCAAGATCATGCCATTGCATTCCAGCCTGGGCCACAGAATGACACTCCGTCTCAAAAAAAAAAAAAAAATATTAGTCAGCTGTGGTGGTGCACGCCTATAGTCTCAACTACTTAGGAGGCTGAGGTGGGAGGTTCCTTCAAGCGCAGGAGCTTGAGGCAGCAGTGAGCCGAGATTGAGCCCTGCACTCCAGCCTGGGTGACAAAGTGAGACCCTGTCTCAAAATAATAATAATAATCCACTGGTCTTTTAGCATTTTGGAGGGATCTTGTACCCATGTGTGGTCTCATAACACCATGCATTGGCTTTTTAGAAAATATTGGTTCATTGAATAATGCACATCTTATGAAATGTTGACATATTTTATTATATAATATAAATGAATGGTGTCAAATACAAGTTTTCTAACTTTTTTTTTTTTTTTTTGAGACAGAATCTCACTCTGTTGCCCAGGCTGGAATGCAATGGTGTGATCTCGGCTCACTGCAACCTCCGCTTCCCGGGTTCAAGCAATTCTCCTGCCTCAGCCTCTTGAGTAGCTGGGATTACAGGTGTCCACCACCATGCCTGGCTAATTTTTTGTATTTTTAATAGAGATGTGGTTTTGCCATGTTGGCCGGGCTGGTCTTGAACTCCTGACCTCAGGTGATCTACCCGCCTCGGCCTCCCAAAGTGCTGGGATTACAGGCGTGAGCCACCGTGTCTGGCCCCAACATTTTAATTTTTGCTTGAAAGTTAGAATTTTTTTTTTTGAGATGGAGTCTTGCTCTGTTGCCCAGGCTGGAGAGCAGCGGCACGATCTCGGCTCACTGCAACCTCTGCTTCCCGCGTTCAAGCAATTCTCCTGTCTCAGCCTCCCGAGCAGGTGGGACTATAGGGGCACACCACTACGCTTGGCTAATTTTTGTATTTTTAGTAGAGACGGGGTTTCACCATATTGGTCAAGCTGGTCTTGAACTCTTGACCTCAGGTGACCCACCCACCTTGGCCTCCCAAAGTGCTGGGATTACAGGCGTGAGCCACTGTGCCCAGCCAAAAGTTAGAATTTTAAATTTTATCCTTGGCAACAAATACTGTCAGTTATTTTCCTTCAAGTGACAGACTCACTTCTCACTTTTCTCTTTTTTTTTTTTTTTTTTCCAGACAGAGTTTCACTCCATCACTCAGGCTGGAGTGCAGTGGCGTGATCTCAGCTCACTGCAACCTTCGCCTCCTGGGTTCAAGTGATTCTTGTGCCTTAGCCTTCTGTGTAGCTGGAATTACAAGCATGTGCCACCACACCCAGCTAATTTTTGTATTTTTAGTAGAGCTGGGGTTTCGACATATTGGCTAGGCTGGTCTCGAACTCCTAGACTCAAGTGATCTACCCACCTCATCTTCTCAAAGTGCTGGGATTACATGCATGAGCCACTGCACCTGGCCCTCACTTTTCTCATTTTTGAGAAGATGGCTGCCAAATACCCACATCTGAATAACCACAGTTTGTCAGTGGTTCTATCAATTAAAAGTGTTCCACAAAAAAATAGCTAATAGCACAATTCAAATAGTTGCACATATTGTTCTGCTAGAGACAACTGTATGCCCAGAGGTACTGTATGTGTATTTCCTCTTTTCCATTTCAACTAACAAAATACTAAAAAGACGTGTACTCAATGGCTAAGAATTAATAAAATGAATGATTGTGTTGCTTCATCAAGGACTTTTTTCTTTCTCTCCCTTCCTTCCTCCCTCCCTCCCTCCCTCCCTTCCTTCCTTTCTTTTTTTGATTTTCGCTCTTGTTGCCCAGGCTGGAGTGCAATGGTGAAATCTCGGCTCACTGCAACCTCCACCTCCCAGGTTCAAGCGATTCTCCTGCGTTAGCCTCCTGAGTAGCTGGGGCTACAGGTGCCCACCACCGCGCCTGGCTAAATTTTTTTTTTTAAATTAAGACAGAGTCTCGCTCTGTCGCCCTTTTAATTGAGACGGAGTCTCTCTCTGTCGCCCAGGCTGGAGTGCAATGATGCGATCTTGGCTCACTGCAACCTCTGCCTCCTGGATTCAAGCGATTGTCCTGCCTCAGCCACCCGAGTGGCTGGGATTACAGGCACCCGCCACCATGCCCAGCTAATTTTTGTATTTTTAGTAGAGACTGGGTTTCACCATGTTGGGCAGGCTGGTCTCGAACTCCTGACCTCACGTGATCCACACGCCTTGGCCTCCCAAAGTGTTGGGATTACAGGCGTGAGCCACCGCGCCTGGCCTAATTTTTGTAGTTTTGGTAGACGCGGGGTTTCACCATGTTGGCCAGGCTGGTCTTGAACTCCTGACCTCCAGTTATCCGCTGGCCTCCACGACACTCCGTCTCAAAAAAAAAAAAAAGTTTCAATACATGAATATTGGGGGACACAGATCATCATAAATGCGTTTGTTTATACTGTTGATAATGGTCTTTTGTGTTAAAAAAAAAAAAAAAAAAAAAAAAAACATTATCAGCAAGTTCTCCCCATCCTGAGAAGGGACTGAGGCTGCGGCGCAGAACCGCCCTCCTGGCGGCCGGCACGGTCTAGGTCCTGGTGAGGCAGTCGGGCGGCCGCTGAGTCCGCGCGCGCCCTCTCCTGGCCGCCAAGAGCATCGGCCAGAATGTCCCCAGGTTCCGGCTCTGACCCGGATGAGGCCCTGCCCAGCGCTCTGTGCAGCTCAAGGAAAAGTGCAGAGATTGCATGCACGAGAGAGGAGCCTTTTCTTCGTCTTTACACCCCTCTCCCTTTTTTCTTTTCTTTTCTTTTTTTTTTTTTTTCTTTTTTTTTTCCAGATGGAGTCCCTGTCGCCCAGGCTGGAATGCAGTGGCGTGATCTGGGCTCACTGCAACCTCTACCTCCTGGGTTCAAGCGATTCTCCTGCCTCAGCCTCATGAGTAGCCTCCCGATTACTGGTGTGTACCATCCCGTCCCGCTGATTTTTTTGGATTTTTAGCAGAGATGGGATTTCAGCATGTTGGCCAGGCTGTTTTCGAACTCCTGACCTCAAAGAGTCCGCCCTCTTCGGCCTCCCAAAGTGCTGGGATTAGAGGCGTGAGACACCACGCCCTGCCCCTCCCCCATTTCTTAATCCAAACACCTCAGCTTTGCCGGGGTGCAGGCTGCTGAAGGCACCCACGCGGTGGGCAGGGGTCCTGTTGATCCCTTCAACTTGGTGGTTTCATGGCAATTTGACTGCTTTGGACTGTCCACAAGTGACAGGGATTTAGCCACACGGATTTTTGAATTATTTATGATAGTGAAACAAATATGAAGTGATACAGATGTCCATTTAATCATTTAAATGATTAACAATTAAATGAAACGTGGTCTATCCCTGCAATGGAAATACAATACATGCTACGACGGGCATGAACCTTGAAACATGATGCCAAGTGAGAGAAGCCACACACGAGAGGCTACATGAGTTCATTTATGTGAAATGTCTGGAACGGGCAAATTCAGAGACAGAAGGTGGACTACTGGTTGGTTGCCAGGGGCTTGGGGGAGTGACTGCTACTAGGGCACTAGTTTTCTTTTTGGGGGTGATGAAACATTTTTGGAATTAATGATTATCAATGCACAACTTTGTGAACAGACCAAAAGCCACGGAATTGTACACTTTAAAATGGTCAATTTTCTGGCCGGGCTCAGTGGCCCATGCCTGTAATCCCAGCACTTTGAAAGGCTTGAGGTAGGAGGATCACTTGAGATCAGGAGTTTGAGACTATCCTGGGCAACATAGGGAGACCTCATCTCTACTAAAAACAGAGTGGGTGTGGTGGTGTGCGCCTGTGGTCCCAGCTACTCAGGAGACTGAGGCAGGAGGATCGCTTGAGCCAGAGAGGTCGAGGCTGCAGTGAGCTGAGATCGCACCATTGCACTCCAGCCTGGGTAACAGAATGAGACCCTATCTCAAAATAAAATAAAATGGTCAATTTTATGGCATGTGAATTAAATCTCAATTTAAAAAGAAGAAAGGAATGGTCAAGAAAGTGGCAGATCTATTAAAATTGCCCCTCAAAAATGGTTTGAACATCAGTAATTTCACTTTTTCCACATAATTTATCTTAAATACCAGAAAGTAAAACTAAAATGTCTTTTTTTTTTTTTTTTTAGATGGAGTCTCACTCTGTCGCCTAGACTGGAGTGCAGTGGTGTGACCTCAGCTCACTGTAACCTCCACCTCCTGGGGTTCAAGTGATTCTCCTGCCTCAGCCTCTGGAGTAGCTGGGATTACGGTCATGTGCCACCACGCCTGGCTAATTTTTGTATTTTTAGTAGAGACAGGGTTTCACCATGACCTCAGGTGATCCACCCGCCTTGGCCTCCCAAAGTGCTGGGATTACAAGTATGAGCCACAGTGCCTGGCCTTAAAATATCTTTTGCTTCTTGACTTTAGACGTGTATTTTCTGCATATTTTCATAACCTTTTTACACTAAAATTACTACTTGTTTATACTGCATGTCAATTGTTAAGCTAATTGTTACATTGTTGAAAACATTCACTGATATATTTTATATTGATACTTTCCTCATTCTGGGGTTCCATTGTCTTTTTTCAATCAGATGTTTTAAGTGTTGAAAAAAATCCTGGCCTTTATGGGTGAGGAAGGAATGTTTATTTCAGTAGATGTCAGCTCAGAATCAAATTACCAATGCGCAAAGCCTAGGCACACACATTCCTAAAGTATTTGGTTTCAATCGTGGGATAAATATAGCTTGAACCTAACCTTCCTTCCCCTTCCCCTTCCCTCCCCTTCTTTCCTTCCTTCTTTTTTTTTTTTTGAGAAGAAGACCTAAGAATCATGAGTTTGTATGCACCTAACATCATAACCTCAAAGATATAAAGAAAAAATGGGCACATTACAAATAAAAATTGACAAAGTAACCCCTATAATCATAGTGGGAGATGTAACAACTCTATAACAATTTTTTTGTTTGTTTGTTTTGTTTTTTAGACAGACTCTCGCCCTGTTGCCCAGGCTGGAGTGCAGTGGTGCGATCTCGGCTCACTGCAAGCTCCACCTCCTGGGTTCACCCCGTTCTCCTGCCTCAGCCTCCTGAGTAGTTGGGACTACAGGCGCCCGCCACCACGCCCGGCTAATTTTTTGTATTTTTAGTAGAGACGGGGTTTCACCATGTTAGCCAGGATGGTCTCCATCTCCTGACCTTGTGATCCGCCCACCTCAGCCTCCCAAAGTGCTGGGATTACAGGCATGAGCCACCGCGCCCAGCGAACAAATTTTAATACTTTTTTATTATTTATAAAATAATATGAGCCACTGCACCTGGCCCCAGCTTGGTTTTGATGAGAATTGGCCTGGAATATCTTTTCAGAATTCCCTTCCATGTTATGATGACTGGCCTTAAGAGAAGTTTGTGCAAGATCAGAAGGTTTAAGTGAAGCATCAGCCATGCAGCTCTGGGGTCAGCGTGGGGAGTGGGGATGAGTCCCCATCGTAGCTCACTGTGCTGCCCGCTTTGGGCAGTAGCCAGGCCCTCGGCTCCCTCAGCTCCCACCATGTCTCCTCCATTGGCTGCTCAGAGTCTGAGCCAGGCGTGTGCAGAGTTGAGGTAGCAGGCAGCAGCTTATTCTGTTTGATATTGAGGCTGTAGGCAGTGAGAGACAGATGTGGCTCCATCTTCTCACACTCCCTGCTTCACACATAATTTTTTCCTATTAGCGCTCCTTGCTACAACCAGCTTCAGCCAACGTAGGTGCAGAAGTCAACTGGAGGCAGCTCCCTGGGCTTGCTCCCATAGTCACGGAAAATCCAATCCCTATACTTACTTTATTAATTTAATTTTATTTATTTTGGAGACAGGGCCTCACTCCATTATCCAGGCTGGATTTCAGTGTTGCCATCACGGCTCACTGCAGCCTCTATCTCCGAGGCTCAACTGATCCTCCTGCCTCCGCCTCCCAAATTGCTGGGATTACAGGCGTGAGCCACTGAGCCTGGCCTAATTCTTTTTTTTTTTTTTGAAACAGTGTCTTGCTCTGTCACCCAGGCTGGAGTGCAGTGGCACAATCACTGCAACCTCTACCTCCTGGGTTCAAGCGATTCTCCTGCCTCTGTCTCCCGAGTAGCTGGGATTACAGGCATGTGCCACCATGCCAGCTAATTTCTGTATTTTTAGTAGCGACGGGGTTTCACTATGTTGGCCAGGCTGATCTTGAACTCCTGATCTCAAGGGATCCACCCACCTCAGCCTCCCAAAGTGCTGTGATTACAGGCGTGAGCCACTGTGCCCTGCTGTAATTATGTTACATCGCTCCTTGAGGGTTCTGCTTCCTCGATCACACAAATGAATTTTACCCTAACAGATATATACAGATATATCTTACGTTGATGTCATTTTAAATCACTGGGGAATGAAAAGATGATTGATTCAATAAACATTGCTGAAAAAATTACTTAACATATTTGGAAAATAGTATATCTTTATATTGTTCATAAAAATGTTTTTAAAACCTCAAACTATAAACATATTGGGAAAAGTAGAATATGCTTGCAACCCTGGAATACAGAAACAAAATGCAAACATCATAAGGATCGAAACGTAAATATATCAAAATTATAAGTTATTTAGAGGCGGTTTTTCAGGTTTGACCTACAGATTGTTAAAATAAAAATTATTGGTAGCCAGACTCAGTGGTATGAGCCTGTGTTCCCAGCTACTCGGGAGGCTGAGGCAAGAGGATGGCTTGATCCCTGGAGTTCAAGGGTGTGGTGCACTATGGTCACGTCTGTGAATAACCACTGCACTTCAGCATGGATAATATAATGATACCCTGCCTCAAAAAAAACCTGAGGGATTCACTGTGAGTCAAGGCATCCAGCTATATGCTAAAGTTGAGCAAATTTTACAAAATGCTGAGAGAGAAAAGAGATAAAAGGATAGACAGACAGACATGCTTGAATGGAGCTTTGGGGATAAAGGACATTGTGGGCCAGATATACAGCCACCAACCTTCGGCCACGCTGCGGAATCAGGATTCATTCTTGGCTAGATTGCAGAGACAGGGCAGGAGACACAGCTGAAGAGCTGGTTCGCTGGAGACAAGAGAGCTCAAGCCTGGAGAACAGTAAAGAACCTCCCCTGCCAGGCGCAGTGGCTGACACCTGTAATCCCAGCACTTTGGGAGGCCGAGGAGGGCGGATCACGAGGTCAGGAGATCGAGACCATCCTGGCTAACACAGTGAAACCCTGTCTCTACTAAAAATACAAAAAATTAGCTGGGCGTGGTAGCATGTGCCTGTAGTCCCAACTACTCAGGAGGCTGAGGTAAGAGAAGTGCTTGAACCCAGGAGGCTGAGATCGCACCACTGCACTCCAGCCTGGGTGACAGAGCGAGACCCCGTCTCAAAAATGCTCAGTCTGCAGTGAGAAACTCTAACCCTCTCCAGCTTCATCTCCCATCAGTCTCCTGCGGTTTTTCCTTTCCAGGCTTTGCCTAGGCAGTTTTCACATGCTGTCATCTCCTGTCTTCCCTTTTTTGACAGCGTCCCTCTGACTGTAAGCCCTACGAGTTCTGGGTTGGCTCACTGCTTCCTTGCCTCCTTCAGGCAGAGTGAGTTGCTCTCCAGGACTTCAACCTGCCTTCTCCCCCAGTGTGTACATCACAGTCACAGTGATTGTCTGTTTACTATCTCCTGCCTCAGAAGACTGAGCTCCTGGAGCCAAGGATCGCGGCTTAAGCTCACCCCTGCAGCCCCATCTCTCTCTACACAGGCCTAACACACGGTCAGTGTGGAACAAAGTCTTGGTCTCCCTGCTGCTGGTTGTTCCTCTCCTCAACCTGTTCCACAAACAGATGGCTGATTCTCATCCTAAAGCAAAGTTGATTTTATCACCCCCAACTCAAAATCCTTCCCTGGCTGACTTTCGCTTTTGAAACGCTTTCAATTGTTAGCATTCAGGCCTTGCACGTGGTGCACCAAGGGCTGTTAGGATAATTGGAGAGAAAAGGTTGAGGTAAGAGTCCCGGTGAGGGTCAAGGTTAGGCAAACTGATAAGTAAATTGAGAGCCCAGCGAAGCACATAATTTCCTCTCTCCTGCTCTTCCTCAAACACTCATGGAGCACCATGTGTCAGTTTCTGCGCTGAATCTTAATAAAGCAGAAAATGATTATGTTCCTATGCTGACCCCAAAAAGACACGGACCTTGTTCTGTCTCTCCACGTTGGCTATTGTCTGACTCCAGTGGTATGCTGCTGAATGTTTAACAACTGACTTTCTGGGAAGAAAAAAAAAAAGCCCTGATTTCTACAGTTTACCAATTTCTATGGTGTAAATATTCCCACCATAGCCGATTTCAAGTCTCCAATATGATGTCATTGAACATAGAGTTGGAAAGAAACGTGCAATAGCACACTATTATATAGTATTCCCACCATACAGATAAGATGGATGTAAATCACTCCAAGAACACAGATAGTAGTAAAACAGCAAAACAATTAACCAGTGATACATTTTGAGTGTTTTCTTTCTTCATTTGTTTATTTATTATTTTTTGGACAGTAAGTCGTTCTGTCTCCCAGGCTGGAGTGCAGTGGCATGATCTCAGATCACTGCAACCTCCACCTCCAGGTTCAAGCGATTCTCCTGCCTCAGCCTCCCAAGTAGCTGGGATTACAGGTGCGCGCCACCACGCCCAGCTAATTTTTGTACTTTTAGTGGAGATGGGGTTTCACCATGTTGCCCAGGTTGGTCTTGAACTCCTGACCTCAGGTGATCCACCCGCCTCGGCCTCCCAAAGTGCTGGGATTGCAGGCGTGAGCCACCGCGCAGGCGTCTACCTTTGTTTTTAATATAATGTATTTAATTGTAGGCTCATAAAATTTATTTTTTAACAATGACGTCAAAAAATGTATTTAACATCCAGCTTGCAAAACGTCTGAAAACTTAACCATGCGCTCATGCGCACTGTCTTCAAATGCGGTTTTTGACGGTGCCCATTTTACTTCGTCATGTTTGGGGCTTTTAGTGGTCGGGACACGCAAAGCCAGGAAGAGAAACGAGGCCAACGGGAGGAGCAAAGCCGGGCTCCAGTCCCTCACGCGGCCACCGGGGGGCGACAGACACAGGCCAATGAGCAGCTGGGGATCTGAGGCCCCCGGGCTCGGCCGCTGGGTCTCTTCTCCGCCCACAAGGAGGACTGAGACGCTTTTCCTGATATTTTGGGCGTGGCCCGTCACCGGCACCGTGGCAGGGGTCTGGGGCGCTGAGGGGCCGCTCCCCACCCGGACTTAGGTCCCTGGTATTGAAAACCAGCGCTGTCCATCCGCAGTGCCCCAAGTGTCCCCGGACACCAAGCTGGCTCACTCTGGCGGCCGCCATAACCCCTGCCCGGCAGCCTCTGCGGCCGGAAGTTGGCTCGGCCGGTGTTCGGGGCATCCCTCGGGCAGTTAACCGCACTTCCGCTGGCTGGGTATCCGCGGCAAGTTCAGATCATTAGTTGGCTGGAGTTAATTAACCACCAGACAATTAGCTTATCTTTTTCCCGATCCTAAGACCAGCTGGATTGGTGAGGAGGAACTAGAGACAACAGCTTCCTTCTGAGTCACCTTGAGGCAGCAGCCACTGGGGAAATGCAGGGAAGGACACTACCCAGGCTTCCTGGAGGGGTTGGCCCCAGGGCATGCCCTGCTTGGGCGGAAAAGCTTGGAGTTTAGATGAGGAAGCCTGAATTCTCCTCTAGACCTCCTGCCAACTCTTTGCCTGACCTTGGGCAAAACATTTAACTCTCTTCTGGGCCTTGGTTTCTTTAGCAAACACTGACGCCTGCTTCTCCGGCTCGCCCCCGCGCCCCACTCCCCCCACCGCTTTTTAAATGTTTATTATTTTTTTAATCATGGTTTTATTAGGTTGGTGCAAAAGTAACTGCGGTTTTTATCATTACTTTCAATGGCATAATAGAATGGGACTCTATTTGCTGCCAGATTGGGAATTCTAAGGGTATAAATATGTATTAATAAATATTATGACCTTTAAAATTTTAAAACAAATGCAAAACCTGCAGCATTTTTCGGGAATTGATTCTCTGTACATAAAAATGAGATTAGTCAATCCTTTTGGTGTCTGTTTAGCATACAATGAGTACATCCAGATAGTTAAGACCCTTGGAATCAAGATTAAGAGAACCATCAATTAAGGAGGTATGGTTGGTTAATTCTATACTTATTTTGAAAATAAGTTAGTTGGCCGGGCGCGGTGGCTCACGCCTGTAATCCCAGCACTTTGGGAGGCCAAGGTGGGTGGATCATGAGGTCAGGAGATCGAGACCATCCTGGCTAACACAGTGAAACCCCGTCTTTACTAAAAATACAAAAAATTAGCCGGGCGTGGTGGCGGGCGCTGTAGTCCCAGCTACTCAGGAGGCTGAGGCAGGAGAATGGCGTGAACCTGGGAGGCGGAGCCTGCAGTGAGCGGAGATCGCGCCACTGCACTCCAACCTGGGCGACAGAGCGAGACACTGTCTCAGAAAAATAATAATAATAATAATAAGTATAGTTAATTCTATACTTACTTTGGAAAACACCAGCTATTCAGCACGAATAGCAAAGACACCATGACTACGTTCTACTACTGTGGGACTGTAGTAGAACACTGACGCCTGCTTCTCCGGTACCCCCCCCGCCCCCCCTCCCCCGCCTTTTTAATGTTTTATTATTATTATTTTTTGAGAGTCTCACTCTGACGCCCAGGCTGGAGTGCAGTGGGGCGATCTCAGCTCACTGCTTTCCCCTTTCTTGTTGGCAGGCAGTGCGCACCTCTCCAGGGAAATTTACTCCAGTGCTTCATCCTACCTCATTGGACACAGCCGACCGTGTTGGTCCTGGTTCCCTCTTCAAATGCTGGCTCCTGGAAATAGCATCAAAGCAAGCAGCTGATAAGACAAAACTGGGTTGTTGCTTATGCTAAGGGGAAGCACCACCTTGAAAGAGTCATTGTAGAGTGGAGGTCGGGAGGGCAAAGTTGAGATACTGAGGTTTTGGGGTTTGGTTTAAGGCAGGTCCTTTGATGTCGGACTTAATCAGGGCTGGGTAAGGATCATGTTATAATAGTTTAGGATTGTTGGTCACAGTTTTGTATTGGTGGTCACAGTGAAGTGAGGGCTTCAAAGACTCTTGGAGCTTTCTTTGATGCTCCCTGTTGAAGAGCTGTGTGGTTTTATTAATGGATTTTCCTGAACTCAAGGAGTAAGGTTATTTGCAACTTTTGTGTTTCTGGGCAAGCATTTCCTGGAATAATAAAGTCACAATAATAGAGTCATGTTATTTTGCTTCAGCAATTGTGAGTCGGAGTACTCTGCTATTTGTATCCAGAGGCACCCTGTTATGGTTTCCTTGTGTGTAAAATGGGGATTATACTGCAGAGAGAAGGGGAGGAGCTGGGCATGCTTTGAGAAGACCAAAGTTTCAACGTATTGTAGGCTTTTGGTATTACAGCAATGTAGGGCTTACAAAAATGTCTGAGTCCTGGAAAATTATCCTTACTCTGAAATAGGAAATGGAGTTGCCAAGTTGAATTACATAGTTGTTTGTTAAATGTCTCCTAGACATAATTATGTCCACTGGTCCAGTGCAACTCAGAGCACACGGTTGTGGGTCCATTGCATTTATTCTGCAGAGGGAGGTGCATGCTCATGTGTTCGAAGCCATGTGATGGGGGCTTCAAAGCTGAGAATGCTCCAGGCTTATCAAGGTCTTAAAATGGCCCTGTGACTGGCCTTTCTACTTCCTTTCTGCTTGAGTCCTGGCCTTTCTACTTCCTAGCCATGTGAATTGGGATCAACTCCTCCCTCTCTGAGCCAATTTCCTCATGTGTACAGTGGGGAAGACAATGCTTGGGGCAGAATAAGAAGGGTGAAGCGAGGTGGTGTGTTGAGTATAGTAGCAAACAGTTTTTGGAACTGAGGCCCAGATGATCCCGGGGTGGCTTCAGCCCTGCAAACTGTGGATCTGGTACAATGTACCCTGAGAGAGACCATGGACCTATAGATAGCAAGTCTGTAAAGGCTCACAGTTAATCAGGTTAGGAGAAAGCAAGAGAAATGAGGATCCCAGCCCAGGGAGCCTGGGACTTATTCAGGTCAGTTTCTGCACTGACCCACATATTTAACAACCAGCTCTTTACAGGCATGAGACAATCAGAACAGTCTTGCTGGAGATGCTGGAGGCCCTGTGTGAAAACAGGCATTCACTCTTTAAGTGTTAGATTTTGAGGATAGTGGAGGGCCTGGAGCAGCTGGGCAGTAAGGGGCACCTGGGGACTTGGGGAAATGGCTGTTTATCAACCTACAGTTGACATTCAGTTTGGCTCTACCAGAGCTGAAAATCTGCCTTGCTTAGGGGAGCATGGGAGTACCAGGTGTGGGAGCAAGTGGACGTTGGTAGTACAGCCCTGGGCAGGGCAGGCATGGATGGGGGCCAGATTCTGATCAGTGAAGCACCCCTGGGCACTCCCTTGAACCTCAAGCCTGAGGTCAACCAGTGGGGCCTTGGCTCCCTGGGGCTCCTGGATGTTTGAGCAATGCCCCCCTCAGAGAACTTTCCTAAGTTTTCAGTTTCTCCCCTCTTTTGTGCTTTGGAAAATCCTTCCTCCTTCCTGTGTCTAGGTGTCTAGGTGAGGTATTTCCTGTCTTCTCTGTCCTCAAGCCACTGTTCTCCTCTTTTACAGCAGACCTTGACACCAAATCATTAAAAACCAAAAAACTAGTTCTCTTTTCTTCAAGGGCAAGAAAGACTGAGTTTCCAAGTCCTACCAGGATATTTGCGGAAATTTTTGGATCCTATTTTTCTATGGTAAAGATAGGGAAGAAAAACAAATCACATACAAGTTTTATCTCTTTTATTTAGTTTTTTTAGACGGGGTCTCACTCTGTGGCCCAGGCTGGAGTGCAGTGGCACGATCATAGCTCACTGCAACCGTGGACTCCTGGGCTCAAGCAATCCTCTTGCCTCAATCTCCCAAGTGGCTGGAACTACAGGTGTGCACCACTACACCAAGCTGATTTTTAAAAATTTTTATGTAGAGACAGGGTCTTGCTATGTTGCCCAGGCTGGTCTTAAACTCCTGGCCTCAAGCGATCCTCCTGTCTTGGCTTCCCAAAGTGTTGAGATTATGGGCGTGAGCTATTATGCCTAGGCACTACATAACTTTTCAAGAGTGTAGTTTGATAATATATGTCATCAAAAACTGTAAATACATTTAAAACCTTTATCCTAGCAATTTCCCTTCTAGGAATGTAGCTTGAGGAAATAACCAGAGATTCTTTCAAAGATTGATGAACAAGGTTACTTACTGACACATTACATACAACAGAAAAAAGAATGAATGTCCAGTATCAGAGGGCATGGGATTGAGTAAATTATGGTATATTGTTGTCTTAGTCTGTTTTGTGTTGCTCAGGTACAGAATACCTGAGACTGGGTAATTTATAATAAACAGAAATTCATTGGCACATGGTTCTGGAGACTGGGAAGTCCAAGATTGAGGGGCTGCATCTGATGAGGGCCTTCTTGCTGCCTCATAACATGGCGGGAGGCATCACGTGGCAAGAGAGCATATACATAAGAGAGTAAGGGGGTGGAACTCATACATTTTATCAGGAACCCACCCCATGATAACCAACCCACTCCCAAAATAATGGCATTAATCCATACAGGAGGGCATAAGCTTTATGACCTAATCACCTCGGAAAGGTCCCGCCTCTCAACATTCTTGCTTTGGGGATTAAGTTTCCAACACATGAACTTTGGGGACACATCCAAACCGTAACAATTCTATAGTGGAATATTATATAGACATTAATAATCATGTTATGAATGGTTTACTGATATGAGAAGATGCCATATTGAATTTTAAAAGCAGATTAAGATAATGTCACAGTATGATTCCAATAATATCCAAAAAAAAGAATATAATTTGTAGCTTGTTTTATTAAGTAAAAATTTATAAATGGTGTTTCACTTAATTCATCAATTGATTCAACAATATTGGGAGGCCACTAACTGACAGGCACTGAAGATATAATACTAAGCTGTTAAAAGTGTAATGTTCGGCCAGGCGCGGTGGCTCACGCCTGTAATCCCAGCACTTTGGGAGGCTGAGGCCAGTGGATCACCTGAGGTCAGGAGTTTGAGACCAGCCTGGCCAACATGGTGAAACCCCGTCTGTACTAAAAATACAAAAATTAGCTAGGCATGGTGGCACATGACTGTAGTCTCAGCTACTTGAGAGGCGAAAGCCCAAGAATTGCTTGAACCCAGGAGGTCGAGGTTGCAATGAACTGAGATCACGCCGCTGCACCCCAGCCTGGGTGACAGAGTGAGATTGTCTCAGAAAAAAAAAAAAAAGGGCAGGCGCGGTGGCTCACGCCTGTAATCCCAGCACTTTGGGAGGCCGAGGTGGGAGGATCACGAGGTCAGGAGATCGAGACCATCCTGGCTAACACGGTGAAACCCCATCTCCACTAAAAATACAAAAAATTAGCCGGGCATGGTGGTGGGCGCCTGTAGTCCCAGCTACTCGGGAGACTGAGGCAGGAGAATGGGGTGAACCTGGGAGGCGGAGCTTGCAGTGAGCCGAGATCGTGCCACTGCACTCCAGCCTGGGCAACACAGCGGGACTCGGTCTCAAAAACAAACAAACAACCAAAAAAATTAGAGGGTACAAGCACATTTTTGTTACCTGGATATACTGTGTGGTGGTGAAGTCTGGGCTTTTAGTGCCTATCACCCAAATCGTGAACACTGGATCCAATAGCAAATTTCTTCTCCTTTGCCCCCTCCCTCCCTCCCACCCTCCCAGTCTCCAATGTCTGTTATTCCACTCTGTGGCCACAGGTGCACATTGCTTTGCTCCCACTTATTTTATTTTATTTTTTTTGAGATGGAGTCTCGCTCTGTCGCCCAGGCTGGAGTGCAGTGGCACGATCTCAGCTCACTGCAAGCTCCGCCTACCAGGTTCACGCCATTCTTTTGCCTCAGCCTCCAAAGTAGCTGGGACTACAGGCGCCCGCCACCACACCCGGCTAATTTTTTGTATTTTTAGTAGAGACAGGGTTTCACCATGTTAGCCAGGATGGTCTCTAGCTCCTCCTGACCTCGTGATCTGCCCGCCTTGGCCTCCCAAAGTGCTGGGATTACAGGCGTGAGCCACTGCGTCCGGCTGCTTTGCTCCCACTTATACATGAGAACATGCTTAAGAGGCTAAGGCAGGTAGATCACCTGAGGTCAGGAGTTCGAGACGAGCCTGACCAATATGGTGAAACCCCGTCTCTACTAAAAATATAAAAAATAGCTGGGCATGGTGGTGTGCACATGTAATTGCAGCTACTCAGGAGGCAGAGGCAGGAGAATCACTTGAACCCGGGAGGCAGAGGTTGCAGTGAGCCCAGATTGCGCCACTGCACTCCAGCCTGGGCAACAGAGCAAGACTCTGCCTCAAAAAAAAAAAAAAAAAAAAAAAAAGGCTGGGCACACTGGCTCATGCCTGTAATCCCAGCCTTTTGGGAGGCCAAGTCTGGCAGATCATGAGGTAAAAAGATTGAGACCATCCTGACAAACATGCTGAAACCCTGCCTCTACTAAAAATACAAAAATTAGCTGGGTGTGGTGGCACGTGCCTGTAGTTCCAGCTATGTGGGAGGCTGAGGCAGGAGAATTGCTTGGGAGGCTGAGGCAGGAGAATTGCTTGAACTCGGGAGGTGGAGGCTGCAGTGAGCCAAGATTGCACCGCTGCACTCCAGCCTGGTGACACAGTGAGACTCCATCTCAGTAAATAAATAAATAAGAACATGCAATCTTTGTCTTTCTGTGTTTGACTTGTTCCGCTTAAGATAATGGCCTCCAGTTCCATCCACATTGCTGCAAAAGACATGGTTTTGTGTTCTTTTTTATGGCTTCGTAGTATCCCACTGTGTATATATTCACCACATTTTCTTTATCCATCATCTGTTGATGGACACTTAGGTTGATTTCATGGCTTTGCTGTTGTGAACAGTGTTGCTGCGATGAACACACGAGTGCAGGTGTCTCTTTGATTAAATGACTTCTTTTCCTTTGGGTGGATGCCCAGTGGTGGGATTGCTGGTTGAATGGTAGTTCTAGTTTTAGTTCTTTGAGAAATCTCTATCCTGTTTTCCATAGAGCTAAATGATGTACTTATTGTTTACAATTCTCTGTTTCATCCGATGTCCATGGCTTTTGGTTTGCTCATTGCTGTATCTTCAGCACTTCGGACAGCGCCGGCATACAGGCGGTGCTCTGCAAATGCTTGTTGATTGAGTTAACAAGGACAAGGAGAGTGTCTTATTTCCCTTGACTACTCCAGCACATGGTGGGTGGGCTCCATAGCCTTTGGTGGGACAATGAATGGATAGCCCTGTTCAAAGTAGCTCCCCAGACTCCTGGGCCCACATCTGAGATGCCACCATTGGCGAGTCACTTCTTTTGCCAGTGGCAGCTGCTGTTAACATGGAAATGCCCCAGTGGCCCTGTCAGTCATCACCACTCCAGTGCACATGGATCAGAGGCCCTGAGGCCAGGCTGGCAGGGAGTGGGGGTGTGGGTGGCAGGGGCACACAGCTCATCCAGAGCTTGCACAGGCAGGGATGCTGGCCAGCATGTGGGTCTAGCATTGGCAGGCGCTCAATAAATATTTTGTTGAGTGAATGTTGAATCATGCCAGGGTCTCCACCCCGTGGCCTTTCAGAGACTCCACCCTCTATACCCTGGGAATTGAGGAACTGCTGTCTGGGGCCCTTCCCCAGGACTTGTGCCAGGAAATCTTCACCCAGCTCCTCAGGGCTTCCCCCTGCTCCTACCAGGTCCTTCTCCTCGGGGCTCTCTTCCTGGCCACCCTGTCTCAGGGATAGCGGCATCTTGGGCAGGGCCCATGGCTACCCTTGGGTATCCAGGGCAGTGAGCTGGCTCTTCAGAAAGGCAGAAAAGCTGGAATGGAGAGGAAACCTGGGCGGGAGGCAGAGAGGGAGGCTGGAGTGGTCGGTCCCCAGCCACTTGCAGACTTGCTTCTTCCACACTCATTTATACATTCAACAAACACTCGCTGAGCCCCAGGGTGCAGCAGGCACTGAATATGATCCTGGGGGTCCACAGGGAGCCCCCCTGCCCACACTGTTTCCCCAGCACCCAGCTTCACAGTGGCCCTCTAGGGTCCAAGCCACCGCCTGGTCCCATGGTTCTGTGCCCACCTCCCGGACACCTCCCTGTCATCCGTCATCTGCCTCCCACCCCTAGGAGGTCATGTGCTTCCTGAGCACAGGACCTGCGTCTTATTCATCACATGTGTCCTGGTGCCCACCAGGGCCTGACATACAGCAGGTACTCAATATATGTTTGCTGGGTGAGCTGGAGAGGCCACCCACCTTATTCCAGAAGGCAGTGGGGTGGGGCGCAGGAGGGCCCTGGACGCCCTGGGTGCAGAGCTGAGCGGGGGACAGTGAGTAGGGTTGGGGGAGCCCAGCAGAAATTTCTGCTGCAGTGCTGCTGCTGCTCAGAGACACTGCCCCTCCTTGGCCACTCTGCGTGGCCTTTTCCTGCAGTTCCCCCAAACCCCCTCTGAGTCCTGGGACAGAGAATAATGCATCCTCTGGGGCTCCCCAGGGCCCTGCTGTTTGACTTGTCTCTCGGTGGAGCAGGGCATGGCCTCTCTGCCACGAGAAAGTGCCAGTCGTCCTGCTGCCACCCTAACCCTTAACAGACTGAGGAGGTGGGCAGCACAGAGTCCACCCCCAGGGCAAAACCCGTCCTGCTCAGAGCCATGGAGTCCCTGAAGCAGCCATGGTGGTCTGCTAAGCCCCTGACCCACGCCACCCTGACTCTGCAGGGAGCAAGTTAGGGCTCACCCCAGGCAGGGTGAGGCACCTCCTCCAGGCTCCCGAAGCCTCCATGAGGGCAGTCCCAGCAGCCACCCCCAGTGTTGGGGTGCAGGTCCGGCTCCACCACTCACCCAGCAATCTCGGGCAAGTCACTTAACCGCCCTAAGCTGCCTCAGTTTCCTTATCTGCAGAGTGGGAATAATAAAGACATTTGAGGATTAGGAGGCAATGCATGGCACTCCTAAATGTTTGCTCTATTATATAAATACTATATTTATATTTGTATAAATATATTTATTACATACATATTCACTACTATGGTTTTTTTTTTTTTTTTTTGAAACAGAGTCTCGCTCTGTCGCCCAGGCTGGAGTGCAGTGGCGTGATCTCAGCTCACTGCAACCTCCGCCTCCCAGGTTCAAGCGATTCTCCTGCCTCAGCCTCCCAAGTAGATGGGACTAAGGGCGCCTGCCACCATGCCTGGCTAATTTTTTTTTTTTTGTATTTTTAGTAGAGACGGGGTTTTACTATGTTGGCCAGACTGGTATTGAACTCCTGACCTCATGATCTGTCCGTCTTGGCCTCCCAAAGTGCTGGGATTACAGGAATAAGCCACCCCACCCAGACACTATGGTTGTTTTTAATTCACCCCCGGCGGTAGCAAGGGCCCTGCTGGAGGCTTGTTGATCGAATGAGTGAAGGGGCGCAGGCTCCTGCCTCTTTGTAGAGGAGGAAGCCTGCCCTGCTTGGGTGGGAGTGTCCCAAGTGTGGGGCGCTGCAGGGCACTGAGTCAGGGAAGGTCTCACAGGATTCAGCCCCGGGTTGCCACTGTGGCAGCCGCTGGGGGGAAGCACCGAGAATCCACTCCCAGCCCAGGACCCGGCCCCCCACAGCCCAGCCCAGCAGCTCTTTGAATCCTGGGAGTCCCAGCCCTTCCCGGGGCCCCTCTTCTCTCAACCCCCCTGCTTGGCCGAGCCCTGGTGCCCATGGGCTCCTCCCCTTCCCAGGAGTCCAGGTGAGGTGAGTTGTCAGGTGTCTGAACCGCAGGGCAGAGCCCCGCCTCCAGGAACGACAGGAGGGCGGCCACCAGGAGGCCACCAAGGTCGCCACTCACCTGATTCACAGCTTTCGGGAAGTGGGTTAACGGGATTCCCAAGCCCGGGTTGCGCCAGGTCTCTGGGCTGAGTCACAGGGGCCTGGGGCCCTGCAGGTGGGAGCCGTTACTGAGCTTTGGGCACCCCCTTGATCCCTAAGGCCCTAGGACCACCCCCAACACCCAGTACCCCAGACTTCAGCCTCTCCAAACCCAGGCCCTCCCCAGCCCGGAACCCCTTCCTTTCAGTGCCCTGGCACCTTTCTCTGCCCCTGGACAATTAATGTCAGGGACCTCTGGGCCCAAGCCCCCTCCCCTGCCCTTCCAGAGGCCACATCCTGGGGTCTCAGCTAGAGCCCCCCCAGAGCCCTGTAGCGGCTGGCTTCCTCCCCGCAGCCCCGCCCTCTGCCCAGGACCCACAGCCGGGGTGGCCGCGGGAGCCACCTGGGGACTGGTCTGACGGCATTCCGCCTCCCAGGATAAAACCTGGGGCGACCTGCAGGGAACCTACACACCCTGACCCGCATCGCCCTGGGTCTCTCGAGCCTGCTGCCTGCTCCCCCGCCCCACCAGCCATGGTGGTTTCTGGAGCGCCCCCAGCCCTGGGTGGGGGCTGTCTCGGCACCTTCACCTCCCTGCTGCTGCTGGCGTCGACAGGTACGTCCGGAGGCTGCTCCTCCCTCCTCCCTCTCACCTCCACCCTCCTTCCCTCCTTCCCTCCCTCCCTCTCTCCCTCCTGGCCTTGCCTCTCTCATCTCCTTTCCGCTTCTGCTCTGTTTATCTCTTGCTCCTTAACTGCTCTGTGCCTCGGTTTCTTCTACGGCTGTGAGGATGAAACAGAAAACGCAGCAAGTACGCAGCGCGCCTCGGTCTCCAGTTACCGTCGGCGTCGCCATCGCCTGCTCCCTCTCGCCTCCGTGTTCTCCCATCTCCTCGTCCTCCGCTGCTTGCCTCTGGGGAAGCACCGTTTTGTGTTGTTCCTGCCGCAGGAGGTCAGGGGAGGGCACACCAGCGGCAGCAGCGTCCAGAGCCGAGGGGCTCAGGTCTGTGCCTCCCTCGAGGAGCCGGTCCTGGTCCCCGGAAGGCAGGCTGGACGGGAAGCTGCGGGAGGGCAGGGTCACAGCTGTGCAGCCAGGGCCTGGCCAGGCCCCAGGAAATGCCCCGCCGGTAGGGGCCCTGGGGTTGAGAGACTTGAGAGTCTCCCTGGGCACTGGAGGGCTAGAGGTTCCTCACCACCAGGTACTCAAGGGGACCCCCTCCTCACTGGGCGCTGGGACGCCTGCTCACTGGGCGCTGGGACCCCTCCTCACTGGGCGCTGGGACCCCCTCCTCACTGAGCGCTGGGACCCCCTCGTCACTGGGCGCTGGGGACCCCTCCTCACTGGGCGCTGGGGAGCCCTCCTCACTGGGCGCTGGGGACCCCTCCTCACTGGGCGCTGGGGAACCCTCCTCACTAGGCGCTGGGGAGCCCTCCTCACTGGGCGCTGGGGACCCCTCCTCACTGGGTGCTGGGACCCCTTCCCACTGGGCACTGGACCCCTTCTCACTGGGTGCTGGGGGCTTCTCGCTGGGCGCTGAGGGACCCTCCTCACTGGGTACTGGGACCCCTCCTCACTGGGCGCTGAGGGACCCTCCTCAGGGGGTGCTGGGACCCCTCCTCACTGGGCGCTGAGGGACCCTCCTCACTGGGTGCTGGGACCTCCACCTCACTGGGCACTGGGATCCCTTCTTACTGGGTGTTGGGGGCCTTCCTCACTGGGCGTTGAGGGCCCCTCACCACTGTGTCCTGGGGCCCCTCACCGGCCTAACCGTTTCCTTCTCTTGCCCTCAGCCATCCTCAATGCGGCCAGGATACCTGGTGAGTGGAGCTGGCAGCTCTGACGGGAGGGAGAAGGGAGGAGGCCCACGCGCAGGCAGTGTCTATGTGTCCGTCCCCTGGGCACAGGTCAGAAAGGGGCTGGGGTGAGAGGGGGAAAGAGCTAGAGGGGAAGGGAGGCAGGAAGGAGACACGGATGCAAGGAGAAAGGCTTGAGAGATGCCAGGGCCAGAGGAGAGAGAGAGCCAGGAAGGTGAACAGAGTGGAAAGCAGGGTAAGGAAAGAGGGGGAGGGAGAGACCAGGTGCAGCTGACAAGGAGTGAGTGGAAAGGCCAGGGCCAGGTGAGGACCAGCAGAGAGTGAGGATGGAGGGAGGGATGGGACGGGGAGGTGGGCGGAGCTTGGGGTATGGGTGGAGCTTAGGATGTGGGTGGAGCTTGGGGTGTGGGTGGAGCTTGGAGTGCAAGTGAAACTTGGGATGTGGGTAGAGCTTGGGGACATGAACGGAGCTTGGGCTGTGGGCAAAGCTTGGGGTGCAGGCCTAGGGATTGGGATTCCGGGGGTGGGTTGTAGGAAGTTGGAGATAACAAAACTTGACCGTACCCTCCAGTTCCCCCAGCCTGTGGGAAGCCCCAGCAGCTGAACCGGGTTGTGGGCGGCGAGGACAGCACTGACAGCGAGTGGCCCTGGATCGTGAGCATCCAGAAGAATGGGACCCACCACTGCGCAGGTTCTCTGCTCACCAGCCGCTGGGTGATCACTGCTGCCCACTGTTTCAAGGAGTATGTACAGCCGGCCTGGGGCACTTGATCTTCTAAGGCCCTGGGCTTTGTGCCCCAGGCCCTGGGCTCCCTTTACAGGCTCTGCTTCCGGGCCTCTGTTCAATCTTGGTGCCCCTCGATTCTACCTAGAAGCCTCTCCTGCCTTCAGGGGCCTTCACACCCATGCTGTTCCCCCAGGTACCTCCTCCCAGACCAGGCCTGGCTGATCCTCCCCTTCCCTTTCCTTCCAGCAACCTGAACAAACCATACCTGTTCTCTGTGCTGCTGGGGGCCTGGCAGCTGGGGAACCCTGGCTCTCGGTCCCAGAAGGTGGGTGTTGCCTGGGTGGAGCCCCACCCTGTGTATTCCTGGAAGGAAGGTGCCTGTGCAGACATTGCCCTGGTGCGTCTCGAGCGCTCCATACAGTTCTCAGAGCGGGTCCTGCCCATCTGCCTACCTGATGCCTCTATCCACCTCCCTCCAAACACCCACTGCTGGATCTCAGGCTGGGGGAGCATCCAAGATGGAGGTGCGGCTTCTTCCTCTCCAAGGTGGTTGGGGGCAGATGGGGACAGAGGATGGCAGACACTCAGGGACACAGACACCATGAGCAACAAAGGGTGGAGGCCAGAGGCACAGCATGACAGAGGTGGAAGGAAAGATGGGCTGCAATCCAGAAGAAACCTTGGTGGGCAATTTCAGGCCATTTCTCTTTTCTTTTCTTTCTTCTTCTTCTTTTTTTTTTTTTTTTTTTTGAGACAGGGTGTTACTCTGTCACCCAGGCTGGAGTGCAGTGGTGTGATCCTAACTCACTGCAGCCTTTGCCTCCCAGGCTCAAGTGATCCTCCCACCTCAGCCTCCCAGGTAGCTGGAACTACAGGTGTGTGCTACCACACCTGGCTAATTTTTGTATTTTTTGTAGAGACAGGGTTTTTCTGTGTTGGCTGGGCTGGTCTTGAACTGTTGGGCTCAAGCAATCCACCAGCCTCAGCCTCCCAAAGTGCCGGGATTACAGGTGTGAGCCACTGTGCCTGGCCTCATTTCTACTTCAAAAGTATCTGGCTATGTTTTGAGGCAACAGCCAGACCCGTGAAGCTATTCAATTCATCAATACAGGAATGGCTGAAAGGGGGTGTGTGTGGGACTAAGCTGAATACAGGGTGAATATAAAGAGGCCTGATTCCAGAGTGGGAACAGGCACCCCCTGGTGGTAGCATGCCACAATTGCGGGCAAAATTCTCGGGAGAAAATGCAGCCACCTTAATTGTAAAATATAATTTTCAAACCACCACTGGAGGTTTGGAAAACATCATCTCAAAACTCAAACTAGATTACATAAAGCAAGAAGCAGGGAAGCAGCAAGAGAAAGGTAGATGACAGATCGACAGGCAGATGGATGATAGAGACTGGGCCAAGGAAAAGAAACATACAGGCAGAAATGAGGATACAATGAAGACCTGGAAGAAAGAGTTTGAAAGAGAGAGCTAGAGACTAAGTAATAACAAAGTGTAAGACAGATGAAAATTTAACCAGATTCCAGAATAATTAAGAGAAATGACACTAGCTCAGGTGTGTGGGGATCCCAGTAACTCTGAGGTTGCAACCTCTCCATGATCTCTGTAGGGGCTTCTTCAAGAGCTAGAATCGCGGACTTTCAGTCCACAATCTGCAGACCACAGTCTGTAGACCAGCTCCAGGCAAGGCGTGGGGATCCCTCAGGTCCTGGTAATTTTCAACATCGAGTGGACATTTATTGAACACTTCTTCTATAGCAGTCCCAGTGCTGGATGAAGTAATGCAGTATCTGAGACAGGAAGGGCTCTAACCATCTGTGGATATAAGAAAATTTATTAAAGAGGTAGGGTCTTAGGTTTCACATTCATGTTCTAATTCAGCAGGGCCAGAGGTGGAGACCTGGAATTTCAATTTTCTGAAGGCATCTTGGGAGAGACTGGTAGAGCTAATCTGTTAGCCTTTGAGAACCGCTGCTGAGAGGAATGGTGTTGGGGGGGAATAGTCCTTTGAGGAGGCAACGAGGAGGGGAGACCCCCAAACCTGATTCTGTCCTCTTTCCTCCCAGTTCCCTTGCCCCACCCTCAGACCCTGCAGAAGCTGAAGGTTCCTATCATCGACTCGGAAGTCTGCAGCCATCTGTACTGGCGGGGAGCAGGACAGGGACCCATCACTGAGGACATGCTGTGTGCCGGCTACTTGGAGGGGGAGCGGGATGCTTGTCTGGTGAGCTCCCTCGAGCCCCCCACCCCTGGCCAGGAGGGCCTCGGGAAGGAGCCAGCGTCAGTCCTGTCCCCACTGAGCCCCACAACCTCTCCCTGGCCTCCTCCCCAGAACTGGCTGTGCCTGACAGTCCCGGGTCCCCATAGAACCAGCCTCAGCCTGGCTCAGCCACTCACTTATTTGTTCAGACATTAAACTGGGCATCCCAGCTGCACCACCTCGCCCTCCGCGAGCTTTCATTTCCTTCAGGGGGCTTCCCACGCCTCAGTGCCCAGAGCCAGCTGTAGCTCAGGGGCTGTCTGGAAGACGGTCAGATGGTGCAGCGGCAGCACCCGCGCCTGGACGTCTTAAGGCCTGGCTGCAGCTCCTACTCTGCCGCCGGGGACTTCTCACCTGGGTGGAGCTCAGGTCCTGTCTCCTCCAGGAAGGAGAAACGGGCTCCCGGGAAGGGGCTCATCTGCCCCCTGACAGGGCACGGGCCCTGGATTCTGCCACCCCCTGTGCCACGGGGGTTCCTAACCTCGCCTCCTCTCTGCAGGGCGACTCCGGGGGCCCCCTCATGTGCCAGGTGGACGGCGCCTGGCTGCTGGCCGGCATCATCAGCTGGGGCGAGGGCTGTGCCGAGCGCAACAGGCCCGGGGTCTACATCAGCCTCTCTGCGCACCGCTCCTGGGTGGAGAAGATCGTGCAAGGGGTGCAGCTCCGCGGGCGCGCTCAGGGGGGTGGGGCCCTCAGGGCACCGAGCCAGGGCTCTGGGGCCGCCGCGCGCTCCTAGGGCGCAGCGGGACGCGGGGCTCGGATCTGAAAGGCGGCCAGATCCACATCTGGATCTGGATCTGCGGCGGCCTCGGGCGGTTTCCCCCGCCGTAAATAGGCTCATCTACCTCTACCTCTGGGGGCCCGGACGGCTGCTGCGGAAAGGAAACCCCCTCCCCGACCCGCCCGACGGCCTCAGGCCCCGCCTCCAAGGCATCAGGCCCCGCCCAACGGCCTCATGTCCCCGCCCCCACGACTTCCGGCCCCGCCCCGGGCCCCAGCGCTTTTGTGTATATAAATGTTAATGATTTTTATAGGTATTTGTAACCCTGCCCACATATCTTATTTATTCCTCCAATTTCAATAAATTATTTATTCTCCAGTGTCTGTTTTTTCCCATGCCTGGGGACACTGGAAAGCAAGGGTCCAGAGGGGGTTAAGGTTGGGGGTTGGATGTTGGCCTAGCCAGAGACTGCGTGGTCCTGTCCACCTGGGGCTGACGCCGACCCCTGCTTCCACCTAGGGTTCAGCCTTCTGACCCCTGACCTTTGCAGCCCTGGGCCACCCTCCCTTTTATCCCTCTCCCACCAGGGCAGGGCAGCCGATGGAGAAGGGGCAGAGTCTAGAGGCCTGGAAGACCCAGCTCTGGTGCTTCAGGAAGGGGAGGAGAGGGGTTGGGACTCCGAAACTGTGCGTTGGATTCCAAAACAGGGCTGGTGAGGAGAAACCCAGCCCCATGAGAGTGAGGTGCTACCTCTCTACCCCAGGCCAAGCCCCCCCTTCTGCTCTCTCCACCACAGGCCTCAGGGGCCTCAGGATGGCAGAGCTGCGGGTGGTGGTGGAGGGAGGCGCCCAGGTGAGCCCCATCAGAGCCCCGTCTCCGTGGGCTGGCTGTTGGGTCCTCATCCCCAGGAGCCGATTTGTCGAGCGACTCACTGCCAAAGCTCTAAACTCCCCAGTTTGGAAGAAGCAGCGGACAGTGGCAGGGCAGGCCTCTGGCTCTGCGGGCATCAGGGGTTGAGTCACCCCACCTGTCCCCATGGGGGGTGGCAGTTTGATCCCAAGCCGAGAGGAGGGGTCTGTCTGGCTTCCTGCCTGCTTAGGGATGCAGGCTAATACTCTGTTTCCCCACATCCACTCATCTGCAGCCGGCTCTGGCCTCCTGGACCCAGGGCCCTCATCCCAGCCTGCCTGGATGCAGGCCTTCCCCAGCATCCCTGTAACAAATAGGTATGTGGTTAGAGGGCTGTGCCGCTGGCTTTGGTGAGAATATGACCCTCTTAGTAGCCGATACAGAAGAGATTCACCCAAAGCCAGGTCAAGAAAACAACCAGGTCCAATTGTGCTGAAGAAGAGACACTATGACTCTGCCATGAAATATCTCCAACCAGAAATGATCAAGGGCATGGCCAAGTTTGGAGAAGGCAATACAGGTTTAGTTTTTTGGGTTTTTTTTTTTTTGGTGTCCTTTGTTGTAAGTGCAGTTCTAAAATATTTGTTCATACTGTTTTGATTGCCTTATTTATTTATTTACTTTTTTCAAGGTAGGGCTTGCTTTGTTGCCCAGGCTGGAGTGCAGTGGTGTGACCCTGGCTCACTGCAGCCTCTACCTCCCAGTCTCAAGTGATCCTCCCACCTCAGCCTCCCGAGTAGCTGGACTGCAGACGTGTGCCACCATGCCTGGCTAATTTTTAAATTTTTTACAGACGGGGTTTCACCATGTTGCCCAAGCTGGTCTCCAACTCCTGGCCTCAAGCAATCCACCTGCCTTGGCCTCCCAAAGTGCTGAGCTTACAGGTGTGAGTCACTGGCCCAGCCTGATCACTTTTATATGATTATCAGATCACAGTAAATGCTATGGGGTTGTTTTTTTTGTTTTTGTTTTTGTTTTGTTTTTTTTTTGAGATGGAGTCTCGCTCTGTCACCCAGGCTGGAGTGCAGTGGCGCGATCTCGGCTCACTGCAACCTCCATCTCCTGGGTTCAAGCGATTCTCCTGCTTCAGCCTCCCGAGTAGCTGGGACTACAGGTGCCCGCCACCACTCCCGGCTAATTTCTTTTTGTATTTTTAGTAGAGATGGGCTTTCAGTGTGTTAGACAGGATGGTCTCAATCTCCTGACCTCGTGATCCACCCGCCTCAGCCTCTCAAAGTGCTGGGATTACAGGCGTGAGCCACCGCACCTGGCCTAGGGTTGTTTTTATTAAAACAACCAACCAACCAACCAGAACTGCCCTGCTGTTTGTCAGAGTGACCAGCCCAGGGAGTGCTGGGGTGACTCAGGTGTGCCAGGTAGCAGAGCCAACCGCCACGGCCTCTCCCTTTGTGACCTGGTCCCCTCTTGATGTCACCCTATGCTCTGGCTTCTCTTATCTCCTCTGTGGGCTTTAGCCCCTCCCCTCTCCAGCCCTCCTTTGCTGGCCTCTCTCCCTCACTCGGTTTCCCCCTCTGCCCCTGCTCCTCGACTGCCCCCTTCTGTCTCTGAGTGCCCCCTCCCTCATTTCTCTACCTCCCTCCCCTGCTCCTGTCCTGGAGTCTCTCCCTTCAGTGTCTCCTTCTGCCCTGTCAGCTCTGCCCCACTGCTCTGTGCCGCCAGGCCAGCCCTCTCCTGCCCCTCGTCTTCCTCTTTTTCCTCTCCTCTCCCTGCTCCTGTCCTGTTTCTCCTCCTTGTCAACTCTCGTTCTCCGACCCTCAGTTTTGTGGGTGCCTGTCCCTTTACCCCATCCCTCCACAGGCCCTGGTGCATGTGCATCTACTCCCTCTAATAGGGTCCTGACAGAAGCCCCTGAGAATGTAGCGCCTAGAGGGGGGCGGAGAAACCACCCTGTAAGTGGCAGGATTCACCAGGGAGGGTGGGGATTTCTCTGAGTTGGGAGGTCGCCTCCAGGCAGCCTTGAGCTTAAGGGAGCCTCTCGTGCCTTCCCTAGTGGCTCCACAGGATCCTAGGGCCCTGAGGACAGGCTAGGGGTGGAGCGGGAAGTCAGCCCTGCCTCTGCAGGGCAACAGGACTTCCAACGATGCCCTCCCCAAACCGGGGGGGGGTTCCAGGAGGTGGGTACAGAGTCTCCCCAGCCTCTGTGGGGCTCAGGCAGCACGTGCATCTCCAACATCTCGGCGACCCTTCCCTCGGGGGTCCTGCTGGCTCATAGCGTGTGCACCCTACTCAGAGTCGGGCCAGCCCATGTCCCCAAACTTTGCTGAACATGCTGAGACTATGGCTGACAGAACAGCCCTCTTCTCCCTGGTTGGAGCCTGGACCAGGAACAAGTCCCACATGTGAACCATGTTGGGTGGGGGGACCTCGCTACCTCTGCCCCACCAGCATCACCTGTCTCTAGGGGCTGCAGAGACCCGTAGGCCTGGCTGTCTCCTCGAGGGAATCCCACATGTTCCAGTTGTACTGGTCCCACATGGCCGGCTACACGCCCATCCTAGACTCCTGGGCAGACGGCTCTGCCTCCTTTTTCACCTCTCCCATGGAACAGCCCTTTGCAGAGCTCTCTCTGTCTCCCTAACAGCACTGGTGAGGACCATCTGACCTCCGCGACAAATGTCATTACATCAGGAACTGCCTTAGATGCAGGCTGTGAGGTCTGCCTACTCCTTCCTCAAATCGTGAGCCCTTGAGGGGACTTCCTTCTATGCCCGGGACCTCCTAACTCTTCTCCACTTTGCATCCGAAGCAAGCATTTAAAAGCACATACTTAAATACATGACTTCCCTCCGTGGCAGGCTCCTTTGGTTGCTGAGCCAGCCCCTATTTCAACTCTTCTCTTTGCTTCCTCCACCTGGAAGAGCTAAATGCTCATTGTCTCCTGCATGGTCAAGTGTGCCTATGGGACTAAGTGTTGACCCATGAGATGGGTGGTTTCTTAGGAAGACTGTTTTTCCCTGATTAAAGGGACATATTCAGCTGTCGTCATCCTTTCTCTCCTTCCTCCTTCTTCTAGTCCTGAATGCACACGCAATGCCCAGACTTCAGCAGCCATTTACGACACGCTAATGACAGTGAACCACGATTCAACAGCTATGGGTGTGATGGCGAGGTCAAGACGCTGCCCTAGCACTACACAGCCTGCCTCCTTCCAGGCTTCTTGTTGTTTTTTGTTTGTTTGTTTGTTTTTGAGATGGAGTTTCATTCTTGTTGCCCAGGCTGGAGTGCAATGGTGTGATCTCAGCTCACTACAACATCCACCTCCTGGGTTCAAGCGATTCTTCTGCCTCAGCCTCCCAAGTAGCTGGGATTACAGGCACATGCCACCATGTCCGGCTAATTTTTGTATTTTTAGTAGAGACGGGGTTTCATCATATTGGTCAGGCTGGTCTTAAACTCCTGATCTCAGGTGATCCACCTGCCTCGCCCTCCCAAAGTGCTGGGATTGCAGGCGTGAGCCACCACGCCGGCCTTTGTTTTGTTTTTTGAGGTGGAGTTTTGCTCTTGTTGCCCAGGCTGGAGTGCAATGGTGAGATCTCGGCTCACTGCAACCTCTGCCTCCTGGGTTCAAGCAATTCTCCTGCCTCAGCCTCCTGAGTAGCTGGGATTACAGGCATGTGCCACCATGCCCATCAAAAATAATTTTTTTGTGTGTATTTTTAGTAGAGATGGGGTTTCCCCATGTTGACCAGGCTGGTCTTGAACTCCTGACCTCAGGTGATCCACCCACCTCAGCCTCCCAAAGTGCTAGGAGTATAGGCGTGAGCCACTGCACCCAGTCCCAGGCTTCTTGTTTGCTTTAAACCGTGATTGGTTGGATTTTCTTTTACTTGCAGCTAAATGCATTCCTAACTGGTACATCTACTCCAAACCTTCTATTTTATAATAGTTTTAGACTTGCAGAAAACTTTTTATTTTTTTACAGAAAACTCTTTGTTTTCATGGACACAGGATGTCAGATTTCATCAGCACAATTGAATCCCATAGAAATTACCCAAATTATGAAGGCCTTGAGCTCCCAACTAGCCACAAGAATTTTGGACCCTCAAAGGGTCCCCCAGTTAGTTTCAGGTTTCCCCACCTTTTTATTGTTGTTGTTAGAGACAGGGTCTTCGTCTGTGGCCCAGGCTGGAGTCCAGTGGTGTGATCATGGCTCACTGCAGCCTGGCAAAATAGTAGGCGTTAGTAAATGTTTCATGAGTTAATGGTAATAAGTATCATCTATTTCATCAGTTTGGTGGACAGTGTGGATATCTCTCTTTTTTTTTTTTCTTTTCTTGAGGCAGAGACTCACTCTGTTACCCAGGCTGGAGTGCAGTGGTGGCATCTCAGCCTACTGCAACCTCTGCCTCCCAGGTTCAAGCGATTCTCCTGCCTCAGCCTCCCAAGTAGTTGGGATTACAAGCACCTGCCACCACACCTGGCTAATTTTTATATTTTTAATAGAGATGGGGTTTTGCCATGTTGGCCAGGGTGGTCTCAAACTCGTGACCTCAAGTGACCCGCCCACCTCGGCCTCCCAAAGTGCTGGGATTACAGGCATAAGCCATGGTGCCCGGCCCTCTTGTTTTTCTAACTAATTACTCAAGCACCACATTCTCTTTTTAGCAGAGATCCTTTCTTTCTTGAGACCATCCCACTAAATCCATGGAGTATCCAAGAATTCTACAGGTTTACGTGGGTCAAAGGGTCCAGTCCTATGAAAACTGGAAAATTCCATTATTCCTTCAATTCAGTTATGTTGCTTTGCTCAACATCAAGTGGTGGTGCCGATAGATACCGGTCTCCCTAGTCCTACAGACCCTCCCCTTGTTCGGCGGGGAAGCCTTTGCTCAACTGGCCCCCTGCCCTGATGACTTACATATGGGATCTGAGGTCAAAGGTCTTCAAGGTCATAGTCACAGGCCCAGCCATCATTTCACAGAGCACAGTGCCTGTGTGATCAGGGCTTCTGGCCTCAGCCACAAGCTGCACATGAACAGATGCTTGGGCTGAGCCTGCGTATGTGAGCCCACAGCTTGTACCACTTGCTGCATGATAGCCAATAAGTTGAGAAACAAGGTGTTGGGGTAAGGAAGGCAAGTTTCTTTCAGAAACTCAGCAAACCGAGAAGATGGTGACTAATGTCCCAAAGAACCACCTTAAGTTAATAGAATTTCAGGCTCCTTTTATGTTAGGGGAAGGAGGAGGGTTGAAATAAGAGGTGACTCACAATCACAGACATCTGGGCAGCGGTATGAGGTGGGCCTTGTGAAACTTCTTTGTCCTTGGTCAGGTCACAAGGCTCCTATAAATCTTTAGCATAACATTCTTACTTGTGTGTACACACTCCTTATTTCCTCAGGGATAAGTTTGGAGAAGGGATTATCATGCTTGCTTTAAACTATAAACTAAATTCCTCCCACAGTTAGTTCAGCCTACACACAGAGATAAGCAAAAGCAGTTAACCTAAAAAGATATCACCTGGTGGGAGGGTGGTTAGGGGTGTGAACCCAAAAGTATCTGAGACAGATTTCAATCAATTTAGAAAGTTTATTGTGCCATGGTTAAGGGTTTACCTGTGATGCAACCTCAGGAGGTCCTGATGACATGTACTCAGGGTGGTTGGGGTACAGCCTGCTTTTATACATTTTAGGGAGACATAATACATCTCCTAATACCTGAGCCCTTGAAGGGACTTTCTCCTATGCCTGGGACCTCCTAACTCTTGAGACATGTAAGATTGACACTGGCTCAACCTGGAAGGGTAGGACAACTGGAAGGGGGGGGGTCTTCCATGTCATAGGTAGATTTAAACATTTTCTGATTGGCAATTGGCTGAAAGAGTTATTACCAATAGAAAGAAATGTCTGGGGCTGGGCATGTTGGCTCACGCCTGTAATCCCATCACTTTGAGGGGCCGAGGCAGGTGGATCACCTGAGGTCAGTTCAAGACCAGCCTGGGCAACATGGTGAAACCCCATCTCTACTAAAAATACAAAAGTTAGCTGGGCGTGGTGGCAGGTGCCTGTGGTCCCAGCTACTCGGGAGGCTGAGGCAGGAGAATTGCTTGAACCCAGGAGGTGGAGGTTGCAGTGAGCCGAGGGTGTGCCACTGCACTCCAGCCTGGGTGACAGAGTGAAACTCCATCTCAAAAAACAAAACAAAGCAAACAAACAAACAAACAAAAGAAAACAAAATGAAAAAGGAATTTCTGGGTTATGATAATGGGTGTGGAGACCAAGGTTTTATCATGCAGATGATGCCTCCAGGTAGCAGGTTTCAGAGAGAATAGACTATAAATGTTTCTTATCAGACTTAAGGTTTGTATTGATGTTAATGCTGGTCCACTTTTATGAATTGCAAAAGGAAGGAGGGTATAATGAGGCATGTCCAGCCCCTCTTCCCATCATGGCCTGAGCTAGTTTTTCAGGTTAACTTTGGAATGCCCTTGGCCCAAAGGAGGGGTCCATTCAGATGGTTGGAGGGCCTTAGTATTTTATTTTTGATTTACAGGAGCAAAATGGAGCTGGGCACACTAGGCCTCCTTTTCACACCACTCAAGGGAGAATTGTCTTTGCAGTCCTTGGGGTTACTTTTTGCTAATGGGCCCAGTTGGGACTATTCCACTTAATAAGAGAAATTCTAATAATATCAAACCTCACTAAACTCTACTTTTGTGACTGGTTTCCTAACTGTAGCTTATTCAGCTACTTAATGCTTTATTTACTATTCGGTTTTACTCCCATTTCTTGTTTTTCTCCTGTTGGTGGATTTTGCATTCCATTCTTTCAGCTGCTTTACATTTCCCACATACGAATTACATCTTTCAAATTCCTGTTCCGCAATGATATGGGCTATAGGAAGTGCTGCAGAGATGTATCTGTGTTGGTATTGTTTGTCGCCTAGCTTGTGTATCATGACACGTAGCCAAGAGACACTTGGTTTAATCTGCATACCAGGAAGTTGTGGCTATTTCACTGAGGACCCCATACAGGCTTAATGACAGTTCCTTTTAGACCTGCTCATTGCCCTATGCAAACTTACTCATGCCATCTCTCAGATTTGCATATCAAGGGGTCTTGAGAAGGTCATTTCAGGCTTAAACCGTCCACCAACAAAATATTCCATCACATCTCCCCACAACAATGGTGCTCACTAGCCTAATGTTAGCAGAAGTAAAAGGGACTGCTCACGAGATTCCAATTAATAAACACCCCTGTCCAGGGACACACATCTCTGCTTGTAAACCTACAGGAAGCTGGCATTATCATAAAGTTGACCTTACTTACCTCACTTCCAGTACAAAATGAACACCTACCAGTTTCAGGTGCATTAATTTATATTTCACCATAACTGGGCGACACAGAGACTGCCTATTTTCACTCTGGATTTTTGAGACCAATTAAATATTTTTTTCTGTATATATCTCTAAAAGATAGGGCCATGAAAAAGACCTACAATATCATTATCAAACTAAACAAAAGTAACAACAATTCATTAACAACATCAAATATAATTAATATTCATATTTCCTATTCCCAGCTCATTTTATGTTTTCCAATGTGTGCGTTTGAATCAGAATATAAATTGTTAAAGGATGATGTGCTAAAAAGATAAAATCATGACTCATACAAATATAAAATTAATACATGTCAATTTTTTACTTTTAGAGAGACAGGGTCTGCTATATTTACCAGGGTGGTTTTGAACTCCTGGCCTCAAAATATCATCCCACCTTCTCAGCCTCCCAAAGTTCTGGGATTACAGACATAAGCCACTGCACCCAGCCTGTGTTTTTATTTAACTCAATTAATGACAGAATCAGTGAGATGTTACAACTGGTTCAAAGGAGAATTCAGAGTAGGAACATATTTAACACATCAGCAATGTTGAAATTAATTTGCTTAAATAGATGTACAAGAACAATCTGCATTCCTATCAGTTATCTACAATTTACAGTCTTAAAATAGCTCAAAGGGAGGGACCCCCACAGAATCAGAAAACCTGGAAGAGTATGAGAGACAACCCCATTGAATTTACTCAGTAATTTTTGTGGGTCCACTTTAAAGTCTTTCACAATTTTCCCTTACAAAATAAACTTTATTCACTGCAGTTGATTGCTATACGTCTTAAGTTTCTTTTATTCTCGAGATGCCCCCTCCATCTCTTTTTTTTCTTTGTCACTGTCCAATAACTGATCATTTGTCCTTTAATCTCACCATCTGGATTTGCTGGTTGTGCCCCCATGCTGTCTCTAACATATTCCTCTGTTTCTGTGTTTCCCTCTGGACTCCCAGTCCAGATTTGTGGACTCTTCAGGCTCTGCCTGTTCTGGGCTCTGTCCCTATGTCCCACACCCCAGATCTGCAGTCTTGGGCAAATTCAGGCACTCCTTGCCTCACCTGGGCGGCTGACTGCAGCAGACTGCGTCTCCATTCCCCTCCCAAGTCTGTGGATCCCAGGCTCTACCATGTTAAAGTCGGAGGGCTGACACTCCGGCCTTGGTGGTTGCGAGGAAGCTACTGGTCCACCCCTCATACCATGGGACCACTACCAGCGAGGATGTTGCCCTGATGCAGCTGAACTCCGCCTTGCAGGCCTCTGATTTTTCCAGAAAAGTCTATCAGGGGGTACACACCAGTTGACTGTCTCGTAGTGATGAGCTAGCTGTTGAGGATTATTCCCTAGACCAATTAGTCCATTAGATTGCAACATGGTGATATTCCTGTTCCATTTATTAGCAGAAATTCCTCCATAAAGAGAAACTTTTCATCATCTATTTATTTTTGTTGCCTCTTTCATTCTATTTTTAAAAATGTTTATGTTTTTGGCATCTATTTAATTATCCTCAAAATAATGAACTATTTCCTTAGCATACTCCAAAAATGATAAAGTTTTTTTTGTAATATGAACTCATGGATTTCTTCTTTTCTTTTTTTTTTTTTGAGATGGAGTCTCGTTCTGTCGCCCAGGCTGGAGTGTAGTGACGCGATCTCGGCTCACTGCAGCCTCTGCTTCTGGGTTAACGCGATTCTCCTGCCTCAGCCTCCTGAGTAGCTGGGATCATAGGTGCCACCACCACGCCCAGCTAATTTTTGTATTTTTAGTATAGATGGGGTTTTGCCATGTTGGCCAGGCTGGTGTCGAACTCCTGACCTCAGGTGATCTGCCCGCATCGGCCTCTCACAGTGCTGGGATCACAGGCGTGAGCCACCGCACCCGGCCTTATCTCACGTATTTAAATCACTCCAAGTTATTGCCCACAGTGATGCTCCAAGTGTCCCATCGTCAGCCAGTGAGAACGTCTTTTGGTTGCCTCCTGAGAGGGACCACTCAGTTTCCAGACCCTCCAGGGCCTGAGGCCAGGCTGAGATGATGCTCACAGGACTCGCATACTGACCGGAACCCCGCCCGATCGCACAGGAAGTCCGCCGGAAACTCTCTTGGAGCCCACCGGAAGTTTAGCGAACCACCCTCAACCTCCGGAAGAGCGCGGGAAGTTTGCCGGAAACGGACAGAAAGGAGTCCCTGCGACCGCGTAGCCTCCTGCAGCGCCCCCTGTTGGCAGAGTCGTAGCGAGGCCGAGATGAGGTCCGTGACGTGGCTGCGTGAGCATCCCGGCTGCCTGTGGATGAGTGGGCGTGGGGCTGAGAGGCGACAACAGTGGGGAGCTTCCTCAGCGATCCTGGGCTTCTCGGGTCAGGCCAACTTCAGTCCGGGCTGGAGGCCGTGCACAACACCAAGCGCATGGTGGGGTCCTCAGCTGCCTCGGGACTGGCTCCGCCTCTGCCCCTGGCCCTGGGATGGGGGCCAAAGGTTTTGGGCAGTGGCAGCAGCAGGAGGAAGTAGCACCTGGAAAACGTGTCTCCTGAGTCGACCCTTCCTGTCTGGGGGGGCCGAACCCTGGCTGTCTTTGTTCCCATAGCAACGAATAGGGCTCCCCTATGTTCCAGCCCCTTAGATACGGTGTGCCCCAGGAGGGCTCTGCAGGAGCTACAGGTCCTTCTGGTGGGAAGGGAGGCGGGAGGTGGGCTGGGGCAGCCCGGCTGGCCTGTGTGGAGACATCACACTTCCTGGTTGGGGACAGGGTGAAGAGGGTTGGTCCCCACCTCTGCCTTGAGCAGAGCTTCTAGTGGGTGAAGCAGTGGGGATCTCCTGCCTGCCGGAAGGATGGGTGGGGCTTCCACATCGCAGCCCAGTAGGGTGGACTGACCGGTCTTCTGACCTCTGGCTCCTTGGAGGGACTGGCCTGAGGTGGGCCCTGGCATCCCCAGCCTCCTCTAAACCACCTCCCTGGAACATGCGGGACAGGAGCCCAAGCGGCATCTGAGGAGGGCGGGTTCTGCCAGGCACAGAGGGCTCCAGCGTGATTGCCACTGGTTAATGACCTGCCACCCCCGCCCCCCCAACCTCTGGTGCCGTCCAAGGACTCTGACCCCAGTGCAGTGTCTGTAGGGAAGAGGAGCCATGGGGCTTCGGGCAGGCCCCATCCTGCTTCTGCTGCTGTGGCTGCTGCCAGGTAAGGGATGCGCCTCTGTCTTCTCCTCCCTCCCATCCCCTGCCAGCCTGTGTGCCCCCCTTTGCTCTCTTGCTTTCCAGGGGCCCATTGGGATGTGCTGCCTTCAGGTACCGTAGACATCTCATCCCTGCACTCAAACAGCCCCTACTCCTGGCCAGGGAGGACTGGCCCCAGGGGACATGCAGAGGCCCTTGGCCCTGGGAGCCTCATCCCTGGACATCAAGGGCAGAGGAATGTCAGAAGGGATGTCAGAAGGGCAGAGGGATGTTAGGGTAAAGAGTCAGACCGGGAGGGATGGGCTTTCTGAGAGGGAATAAAGCTGAGGTCTCCCACCCGCCCATCCCTCTGCAGAATGCGGCCACTCCAAGGAGGCCGGGAGGATTGTGGGAGGCCAAGACACCCAGGAAGGACGCTGGCCGTGGCAGGTTGGCCTGTGGTTGACCTCAGTGGGGCATGTATGTGGGGGCTCCCTCATCCACCCACGCTGGGTGCTCACAGCCGCCCACTGCTTCCTGAGGTGAGTGGCGCTGGGTGGGGGTGCTCCTCACCCCTCCCCTTGGCGGCTGCCTGCAGTGGGCCGTGTTTCCATTCCCCTCCCAGGTCTGAGGATCCCGGGCTCTACCATGTTAAAGTCGGAGGGCTGACACCCTCACTTTCAGAGCCCCACTCGGCCTTGGTGGCTGTGAGGAGGCTCCTGGTCCACTCCTCATACCATGGGACCACCACCAGCGGGGACATTGCCCTGATGGAGCTGGACTCCCCCTTGCAGGCCTCCCAGTTCAGCCCCATCTGCCTCCCAGGACCCCAGACCCCCCTCGCCATTGGGACCGTGTGCTGGGTAAACGGGCTGGGGGTCCACTCAGGAGAGGGGGAAGGGGAATATGCACTCACCAGCCCCTACTCCTAGTCAGGGAGGACAAGCCCAGGGACCACGCAGAGCCAGCCTGAGTGGTCTCCACAGACGTTGGTCTGCGTGTTTATCTCCTCTCCCCTCCCACCCCACCCTGAAGCTGGGAACACTTGGGGCCAGGACCCATGCTGTCCAGACTGTGGGACTCCCCTTGGCCAAGGTGACCACCATATTGGATTTTGGGGATCTTGAGCCAGTGTCCAGGATTGTGCCCGTGTTGGGATGAATAAGCCAAGGCTAAGAGGTCATGAGATTAGCCAGGGTCATGGGAGAGGATCTGGGCTTGAGCCCTGCTCCCTGACCCCACTGCCTCCTGGTTTGGGAGTTGAGAAGAGCAGGGTGGGTGGGCAGAGAAGAGGTAGGAGGTGCAGGCTGCCACCATCACAGGTGAGAGGGCAGAGGCTCACCTGATGGGGACGAGGCTTGAGGTGGGCTCAGGCTGGCCCCCACATCACATCCAGCCCTGGCGAGTGTCCTTCAGGAGGTGGCTGTGCCCCTCCTGGACTCGAACATGTGTGAGCTGATGTACCACCTAGGAGAGCCCAGCCTGGCTGGCCAGCGCCTCATCCAGGACGACATGCTCTGTGCTGGCTCTGTCCAGGGCAAGAAAGACTCCTGCCAGGTGACTGCAGCTCCTGGTCACCCCATCCAGTTGTGTGGGCCCTTTAGGCTCACCCTGTCCTGGACTTTCTCCCCATGTCCCACACCTCAGGGTCTCCAGAGGGACCAGAGTCCTTGCCTAGCTCCTTGGCCTCAGCAGCAGATTCTCGAAGGCACTTGGGGCCCAGGTGTCTCCCTCAATGCAGACCTCATGGGGCCCTCCCTCTCTCTCCCCCAGGGTGACTCCGGGGGGCCGCTGGTCTGCCCCATCAATGATACGTGGATCCAGGCCGGCATTGTGAGCTGGGGATTCGGCTGTGCCCGGCCTTTCCGGCCTGGTGTCTACACCCAGGTGCTAAGCTACACAGACTGGATTCAGAGAACCCTGGCTGAATCTCACTCAGGCATGTCTGGGGCCCGCCCAGGTGCCCCAGGATCCCACTCAGGCACCTCCAGATCCCACCCAGTGCTGCTGCTTGAGCTGTTGACCGTATGCTTGCTTGGGTCCCTGTGAACCATGAGCCATGGAGTCCGGGATCCCCTTTCTGGTAGGATTGATGGAATCTAATAATAAAAACTGTAGGTTTTTTATGTGTATTTTATGTCTTTGCTTTTCTAGTAATTCATTTTTATTGTTCTTTACAAAAACATCTGGCTGTGGTAGGTTGGGAGAGCATGGTGCCTGCCCCGGACATTGTCTGCGGGACACCTTCATCGTTAGGGTCACAGCGTCCAGGCTTGCTCAGGACGGTCTTGGGCGATGTCTGTCCCGTGTAGTTAGATAGGATCCCTGTCCCTCTCAAAAAGTGTCCCAAAAGTGGGAGTAAGAGTTATATAGTCACTGTGACTCAGCCAGTGCAAGAGCTGGAGCTCCTTGAAGCCCACAGATTTTCAGTCTCAGGCATCCTTGTGTGGTTGCCATGGCCACCAGGTGTCCAATAATAGGCCTTGTTCTCCCAGCTCCGGCCCACGGAGTGTCCATACCTTCCCCCACCACCCTGCCCGCTGCTGACTGCAGCCAGTGGGGGCCCTGGGGCCTGTCCCAGGCATGAGCAAGGTCCTTGGGCGCTGTCCCAGGCATGAACAGGGGCTTTGAGGCCGTCGCCAGCGTGGTGGGCAGCGCCCTCTGCCTGTGTCTTAGACGCATGGCCAGAGCAGTGCCTGGTAGCGCCAGCTCCACACTTGCAGGGAGGGATCCATTTGGAAGTTCGCATCTGGTGTCAGTTTCCCTGTGAGACACGGTGGTCGGGCTTTCACTCCAGTTTGGCGCCAGGTCTGGGGGAAGGACCGTCTGCTTGGGTGGGGCGCAGTCGGGCCAGCCTTTGTCCCAGCGCCACTCGCCTGCCCTGGAGGTGGCTGTCAGGAGCACCCCAAGGAGGAGAGGGGCTTTGAGGTCGCAGGTGAGTGGGCAGTGGAGCCGTCACCCTGACGCCTCAGCCCTCCCCGGGGGCACCCTCAGCTGGGTGGCCTCTTAGAAAATTTAGGTTGTTTTGCTGCCCTAGAAGACTGGATGCTCTAGAATCATCTCTCCTTTTGCTGTGGGCCCACCTTCATAGGGTCCTGTTGTCCCGTGACGGCCTCGCCTCCTTCCAACTCCTCTGCCTTCATCCCAGGGTGGACGGTGTCCTGGAGGGACTCATCGGATCCGCCAGGAGCTCAGCGTCCTGGGTAGAGGTTTCTGGCCTCTCAGCTTCTCTGTTTTGTCTCACAACTTTCTCTTGCTAATCACTTTCATGCATCAGTTTGCGAATGGATTCTCCAGCTCTTCACTCATAAATAACTCCTTCCAGAAATCTAGTGAGGAGGGAAAGTGAAGGATTAAAACAAAATCCTCACTTCTGGATTTCTGCTTTAATGTTAGAGTTGGCAGCCCTCCGTCACATAGGCCTGAAGCACCAAGGATGTCTCAGAAGCACTCAGCCTCCCTCCTTGCATATCAGCCCCTTCAGTTTCTCTCTCCTTTTTTCTTTTGTGACAGGGTCTTGCTCTATTGCCCAGGCTGGAGTGCAGTGGCTCAATCTCAGCTCATTGCAGCCTCGACCTCCTGGGCTTAAGCGATCCTCCCACCTCAGCCTACCTGGGAGTACATGTGCACACCACCATGCTCGGCTAATTTTTGTATTTTTAGTAGAGACAGGGTTTCACCATGTTGCCCAGGCTGGTCTTGAACTTCTGACCTCAAGTGATCCGCCTGCCCCAGCCTCCCAAAGTGCTGGGATGACAGGCGTGAGCCACCGTGCCCAAGGACCCCCCCCAGTCTCTTCCCCAGATGACCTTGACCAGGGCTGCTGTGCCATCAGCCCTGTGCCAGGATCCACTCCCATCCAGGAGGCCCCTGTCCAGGCTGTGTGCCTGTCTGTGTGTGGATGTGTCTGTGTGTGGGTGTGTATTTATGTGTGTTTGTGTGTGCCTGTGTGTGGATGGGTGTGGGTGTACTTTTATGTGCATGTGTGTGTGTGTGTACATACGTGTTTGTGTATTTGTGTATGTGTCTGCGTCTCTGTATGTGTCTCTGTGGGGTAGGTGTGTGTATGTGTATGTGTCTGTGTGTGTGGGTGTGTGTGTCTGTGGGTATTTGTGTGTCTGTGTATGGGTGTGTATTTGCATGTATGTATGTGTGTGTGTGTTTCTGTGGTGTGTGTTTGTGAGTGTGTCTCTGGGTGGGTGTGTATTTCTGTGTGTCTGTGTCTCTGTGTGGGTATTTGCATGGGGGGCTGGGTGTATATTTGCGTGCATGTGAATGGGTGTGTGGGTGTGTGTGTGTGTCTGGGTGTGTGGGGAGGTGGGTGTGTATTTGTGTGTGTATGTATGTATGGGTATGTGTGTGTGCGTGTCTCTGTGGATGGGTGTGTATTTGTGTGGGGGTGGGTGTGTATTTGCGTGTATGTGAATGGGTATTTGTGTGTGTGTCTCTGTGTGGATGGGTGTGTATTTGTGTGTGTGTGTCAGTGGGTGTGTATTTGTGTGTCTCTGTGTGGGTGGGTATTTTTGTGTGTGTGTAGGTATTTGTGTATGTGCTTGTCTGTGTATGTGTGTATGGGTGTGTATTTGTGTGTGTCTCTGGGTGGGTGTGTATTTGTGTGTATGTGTATATGGGTGTGTATTTGTGTGCGTGTGTGTCTGCATGTGTATTTTGTGTGTATGTTTGAATGGGTGTGTATTTGTGTGTGTGTGTGTCTGTGTGGTCCTCAGAACCCCCCACATTTCCTGGCAGTGGACAGCACGAACGCTCCTTGACCCCCACGGGCAGGGGAAGCCTGCTGAGCCTCTTTTCTCTCCGAGGCATCCGACTTCTGCCAACGGTGAGTTAGAAGGAAGGGGCCTCAGCCAACAGCAAAAGCTACAGAAGGATTTTCCGCGCCTGACCTGGACTGTGGTGCGCACACAGCCCTCTTTGTCTTCTCTTTCTCTGGCCCCTCACACAGGTGCTGTTTGTAGAGGACTTACAAGACTGGTGCTTCTGCTTGTGAAGCCCCTCCTGCCTGGGGCTTGTTGGAAAGACACAGAGGGTTCACCTGGTGCCTGGGCCGGGGGGTGGGTGCGGGTCCGAGGGGGCGGTAGGGGCAGACGTGAGTCCAGGTGACATTCAAGGTGCTCCACTTCCTCCAGCAGCTCCTCTTAGGTTCCAGCTGCCTGGCCCACTCTAAGTGCACGGCAACCAGCACCAGGTGTCTCTCAGTGGGACCCCCAGTTTGCTGGTTGGCCTGTCTGTGGGCCCAGTGGCCTGCAGGAGGCCTTGGGACTAGTGACACTGTTTAGAGACAGGTCGGGGCGGGAGCTGCACAGTTCAGTGTTGTGTAGGAGGAAACAATTCAAACGCCCCTGCAAGACTGAGCCGGTCTGGGGATGAGGAAGTGGCCACAATGGACGCAGGTGTTCCAGAAGGCTGACAGGCTGACTTCTGTCCAAAGGCCAGAGCCGCTCGGGATTGGGGAACGTTTGGCCAAGGGTGACAAGCAGGAGCAGAGGCAGGGACCCAGCGTAGGACGAGCGGTTCCTTCCTCACCCTGGAGCCCAGGGTGCAGGTCTGGCACGCACCTTGTCTCTGAACTTGTAGTGAGTCGATGCCTTGTCTCTGAACTTGCAGTGAGTCGATGAAAAGGAATTCTCAGGATTACAGCAGGCTCTGCCAGCGGCACTGTATGCATGTGGACCTCAGAATTCCAGGACAAGAAAATCACATGTTGTGGTGGCTGAAGTATTTGGGCACTTGGGACGCAGGGACTCTCAGGAAAGAACCTCCCCCGACAATGGTGGGACTGGGCCAACACCTGAGCAGGAAGTGGCAGGAGGACTGTGGGATTGCGGTTGGAATTCCATGACTCACTCGCTCAGCCTGGGCTTCCTTGTCTTTAAAAATGTGAGATTAACACCCACCGCAAGGGTGTTTGTGATGATTAAATGAGGCAGTCCTTGTGTAAGCACTCACCATTGCGCCTGGTCCAAAATTGGATCGTGATGAATGCTAGTGTCTTTTCTTTCCTTTCCTTTTCTTTTTTTTCTTTTCCTTTCTTTCTTTTTCTTTTTTCTTTTTCTGAGACAAGGTTTCACTCCTGTTTCTTAGGCTGGAGTGCAATGGCGCGACCTCAGCTCACTGCAGTCTCTACCTCCTGGGCTCAAGTGATTCTCCTGTTTTAACCTCCCAAGTAGCTGGGACTACAGGCCCACGCCACCACGCCTGGTTATGTATTTTTGTAGATTGTAGAGGCAGGGTCTCGCTGTGTTGCTTTGGCTGGTCTTGAACTCCTGGGCTCAAGTGATCATCCGTCTCGACCTCCCAAAGTGCTGGGATTACAGGTGTAAGCCACTGTGCCTGGTCCCGCTAGTGTGTTTTCTGTCCATCTATCCCCTCACCCACCCACCCACTTATCCATCCATCCACTCACCCATTTGTACATCCATCCACCCGCCCACCCATCTACTGACTCATAAATTCATCCATCCATTCATGCATCTACCCACTCACCCACCCACCTACCCACCTACCCATTCACCCACCCATCCATCCAGCCATCCACCTATCCATCCATTATTCCACCCATTCACCCACCCACCTACCCATCTACCGACCTATCCATCCATTTACTGACTCACCCATCCATTCATCCACCCATCCATCCACCCACCCATCAACCCATCCATCCATCCATTCATCCACCCACCCACCCACCCACCCATCCATCCATCCATCCATCCATCCATCCATCCACTCATCCCAGAACACAGACGATCCAAATCACAGGAGACTTACTAGCACTCTAGTAATATTGGCACACATACTCAAAACACATTCAGCAGAAACTGGATTCCACCAGCAGTGCTTGGGACTCAGCTCTTTTCTATTTTCTTTTCTTTTCTTTCTTTCTCTCTTTAGACAGAGTCTTACTCTGTCACCCAGGCTGGAGAGCAGTAGTGCAATCTTGGCTCACTGGAACCCTCCACGTCTCATGTTCAAGCGATTCTGCTGCCTCAGACTCCTGAGTATCTGGGATTATAGGCGCACGCCACCATGCCCGGATAATTTTTGGATTTTTAGTAGAGACTGGGTTTCACCATGGTGGCCAGGCTGGGCCTGGAACTACTGACCTCATGAACTGACCGGCTTGGCCTCCCAAAGTACTGGGATTACAGGCGTGAGCCACTGTGCCCGGGCCAAAATGTTTTCTTAAATGTGTTCTGTGCCTGGGCTTGGATTATCAACACGTTGAATGGCAAGTCTGATCACCATAATTTTGAAGTGGTGACGGCTGTAAATTTCAAGGTGTCTGTGACAACAGTATTTGATGTGGTCATTTCATGGGTGTTGCATGTGAGGTCACATTCATACCCGAAGGAAACATGAAATTTTCAGTCAAGGGCAATAAAAAAAAAAGAGGTAATTTCCCCCCCCCCATCCCAGTTCATGGATTCTCTGAATTTTGATTTCTGATTTTTGTCCACAGACCCCAGGTTAAGAAGTGGCTCTCAACCAGCATTTAAAATTAAATAAAAATAAAAGTAGAGAAGAGAAAAAACGTCTGTGTGTATTTCATGCAGAAAGATGAAACTGGGTTGGGAAATCTTTGCCTAGGTCTGGTGTTCAGTGGCCAGACTTTGCAGCTTGGTCACCTCAAGGTGGACCTCCAACTCTACCTCTAACGGCTGCGTGGGACAAGTCACTTTGCTCTCAGTTCCTCTGTTTCCTCATTTTGCAAATGAGGATAATTGAAGTCCTGTCCTTCAATTGTTGTGGGTGGGGACTTTGGGTGGAGCCCCTGAAATAGGACCTGGCCCTTCCCGTGATCACTGACTGGCTGTTGCATTAGATGATCACTGGGCGTTTGGCTGTTGCATTAGATGATCGCTGGGTGTTTGGCTGTTGCATTAGATGATCGCTGGGTGTTTGGCTGTTGCATTAGATGATCGCTGGGTGTTTGGCTGTTGCATTAGATGATCGCTGGGTGTTTGGCTGTTGCATTAGATGATCGCTGGGTGTTTGGCTGTTGCATTAGATGATCGCTGGGTGTTTGGCTGTTGCCTTAGATAATCACTTGTCTGTTTGGCTGTTGCATTAGATGATCACTGGGTGTTTGGCTGTTGCATTAGATGATCACTGGGTGTTTGGCTGTTGCATTAGATGATCACTTGTCTGTTTGGCTGTTGCATTAGATGATCACTTGTCTGTTTGGCTGTTGCATTAGATGATCACTGGGTGTTTGGCTGTTGCATTAGATGATCACTTGTCTGTTTGGCTGTTGCATTAGATGATCACTTGTCTGTTTGGCTGTTGCATTAGATGATCACTGGGTGTTTGGCTGTTGCATTAGATGATCACTGGGTGTTTGGCTGTTGCATTAGATGATCGCTGGGTGTTTGGCTGTTGCATTAGATGATCGCTGGGTGTTTGGCTGTTGCATTAGATGATCACTGGGTGTTTGGCTGTTGCATTAGATGATCGCTGGGTGTTTGGCTGTTGCATTAGATGATCGTTGGGTGCTTGGCTGTTGCATTACATGTGTTGCTTCCTGTGTCTCAAGTAGGATCAATTTCTCTCTGTGGATCATGGTCCCAAAGGACTGAAAACCCCGTCCCTGGAGGCCCCTGGAGCTCTGATCTTGGCAAGTGCCCATGTGGGCTTGGAGGCTTGGGAAGGGGACATGAAGAATGGGCCAGGTCCAGGGCTTGTACTGATTTCCTGTTGCTACTGTGACAAATTACCCCAGCCATCTGCATCTCCTGTCTTTGCTCATGTTGAGCCCTCAACCTGTAATCCCCTCCTCCCTTTGTCTCCACTTGGCCAATTGTCCTTCATCCTTTAAGACTTAGCTCAGACATTGCCTCCTCTAGGAAGACTTCCCTGAAGCACATCCCTCTCACCTCACCTCTGGGCAGGTGCCTACGCACAATGACCTGCATGTGTCCCCATCCATGCAGATGGCAAAGTGAACTGCCACTATCTGCCTCTGCACCAGCCCCCACCACAGTGTATACGCACTCAGCTGAAACCTGGCCTCTTCTTTATACCCCCAGTGCCAGGCGAGCCTGGTGAGGACACGGCCTTGGCAAATGTTTGCTGAGTGAATGGATGAGTGAGTGGCTTCCCTGAGGCCCCTTGAGCACTCAGAGAATCCCGGGACTGAGTGGCCAGCAGAGGCCCGCTGGGTGGGCCTGGGGTGAGGGACAGTGGGGAGTGGCGGCCTTGAAGCCTGACTCTTCAAAGATTGTGGGACTGGCACAGAGATCCACAGCACCTCTGAGGGGGTGGTGCTGCTCTCTTTCTGTCCTCGGCAGAGTCACCTTTGCCCTACCCCTCATCTCAGTTCACTGGGCTGCAGCACTGGGGACTTTGTCTCCAAGGAGCAGGGAAGGCTTTGGTTGTACCCCAGATCCAAGGACCAATCCTGGATGCACTGATTCTGCAGAACCTTTATTTATTGGTGGATTCAGATTCAGCGTCCCGACTCAGTTACTCCAGTACCATCAGCCACCACCACCCAGATGGCCTCAGCTCGGATGGCCCCATACCCCACCCTAGCGACCCACGGGTGAGTTTGCTGAGTATGTGAGATTAACTGGTGGCTCAGTGGTCGGCTCCTCTAGTGGATAATTCCATTCAAAGCCAATGCTCTTGATGCCAAGGAGTTGATACTGGCCATAGATGCCCACCAGCACCTGCCCCTCTTGGCTGGGGTAGGCAGAGGAGATCTGGCCATCAAGCTTCCCAAAATAGAAATAGCGGTCCTTGCTGGTGTACATGACCATACCCCGGAGGAAAGCTTGGAAGGCGACAAAGACTTTTGTGATGTATTCGCCTGGCTGCAGGGTGACTTCCTGGGTATTCCCACCTAAGGCTCCCAGTTTCACGTCCCAGGAGTCTCCAAGTTTCACCTGGACACTGGGAGAGAGGCAAAGCTTTGGACGTCCAGATCTGGGATGGCCCAGCACATCCCGGGTCCTCAGCGCCCCCATCCTCCTTCCCGGGATGCAGAGAGTCCAGCACCATCAGACTTTGGGTCCCTGACACAGACTCACTGGTCACCAACCCTGATTCTACCACTTTTGGGCCCTGTGATCTTGAGCTCGTTACCCAGCCTCTCCGGACTCAGTTTCCCCGTCTGCAAAGTGGGTGTGACTTTTGGGAGGAGTCACTGAGATCCTGGTGAGGAGAGCTGCGTGCAGCGCCAGGTCTCCGTGACCCAGAAGGCACCAGCTGCCGTCACTGTGGCCCACATATGAGCTGCCTCTGGCCGAGCCTGGACCTCCCGAGCCTTAGTCACTCCAAGCAGAGCAGCTCACAGGCCGAGGGGCAGGTGACTTCCCACACTCGCCAGCGCTTCCCTGACGGGGCTCATCTTCACCCCTCCCTCACCCTGGTGCTCTCCCAGGATGCACCCCTCCGGCTCGCCCCGCCCACACTCTGTCTCCTCTGCTATTGGGCTTCTCTCCCCTCTCCCAGGACCCCAGAACTTCTAAATGCAGGGCAAAAATCCATCCCAGACCTCCAGCAGAGACACTTCGATATTAAGGAAATGGCCCTGGACTTCTGCCTCTAACACTTCTGCGACTCATATTCAGTCAGTGGTCCACTCTGACCCTTACCTCCTGTCTTCTTTGACAGTAATCGGACAGACTTTCCCCTGACTTTCCTATCAGGCATGGGGACAGAGGGGCCATTTTTGGTTGAGTTGAGCTTGGGTTGAAGGGAGAAGGTAGGGAGGACGGTCTGACCGTCTCCGCTCCAGCCAGGAAGCATCAGCGGGAGCCAGGAAGCATCGACAGTAGCCAGGCATGTGTGGCAAAAGTGGCCACGGGTGCTTACCCCCTGCCCTGAGTTCCTGAAACTGTGGGATGGGAGGGGACATGGCGCTGGGCCCATGACCATAGCCCTACTCACCTTTTCACCAGGAGAAGACCTACAGACACCCGCAGCCCTGTGATTTCATGGTCGTAGTCTTCAGTGGTGCTGAAATACTTGCCTCCTCCAGGGCCATACATCTCTGAAGAAAAGAGAGACCCAAAGGGAAGAAAATCCCCATGCGGTGATATGGGGGTGACCTCTGCCAGAACAGGGGACCCCACCCCTCCAGGCAGACAGGATGGTTCTGTGACCAGAGTTAGTCTGGGACAAGGGCCGGGTGAGTCCCTGGCTCTCCTGGAGGGAGGCAGGGGAGATTGAGGGCAGACCCCACTGACTTACTCCCTGCCCAGGTGGGGCCCCCCAGGAGGGCAAGCGTGAGCAGCAGCAGCATGGCCTCTGGCCGGTGCATCCCAGGGCTCTGTGGGAAGAAGAGAGGCCTCCTGACTCCAAAGCAAGGGCCAGTGTGACCTTGCCGGGCCCCACCCATGGAGCCAAGCACCTTACCTCGCCTGTGACTGGGCGTCTGGTTGTGCCGGGCACCCTCCACATCGCCTTTATACTCTCCTGGGCCCCCTGGGCCCCCATCCAGAAGGAAGAAGCGAGGGGCCGCCAGGGGAACAGGAAGGAGCTGGCCGTGGGGCTCTTCCTGGGGGAAGGCCCAGGGCCGGCCTTGGGGAGGCTCCCGGATGTGCAGTATTTGCTGTCTTGGCTCTGCAGCCTACATAAACGAAGCTGAGAACAGTGACAGGCATTTCACAGTTATCTCTGGGATCTCTCCAGTCAGCACTGGCACCGACTTGAATGGCAGAGGTGGGGAGAGGCTGGCTTATCCAGCGCAGCCTGATGGCTTCCACCTGAGGGTGGCGGGTCAAGGGTCCACAGAAGCTCCGTGGGGCCCACTCCTGCCGTGGGCGACCTGGAGTCAGGGCCTCCTTCGGACTCAGGCAGCACCTGGTGCCTGGCAGCCTTCCTGGGACCCAGGCCGAGCTCGACGCGGGCCCTGAGAGAGCCTGAATGGATCACCCAGCCCTTTGTGTCCTGTGCCCTGTGCGGCAGGTGCACCAGGCACTGGCCCTCAAGGCACTGCCCTTAGAGGCTGCCCGGGTCTCTCCTCTGTGCTGTATCTGGGTGGAGCAGGTATGAGCCAGTGTTCAGGGACTCAGAGGCCATGGGAGGGAAGGACACCAAAGGTGCAGTCCATGCCACGATGGGAGGCAGAGGGCCTGGGGAGGGCGACCCCCCAGGCCGGTCCTTCCGAGGTGTCGGCCCTCATCTGGGCGGGAACTGGCGCTTCTCCAGGGCTCGGTCCCCGGGGCCCTGCTGGTTTTCTGTCTCACTCCTTTCCCCCTCAGCCCCTCTTGTCAGGGAGGCCTGTGCAGGCGGATGCCTGTGGGCAGAACGCCATCACCCTCAGACGCCAGCTGAGAAAAGCTCGTGTTCGGAGATGTCTCATCCCAAGGACCCTGAAGGACCCAGGGCACTGGGAAGGAACTGGAGTCTGCAGAAGAGTTGGGGTGTCGGATAAGGATCAGGGGAGAAGAGATAAAGGCCGTCAGATGCCCAAGCGAGGCGGGAACTAGGGGACAGATTGCAGCTCAAGCGCAGTTCCATGCGTGTCCTCAGGACACCTCTTGTGTGTGTTCCAGGGACTGAAGCTCCTCAGGGCCTGTGACCGCTGGGAACAGCCACAGGGCTGTGATCACCAACACAGGACCCTGGAGCCAGACGTGGGTCCAGCCGGGCTTCCTGACGTAGCGGGGCTGGGATCTGCGGGCTCTTGCTTCACCTCTCTGGGCCTCTGTTCTGCGGATAACAACAGAACCTCCCCCTGAGGGTGCTGTGAGGGCCTCCCTGGAGGGGAGGCCCCCAGGGCTGGTTGCCCTGAGCCTTAGACTTTATGCCTTGGGGGAGAGTGTACAACGCTAATTTTTGGAAAGAGCAAAAGCTGAGAAATCACGGGCGCATCCACCTGGAGATGCCGAGAGCCCGGGTGGTGGATCCCTGGCTGTGGAAAACTTGGGTGGAGAGGGTGGGGGACACTCCCACTGCACACCCATCCCCCAGGGAAACAGGCTGGAAGACCAGTGTGTGTGGACCCCACATGCTTCCCAGGAAGATGGGTGCAAAGAAGGGCTTTGTGCATGCACAGACTGGCTCTGGAAGTGCTGGCTCACCAGGAACGGGGACGCCGGTCTCATCGGGATGAGGGTGGGCAGGGGCTGCGGGAGGAGCAGGACTTTCACGACTTGAACCAGGTGCCTGCGCCAGGGGTGGCGAACTATGGCCCAGCCAACCACCTCCTGTTTCTGCCTCGCCCATGAGCAAAGAATGCTTCCTACATGTTAATATTCTTAGGAAACATTCAAAAGAACGATGTCTTGTGGTCCATGAAAATTCTTTGAAATTCCCATGCTCCAGTTCATTAAGTCAAGCGTCACTGGCCCACAGCCGCCGTGCGCTCATTGGCATGTGGCCTGTGGCTGTCTTCATGCTTGCACAGAAGCTCACATGGCTGTGACAGAGACCTGCAGCCCCTGAACCTAAAATTGTACCATCTGGCCCTTCACACAAAACGTCCGCCCACCCCTGGTTGATACCTATTCCCAAAGAACCACCAAAGCCCTGTCCGTGGTGCTGGATGGCAGAGTCAGGAAGGGGGCTCCCCGTGACACCCCAGCCCTGACGGGGCAGGAGCAGAGCAGCACATTAGCCTTGACACCTGGCCCTTCTTCTGGCACCTGCACCATCTCCCTGGAGGGGCTGGTGAGGGCTGGGTTCCCACTGACTAGTGTTTCAAGGTGAGGCCCCAGTTGCACCTCTCTGCACCCCCTCAAGCGCTCCTCTGATTTCAGGGGAAGCAGAGCCCAGGCCAGGGGAGGGTCAGCGGAGCCCCTCTCAGGAGGAGCCTTCTTCAGGGAGGTGGAGGTGGAAAAGGCCAAGCCCTCGGCCAGCACAGCTGTCAGAGGCAGGAGCTCAGATGTGGCACAAAGGGGCTGTGTTCTTGCCCCAGCCCAGCCTGAGGGCGCCTTTCCATGTTTTGCTGGCAGTTCAGGGGCCTTCTTTCTAACTCCAGGCTGGCAGGGTTTGATGCCCAGACGGAAAGTCGTCTGAGCCAGGACTCCAGAAGCACCAGCTGGGGTTGGGGGGACTTGGAGGAAGAGAGAGCACACTGGAGGGGATGTTCAGACGGCGCGAACACAGAGATCACACGTACTTGTTCACACACGTGCACTTGAAGATGGATGCACACACATGCACCCAGACACACACGCCCGCTCAGCCTCTCCTGCACGCGGGGGGCATGCACACACGAGGACACTCCTCCTCACCTGCGTGCCTGACCTGGGGAAGAAGCCCACCTGGTGGGAGGCACCCCCCTCCCACCCTCCATCTGCCATGGCCCAAGTGCTGGCCCCGAGCCCGTGCTCAGGGAGACTCAACACAGGCCCTTTGTCCCTTGGGATCAGGGCTCCCAAAACAGGGATTTACTGAGCATTTATTTCCTGCCCGGGGCACGCCCCAGTCCTCATTCTGCCAGGAGAAGGGAACAATGAGGCCTTCTCCTGCCTGCAGAGGTGGCCCGGGCCGGCTGGCCCTTGTGTGTCAGGAGTCGGGTTAGGGCCACAAGTCCCTGTCCTCCCTGCCCTCCAGGTGTGGGGCTTGGGAAGACCCCTCTGTGGCTCTGCAGCCTGAGGCACAGCAGACAAGAGGGTCTCCATCTGCACCCACTCAGTTGGCGGGGCCTTCCTGTGGCCTGGGGGCCAGGCTGAGCCTCTGTGGGAAGCCCCCAGCCTCACTGGAGGCAGGAACATGAGTCCCTGGCTTGGATCTCTGGGTAGGACTGTCCTGAATGAGACTCTGAGCAAAGTCAGGAGCTGTTTCCTCCCAGGGCCTTGGCGGCTCCCTGGGACTCAGGAACCAGAGGGAAGGTCCTGCTGGCTGGGGGAGGGGCAGGATCAGAAGCCCAGGGGCCTCTGCCCCAACCCCACCAGGCCGAAGCTGGGCTGTGCCCATGGACTTGCCCTTGAGCGGCTGCTGCTGCGGAAAGAGGCCCTGAGGGAAGGCACCGCAGCCTTCTGCTCCTGAAAGCACAGCTCCCGCATGCCCGCGGCACACTCACTGAGTTCCCGTTGGTGCCACGCCTGTGCTAAGCATTTTTTTTTTTTTTAGAGACGAGGTCTGTCTCTGTTGCCCAGGCTGGAGTGCAAGTGGCTCGATCTCGGCTCACTGCAACCTCCACCTCCCAGGTTCAAGCGATTCCCCTGCCTCAGCCTCCCGAGTAGCTGGGATTACAGGCACCCACCACCACGCCTGGCTAATTTTTGTATTTTTAGTAGAGACGGGGTTTCATCATATTGGCCAGGCCGGTCTCAAACTCCTGACCTTGTGATCTGCCTGCCTGCCTCGGCCTCCCAAAGTGCTGGGATTACAGGCATAAGCCACAGCGCCCAGCCTCCACTAAGCATTTTATCTGCACTTTCCCCAGAGAAACTCAATACTTTTATTGGAAAACCAGGACACATAGCCATACATTTTGCCTAATCTTTCATGTAATTAACCTTCTACTAGTGCAAGTGTTGAAAAGAGAATACACTATTCCCAAGTTTCAAGTTGAGGGAGGCGGGATTCCCGGGTTCTGGTTTCTCCAGCCTACCCTGGTGCGTGTGTTGCTCCTTGGCGTCTGGGTCAGCTCAGGCTGCTGTAACACAAATCCCACGCCGTGGGCGGCTGGTAGATGATAGAGGTTTGTTTCTCACAGCTCTGGAGGCTGGAAGTCCAGGATCAAGGTGCTGAGCGATGCGGCTGCTGGTGAGGGCTCCTTCCTGGCGAGCAGACCCCCATCTTCTCACTGTGTCCTCTTATCTGGGGAGGGGCGAAGAGGAGAGCCCTGGTCTCCTTTTCTTATAAGGGCCTTAGCCCATCACTGGAGGTCCTGTGCTCATGACCTCATCTAAACCTAATTACTTTCAAAGGTCCCACCTCTTGACACATATGCTTAGAGCTTCCACATATGTACTTTGGGGAGACAAAGACAGCCACAGCACCTGGTTAGCATCCCCCTGACTCTCTCCTGAGGCAGGCACCTGCTTAGAACCTGGGGCTCGCCCCACTCTCCTGACCTCCTCTCCTGGGGGCCAGGAAGTGCCCCACGGGGGCCGACCCTGTCCACCTCCGTGGCTGTGCTCCAGCTGACTTGCTCGGGCCCTGTCCTGTGAATGGAGGAAGGATGTTGGGCTCAGCCTTCGCACCTGCCCCGGTAGATTCCATGATAAGGGACCTGAGCGGCCTGGCCCGGCGCCACACTCCGACCCTGTTCCTGACTGCACCTCCCGCAGCCACTCCCAGCCTCGGTTTCTCTATCGGTAGATAAGCCTCTAGCACACCTCAGCACCTGAGGCTGTTGGGAGGGAGGAGCGAGACAATGTGTGCGGCCGCCAGCCGTCTGCTGGGGGGAAACGAGTCCGTCTTATTAAGGTGATACGGTTTGGCTGTGTCCCCGCCCAAATCTCATCTTAAATTGTAGTTCCCATCATTCCCACATGTTGTGGGAGGGACCTGGTGGGAGGTAATTGAGTCGTGGGCAGTGAGTTACCCCTATGCTGCTGTTCTCGTGATAGAGAGTGAATTCTCACGAGATCTGATGGTTTTATACAGAGATTTCCCCCCTTTTGCTTGGCACTTCTCCTTGCTGCCACCATGTGAAGAAGGATGTGTTTGCTTCCCTTTCTGCCCTAATAGTAAGTTTCCTGAGGCCTCCCCAGCCACGCTGAACTGTGAGTCAATTAAACCTCTTTCCTTTCTAAAATACCCAATCTCAGGTATGTCTTTATTAGCAGCGTGAGAATGGACTAATACATGAGGACCGGCCCGGACGAGGCCCTCGATGGTGTCAGGCACTGGAACAGCCTCAGACTGGTTTGAGTCAGTTGCTCATCTCCTTCCCAAGAGTGGTTGAGTCCTCCCTGGGAGGCTGCAGAGGGAGTAGCCCTGTGGGGGGCGTCGCTGGTCCGGGAGGCCAGTTCCTGACTGCAGCCCCCACAGCAAGCCATGTGGAGGGCCTGGAATTTTCCAGACTCGAGGATGGACGATCCAGATGGACCAAGATGGCAGAAGCTGAGGATGGGCCCTGGGGAGCTGTCCTCCAAGGACAAAGTCAACAGACATTTCCCCTACATTTACCACCCAAATTCAGACATACTGGAGAGTAAAAGGTGACAGTGACACCCACGCAATCCCTGCCTCTCCAGTCCTCAGCATTCTCCTGTGTGGGTGTCACTGCATTTGTCCATGTCCCGGACCCTCCGTCCACTCATTGGTTCATCTTCTTTCCTCAGACGTCAGGTGCAGACCTCAGTTCACTTACCCTCAGGGACTTCCACATGCGTATCGTTAACTAGACTTTTGGGGGGTTGGGCTTTTCCCAGTTTGAAGCACAATTTGCATACAACGAAATCACAAATCTCGAAGTGTATATTCACAGGTTTAAAAAATATTTATGGATTCCGGACCACCTGGCTGGGCTGGGGCATCTGGCAGGAGGTCTGGGGCTAACTGCCCACGTGAGACCAGCCTGGACAACAAAGTGAGAACTTGTCTCTACAAAAAATAACTTTAAACAACTTAGCTGGTGGTGGTAGTGTGGGCCTGTAGACCCAGCTACTCAGAAGACTGAGGTGGAAGGAGCCCAGGACTTCAAAGTTGCAGTGAGCTAGGATCACGTCACTGCACTGGCTCCAGTCTAGGTGCCAAAGCGAGACCCTATCTCTTAAAAAAACAAAAGCAAACAAACAAACAAACGAAAAGCAAACAAAAAACTAGGCCAGGTATGGTGGTTCACGCCTGTAATCCTAGCACTTTGGGAGGCCGAGGCGGGTGGATCGAGAGGTCAGGAGTTTGAGACCAGCCTGGCCAACATAGTGAAACCCCGTCTCTACTAAAAATTACAAAAGTAGCTGGGCATGATGGCACTCCCAGCTACTCAGGAGGCTGAGGCAGGATAATTGCTTGAACCAGGGAGGCGGAGGTTGCAGTGAGCTGAGATCGTGCCATTGCACTCCAGCCTGGGTGACAGAGTGAGACTCTGTCTCAAAAAAAAAAAAAAAAAAAAAAAAGGATGACAGGCAAACTGGCTGAAAGCTATTGTAGCCATTAAGTAGCATTTCATGACTGGGTTGAAATAAAGCAGAAAACAGGGCCAACTCTATAAAAGGGACCACTAGTACAATTTGAACAAGTTGTGTTAGCGATATCGCCAAAGTTACCCACTAGGTGGAGTGAAGCATGTTTTTAGGTCCAGTTCTGTTAAGTTACCCAAAGCAGTTACTGGCTGTAAAATTTTAATTACACATTATCCTGTCAAGGGAGAAAGGTGCGCATTAAGAGAGGTAAGTGGACCACCATGATACGGAATCTCGTTTTGATGGTCTTGGGAAAAGCTGCAGTATGAAGCCGGCAATTTTGCAGTTAAAATGTCTCTGGTTATGGCCTTGGATGGTTGGTGAACTCTGTGCGGTCCACACATCAGGCACAATACTTGTCCCTTGATATTTATGTTAAGTTGTTTTGTTTTAGCTCGCAGGGCATTTATGAAAGAGCAGCTTCCAGTTTTAATAATTCCGTAGGAGAAAACTGGATTGGAGGAACTTAGAATTTAGGGTCCAATATAGTCTACAGGTAGATGATAAAACTGATCTATAAACAATTTAAATATGACATTCCAAAGCCTTCGTAATGTTACAGGATCTCTGGGGTGTTGTTTTTCTGGCTGGAAATCTGTGGCTGTTGGCGCCTTGGCCCGAGTTTTGCCCGTTTCCACTGAGGAAAAGGAGTCATCTCGTATGTCCACTGTCCAGAATCTCCACTCTTCCACCCCTTTGCTGATTTAAGTAAGAGTGATGACCTGCTCCCTGCAGGCACTGAGGAATACATCCATGCAAGGATTTAACAGAGAAATGACAGGAAAACCCTTAGCACTGTCTAAGCGATCACTAAGGATTACAATAAAAAGCAACTAGTGAAGGCATTTAAGAGGAAATTTCCCTGCAATGGGACGGTAATTGAGCATCCAGAATATGGAGAAGTCATTCAGCTACAGGGTGACCAGCGCAAGAACATATGCCAGTTCCTTGTAGAGGTGGGACTGGCTAAGGACGATCTGCTGATGGTTCAAGGGTTTTAACTACTTGTGGCTCACTGAAACTTAAGTGAGGATTTCCCTGTAATGAGTAGAATTTCCCTTCTTTCCCTTGTTACAAGTTTTAAAACCTCACAGTTTGTCTAATTTAACCATTTGAGGTCTGCTTTTAACTTGAACTAGTGTAATTCCTTTATGCAATAAACTGCAAAAATAAAAATAAAAAAATAAAAACATCGCTAAGGGAGGACCATGATTTTCGAACTTGGAGCCAGCTGGAGTCCCACAAGGGGAACCATTATTGCCTACTTTCTGGGTGCTCAGAGCCTCACCTCGGGGCTGCCCCAGCTCTGAGGCATCCCGTGCCCCAGAACTACTCTCAACATGGTGGGGGGAGTGGTCAAGAGAGAAACGCCCACCGTGGTGTCCTTGTCCTCAGTGGGCCAACGCTGAGGCCCCCACAGGATTGCACCCCAGTTGCCTAGAATGGTACCCTCTATGTTTGTGTAAGCTCATTGGTGTTCCTTCCTTCCCTGCCTCGGTTTCCCCATTTCCTGCAATCCCCTCCCAGATAAACTACCTGCACCTATGTCCTGGTCCTAGGTCAGCCTTGGGGGAACCATAGTAAGATCAGGATGTCTGGCGTTTCTGTGCCGGATCCTTGTGGGGTGAGGGATGTCAGGATTGTTTCCTCCAATGCACACACCCCCAATCCAGGCTTCCCAGCTCCTGGCACCCTGGAACTACTCCTGTTCCATTGCTGAGCATGATGTGCGTCTATAATTTCAGCTACTCAGGAGGGTGAGGCGGGAGGATCGAGACCACCCTAGGCGTTCAAGACCAGCCTGGGCAACACACAATTCTCTTTCTGATCGAAATAACCAGATGGTTCTATGGTGCAGAACAGATGTGGGTGTGAGCCAGGGGCACAGACAGGCTGTCTGCACAAGAGAGAATGAGCTGTCCATGAAGCCACTGCTTTTGAAGAATGCCCTGCAAGGCATCAACTGGAATGTGTTTATTACCAAACAAGACAGAAGAGAACCAGGGCCTGACTTGGCAGTGGCCCCAGGCTGCATGGGCTCAGGTAGGCTCAGACCGGCCCCAGGAGTGGGAGAGCCCAGAGAAGAGGGAAAAAGAGTAGCGGCCAGGAGGGGTCTGGCTGGGACATGCCACTCTGGGCCATCAGCTTCTGGATCCACTCAAAGTGGTGGCTGATATTGGTGTAGACACCGGGCCGATTGGGCCGACCACAGCCCACTCCCCAGCTCACGACTCCAATCTGATACCACAGTCCATTCTTGTTACAGGCCAAGGGTCCACCTGAGTCACCCTGGGGAGCAGCGGGGCTGAGGTCAGCCTGGGGCAGAGTGAGTGGGGCAGGGGAGGGGCTGAGAGTGGGAAGGGCTATGGGGCTGGGTAGACTGGGTGCACATCCTCCTCCTCCCCCTGGCAGCAGCCAAGCCTCCGTTTCTGCATCTGCAGAGTGGGGCAACAGTCTCCACCTCCCGGGGTTGGCATGAGGGTCAAATAAGGCACAGGGACACAGGATGCTTTCCTGGGCTGGGAGTGGTGGCAAGGACACTCACGAAGCAGGCATCCTTCCCGCCTTGGGCATTGCCAGCACAAACCATGTCTCCAAAGATGTCCTTGCGGAAACTGTACTTGAGGAAGAGGTGGTTGCACATAGAGTTGTTTATGATGGCGACCTGAACTTCCTGGAGGGTGTGGGGAGATGGCAGTGCTGTGCGGACGATAGTGGGAAGGAGAGAGACAGCAACCTGAGGCCCCTCTATGGAGGGATGGCATAGGCTGCGGGGGTGGGGGCCCTGGGGCACCCACTGTGCCTGGCAGGTTCATCTCCATTACCCCCAGCTCCAACCCAGACCCCAGCACAACAGAGGCCCTCAGCAGCATCACAGAAGGCCCCGGGGAGGGACAGGCTGTCAGAGCTCCCCCAGCCGCACTTTCCCTATCTGTAGAATGGCAACAATGGCCCTGCCTGCAGCCATGGAGAGATTCCTCAGCCAAAAGGAGCCGAGGGAGGGGCGAAGGCAGCTGAGACGGTGTTCAGATGAGCATCCAAAGCCAGACCTGGGGGAGGGGCAGCCTGGCTGCAGCCCTGGCCTCAGTAGCAGCTGGGCGCTTTCCAGGCCTGGACACAAGCTTGTTGCAGCACTCTTAGGGACCCCCAGCACCCCTGGGAGGCGGCAGTCATCAGGACCTACTCCCAGATAAGGAGAGTCAGGGGGATATTGCCCCGCTGACCCCCAGCAAGGCACTGGGGAAGTTTCAGAGCCTGACAGGAGCCCACACCTGTCCAATTCCTGCCTCAGAGTGCCAGCCAGCACCTTGTCCTGCAGAGGATGACAAAAGACAATGAGACCCAACCTGCAGGCAGCGCTTCCCGTCAGCGGGGCCTCTCCTAAGCCCTCGGGACTAACAACCTGGGAACTAGCCTCTGATGTGGCACCATCATTCCCCTATTTCACAGGGGAGGAAACTGAGGCACTGTAAGATGAACACCTTTGCCCAAGGCCTCCCAGCCCGCGCAGGGCACAGCAAAGGTGCACACCAGGCAGGGGGCTCCAGAAGTGCCTGTCCCCTGCCTCCCCGGCACTGTGAATTGAGGCACAGCCTGGGGTTGGTGTGACCTGTCTACCCTGGGCTGGGGAGAGAGGGTGGCAGAGGCAGCCTGGCCGTGCCCCTGGCTCATATCCACTCGTGTTTGCAGCAAGGGTCCTTCTCAGGGAAGGCAAAGGATCCCTCCTCCAGAGGGAGGCGGCTCCAGTGCTGAGTTCCCCACTCCCAACTGCCGGGGTGTGACTTGGGGACATCCCTTACCCTCTCTAAGGCAAGGGGCCCTGACTTCTCCATTTACTAGTTCTTGGCAATTTCCATAACCCTCTCAGTTTTCTCATCTGTAAGATGGGTATAAGAACGTTACCAACTTCATTCCTAGGTGAGCTCCAGCAGGAGGAGAGGCCGCGCCTGGCTCACTGCTGGGCCCCCATGTCTAGAACAGTGCCAGGCACACAGCGTGTGCTCAAGGAACCACGTTTGTTATTGTTACTACTGTTGTGGGATGATGCAGGGACGGGCCAGACAGGGGAGCAGAGGGAAGGGATTCCTGATACAGGGAACACGCCCAGTCTGGGGCTGCCGGGGCTCCTCCGGATGCTGGGCCCACTTCTTTCAGGGCATGTGTGTTGGGGGACACGCAGGTGCCAGGGCAGGCCCACCAGAGGAACCCCCAGAGGGGTTTCCGTGGGAGCTGCGGTTGAGCATGGCTTGGAAGTTTCTGGGGAGAGGAATGGGCTCAGTGCTGCAGGAGAATCGGCCAGAGCTAGGGTGGGTGTGGGAGGCATGGAGAGGCAGCCCAGGAGCCTGATGCCTGGGGCATTGGTGAGCACTGGGGGAGGTGGAAAGATGCAGGAATAAATCCAAGTATGAGGTTTATGTCGCCAAGCCCTCCAGAACCCCTCCACCACCGCACCACCCACAGGCCTGCGCCAAACTGGCCTCCCTCTCACACTCTCCTTCTGGCCCCCACAGCCCCTGGAAGGGAGAGAACTGGGTGTTTGGTCCCTGCCCTGGCAGGTGAGGAGAGACTGCAAGCAAGAGGGGCATAGCCTGCACCCCCAGACCAAGCAGGGGGCTATTGTGCCTATGCAGGGGAACAGGTGAACAAAGACAGTTCCTCCCTGACCCGCCTGTCCCCAGCCTCACCCTCATCCTCTTTGATGTACCCCCAGCCAGTCACCCAGCAGTCTGTCCGGTTCTCAAACTCAAATGTGGAGGCCTGGAGACAGATGGGCTGGATGTGTTTAGTGTAGGTGACAGGTGCAGACAGCTTCACCAAGGCAATGTCATAGGGTGAATTCCCCAGGTAGCGAGGGCTCAGATAGATATTCGATACGAAGTAACGGGTGTAGTAGGCCTGCAGGCTCCAGAAGGATGGCATGGAAGTCAGCTGGCCAAACTGGACCATCCACCCGGAGGGATCACTAAGGTCACTATAGCTGGCAGAAGAGAAGAGAGCAGTCAGGGGCCCTGGATGGAGGGCTGGCTACCTGAGCACAACTGGGGTCCAGTGCAGGAGGGGAAACTGTGGTGTTGCTGCTACTTGCTAACACCCAGGGTCCCCTGCAGAAATGAAGGAGCCCAGACAGACCACAACCAAAGTCCTAGGACCTGCTCCTGCAGCAGAAGGGTGGGGTCTTGTCACCTCCCAGAGCTGTCCCAAGGAGCCTTGCATTGAGCCAAGGCCTCCAGGGGCACCCCCATGCAGCCCAAGGAGGAATGGGGAGATGCACCACGCCAATGTGGGATTGGCAGGATGGAGTCCACACAGCGGCCCGGGGGTGCTGGCCTTGGCTCAGTGCCCCACACTGTACCGCACCGTCCACCAGGAGGGGGGATGAGGGTGGGATGGTCAGTGGTGAACTTTGGGTTGAAAGAAAAAGGGAGAGAATACCCAAAAGTGTGTGGAAATGTTCTGGAAGAACATTCTGGAATAACCTGAACAGGGTTCCCTCCAGGAGACCCAAAGGGAACTGGAGTGGGTGTAACCGGCTGCAGCACAGCCTGGGGCTCAGGAGAACACCAGGCCGCATCCACGCACAACTTTCACGCCCAAGTCTGGCATCAGACCAGAGGTAAAGTTCGGTGGCACTCCCTCCAGCCCTGTTCCTGCCCGTCCCCGCACCCCTCCGTTCGCACCCCCACTCACGTTTCAAAGCAGTGCGCCGCCGTGAGTGCCCAGCGGTGGCTGAGCAGGCTCACTCCGCATACGTGGGAATCCCACAGGCGCAGGCTCCCCTGCCACGGCCAACGCCCGAGTTCGGCGTCCTCTCCACCCACGATGCGCGACGTGATGACCCGTCGGCCGCATGGTCCTCGGATGGTCAGAGGAACTGCTGAGCCGCGGGAGGCAGCCCCCCAAGCCCGACCTCTCCCTTTCTCCCCTTCAACCCCGTCCGGGAAAGCACGTTTTTGCCCACCCAGGGTCCCCTCGCGTGTGTGCAGCAGGAAGTAGGTGACACTGGAGATCCTCCCACGTGCTCTGCAGGGCCCGCCCATCCCCCTCCAGCGTCCGTTAGTTACTTTCCACGCCAACAGAGTTCTCGATCCCGGGGGCGGGGGCGAGAGAGCAGTAAAGGCCCCCCTCTACCCCCTCACCGCCCCCCGTCCACCTCGGCCCAACGGCCCTGGCAGGAATCGCGCGTCCTGGGCGCCCTACCTGATAACGGCGCCGCCTCCTGCGACTCTGCGGGAGACAAGAAGTGACTCCCCGCGGCCTCCACCTCCCGTCCTCCCCACCGCTCCCCCGCCTCCCCATCCCGCCAGCAGCGCCCCGAGCTCACCCGGCTTCCTGAGTCCAGCCCGAGCCAGCAGCAGCGCCAGCAGCAGCGCCCCGCGCGCGCCCATGGCCTCCTCTCCCGCGGCCTGACGCCCCCTCTGCCTCCTCTCGCGCCGGGCCCGGGGCGCCCCCTGGGGGCGGGGCGGGGTGGGAGCTCTGCCCTCTACTCCCAGCTTCACCCTCCTGGGCCCAAGGGCTGTTTGGGGCCTCTCATGCCTGGCAGCGCCCTGGCTTTCAGCCCCTAGGGGCGGGTCTTCAACCACACTTCTTGATGTGGCCCAGACCCGGTGGACCCCACAGTCCCTTTCTTGTCTGCAGCCCAGGGGTCCCGGCTGCCCTCTTGGTGACCCCGTCCTCCACCTACAACCTCCTCCAGCACCAAGGGCCTGGCCCTGAGCCAGGAGTCCCCTTAAAGCCTGGGGACCCCCTGAAGGCCGGGTGGGGCCTAGAGGCATGGCTGCTCCTTCATGGGACCTTCTTGGGAAAACAGTGGTCCTCGGCCCGTTCCACCCAGAATGGGGATCTCCCCAAGTCTCTGCCCAGGCTGTCCCCACTGCGGGCTCCCGCTGGGCTCTCTTCACTTCTCTGGAACAATTTTTTTTTTTTTTGAGATGGAGTTTCGCTCTTGTCGCCCAGGCTGGAGTGCATTGGCGTGATCCCAGCTCACTGCAACCTCCACCTCCTGGGTTCAAGCGATTCTCCTGCCTCAGCCTCCCAAGTAGCTGGGGTTACAGGCGCGCGCCAGCACACCTGGCTCATTTTTGTATTTTTAGTACAGACGGGGTTTCGCCATGTTAACCAGGCTGGTCTCCAACTCCTGACCTCAGGTAATCCGCCCACCTCGGCCTCTCAAAGTGCTGGGATTACAGGCATGAGCCACCGCGCCCAGCTGCAATTCCACTTCTGAGCATACACCCAAAAGAACTGAAAGGAAGGTCTTCAAGAGATATTTGTTTTTGGTTTTTTGGGGGGATTTAGTTTTGTTTGTTTTTGAGATGGAGTCTTGCTCCATCGCTCAGGCTGGAGTGCAGTGGTGCGATCTTGGCTCACTGCAACATCTGCCTCCTGGGTTCAAGTGATTCTCCTGTCTCAGCCTCCAGAGTAGCTGGGATTAGAGGCACCTGCCACCATGCTTAGCTAATTTTTGTATTTTTAGTAGAGATGGGGTTTCGCCATGTTGGCCAGGCTGGTCTTGAACTTCTGACCTCAGGTGATCTGCCCTCTGCGGCCTCCCAAAGTGCCAGGGTGAAGGTGTGAGCCACCCCACCCAGCCTTCAAGAGATATTTGTATACCCATGTTCATAGCAGGATTATTCACAGTAGCTGACATGAAAGCAACCCAAGAATCCATTGACCACTGAACAGATCAGTGAAAATGGGAATGTACAACCAGAACCTGGGAATCCCGCCTCCCTCAACTTGAAACTTGGGAATAGCGTATTCTACTTTCAACACTTGCACTAGTGGAAGGTTAATTACATGAAAGATTAGGCAAAATGTGTGGTTAGGCGTTCTGGTTTTCCAATAAAAGTATTAAGTTTCTTTGGGGAAAGTACAGATAAAATGCTTAGCACAGAGCATGGTACCAACGGGAACTCAATGAGGGCGCAGCGGGTGTGTGGGAGCTTCGGGTTTCAGGAGCACAAGGCTGCGGTGCCTTCCCTCAGGGCCTCCTTCCCCAGCAGCAGCTGCTCAAGGACAAGTCACATGCACAGCCTGGCCTTGGCCTGCTGGGTTGGGGCAAAGGTCCCTGGGCTTCTGATCCTGCCCCTCTCCCAGCCAGCAGGACGTTCCCTCTGGTTCCTGAGTCCCAGGGATCCGCTGAGGCCCCTAGGAGGTGTCAGCTCCTGGTTTTGCCCAGGGTCTCAGTCAGGCCAGTCCTACCCGGAGATCTGAGCCAGGGACTCAGGTTCTTGCCTCCAGTGAGGCTGGGGGCTTCCCGCAGAGGCCAAGCCTGGCCCGGGGGCTGCAGGGAGGCCCTGGCTGCTGCATGGGCTGCAGATGGAGACTCTCTTGTCTGCTGTGCCTCAGGCTGCAGAGTCACAGAGGGGTCTTCCCAAGCCCCACACCTGGAGGGCAGGGAGGACAGGGACTTGTGGTCCTAACCCGACTCCTGACACATAAGGGCCAGCCGGCCCGGAGCCACCTCTGCGGGCAGGAGAAGGCCTCATTGTTCCCTTCTCCTGGCAGAATGAGGACTGGGGCGTGCCCGGGGCAGGAAATAAATGCTCAGTAAATCCCTCTCTTGGGAGCCCTGATCCCAAGGGACAAAGGGCCTGTGTTGAGTCTCCCTGGGCACGGGCTCGGGGCCAGCACTTGGGCCATGGCAGATGGAGGGTGGGAGGAGGGTGCCTCCCACCAGGTGGGCTTCTTCCCCAGGTCAGGCATGCAGGTGAGGAGCGTCCTCGTGTGTGCATGCCCCCTGCGTGCAGGAGAGGCTGGGCGGGTGTGTGTGTCTGGGTGTATGTGTGTGCATGCATCTTCAAGTGCACGTGTGTGAACGACCATGTGTGATCCCCGTTCTCGTGCCATCTGAACATCCCCTCCAGTGTGCATTTGGGTGAGTCCTGGCGCCCCTCTGGCCAGGCTGCTAACTATCCCTTCCACCAAGTCCCCTCAACCTCAGCTGGTGCTTCTGGAGTCCTGGCCCAAGTGACTCTCCTTCTGGGCGCCAAACCCTGTCAGCCTGGAGTTAGAAAGAAGGCCCCTGAACTGCCAGCAAAACATGGAAAGACAGGTCGGGTGCCATGGCTCAAGCCTGTAATCCCAGCACTTTGGGGAGCCGAGGCGGATGGATCACAAGTTCAGGAGTTCGAGACCAGCCTGGCCAACATGGTGAAATCCTGTCTCTACTAAAAGTACAAAAAATAGCTGGGCATGGTGGTGGGCACCTGTAATCTCAGCTACTCTGGAGGCTGAGGCAGGAGAATCATTTGAACCTGGGAGGCAGAGGTTGCGGTGAGCCGAGATCGCACCATTGCACTCCAGCCTGGGTGAGAGGGCGAGAGTCCGTGTTTAAAAAAAAAAAAAAAACAAAAAACAAAACAAAACAAAACATGGAAAGGTGCCCTTAGGCTGGGCTAGCGCGAGAACACAGCCCGCTTTGTGGCACCTCCAAGCTCCTGCCTCTGAGAGCTGTGCTGGCCAAGGGCTTGGCCTCTTCCACCTCCACCTCCCTGAAGGAGGCTCCTCCTGAGAGGGACTCCGCTGCCCACTCCCTGTGCCTGGCCCCTGCTATCCCTGAAAGTCAGAGGAATGCTGGACGGGTGGTGCAGAGGGGTGGGAGCTGGGTGGGTGGTGCAGAGGGATGGGAGCTGGGTGGGTGGTGCAGAAGGGTGGGAGCAGAGGTACAGTGGGGGCCTCATCTTGGCACATCAGTCAGTGGGAGCCCAGCTCTGACCAGCCCCTCCAGGGAGACGGTGCAGGCGTCACAACCAGAGCCAGGTGCCAAAACTAAAGTGAGGCTCTGCTCCCGCCCTGTCAGTCTCTGGCAACTTCTGTTTTGCTTTCTGTCCCTACGCTTTTGGCTGCTCTAAGTACTTCATATGTGTGAAATCACACGGTGTTCGTTTTTTGTGACTGGCTTATTTCACTGAGCACAGTGTCTTCATGGCTCATCCATATCGCTGTATGTGTCACAATTTCCTTCCTTTTTCTTTTTTTCTTTATTTTATTTTATTTTATTTTTTGAGACAGGGTCTCCCTCTATTGGCCAGGCTGGAGGGCAGTGGTGAGATCTTGGCTCTCTGCAGCCTCAGCATCCCAGGCTCAATGTAATCCTCTTACCTCATCCTCCCAAGTAGCTGGGACCACAGGTGCGGGCCACCACACCCAGCTACGTTTTTATTTTTACTTTTATTTTATTTTATTTTTTTTTTTTTTGAGACTAAGTCTCACTGTCGCCCGGGCTAATGTGCAGTGGGGCGATCTCGGCTCGCTGCAGCCTCTGCCTCCCGAGTTCAAGTGATTCTCCTGCCTCAGCCTCCCGAGTAGCTAGGACTATAGGCGTGTGCCACCACGTCCAGCTAATTTTTGTATTTTTAGTAGAGACGGGGTTTCACTATGTTGGCCAGGCTGGTCTCGAACTCCTGACCTTGTGATCCGCCCACCTCGGCCTCCCAAAGTGCTGGGATTACAGGCATGAGCCACCGCGCCCGGCCCATTTTTATTTTAAATTTTTTGTAGAGCAAAATGTTATCCAGGCTGGTCTTGAACTCCTGGCCTCCAGCGATCCTTCTGCCCTGGTCTCTCAAAGTGCTGGAATTACAGGTGCGGGCCACCCATCCATGGCCCCCCTAGTTCTCTTGTCCTCCTTCCCCTCACTAAGACAGCCAGAACAATGAATAAACAATATTTGTTTTTGTTTTTGTTTTTGTTTTTGAGACAGAGTTTTGCTCTTTTTGCCCAGGCTGGAGTGCAATGGCGTGATCTCAACTCACTGCAACCTCCGCCTCCCGGGTTCAAGCAATTCTCCTGCCTCAGCCTCCCAAGTAGCTGGGATTACAGGCACCTACCACCATGCCCCCTTTTTTTTTTTTTTTTTTTTTTTTGTATTTTTAGTAGAGACAGTTTCACCAGGTTGGCCAGGATGGTCTCGATCTCTTGACCTCATGATCTGCCCGCCTTGGCCTCCCAAAGTGCTGGGATTACAGGTGTGAGCCACCGCGCCTGGCCAACAATTAACTTTTAATGAAAATAACTGAGGAAGAGCACCAGAGTGCTTTAGAGGAGTAACAGAAACCTGGTGAGCAGAGAAACTCAGGATGGCCGCATGAAGAACAGAAGGAAACACTGGGCCTGCACCCCAGTCCTCAACCAGGATCAGCTGGGAATGAGGCAAGGAGGTAAGCAGGGGATCCCAGGAGCCCCACCAGCACCTTGGACACCTATAGCCCTCACCACTAGCGTCCCCTGTCCTCACAGGCACTAAGCCCAGGCAAGGGGGCTAACTGAGGCCGCACAGCTGAGCTCCCTGCAGAGGAGCCCACAGTGAGCCCATTTCCTGTGGTCACGTGGCTACCGCACTGCGCCAGCGGTGAATTGGAACTACAGCCAGAGCATATCTTGCCCTGGGATTGAGTAGCCACAGTTGCCCTTTATCCCTGAGACTAATCCACCACTGAACAACCTCAGCCTGGTGGCTTCACACCCCTAAACTGAGCCGTGAGCAGCGGTCACACCCTTGCTCCTGGGGCCAAGCAGTGGTGGAGGTGCTCCACCTAACCTTCCCCCTTCTCCGCTCAGGCCAGAGCTGAAGCCACAACCTGCCTCCCGGGAAAACAGCACCTTGGCTGCTCAGAGCTGAAGTTGGAGAAGCGTGCTGCATTCCAGGAAATGGTGCCAGGGCTACCCAGAATAGTCTCATTCCCCAGGCCTAAGCTAAAGCAGCCCACTTCCCCCAAGAGATCATTGCCCTGGCTGAGCTGAGCAGCTGTGAATCCAGGGGTTGACCTGATGTAGTAGCTCGCATCCCAGGGAAACATTGGCTCAGCAGTGGCTAAGCTGAGACACCCTGCTGTGGGCCATCTCCAGCTGAGACACCGCCCTCTGGGCCAGCTCCAGCACCTTGCCTCCCTGGATTAGCCTCCTAGAGATAGAGATAGTCTCCCTGCGCTGCTCCCTGCCTTCCCCTCGAATGTGCTGTTTCCTGCTACCTCCCTCCCCAACAGGACTGAAATGACAGCTGTGCTCTGCCACTCTGCCAGTGTATCTGGCTTCATGAAGTCGGGGATACTGCCAAGCCCTACCTTCTCGGGGTTCAGAGTCACTACTGCATGGAGCCTCAGCCCTTGAACCCTGAGTTACGCTGAGCCCCTGAACCGTGAGTTACGCTGAGCCCCTGAACCGTGAGTTACTTTGAGCCCCTGAACCCTGAGTTACGCTGAGCTCCTGAATCCTGAGTTACGCTGAGCCCCTGAACCCTGAGTTACGCTGAGCCCCTGAACCGTGAGTTACGCTGAGCCCCTGAACCGTGAGTTATGCTGAGCTCCTGAATCCTGAGTTACGCTGAGCCCCTGAACCGTGAGTTATGCTGAGCCCCTGAACCGTGAGTTATGCTGAGCTCCTGAATCCTGAGTTACGCTGAGCCCCTGAACCGTGAGTTATGCTGAGCCCCTGAACCGTGAGTTACGCTGAGCCCCTGAACCCTGAGTTACGCTGAGCTCCTGAACCCTGAGTTACGCTGAGCCCCTGAACCGTGAGTTATGCTGAGCTCCTGAATCCTGAGTTACGCTGAGCCCCTGAACCCTGAGTTACACTGAGCCCCTGAATCCTGAGTTACGCTGAGCCCCTGAATCCTGAGTTACGCTGAGCCCCTGAACCCTGAGTTATACTGAGCCCTATTGGCTCAGGCCCCGGAGTGGCAGCCATACCCTGATCCCCAGGTTTAAACATGAAGAGCACCACATCTTCCCCAGAGTTGGGTCATTGCTCTGCCCCCCACAGTAGAATCACAGCTACAACCCAGCCCCCTGGGCCTGACCTGCTAGAGAGTGCGTCAGAAGTACAGATCCTGGCTTTGTGGGCAACGCACATTCAACCCTGCCACAGAGAGTAAGCCTGCACCCAGTGACCCAGGCCTTGCCTCAATTTGTACGCCAGGCTCTGAGCCTAGGACCCCAGCCCCACAGCTACTCCAAGCACCTGCAAACGAAAGCCAGTGCCACTGCATTGTCTTGTGAGCCATATCAAGCTTGACACTAAAAGGTCCCCTTTGGCTGCATGTCCCCATTGTGGGGAAAATAAGAATAGGAGGATCCCAAAAGCCCTTGACATCAAGGACATTAACAACCACTGCCACAAATCTGTACAGCCTGGGCCTCAAGGCACCCACAGTTATTGCTGATGCTCAACACAGCTGAAGAGCTGCACCGAGACCATATCACTGCACCCATCTGGAAACACAGCCACCACACCCTTTCCAACCAGCACACTAAGACCCAACTGCAGGTAAAAGTCTATCTCTATGAAAGCCACTCTAGAAACTTTGGAAGAGGCGATTGTTCCACCAGGTGTACAGACATCGGTGCAAGGACACAAGAAACATGAAGCAGCAAGAAAATCTGGCATCAAAGGAACATAATTGTCTAGTAACAGAGCCCAGTGGAAAAGGAAATCAGTGAACTGTCAGAAATAAATTCAAAATAATGATCTTAAGAAAACTAAATGAGGCCGGGCATGGTGGCTTACGGCTGTACTTTGGGAGGCCAGGGGTGGGGGTGGATCACCTGAGGTCGGGAGTTCAAGACCAGCCTGACCAACATGGTGAAACCCCATCTCTACTAAATACAAAAAATTAGCCAGGCGTAGTGGCACATGCCTGTAATCCCAGCTACTCAGGAGGCTGAGGCAGGAGAATCGCTTGAACCCGGGAGGCGGAGGTTGCGGTGAGCCAAGATCATGCCATTGCACTGCAGCCTGGGCAACAAGAGTGAAACTCCATCTCAAGAAAGAAAAGAAAAGAAAACTAAATGAGATAAAAGAAAATGCAGACAGGCAATTCAACAAAATCAGGAAAACATATATTAATGAGAAATTCAACAAACAGATAAAAAACCATAACAAAGGAACAAGACAGAAAATTCTGCAGCTGAGAAATTCAATTCGTGAAGTAAAAAAATATAATGGCTTCAATAGTAGTCTTGTCAAGCAGAAGATTCTCTGAACTGGAAGACAGTTTGTTTCAAATTACCCAACTGGAGAAAAAAAAAAGGATTGGAAAGAAGAAAATCTGTAAGACTTAAGGGACTCCATTAAGCATAGGCATGTTTGTATTATGGGAGTTCCAGAGAGAGAAGAGTGAGGATAAAGCATAGAAAACCTACTTAATGAAAATTTCCCAAGTCTGGAGAGAGATATGGCCATCTAGACCCAAGAAGCTCAAAGTATCCCAAATATATTAAACCCAAAAAGGTCCTCTCTGAGGCAAATCAAAGTCAAATTGTCAAAACTCAAAGACAAAGTGAGAATTCTAAAAACAGCAAGAGGAAAGTGTCAAGTCACATATGAAGGAATCTCCATTAGACAAACAGCAGATTTCTGTACAGAAACCTTTGAAGCCAGGAGAGGAGTGATATAGTCGAAGTGCTGAAAGGAGAAAGTTATTAGCCAAACCTATCTTTCAGAAATGAGGGAGAAGTAAAGTCTTTTCCAGACAAACAGAAACTGAGGGAATTAATCGCTACTAGACTGACTAGTCTTGCAAGAAATGCTGAAGGGAGTCCTACATCTGGAAGCAAAAAGGTGGTAATCACTAACTTGAAAACACGTAAAAGTATAAAACTCACTGGTAGAGCAGATATATAAAAGGGAAAGAGAAAAGAATTAAACATCACTACTGAAAACCACCAAACTGCAATGATAACAAGAAGAGAGGAACAAAGGATGTATAACCAGAAAACAATTAACAAAATGGGCCGGGCGTGGTGGCTCACACCTGTAATCCCAGCACTGTGGGAGGCCAAAGCGGGTGGATCACCTGAGGTCAGGAGTTCGAGACTAGACTGGCCAACATGGTGAAACTGCATCTCTACTAAAAATACAAAAATTAGCCAGGTGTGGTGGCACAGGCCTGTAGTTCCAGCTACTTGGGAGGCTGAGGGAGGAGAATCGCTTGAACCGGGAGGTGGAGGTTGCAGTGAGCCGAAATGGTGTCACTGCATTCCAGCCTGGGCAACAGAGTGAGACTCTGTCTCAAAAAAATAAATAAATAAATAAAATGAAGGAAATAGTCCTTACCTATCAATAACAACCTTAAAAGTAAATGGATTAAATTCAAACCCAGGCAGGCAGGCACTGGGAGCCATATTGTTGGGGCCTCACGGGGGAGCAGCCTCAGGGTGAGGAAGAAGTAAGTTAATGCAGGCTCAGCCCTCGCAATAGAGCCTGGCCCCGCAGATGCTGCTGTCATTATTTTACCCTTGGTTTCAGGGTGGAGACACCCAGGTTCCTTCCCACCTCAGGGCCCTGGCACATGCTGTTCCTTCTGCTTGCTCCCCGTCCCACCGTCTGTGTTTGGTCGTCTCTTGCTCTTCCTTGAGGTGACCCAGCCTAACTATCTCTTCCTGACCACAGACCATATTGATGCACCGGTGATATGGTTTGGATGTCTGTCCCCTCCAAATCTCATGTGAAATGGGAGCCTCACTGTTGGAGGTGGGCCTGGTGGGAGGTGTTAGGGTCATGGGGGTGGGTCCCTCGTGAATGGCTTGGTGCCCTCCCTGCAGTAATGAGTGAGTTCCTGCTCTGTTAGTTCATGTGAGAGCTGGTTGTTTGGCATCTCTCTCGCTACTGCTCTTGCCATGGGACACATGTGCTCCTGCTTCACCTTCCGCCATGAGTGGAAGCTTCTTGAGGCCTCACCATGTTGGTGCCATGCTTCTTGCACAGCCTGCAGAACCATGAGCCAAATAAACCCCTTCTCTGTATAAATTACCCAGCCTCAGGTATTCCTTTATAGCAACGTAAGAATTCACTAAGACACCCCCGAAATCTCCAGATCCCTCCCTGCCCGTCACCCTTGGTGTCTATTCATTCGATGCCTGGAGGTGTAGCCTCTGTCTCCTGTGGCCTGGGGGTGGGGGTCCTGGGCAGGGCAGATGCCAACATCCCAACAGGGCTTGGCCATGGCAGCAAGAGCTCTGAGTCCTCTGGGCTCTGACTGTCCCCCCACCCATGTGGATTTCCTACCCAAGATCCAAACCTGCCTGCCCATTCCCCACATTCCTCTGCTCCTTTCACAGGCAGCCGCTACACCTTGTCCTTATTCCATCACCCCACCCCGAGGTGCTCCAGCTCCACTCTCCTTCCAGTTGGCTCCTCCAATCCCAGAGCTACTCTTAGTCCCCACCTTTCCTCTTGCCTTGCCAGCATATGGCAATGGAACCCTGAGGCCCTGCTGACACCCACAATGGGCCACTTTGGGCTGTGGACATCACCTTTTATCTCTGAAGTCATTCCCTCTGGTGAAAGTCCATCTCTAGGCCGGGCACAGTGGCTCACACCTGTAATCCCAGCACTTTGGGAGGCCAAAGTGAGAGGATCATGAGGTCAGGAGTTCGAGACCAGTCTGGCCAACATAGTAAAACCCCATCTCTACTAAAAAAAAAAAAAATACAAAAAAATTAGCCAGGTGTTGTGGTGTGCACCTGTAATCCCAGCTACTTGGGAGGCTGAGGCAGGAGAACCCTGGAGGTGGAGGCTGCAGTGAGCCGAGATCATGCCACTACACTCCAGCCCAGGCAACAGTGTGAGACTCCATCTCAAAAAAGAAAAAAATGTCCGTCTCTACTTTACTTGTTCAACTCCGCTGGAATGTCCCTAGACCTATAGGAAAACAGTCTTTTGTATGGCAAGAGTGACGCCATCTTGAAGTGAAAACCCCATGATGACCATGTTTCGCTCCAGCATACCAAGCTGTCCCTGTCACACAGATAACTCCTCATAAAGATGCCTCTCTAATCTCCCCAGTGGTCAAGATTTTGCTGGAATGTCTGAGGCATAACCAATTGCACTTGTTTTACCAAAAAAAAAAATTCTTGTGATATAAAGAATACTTTCTGCAGGGTGTGGAGATCCACCATCCCATGGACAACCAATACATCACTTCAGTTTGTAAGTTCCTATTAAATGTTTATTCCTTAGACACTGGATTTGTCAGCCTCTTTCTTTGTCCTGTTGGCTCCCTTGGCCTTTGAGGATAGGTTTGCATAGACCTGCTCACCTGCAGAACACCCTCAAACTTAGAAAGGGCCGCTGGACTCACCTCCTGTCCCTCAGAACCAGCTACATCCACTCCAGTCCTACCTTTGAATCTGCTCACCCTTTTCCAGTCTCAGTATTCTTCTATCTGGATAGGCCAGGTCTCCTCAGCAGGAAGACCCTCCCCTGACCCCAACGCATGCACAGGGTAGGAGGATAGCACGTCCACTGTATCATGACACTCCCTCTACAATTTGGCAGGACTGGCAATTCCGCCTGCTAATAGGTCAGCCCCCCACTGGTGAGTGATGTGGTCCTGAAGGGTGGGAGGACATCGTAGGCAGGGACCACCTGTGACTGCCCACCCTCCATGGTTTGAGGAACCAGAGCCCCTCTACAGCCTTCCTCCGGAGGCTAATGGTGAGCAGGGAGAGTTTGCTTCAAGTGGTTGCATTTTCAAAGGAGCAGGGGCTGTGGGGTGGGGATGGGATCAGGGGCTGCCTAGGCCAGAGCTTCTTGTACCTTCTTGTGCTCACAGCATTTTTGGATCTTGGCAAAATGCAGATCGCTTTCCCAGTTCAGGGAGTCTGCAGCATTTACCTTGTTGGACTGGTTCCTTGGCCAAGCTGATGCTGGGGTCAGGAACCTCAAGGCAGGGGAAGACATACCCCCCTCCCCCATGCCAGCCACCTTATGGTGCTGCTACAGCAGCTGCCTGGGTGCCCACAGCCTCACCTAGGGGCTGCTAGAGCTCTGGGGCATCATACCATGCCCCAAGGACCTCCCTCAACTTGTGGCATCAGGGGGAAGAGAGAAACACTCGCTCCTGGTGTCCTTGTCCTCAGTGGGCCAATGCTGAAGCCCCCACAGGATTGTGGCCCAATTTCTCCCAGTTTGAGCAAATTCATTGGCATTTGTGCCTTTCCTGCCTTGGTTTCTCCACTTTCTCATCTTTGCTTCCTGGGATCACCTTCCAGATAAACTACCGCACCCATGTCCTGGTTTTAGGTCAACCATTGGAGTGACCAAAATAAGATCAGGAACATCTGGCATTTGTGTGATTGGGAACCCTAGGATGGGAGCACTGGGAGCATTTCCTCCATGGCACCCCCAATCCATGTCTTCCCACCCCTCTGACACACTGAAGTACTACTGCTCTTCCATCAATTATCTTTCCGATGGAAATAACCAGAGGGTGCTGCTGTTCGCAACAAAAACCTGGATAACAATTTAGGAGTTCAGGTGGGGTCTTGGCCTGGACTGGACATGAGTGAAGAGGAGGGAGTTGTCCACGAAACCCCTTAGGTCCACAGAAAGCTCTGTAAGGCATCAGCTTGAACATGCACACGTATTTATTAGCAAACGAGACAAAAGGGGCCGGAATCTGATCCAGCAGGCAGTCCCAACCCTGTCCCTGAAGCGCCCACAGCCCAGAGGAGGTGAGCCAATACTGTGGTCCCCACTGCAGCCTCACAGTTTCTGGTGCACTCAGAATGGCTGCAGGAGTCAGGGAGCCCACAGCAGGGCAAGGAGCAGCAACAGCTGGGAGGGGTTTGGCCTGGGTGTACTGTGGGACATCACCCTCCGGATCCAGTGGAAGTACACACTGATGTTGGTGTAGACACCAGGCCGATTGGGTTGACCGCAGTCCATTCCCCAGCTCACGATTCCAACCTGATACCACAGTCCATCCTTGTCACAGACCAAGGGTCCACCTGAGTCACCCTGGGGAGCAGCATGGGTGAGCCCAGGCTGGGGCAGAGTGGGTGGGGCAGCAGAGGCCATGAGAGCAGGAGGGGCTGTGGGGCTAGGCAGACTGAATGCAAACCTTACTCCTTCCCATGGAATCAAGTCTCAGTTTCTACACTTTCAAAGTGGGGCAACAGCCTCCAGGGGTTGGTGGGTTAATCAGTGTAGGCAGAATTTATGAAAAATGAGAAGCATATTTTGTAGGCTCAGTAACTGAGACTGCACTGGTTTTCTCCTAAGAAATCTAAGCAATGGGTTGGGAGTGGTTGGGGGAGAAATGGTAGCTGCTCTCAGGTGTAGAGCTGGAGAGGGTGGGATTCCCTGGTGGGGTAGAGGCACTCACTTTGCAGGTGTCTACACTGCCATCCTCAGCACCAGCACAAAACATGGAATCCCAGATCATACTACGGCTAGAGGGCTGTTCAAACAGGTAATTACACCTGGTGTTGTTTAAGATGGTGACCTGTGCTTCCCGGAGGTTGTAAGGAGGTGGCAGAGGTGCTGGAGATAGGACAGAAAAGGACAGCACCCTTCACCTCTCCTCTGCTATCTGGAGCAGGGAGAGGAGAAAGGGCATGTGTTATAGGGGTGGGGAGAAGGTCCCTGACACACCCACAACACCCAGCATTGCTCTTGACTCCCCAGCACCCAGTGCATCAAAAGCAATCAACAATATCACAGAATAACCCAATAGATGGGCCAGGCTGTTGCAGTGCTTCCTGAAACTCGGTTTCTCTATCTGTAGAATGGAGATGATAGCCCCTGCCTGAGTCCGCGGAGAAATTTCTCAACCAAAGCATGGCAGGAAGAAGGGCTACAGTAGATGAGAATGTTTATGATTAACACATGACAGCTGTGGGATCCAGGTCAAAACTTGCCATATTTGATGAAAGACATGAACCCACAGATTCAAGAAGCTGAGCAAATTCCACAGGATAAACACAAAGAGATTTACACTGAGACACATTATAATAAAACTAACAAAAGATAAAGGGAGAGTCTTATGAACATGGAGAGAGAAGTGATACATCAAGGACAAGGGATCCTCAGCAAGATTAACAGAAACAGTCAACCAAGAATTTTATATCAGGAAAAAAATGAAGAAGAAATTAAGACATTCTCAGATAACCAAAAGCTGAGAAGATTTGTCATTAGTTGACCTATCCTACAAGAAGTGGATAAAGGAATCCTTCCAGTTAAAATGAAAGAACACTAGAGAGTAACTCAAAGTCATACAAACAAAGAGCCCTGGTCAAGACAACTACATAGGTAAATATAAAAGTCAGTATTATTGTAGTTTTGGTGTGTAACTCCTCTTTTTCTTATGTAATTTAAATGACAAATACATAAAACAATAATTATAAATCTAGGTTAAAGGTTACACAATGAACAAAGATGTAAATTGTGACAATAACAACATAAAGTGGAGGAATGGAGCCATATAGGAACAGAGATTTTTTTTAATACTGTTGAAGCTAAGTTAGTATAAATTCAAAGTAGGTTATTATAAGGTTTAGATGTTAATTGTAATCCCTAGAGCAACCACTAACAAAGCAAAATAAACACGGAGAAGGAAATGAGAAGGGAATCAATATGGTACTCTAAAACAATCAGTTAAACAAAAATGAGGAAATAAGAAACAAAAGAAATAAAAAATATCAGCATGGAAAAAAGATATGATGAGATCTAAAAACCAAGTAACAAAATGGCAGAAGTCATTCTTTGCAGATCTGTAATCAATTACTCTTAATGTAAAGGGCTTGAATGCTCCAAATAAAAAGCAGAGACTGATAAAATCGCTTTTAAAAAAATCACTGGATCCAGATAGGTGCTCCTTATAAGAGAGTCACTTTAGATCCAGTGAAACACACAGGCTGAAAGTGAAAGGTTGGGAAAAATTTCCATAAAAATAGTAACCAAAAGAGAGCTGAGGTTACTATACTCTATCAGACAAAATAGAATTTAATACAAACTTGTTATAAGAGTCCAAGAACGTCCCTCTCCCTCTCCCTCTCCCTCTCCCTCTCCCCACGGTCTCCCTCTCATGCGGAGCCGAAGCTGGACTGTACTGCTGCCATCTCGGCTCACTGCAACCTCCCTGCCTGATTCTCCTGCCTCAGCCTGCCGAGTGCCTGCGATTGCAGGCATGCGCCGCCATGCCTGACTGGTTTTGGTGGAGACGGGGTTTCGCTGTGTTGGCCGGGCCGGTCTCCAGCCCCTAACCGCGAGTGATCCGCCAGCCTCGGCCTCCCGAGGTGCCGGGATTGCAGACGGAGTCTGGTTCACTCAGTGCTCAATGGTGCCCAGGCTGGAGTGCAGTGGCGTGATCTCGGCTCGCTACAACCTACACCTCCCAGCCGCCTGCCTTGGCCTCCCAAAGTGCCGAGATTGCAGCCTCTGCCCGGCCGCCATCCCGTCTGGGAAGTGAGGAGTGTCTCTGCCTGGCCGCCCATCGTCTGGGATGTGAGGAGCCCCTCTGCCTGGCTGCCCAGTCTGGAAAGTGAGGAGCGTCTCCGCCCGGCCGCCATCCCATCTAGGAAGTGAGGAGCGCCTCTTCCTGGCCGCCATCACATCTAGGAAGTGAGGAGCGTCTCTGCCCGGCCGCCCATCGTCTGAGATGTGGGGAGCGCCTCTGCCCCGCCGCCCCATCTGGGATGTGAGGAGCGCCTCTGCCCGGCCGCGACCCTGTCTGGGAGGTGAGGAGCGTCTCTGCCCGGCCACCCCGTCTGAGAAGTGAGGAGACCCTCTGCCTGGCAACCACTCCGTCTGAGAAGTGAGGAGCCTCTCCGCCCGGCAGCCACCCCATCTGGGAAGTGAGGAGCATCTCCGCCCGGCAGCCACCCCGTCCGGGAGGGAGGTGGGGGGGGTCAGCCCCACGCCCGGCCAGCCGCCCCGTCCGGGAGGGAGGTGGGGGGGTCAGCCCCCCGCCCGGCCAGCCGCCCCGTCCGGGAGGTGAGGGGCGCCTCTGCCCGGCCGCCCCTACTGGGAAGTGAGGAGCCCCTCTGCCCGGCCACCACCCCGTCTGGGAGGTGTGCCCAACAGCTCATTGAGAACAGGCCATGATGACAATGGCGGTTTTGTGGAATAGAAAGCGGGGAAAGGTGGGGAAAAGATTGAGAAATCGGATGGTTGCCGTGTCTGTGTAGAAAGAGGTAGACATGGGAGACTTTTCATTTTGTTCTGCACTAAGAAAAATTCTTCTGCCTTGGGATCCTGTTGATCTGTGACCTTACCCCCAACCCTGTGCTCTCTGAAACATGTGCTGTGTCCACTCAGGGTTAAATGGATTAAGGGCGGTGCAAGATGTGCTTTGTTAAACAGATGCTTGAAGGCAGCATGCTCGTTAAGAGTCATTACCAATCCCTAATCTCAAGTAATCAGGGACACAAACACTGCGGAAGGCCGCAGGGTCCTCTGCCTAGGAAAACCAGAGACCTTTGTTCACTTGTTTATCTGCTGACCTTCCCTCCACTATTGTCCCATGACCCTGCCAAATCCCCCTCTGTGAGAAACACCCAAGAATTATCAATAAAAAAAAAATTAAAAAAAAAAATAAGAGTCCAAGAACAACATTACATATTGATAAAACAATCAAATCATCAAGAAAATATACCAATCATAAATATCTTCATACCTAACAACAGATCGCCAAAACATATAAAGCAAAATTGACAGAATTGGTGGGAGAAATAGACAGTTCTACAACAATAGTTGGAGATGTTAATAGCTCACTATTAATAATTGATAAAACGGCTGGGCACCGTGGCTCACACCTGTAATCCCCGAACTTTGGGAGGCCGAGGTGGGTAGTTCACCTGAGGTCAGGAGTTCGAGACCAGCCTAGCCAACATAGTGAAACCCCTTATTGATACATCCCACAAAATGAACCTTGGAGACACTATGTTATATGAAAGAATCTAGACCCCTAAAAATCATATGTTGTATGTTCCATGTGTATGGAATAGAAAAAAAGCTCATAGAAAAAGGATATAAAGAAAGAAAATATTTTCATATAGCTATACAATGTGTTTGTGTCTTAAGGTAGCTGCTATTACAAAACAGTAAAAAAGTTAAAATAGCTATAATTTTTATAAAGTAAAAAGTTTACAGTAAGCTAAGTTCCACTTGCTATTAAAGAAAGAAAAGGTTTTTGGGTAAATTTAGTGTAGCCTCAGTATACAGTGTTTATAAAGTCTACAGTAGTGTACAGTCATGTCCTAGACCTTCACATTCACTCACCATTCGTTCACTTACCAACAGCCACTTCTAGTCCAGCCAGCTCCACTAATGGTAAGTGCCTAGGGCACAGGTATACTGTTTTTTATCTTTTTTTTTTTTTTTTTTTTTGAGATGGAGTCTTGCTCTGTCACCCAGGCTGGAATGCAGTGGTGCCATCTCGGCTCGCTGAAACCTCTGCCCCTCACGGGTTCAAGCGATTCTCCTGCCTCAGCCTCCCAAGGAGCTGAGATTACAGGCACCCGCCCCCACACCCAGCTAATTTTTGTATTTTTAGTAGAGACGGGGTTTCACCATATTGGTCAGGCTGGTCTCGAACTCCTGACCTCAGGTGATTCACCTGCCTCGGCCTCCCAAAGTGCTGGGATTATAGGCTCATGCGCCTGGCCTGGTTTTTATCTTTTATGCCATATCTTTACTGTGCCTCTTCTCTGTTTAGATATGTTTAAGTACATAAGTACTTACCAGTGTGTTACAACTGCTCTGGTATTTAGTGCAGTAACAAGCTGCACAGGTTTGTGGCCCAGGAGCAATGGGCTAGACCACACAGTCTGGGTGTGTAGCAGGCTCTGCCATCTGGGTTTGTGTAACTACACTCCATGATGTTGACACAATGATGAAAGTGCCTCATGATGCATATCTCAGAACATATCCCGGTCATTAAGTGACACATGACTGTAGGCTACAAATCACTGAATTGTGTCCTTCAACACTGAACACTTGAAAATTTTATGGTTTGTGAGTTGCCTCAATTTTTAAAAATCATTGCCTGAGGCTTCTGTCACCAGGTCCTCCCGAACTCCCCCTCACTCCTTCAGGCCCAGGCCAAGCTGGCCTCCCTCTCACACTGTCCTGCTGGCCCCCACAGTCCCTGGAAGGGGGAAGAACTGGGTGTTTGGTCCCTGCCCTGACAGGTGGCAGTGAGAGCAGAAAAGCAAGTGAGGAGAGAATGAGAGCAGGAGGGGCGCAGGTTGCAGCCCCAGACCAAGGAGGGGGCTGCTGTGCTTGTGTAGCGGGAACAGGGGTAGAGGGTAATGCTCACCCCGCACCCCCATCACCCCACCCGGTCTATCCCCAGCCTCACTGCCACTGGGGCTGATTAACCCCCAGCCGGTCACCCAGCAGTCCGGCCGGTGCACGAAGTTGAAGGTGGAAGACTCGATGCAAATGGGCTGGATGTACGCATTGTAGGTGACAGAAGAGGCCAGTCTCAGCAGGGCAATGTCATTGCGTAAAACCCCAAGTGCGTCAGGGTTCACAATGATGTCCTGCACTTTGTAACGACTGCTGTAGGCCCGCAGGTTCCAAGGAGTTGGCCTGGAAGTCAGCTCGCCCAGCTGGACCGTCCACTCGGAGGGATAGTAGTGCCTAGCAGAAAAGGAGAGAGGGCGGGGAGCCTTGGAATAGGGGGCTGGCCGCCTGAGCACGCTGGAGGCCCAGTCCCTGAGGCCAAGCTGCTGGGTGGCTACTGTTTGCTCATCCTGGAGGCCATTAGCAAGTCTGAGGCCCCGGCCGCCCCCCAGACTCACTTTTGGAAGCAGTGCGCAGCCGAGAGCACCCAGCGGCGGCTGAGCAGGCTCCCTCCACATCGGTGGCGTCTCCTCAGGCGCAGGCTGGCCTGCCATGGCCAGCGCCCGCGCGCGGACTCCACTCCGCCCGCCACCAGCGCGTGAATTTCCCGGTGGCCGCAGGCCTCTGGGATGGACAGACGGACGCGGCTGAGCTGCCGGGTGGGGTGGGGTGGGCAGGCCCGCCCTGCCCGGCTTTGCCCCGGGGTGCGCGCAGCGGGGGGCTCCCCGGGGAACCGCGCGCCAAGAAGGTGACGCTAGGGACCCTCCCACGTGGTGGGCAGTGGACGGTCCCACCCCTAGGACCCATTAGTTACTTGAGAGCATCACGTTCTCGGGACCTGGAACAGAGAGCAGTAGATGGGCCCCCGTGCACCCCGGCCCAGCCGCCCTGGCTGGCATCGCGCGTCCTGGGCGCCCTACCTGACAACAGCTCCTCCTCCTGCGACTCTGCAGGACACAAGAAGTGACCCTCGCGGCCTCCACCTCCCGGCCTCCTCGCTGCCCCCGGTCCCGCCTGTAGCGCCCCGAGCTCACCCGGCTTCCCGAGTCCAGCCCGAGCCAGCAGCAGCGCCAGCAGCAGCGCCCCGCGCGCGCCCATGGCCTCCTCTCCCGCGGCCTGGCGCGCCCTCTGCCTCCTCTCGCGCCGGACCGGGGTCGCCCCCTGGGGGCAGGGCGGGTTGGGAGCTCCAGCTTAATCCTCCCAAACCAGGCCCAAGGGCTGTTTGGGGCCTCTCAGGCCTGGTAGCGCCCTGGCTTTCAGCTCCTAAGGGCGGGTCTTCAACCACATTCCTTGATGTGGCCCAGACCCGGTGGACCCCACAGTCCTTTTCTTGTCTGCAGCCCGGGGGTCCTGGCTGCCCGCTTGGTGCCCCCTGCCCTCCACCCACCACCTCCTCCAGCACCAGGGGCCTGGCCCTGAGCCAGGAGTCCCCTTAAAGCAGGTAGGCAAGGCCTTCCTGAGGGCCCGGTGGGGCCTGGAAGATCGCGCCACTGCACTCCAGCCTGGGCGACAGAGCAAGACTCCTTCTCAAAAAAAAAAAAAAAAAAAAAATTAGCTGAGGATGGTGGCACACACCTGAAGTCCCAGCTACTTGGGAGGCTGAGGCAGGAGACTCACTCGAGACTGGGAGATAGAGGCTGCAATGAGCTGCGATAATGCCAGTGCACTCTAGTCTAGGCGACAGATCAAGATATTGGAAAAAAAAAAGAAAGAAAGAAAAGAAAAAGAAAGAAGAAGAAAGAAAGAAAGAGAAAAAGAAAGAAAGACAAGACCTTAACACAGTAAAGTCCACAGCTAAAATCATACTCGATGAAAAAGTGAAAGCTTTTCCTCTAAGATCAGGAACAAGGCAAGGATGCCCAGTTTTACCAATGCCATGCAACATTGTACTGAAACTTCTAGCCAGAATAATTAGACAAAAAAAAAAAGACGTGAGAATCAGAAAGGAAGAAGTAAAATACTTCCATTTGCAGATGACATCTTGTTTGTAGAAGTCTCTAAAGATTTCACACAAGGCCGGGCGTGGTGGCTCACGCCTGTAATCCCAACACTTTGGGAGGCTGAGGTGGGCAGATCACGAGGTCAGGAGATCGAGACCATCCTAGCTAACACGGTGAAACCCCGTCTCTACTAAAAATACAAAAAATTAGCCAGGCGTGGTGGCGGGCACCTGTAGTCCCAGCTACTCGGGAGGCTGAGGCTGAGGCAGGAGAATGGCGTGAACCCAGGAGGCGGAGCTTGCAGTGAGCCGAGATCGCGCCACTGCACTCTAGCCTGGGCGACAGAGCGAGACTCATCTCAAAAAAAAAAAAAAAAAAAAAAGATTTCACACAAAAAAACTGTTAGAACTAATAAATTCAGCAGTTGCAGGATACAAAATTAACACTCAGAAATCAGCTGTGTTTCTATATACTAGCAATGAACAATCCAAAAATGAAATTAAGAAAACCGTCCCAGCCGGGTGTGGTGGCTCACGCCTGTAATCCCAGCACTTTGGGAGGTCGAGGCGGGTGGATCACGAGGTCAGGAGTGTGAGACCAGCCTGGCCAAGATGGTGACACCCTGTCTCTACTGAAAATACAAAAATTAGTCGGGCATGGTGGCGCGTGCCTGTAACCCCAGCTACTCAGGAGGCTGAGGCAGAGAACTGCTTGAACCCGGGAGGCGGAGGTTGTAGTGAGCTGAGATCACGCCACTGCACTCCAACCTGGGCAAAAGAGCGAGACTCCGTCTCAAATTTAAAAAAAAAAAAAATTAAAGAAGACCTAAGTAAACGAAAAGACATTCCATGTTCATGAATTAAAAGACAATCTTAAAACCGCCTTTGCAAACATATCAATGAGAAAAACCTAACGTGGCTGACTCCATCTTGCTTCTAGCCTCACAGGCTGGCTGTCCTTCGCTCATTCCTGGGTGTAGACCAAGCTAACCATGGGAGGAATTTAGTTTATAGTTTAACTTTGAAGTAAGGATGATAATCATCCCTCCCTAAAACTGATCTCCTCCTTGTTCTGGAAATGAAACTGTATTCGTAAAACAAATGAAAGGCTGCCGAGACTAAGTCGCATGCTGACACAGCTCTTGGTGTGCTACGGTACTTGGAGAGAATCTACTGGTCTTGATTCACTGGTGGGGGCAGTTGTTGCTTCCTTTAGTGCCCAGATCAGAAACATACATACCCTGCCTGGGGTTTTGGAAAGTGGGTTAGCAGCCCTCTTTCCTCATACCCATCAAGCAGTTGGTACCTACCACAGTGTATTGTAAACTTTTTTCTCTTCTCTTCTAGGGCTGCTGCAAGGTTCTGGGAAAGGGAAAGCTCCCAAAGCATCGTGTCACCATGAAAGCCAAATTCTTCAGCAAAAGAGCTGAGGAGAAGATTAACGGTGTCTGGGAGGCAGGGGGTTGCGGAGGCCTGTGTCCTGGTGGCTGGAAGCCACATGGAGGGAGGTTCATTAAATGCTAACAACAACAACAAAAAAACCTAATGAAAAGCCATGAGATTAGGATGACGGGAGGGCCTGAGTTCTGCTATGAGGTAGGCATATTTTCAATAATGCCTTTTACTGCTCAGGAGTGGCGTGGCAAAAGGTAACAGGAGTTGTGACTTCCGCAATTGCTTCTATAGATAACATCACTCTTGCAGAATCTAGGATTGGTTTTTTGAGATGTTTTTCAGACTGACCCCACCCAGACTCATGACTCATGGCTCAGCTGATGCTGCCAACCCCCCCAAAGGTGGACTCAGCACACAGGACAAGTTTTTACACTCCTATGATGGCATCTCCAACCAAAGAGCAGCACCGATTCCCTGGCCCCCAGCCCATCAAACTATCGTTGAAAAACCCTAACCTCCAAGCCTTTGGGGAGGCTGACTTGAGTAATAACTCCATCTCCCATGTGGCTAGCCTAGGGTCAATTAAACTCTTTCTTTACTGCAACATCATCTTTTCAGTGAACTGGTTTCGTCTGTGCAGCAGTCAGGAACAAACTGTTGGGCAATTACAATGTTGTTAAAACGTCCATAGTACCCAAAGCAATTTGTGGATTCAATGCAATATCTATCAAAACCCCAATGGCATTTTTCAGACAGAAAAAAATCCTAAAATTTATATGGAATGTCAAAGGACCCAAAATAACCAAAACCATTATAAGAAAAAGGAACAAAACTGGAGGCTTCAAACTTCCCAATTTCAAAAACTATTACCAAGCCACAGGAATCAAAACAATATGGTATTAGCATAAAGACAGACATACAAGTTAACAAAACAGAACAGAGAGCCCAGAAATAAACCCTCATATATATATATACGTATATATATATGTATATATGTATATATATGTATATATATGTGTATATATATGTATATATATGTGTATATATGTATATATGTATATATGTATATATGTATATATGTATATATGTATATATGTATATATGTATATATATATATATATATATATGGTCAACTGATCTACACAATGGGGAAAGGATAATCTCTTCAAAGTGGTGTTGGGAAAACTGGTTATTCACATGCAAAAGAACTGTAATCACCTAATGGGTCCTTCTTGCCAGCTGCACAGTTAATCAATTAACTGAGACCTTGGCATTGCAGTAGGTAAAGAGTTTAACTGACGTGAGGCTGGCCCATACAGGAGAATGAGTTATCACTCAAATCAATCTCTCTGAAGGCTCAGAGGTTAGGGTTTTTATGGACAATTTGGTGGGCAGTGGGCTAGGGAATGGGTGCTGCTGATTCGTTGGGGATGCAATCATAGGGGTCCTTGGGTGCTGATCCACCTTTGGGTAGGGCCACAGGATTAGCTGAGCCGTGAGTCATGAGTCATGAGTCTGGGCGAGGTCAGTCCAAACAAAATCTCAAAAAAACAATCCTAGGTTGTACAATAGTGGTGTTATCTATAGAAGCAATTAGGGAAGTCACAAATCTTGTAAGCTCTGGCCACATGACCCCCGAGCAGTAAGGCATTACTGAAACTATGCCTACCTCTGAGCAGAGTTCAGGCCCCTCCCATCATCCTAGTCTTTTGGCTTTTTATTAGTCTTACAAAGGCGGTTTTTGGTCCCTGAGCAAAGAGGGAGTTAATTTTAGTGGGGACTATTATCATCTTTGCTTTTAAGTTAAACTATAAAGTAAATTCCTCCCGAAGTTAGTTTGGCCTATGCCTAGGAATGACCAAGGACAGCTTGAAGGTCAGAAGAAGACAGAGTTGGCCAGGCGTGGTGGCTCAAGTCTGTAATCCCAGCACTTTGGGATGCCAAGGCGGGTGAACCACCTGAGGTCAGGAGTTTGAGACCAGCCTGACCAACACGGTGAAACCCCGTCTCTACTAAAAAATACAAAAATTAGCTGGGCACGGTGGCAGGTGCCTGTCATCCCAGCTACTCGGGAGGCTGAGGCAGGAGAATCGCTTGAACCTGGGAGGCGGAGGTTGCAGTGAGCCGAAATTGCACTATTGCACTCTAGCCTGGAGACAGAGCAAGACTCTGTCTCAAAAAAAAAAAAAAGGAAGACAGAGTCAGCTATGCTATATTTCTCCATCGTAATTTTGCAACAGTGGTTTCAGAATAAAGATAGGCCCTTATCTTATACCATATACAAAAATCAACTCAAAATGGCTTAAAGAACTAAACGTGAGACCTGAAGCCATAAAATTCCTAGAAGAAAAATTCCTAGAAATTCCCAGTGTGTGAATAAAATTCCTGAAAGAAAACCTAGGGGAAAAGTTCCCGGACATTGGATTGGGCAATGATTTCTTGGATCGGATGTGAAAAGCACAGGCAACAAAAGCAGAAATAGACAAGTGGGAATACATCAAACAAAAACTTCTGTGCAGCAAAGGAAATGATCCACAGAGTGAAAAGGCAACATATGGAATAGGAAAAAAAATTGCAAACCATATGTCAGATAAAGGGCTGATAACCAGAATACATAAAGAACTACAGCCCAATAACAAATAAATAACCCAATTTAAAAATGGGCAAAGGACTTGACAGACATTTCTCCAAAGAAGATACACACATGTGCTAACAAGCACACGAAAACATGCTCAGCATCACTAATTGTCAGAGAATTGCAAATTCAAACAACAAAATATTCCCTCACACCCATTAGGACGATCACTATCAAAAAACAGAAAATTGGGAGGCTGAGGCAGGAGAATTGCTTGAACCCGGGGCGGGGCGGAGGTTGCAGTGAGCTGAGATCATGCCATTGCACTCCAGCCTGAGCGACAGAGTGCGACTCCATCTCAAAACAACAACAACAACAAAACAAAACAAAAAATAGAAAATTACAGGTGTCGGTGAGGATGTGGAAAATTTGGAACACTTGAGAGCTGTTGATGGGATTGTAAAAATGGTGCGGCCGCTATGGCAAACAGTATGGAGTTTCCTCGAAAAATTAAAAATAGAATTACCATATGATCCAGCAGTCCACTTCTGGGTATATATCCCCAGGAACCGAAAACAGGATCTCAGAAAAATATTTGCACACTCATGTTCATTGCAGCATTATTCACAATAGCCAAGATATGAAAACAACCCAAATGTCCATCAACGGATAAACGGATAAAGAAAATGTCGTATACAACAGAATATTATTATTATTGTTATTTTCAGACAGAGTCTTGCTCTGTTGCCCAGGCTGGATTGCAGTGGCGCAGTCTTAGCTCACTGCAACCTCCGCCTCTCGGGTTCAAGCAATTCTCCTGCCTCAGCCTCCTGAGTAGCTGAGACTACAGGCACATGCCACTACACCTGGCTACATTTTTGTATTTTTTTTTTTTAGTAGAGACAGGGTTTCACCGTGTTAGCCAGGATGGCCTCAATCTCCTGACCTCGAGATCCACCTGCCTGGGCCTCCCAAAGTGCTGAGATTACAGGCGTGAGCCACCGTGCCCAGCCTATTATTATCATTATTATTATGATGATTTGAGATGGAGTTTCGCTCCTGTCGCCCAGGCTGGACTGCAATGTTACCATCTCGGCTCACTGCAAACTCCACCTCCAGGTTCAAGCGATTCTCCTGCCTCAGCCTCCTGAGTAGCTGGGACTGATGGGCGCCACCACACCCAGCTAATTTTTGTATTTTTAGTAGAGATGGGGTTTCACCATATTGGCCAGGCTGGTCAGGAACTTCTGACAGAATATTATTTACCCTTAAAAAAGAATGAAATTCTTTCATATGCTACAACGCGGATGGATCTTGAGGACCTTATGCTAAGTGAAATAAGCTAGTTACAGAACAAAAAATACTGCAAAATTCCACTTATATGAGGTATTTAAAGTAACGAACTCATCAAAGCAGCAAGTAAAATGGTGGTTGCCAGGAGCTGGGGGAGAGGGACACACAGAGCTATTGTTCAAGGAAGAGAGTTTCAGTCAAGCAAGATGAAAATGCTCTAGAGATCTCTTTACGGCAATCTGCATATAGTTGACAATACTATACCATCCACTTAAAAATTAAGAGGGTATATTTGTTTATTTTGTGTGTGTGTGTTTTTGTTTTTTTTTTTTTTGAGACGGAGTCTCACTCTGTCACCCAGGCTGAAGTGCATTGGTGCGATCTCGGCTCACTGCAACCTCTGCCTCCCCAGTTCAAGCGATTCTCTTGCCTCAGCCTCCCAAGTAGCTGGGATTACAGGCGCACGCCACCACACCTGGCTAATTTTTTGTATTTTTAGTACAGACAGGGTTTCGCCATGTTGGCCAGGCTGATCTTGAACTCCTGACCTCAGGTGATCCACCTTCCTCAGCCTCCCAAAGTGCTGGGATTGCAGGTGTGAGCCACCGCACCCGGCCAAGATGGTATATTTGTATTGTGTGTTTTTTACCACTAAAAAAAAAAGAAAAAAAAAGAGTGGTGCTGAAGGGGAGGTGGGTCTACCTGAGGGTCTGTGCCTCAGTTTCTCAACATAGGAGCTGAGACAGGGGTTGGGTCTGGGGGCTCTTTCCCTCCTCTCCCAAAGATCCGATGTCCAATATTTAACCAGTTGCAGACCCTCCCCTGAAAAAAGCCCATTTCGCCGTGAGAATCCATTTCTTTAACCCAAGCCCTCAGGTGTCCTCAGATCTCCAACCTCCCCCTTCACCCCAAATTGCAACAGGCAGAGACCCAGCTCCCGCTGAACAGGCAGAGACCCAGCTCCCGCTGAACAGGCAGAGATCCAGCTCCCGCTGAACAGGGAGAGACACAGCTCCCGCTGAAGAGGCAGAGACCCAGCTCCCACTGAACAGGGAGTCCATCCTCCTAGCTGGCTTCCCTCCCAGTGCTTGGCCAAGTCCCCCGGGATGGCTGCATATTCTGAGGGTCCATTGTCACTCTCATACTGGTCCAGGTCTCCAGCCGCACCCAACCATGACAGAGAGGGACACTGCCCACCTGGCCTTGTCCCCACTATGCCCTCTAAGGGCAAGCCGACCTGGTATAGCAGAAGATTCTGGAGGCTCAGGGAGGGTGGGAGTGTACTTCTTTTATTCTTGCAGGACTTTCCTAGTATTTGGCAAGTGCTGGTCACTGTGCCAAGCTCTGCATGGTCAACCCCATTAATCTTTACCACAACCTACCAGGTGGATTTTGCAGATGAGGAAAGCAGGGTAGGTGAGGCTTCAACAGCTCTCCCAAGGACTCAGAGCTGGAGACCGGGGCGCCAAAGCCCAGTTGCAGAGAGCGGGTCTTGAGGGTGGTCCTAAAACGGGGACAGCAGAGGTCAGGCCTGAAGACCACCCTCTGTCTACGTTGCATCCAGATGCTGGGTCTGTGTCCCCACCAGCCCCCTCCTCTGTGTCCCTCAGCCTCATCCCCAGTCTGCTGCCCTGCTCAGCCTTGGCCACTTATTCCCAAATCCTTAGTGCCAGCTCTGTGCTGGGCACTGTCCTGCCCACTGGAGAATGTTATGCACTGAAATGTTTGTGTCCCCTCCAAAATTCATATGTCAAAGCCTTACTCACTGTTGTGACTGTATTTGCCCTTATGGAAGTAATTAAGGTTAAATGAGATCACAAGAGTAGGACCCTGCTGGGCACAGTGGCTCACGCCTATAATCCCGGCACTTTGGGAGGCCAAGGCGGGTGGATCGCCTGAGGTCAGGAGTTCAAGACCAGCCTGACCAACATGGAGAAACCTTGTCTCTACTAAAAGTACAAAATTAGCTGGGCGTGGTGGCGCATGCCTGTAATCCCAGCTACTCGGGAGGCTGAGGCAGAAGAATCACTTGAACCCGGGAGGCGGAGGTTGCGGTGAGCCGAGATTGTGCCACTGCACTCCAGCCTGGGCAACAAGACCAAAACCCTGTCTTAAAAAAAAAAAAAAAAAAAGAGTAGGACCCTAATCCAATAGAATTCGTGTCCTTATGAGACGGGATTTGTTCCCTTGACTGTGACCCCCTTCGTGGGCAGGAACTGGAGTGGCTCGTTTCACTCAGCTGTTGTTCGTGGATGGCTAAATATTAACAGTTCAGTGAAGGGTCAGGGTGACAGCATCCTGCACCTGCCCTTTTTGACACCCGAGTTCTTGTTCAGTGTCCAGGAAGAACCAGGTCACATGAGCTATTTGGAAGGTAGTGCATGCGGAGGATTTCAATGGGTGATAAAAGTGGCTGTCAGCAGGATGGGGAATTGATGCGGAAGGAAGGTGATCTTTCCCTGAAGTCGCACCATCTGAAGTTAGCCGCATCTATCCACAGCTAAAGCTCAGCCGCATGTATCCCCAAGGCTCAGCAGCTTGTATCCCTGCTGGTCAGCTGCTTGTGTTGCTCTTTTCTTCCTTTTCTTCTGCCATCTGGTCTGGTTTTTACCGGTACAGGTTAGGGGGCGGGGTGGGCCAAGAAGGCAATCATTTGGGCAGAAAAACAGGGTCAGATGTTTTCACTTAGGGCTGGGGCTCCAGGCTTGAAGGTGGGAGCCCAGCCGTTCTGTGTCACTCATAAGAAGTGACAAGAGTGCAACCTGTCTCTCTCCCTCCCCTCATGCACACAGAGGCCACGGAAGCACACAGCAAGATGCAGGCCACCCAACAAGCCAAGAAAAGTGGCCTTAGAATGAAAACTATGTTACTGGCACCTTGATCTTGGAATTCCCAGGCTCTAGAATCATGAGCAATACATTTATGTTGTTTAAGCCCCCACGGCCGGGCGCAGTGGTTCACGCCTGTAATCCCAGCACTTTGGGAGGCCGAGGCGGGCGGACCATGAGGTCAAGAGATCAAGACCATCCTGGCCAACAAGGTGAAACCGCGTCTCCACTAAAAATACAAAAAAAAAAAAAAAATTAGCCGGGTGTGATGGCGCGCACCTGTAAATCCCTGCTACTCAGGAGGCTGAGGCAGGAGAATAGCTTGAACCCGGGAGGTGGAGGTTGCAGTGAGCCGAGATCACGCCACCGCACTCCAGCCTGGAGACAGAGCAAGACTCTGTCTCAGAAAAAAAAAAAGAAAGCCCCTTCGGCTGTGGTTTTTGTTTATGGCAGCCCAAGCGGACTCCTACAGGGACACAGACCCAGACCCTGATGCTGGAGGGGAGACAAGAGGATGTAAATCAAACCTCCTCAAGTCCCTGTCAAAGGACAACTATGGGCTGGCCTCGGTGGCACATGCCTATAACCCCAGCACTTTGGGAGACTACAGCAAGAGGATCTCTTGAGCCCAGGAGTTCGAGAACAAGTTGGGCATCATTGCAAGACCCCATCTCTGGAAAAAAAAATTGCTAGGTGCTGTGGCATGCACCTGTGGTCCCAACTACTTGGGAAGCTGAGGTGGCAGGATCACTTGAGCCCAGAGGTCAAGGACGCAGGGAGTTGTGATTGTACCACTGCACTCCAGCCTGGGTGACAGAGCAAGACCCTGTCTCTCTCTCCCTTTTTATTTTTTTTTGAGACAGAATCTCACTGCGTCGCCCAGGCTGGAGTGCAGTGGCATAATCTCGGCTCACTGCAACTTCCACCTCCCGGGTTCAAGCAATTCCTGTGCCTCAGCCTCCCGAGTAGCTGAGATTGCAGGCGCCCACCATCAGGCCTGGCTAATTTTTGTATTTTTAGTAGAGACGAGGTTTCACCATGTTGGCCAGGCTCGTCTCAAACCCCTGACCTCAAATGAGCCACCCATCTCGGCTTCCCAAAATGCAGGGATTACAGGCATGAGCCACCATGCTTGGCCAAGACCCTGTCTCTTTAAAAAAAAAAAGAAAGAAAAACAAAAAAAAAAAAAAGGAAAAAAGTACAACTATGGCAGGGCTGCAAAGGAGGCAGGAGGAGGTGGCAGAGCAGAAGGCTGAGGGATAAGAGGAGTTCACTATGCAGAGAGGGACTTGAGAGACTTCTAGGCAGCGAACACTGTGTATGAGCCCAAGAGGGAACTACAGGGCCCTGGACCATCCGGGCCCCGGTCCTCCACGGGCCTCGAGAGAAGGGGAGTTCCTGTCCCCTGACCCCAGCATCTTGCTCTGTCTCGGCCACCCCAAACCAAAGACTGCACTGGTCCCCAAGGTCAAGTCTCCCCCTGCCTCTGGTCAAGTAAGGAGTGCCACCAACTTTGAACCAGTCCCTTTCCACCTCCAGCTGCTCCAGACCCCGGATCTGGAAGGGGGCTGGCCATGCTGGGGTCTCTGGGTGGAGCTGTCTGGCCAGGACTTCCGTCTGAGATGGGATTTCTGGACAGAACAATGGAGCGCAGAAGCTCCAGCAACGTGTGCTCTGCAGGGAGCCCAGGTCAGGTTTGGAGAGGAGTTGCCCCGGATCCTGCAGAGCTTCCCCACCTGACTGCCACCCCTCCCAGCACCTACCCGCACCACTGCTCTCCGCCAGCCCCCACTTCTAGTACCTTGGCGCAAGGCAGGCTTCCTTTGAGAAACCCATTGACCCTTTCCTGCCACCTCTGAAGCTCTGCTCAAAGCATCTTTGTTTGAGGCTGGTCCGGTAAAGCCACAGCCCCGCCCCGGCCCTGTTCATTACTCCTTGGCTGAGCCTCGCGCTCTCCTGGCACTTTAAGCCCCCAGGCCCTCCCTCAACCCCAGTCAGCAGAAGGCGCCAGGCTGTGAGGGTGAGAGCAAGCCAGGGGCTGTGGGGGCTGCAGGGGCAGCCAGTGGGTGAGGATGAGGGTGAGGACGAGGAGGGGTGAAGGATGGGGGAGGGGGTGAGGATGAGGGAAGTGGTGAAGATGAGGGAGGGGAGTGAGGAGGAAGGGGGTGAGGATAGAGGAGGGGGTGAGGATGAGGGAGGGGGTGACGATGGGGGGGTGAAGGATGGAGGAGGGGTGATGAGAGAGGAGTGAGGATGAGGGAGGGGGTGAAGGATGAGGGAGGGGGTGAGGATGAGACAGGGGTGAGGATGAGGGAGGGGGTGAGGATGAGGGAGGGGAGTGAGGAGGAGGGGGCTGAGGATGGAGGAGGGGGTGAGGATAGAGGAGGGGTGAGGATGAGGGAGGGGTGAGGATGAGAGAGGGGTGAGGATGAGAGGTGAGGATGAGGGAGGGGGTGAGGATGAGGGAGGGGAGTGAGGAGGAGCAGGGGTGACGATGGAGGACGGGGTGAGGATAGAGGAGGAGGTGAGGATGAGGGAGGGGGTGAGGATGAGAGAGGGATGAGGATGAGGGAAGGGGTGAGGATAAGGGAGGGGAGTGAGGAGGAGGGGGGTGAGGATGGAGGAGGGAGTGAGGATGAGGGAGGGGGTGAGGATGAGGGAGGGGGTGAGGATGGGGGAGGGGGATGAGGGAGGGAGTGAGGATGACCGAGGGGGGTTAGGCTCCAGGGCTTCTGTCGAGACCAAGGATGCCCAAATATCTGGGTGGTGGGTGCTGCATACCTGGGCCCTGGGCAGAACGAAGGGTATACAGCCTGGGCCACCAGGATAAGTCCAGAACCCACCAGGAGCTGAGGACAGACAGAAGGACCACGGAGGGGGTGACGGGCTGGTGTGAGGATTGGTGCCCCTGGGCCAGGACTCTCCTCTCTTCTCCCTGCTGGCTCCAGACCAGAGTCCAAGCCCTAGGCAGTGCCACCCTTACCCAGCCCAGCCTTGAAGACAGAATGAGAGGGGTTTCCTGTCTCCAGGTCCTGCTCCTTCTGGTGCTGGGTGAGTGGGGACAGGGACTGGGGGTGAGGGCCGCAGACACCTTGGCTCCCAGTTCTCCCATCTCACTGCTCCCTGGGCCGGGCTCCCTGGAGCACTCTTGGGCTTTCTAATCTTGATTCCAAGGGCTCAATCCTCTCTGCCACTGACCTTGACCTCACCACACCTCGATGTGCTTGTCGGTGTCATGCTCATACGCCCTTGCCCCCTGCACCTTCACAGTGCTCTGGGGAGGGTTAAATAAGATAACAGACGGCACGAAAGCCTGGCGCAATGTCAGGGCAACATTGTTTCACCCTCCTTCCTCATCTCTGGCCTCCCCTCCAACTCCGTTATTTGACACCAAATCTATAATCTGGTCCCTTCCCTGCTTCCTCCTCCAGGAGCTGCTGGGACTCAGGGAAGGAAGTCTGCAGGTGAGGAAGCCTCGGAGTCCACCCGAGTCAGCCCCTCCTGGACCTCGGCCCCGTGTCTCCCCACCAACACCTGCCTCCCAGGCCCCAGGTCCTCAGCCAACCCTCACCGCCCCTGGTCCTTTTCTAGCCTGCGGGCAGCCCCGCATGTCCAGTCGGATCGTTGGGGGCCGGGATGGCCGGGACGGAGAGTGGCCGTGGCAGGCGAGCATCCAGCATCGTGGGGCACACGTGTGCGGGGGGTCGCTCATCGCCCCCCAGTGGGTGCTGACAGCGGCGCACTGCTTCCCCAGGTCAGCGCTCACCGAGGGCCCAGGCGGGGTGTGCAAGGAAGGCAAGGCCCGCAGAGGACCGGGCGTGGCCTGGCAGAGGCGTTGGGGTCGAGGCGGGCTGGAGGGGGTCGAGGACCCGGTGCTGGAAGTAGTCCCCCGCTCCTGTCCTGCAGGAGGGCACTGCCAGCTGAGTACCGCGTGCGCCTGGGGGCGCTGCGTCTGGGCTCCACCTCGCCCCGCACGCTCTCGGTGCCCGTGCGACGGGTGCTGCTGCCCCCGGACTACTCCGAGGACGGGGCCCGCGGCGACCTGGCACTGCTGCAGCTGCGTCGCCCGGTGCCCCTGAGCGCTCGCGTCCAACCCGTCTGCCTGCCCGTGCCCGGCGCCCGCCCGCCGCCCGGCACACCATGCCGGGTCACCGGCTGGGGCAGCCTCCGCCCAGGAGGTAAGGCAGGAGGGCGGGGCTCCGAGGCATCCGGGAGCCCCCACGTCCTCCTCCATCTGACTGGAAATCCCAGCCCCTCACTGCCCCAATCCAGGACCCAGCGCGGCTTCTAGGGAACAAAACCTCCTCTCACTCAGAGCTCAGCTTCTCCCACTGGCCCCCGCTCCACGCCTTCCTCTCAGAGGTCCCTCCTCTTCCCCCAGTGCCCCTCCCAGAGTGGCGACCGCTACAAGGAGTAAGGGTGCCGCTGCTGGACTCGCGCACCTGCGACGGCCTCTACCACGTGGGCGCGGACGTGCCCCAGGCTGAGCGCATTGTGCTGCCTGGGAGTCTGTGTGCCGGCTACCCCCAGGGCCACAAGGACGCCTGCCAGGTGTGCACCCAGCCTCCCCAGCCTCCGGAGTCCCCTCCCTGTGCCCAGCACCCTCCCTCCCTGAACTCCAGGACCCAGGACATCCCAACTCAGGCTCAGGATCCTGGCCTCCAACCTAGAGGCACCACGCCAGGGGTCTGGAACCCTGAGAACTGAAGTCCTGGGAGGGCTGGGACTTAGGCTCCTCTTTCTCCTGCAGGGTGATTCTGGGGGACCTCTGACCTGCCTGCAGTCTGGGAGCTGGGTCCTGGTGGGCGTGGTGAGCTGGGGCAAGGGTTGTGCCCTGCCCAACCGTCCAGGGGTCTACACCAGTGTGGCCACATATAGCCCCTGGATTCAGGCTCGCGTCAGCTTCTAATGCTAGCCGGTGAGGCTGACCTGGAGCCAGCTGCTGGGGTCCCTCAGCCTCCTGGTTCATCCAGGCACCTGCCTATACCCCACATCCCTTCTGCCTCGAGGCCAAGATGCCTAAAAAAGCTAAAGGCCACCCCACCCCCCACCCACCACCTCCTGCCTCCTCTCCTCTTTGGGGATCACCAGCTCTGACTCCACCAACCCTCATCCAGGAATCTGCCATGAGTCCCAGGGAGTCACACTCCCCACTCCCTTCCTGGCTTGTATTTACTTTTCTTGGCCCTGGCCAGGGCTGGGCGCAAGGCACGCAGTGATGGGCAAACCAATTGCTGCCCATCTGGCCTGTGTGCCCATCTTTTTCTGGAGAAAGTCAGATTCACAGCATGACAGAGATTTGACACCAGGGAGATCCTCCATAGCTGGCTTTGAGGACACGGGGACCACAGCCATGAGCGGCCTCTAAGAGCTGAGAGACAGCCGGCAGGGAATCGGAACCCTCAGACCCACAGCCGCAAGGCACTGGATTCTGGCAGCACCCTGAAGGAGCTGGGAAGTAAGTTCTTCCCCAGCCTCCAGATAAGAGCCCCGCCGGCCAATCCCTTCATTTCAACCTAAAGAGACCCTAAGCAGAGAACCTAGCTGAGCCACTCCTGACCTACAAAGTTGTGACTTAATAAATGTGTGCTTTAAGCTGCTCCATTTGTGCTGACTTGTTATACAGCAATAAAAACTAATATAGATTTTGCCCCACTGTGATGAAGGTGTCCCAGTGGGAAAGGTGGGCTGGCCAGCGCGGCCACCTCCCCACATACTGCAAGAGGCTGGGCACTTGGTATCAGGCCCTCGGCCCAGGAGGGGTCAGGAGTCCCGGGGCAGGCCCAGATTCTGTTCTCATTGTGTCTGGCCACCATTCACTCCCAGGGTGAGCCTGGGGCCCAGGCCACCCTACTGACACCTGCACCCAGACGCCAACAGCTAGCCCACGTGCAGGTCCTTGCCCACCCTTGGGGTCCCCTTCCAGCCTGGTGCCTGGCATCCTGTCCCCTCTCTGCCATGTCCTTGTCTCCAGAGCCAGGACCACCCGTTCCAATAGATAGAGGTCAGTTTCCACAGCTGCAGAAGGAAAAGAAACAAAACCTGGAAAATTCAAAACCTACTCTGGAGCTGACAGGGGCTATCAGCAGAAGGGAAGGGAAGATAAGGGAAGGTAAACTTCAAAGGCGCAGCCCCTTTAGGTCCAGGCACAGGCCTGAGCATCGCCTCCCTCCCCTTTCCTCCTGGGGAGCCAGGGAAGTGGGCTGTACTAGATGGTCACGGCTGGGCCAGGCCAGGTGGGGCAGGGAGGGTGCTCAAGGCTTCTCTGTCCCCCAGGTGGAGAACAGACCATGCTGCAGTACAGCTTGGCCACCACTGGTGTGGTCATCAGGCACCAGGTGCCCAGGACGACAGGGCATGGCTATGGCAGGCGAGCCTGCAAAAGGCTGCAGGCCCAGCTAAGGAGGCAGAAGGGAGTGGAGCCGGGCAGGGAAGGGAGGATCATTAATGAGAAGAAATCACGGCCCCTCGTCAAGCCCTCACCAGACACTGTGCAGAGGGAGGGCTTTATTCCATCAGCTCATTGAATTCCCACAGGAGGCTCCGTGAGGTGGCTTGTCCCCATTTGTCAGATGAGAAAAACAAGTCCCAAAAGTCACACCGCCGGCAAGGTTGGTAGACTGGGACTCCAGCCCAGGTGGTCTGATTCTGGGAAAAGCAGAGGTCCTCCACTCTCTCCACTCCCTCCCACCCCCAAAAGGGCAGCCTCCCCGCACCCGTCCTCTTGGCCCGTTCCCGGCATGATGGCCTGTGGGGCCAGACGAGTGGCAGCTCTTGTCAGCCCCGTGCAACTGACCTCCACAGGATGGGGCCTACTTCCCTCTCCGTAATCTGCACTGATAACACCTGCACTCCCGTGGCTGTTGGGGGTCCAGATGTCGGCCAAGGTGGTCGTTATGCCCGCTGAGTATGTGCACTGTGCCAGGCATGTACATGCTCTCAGCAGACCTCAGAGCCCTTGAAGGAGATACTCTTCTCATCTCACAGAAGGGGAAACAGGCCCAGAGAGGTTAGGTAACTTGGCCACAGGCCCACAGCTGGTAAGTAGTGGAGACAGATTTGAACTCAAATCCCACACTCCTAACAGTTATGTCACATCCCTTATGGGGACAAAAGTAGCTATAAAACACTCTTACAAATAAGGCACATTACTAACGCATGGTCGTGAATAACTACTACGTATTAACACAAAAACAAAAGAAGTAGACCAGGCACAGTGGTTGATGCTTGTAATCCCAGTGTTTTGGTAGACCAAGGCAGGATGATTGCTTGAAGCCAGAAAATCGAGACCAGCCTGGGCAACATAGTGAAACCCCCATCTCTACAAAAAATTACATTAGCCAGGCATGGTGGCCCGTGCCTGCAGTCTCAGTTACTCGGGAGGGTGAGGTGGGATCGCCTGAACTCAGGATTTCAAGGCTGCCATAAAGATCACGCCACTGCACTCCAGCCTGGGCTACAGAGCAAGATCTGTGTGTAGGGAAAATCTCTCTCAAATTGTGTTTTTCCTCTACTCTTGTTGCCAGAAAAGAGGGTCCCAATCCAGACCCCAAGACAGGGTTCCAAGAGAGGGTTCTTGGATCTCACACAGGAAGGAATTCAAGGTGAGCCACAGAGCACAGTGAGAGAAGCAAGTTGATTAGAAAGGACTCCATCACAGAGCAGGCGTGCTCAGAGAGCAGGAGGAAGAACTCAACGTCTTTGGTTAGTGTCTCTGCTTATAAGAAACTACAGGCCGGGCTCAGTGGCTCACGCCTGTAATCCCAGCACTTTGGGAAGCCGAGGAGGGTGGATCACCTGAGGTCAGGAGTTCGAGACCAGGCTGGCCAACATGGTAAAATCCCGTTTCTACTAAAAATACAAAAATTAGCCAGGTGTGGTGGCACGCACCTGTAATCCCAGCTACTCAGGAAGCTGAGACAGGAGAATCACTTGAACTCGGGAGGCGGAGGTTGCAGTGAGCCCAGATCACACCATTGTACTCCAGCCTGGGCAACAGAGTGAGACTTTGTCTCAAAAAAAAAAAAAAAAAAAAAGAGAGAGAGAGAGAAACTACAAGGAGCAGTAAATAAACCTGGAACGTGCAGATATGTGCTCACTAAAGGTCGGGGCTATTGGTGCCATCGGTGACCGTGCATCCTCTGTCTTAGCCTGCTTACTGACACTATCTTAGTAAAGTGGGCTGCATTCTCAGAACGTGTGGACATTCTATGGGCCTTCTGGGAGAAGTCCTGTATGGCCATAAACATTTTGTAATCCTAATTGGTGGCCAGCTTAAGATGTGGCTATTTTAGACTGGGTGTAGGGGCTCATGCCTGTAGTCCCAGCACTTTGGGAGGCTGAGGCAGGAGGATTGCTTGAGCTGTTTGAGACCAGCCTGGGCAACATGGTGGAACCCCATCTCTACAAAAACTACAAAAATTAGCCGGATGTGGTGGTGCATGCCTGTAGTCCCAGTTACTCCAGGGGCTGAGGTGGGAGGATTATTTGAGCCAGTATCAGGCTACTGCACTCTGGTCTGGGTGACAGAAGGAGACCCTGTCTCAAAAACAAAAAGAATGTGGCTATTTTCAGACAGCATGAACCTTATAGATGCCTTGTGAGTGCTTAGCTACACATTTTAAGATGGAGTCACTCTGGTTGTTTTATTAAACCAGAGGCCTGGTAAGCAGAGGTCCCTAACACTCTCACACCAAAACCACAATCATCAACACAGAAGACTCCTGTGACCAACAGTTGTGGGTTTTTTTCCCCCACACACTAAGCACTGGACACCAGCAGGGTGTCCTCAACTCAATTCCAACACTATCTGCCCAGCGCCAGCCTCAGGTCCCACAGGTGGGGGCTCACAGGACTGCCTCCCCATTCCCCAATCGCAAGTTTGGGCTCCGGAACGTCTGACTGACTGGCTTCAGGTTAGCGTTCCCATGACTCTCCTCTTTGGGGTCAATTAATTTGTTAGAGCGATGCACAGAACTCAGAGAAACACCTTCACTGGTTTATTATAAAGGATGTTACAAAGGATCCAGATGAAGCAATGTGCAGGTTGAGGTGCTGGGGAGGGGCCTGGAGCTCCCATTCATCCCTGTGGTGTCACCCTCTGGGGACACACACGAGTTGAACTAACCCTGTCTCCAAACCGTCCTGTAGGGTTTTGTCAGCATTCCTTTCCCAGGGAACAGGGTGGGGCCCTCTCTGGGGAGGGTCTTAAGACTCCCAATCAGAAAGGCCCGGGGAAGATTGGAGTCCTGCTTTGGGGCACGTGAAAGGAGAAGACAGATTGTTTCCCAGGTCTAACACACCCAAAAGACACAAGGGCCTTCCCCATCATAACACAACACCCTGTCTGGGGTGGGGAGTGATGGGAATAAAAGGTAGACAGACGCTGGGCGTGGTGGCTCACGCCTGTAATCTCAGCATTTTGGGAGGCTGAGGCAGGTGGATCACAAGCTCAGGGGTTCGAGACTAGCCTAGCCAACGTGGTGAAACCCCGTCTCTACTAAATATACAAAAAAACAGCCAGGCATGGTGGTGCATGCCTGTAATCCCAGATACTCGGGAGGCTGAGGCAGGAGAATCCAGGAGGCAGAGGCTGCAGTGAGCCAAGATCACGCCATTGCACTCCAGCCTGGGAGACAGGGTAAGACTCCGTCTCAAAAAAAAACAAAAGGTAGATGGGAGGGAGCAGAAGACAGGCTGCAAGGCGGATTCTCCGAGTGAAATCTGTGAGGCGGAGAGGTGAAGGCCAGTTGAAGAGAGGAGCCCAGGAGGACATTCCCGTGTGGGTAGCAGGCGCAGCCAGCCAGCTCCTCTCCACCACTGGACGCTCCCATTCCTTGTAAAGGCCCTTAAGGAGAACCTGGACCCCACAAGACCACACTTCCAAAAGTGGAGACCCCAGGCTAGGCCAGCGAGTGGCCCTGCTCCGGGAAAATCCCTCCTGACCCCATTCCCACCACAGGAGGTATCGCTGCACTGAATGATACGATGGCCTGCCATCTCCTCGTGTAGTTATCCCACAGGGAGGACAGCGTCGTGGGGTGTGTGGAGACTCCCTCTAGGGGCAAGGACTCGTGCTGGGTCCAGGTGACCTCTGACAGCAGACAGACACCACTGACTGCGCCAGCTGGGGAACTGCGCCACTGCTCACTGAGCATCAGCACGTGAAGGCAACTGTTGTTGTATTTATGAGCTGATGCGCGGTGAGGGCAGGCACACTCCCCAACCTCCCAAGGGCTCCACACTGTGTATCCCCGCTTCATGGATGGGAACACCCAGGTGGAGGCCCCGGGCTTTGCCGGTAGGAGCTGGGGTTTGAACCCAGTGATATGCTCTCTGGAGGACAGGCACCACCCTTAAGAGGATGGTGACTCCTGGTTTCTGGTGGACATCCTGAGCTGGGGCATCAGCTGTGACGGCCCCCACAAACGAGGTGTCCACCCCTGGTCTCTGCAGATGAAGCCTGGATGGAGTATGGATCCAGGCGTCTCCCTGTGGAGACGGCCCCTCCTGTACCTACACACCCCTTGACTTCTGCGTGGCCTGCTGGGCTACCTGAGAACTTCCTGGCCCCCACTGTCCACACTCTTCCTTCGCTCTCCCTCCACAGAAGCACAGGATTTAAAGTTGCCAGTTCTATGTAGGTAAAGACACTGGGATTAATTAATTGGAGACAGAGTCTCACTCTGTCGCCAGGCGATGTGCAGTGGCGCGATCTCGGCGCACTGCAACCTGCGCCTCCGGGTTCAAGCAATCCTCCTGGCTCAGCCTCTCGAGCAGCTGGGACCACAGGCGTGCGCCACCGTGCCCACCTAATTTTGTTTGTATTTTTAGTACAGACAGGGTTTCACCTTGTTGGCCAAGCTGGTCTTGAACTTCTGGGCTCAAGTGATCCACCCCCTTCAGCCTCCCAAAGTGCTGGGATTACAGGCGTGAGCCACCGCCCCCAGCCAGACACTGCGACTGAGAAAGAAATTTTAGCCTGGCCAAGAGCTCTTCCCAGCAATTACCTGTCCAATGCCTCATGACTCACGTCATGAAGAAGAGACAGGTTCTGCAGGGACTGCGATGCTGAGGACCCTGGGAGCGGGGGTAGGGGCTGCAGTGAACCGCAGTGAAGGAAGTCACACGAGGGAAGGGACTTTGGAGGACTCCCCAGGGAGGAGCCACATTCCACAAGTCAAAAGTAGCAATAACTAGAATTACAGCTTAGAAAACACAAATGCAGCGCTAAGACTTGCCGAGGTTCTACGCAGTTCAAAAACTGTTCCTCTCCCATCTACAACAGGAGGAAACTGGGCTTTGATGAGGTTAACGGCCCATGGCCACAGTCAGCAGCGGAGCCCAGGGCTGCTCCTTCGCCTCTCTAGATGCCGAGGCAAAAATCGCACCTCCACCTTCCACCCCTCTCTCAACAGCCCTCAAAGCGCAGCTCGGAGGACTGCAGGGCGGTTTGGCGTCCAGGGCCACCCTCTGGCTCATCTCTCCAACGCCGCCTCCGACACCCGCCCAGCACGACCCAGCCTGGGGTGTCTCTGCAAGGGAGAGGTCAAGTGGGGGGCCCTCACTCTCATGTAAATGTAACTTGGGGCGATGCAGGATAGTGTCCAGCATTCAGGAAACAGGGCCTTGGTGGAAAGAGCGGCCAGCCAGGAGAATCAAGTCTCTAGGCCTTTTCAGAGCCGAAATGCAGCCAAGCAGGAAGGCGGACAGGCGCCCAGGGCTCCTGGGGCAAGGAGCTGCCCCTTCCCTCCTCCTGCGAAGAGCGGTCGCCAACCGCTCCCGTGCCTCCTCTTCTAGCCCAAGGAGTTCGCCCGGGCCATCCCTAAGCCCAACAGCAGCCCCCAGGGCTCTTCACAGGTCATAAGCCCCTCTGAGCGGCGACAGTCCTCGCATCCAGCCCGGGTCAGGGAGCGGGGGTGACTGTCCCCAGCACGGCGGCCAGAAGACCCCAAATGCGGAGCCTGCCCAAGATGGCGGCCACGACTACGCCGCGACAAGACGGCCCCGAGCTCGGTGTGCCCGAGCTTGGAGCCCGCCGGACCGCACCAACACGGGGACCTCCCCTCTGCCAGTCCCAAGACGGCGCCACCGCCTCCAAAGGCCATGCCCGCCGTCGGGATGGCGGCCGCACGCCCCTCGATACCGCCCGCTTCCAGATCACTTAAAATGGCGGCGGCTGCGGGGCGGCACGGGGCGGGGCTGCGCCGGGGGAAGGGACGCGGCGCGGGGCATGCTGGGCCACGCGCGGGCTGCCGGGAACGGGGCGGAGCGCGGCTGCGCCGGCGCGTCGAGGGGAGAGGCAGCAGCCGCGATGGTGAGCGGGCGTGGGGGAGGGGCGGCCGGGCCGGGCCGGGGGCGGCGGGGGGCGGCTGGGCCGCGCGGGGGGCCCGGGCTTCGTGCTCACGCCGGCCCGCCGCCCCCAGGACGTGTTCCTCATGATCCGGCGCCACAAGACCACCATCTTCACGGACGCCAAGGAGTCCAGCACGGTGTTCGAACTGAAGCGCATCGTCGAGGGCATCCTCAAGCGGCCTCCTGACGAGCAGCGGCTGTACAAGGTGGGTCCCGCGGGCGGGCCGAGGGGAGCGGGTACCCGGCGCCGGGCACGGGGCTGACGCCTACGCTGTCCGCGATGTAAACAGTAGCGGCCGGCGACGCCTGCGGGCGCCCGAGCCGCGGGACTGGGACATCCGTTGTGCGGGTGAAGCGCGAGCTGCGCTCGCCGCGGGGATCTCCGGTCCGGGGGCGATGTTTAGACCTCGTGCCGGGCCCCGGGCGCCGAGGGCACCGTGGCATGCAACCCCTGCAACGGTATCGCCCGCGCCGTGCAGTTGACGAAATTGAGGTTCGGCTTGGTCGCTTAACCAGCCAAAGGTCATTGGCAGCGCCAGGGTTCGAACCACGACCCCTTAATCCCCACCCTTCTTCGCAGGCCCATCGGAATCACGCTGTCCCCCCGGACACTCCTTCGGGTGGAGGGTGGGGAACTCAGTGAATGCAAAGAAAGTCAGGTCCCACTCGTTCTTCACCAAGCAACCGTTTGTTATTACCTCCCGACCTCCTGCTGATGTCCTAGAAGCCCCCCTTTCCCCTTGCAAACGAACTGAGATTATTCAGTCAGAATGGCTTGGGGTTTGGGGTCTGCATTGGGGAGTCAGATGCATCAGCCTCTGATTTACGTCTCCCAACATTGTGAGGTTGTCGCCCAAGTGCATTGTTCAGATTCTAGAGCTGGAAACTGGGAAACTGACTTTTAGCTCCAGGCTCAGAGCCTCAGCTCCCATGGTCTCTAAAGGCCTTTCCTCACTCATAACTACTGGGACTTAGCAAATATTAAATGACCGTGCCTGTGCATGTCCCGTGTGCCACATGTCTACTTAGTGCTTTATGTTTCTTCCTAGCTCATTGAAACCCTCTGGTGGCCCTACGAATTGAGAATTCTGGTAATTCCTAGTTTACAGATGAGGAAACTTTGCATCAAAAGGCTCAACTACCAGCCAGCCGTGGTGGCATGGTCCTGTAGTCCCAGCTACTCTGAAGGCTGAGGCAGGAGAATTGCTTGAGCCCAGGAGTTCCAAGCTGGAGGGGGCTATGATAGCGCTTATGTTGGGTCTGTGCCACTGCATGCCTGGGCAACATAGCGAGACCCTGTCTCTAAAATAAAAAAATGTTCAAATGCCTAGTCCAGGGTGACAGAGCTGGGATTGAAAGCCAGGTCTGCCTATCTCCAGATAGCTCAGTGGCTCCTCAAATTAGATTTGCCTGGAGAATTTGGATAAAACCGGATTCTAAAGTCCCACCCTGGGAGGTTTTGATTTAGAAGTTCTTGGATATAACCCTGGAATCTGTGTATTTGTCAAGCAGCGTGGTGGTCCTGGGCCACACTGAGGGAACTCTCTCTTCCCTCCTCTGACTTCCCGTGTAGTTGCTGGTCAGAAGTCTTTGGGACTTGCCCCATGTAGGGCCTCTCCCAAGATCCTGCTTCTCTCCTCAGGATGACCAACTCTTGGATGATGGCAAGACACTGGGCGAGTGTGGCTTCACCAGTCAAACAGCACGGCCACAGGCCCCAGCCACAGTGGGGCTGGCCTTCCGGGCAGGTGAGAGGCCCACCACCCACTGGGCTGGGTGGTAGCCAAGCAGGTTGGGAACACTGTTCCAAAGAAGGTCATCAGGGAGCCTGGAGTTGAAGCCTTCAGGGCAGTGTCTTCCTCGTGCCTAAAGGGCTGGCAATATCCTTTCACAATGTGTTTGTTTCCTCATTTTTTTTTTTTTAAAAAAGAAGCAACCAAATGAGATGCTTACAGAAACCAAAGCTTATTTTGTGAAGCCAGCTCACATTTACAGGAGGCTGAGTGAGTGCCTGGCTCCGTGCTCTGCATGTTACTCTGTGTGTGGCTTCCACTGCCCTGTCTCATCCTCTCAGTAGCCCTGGGAAGTCCACATACCATCATCCGTGTTCTGCAGATGAGGACACAGGCTTACCAGCAGTCACGTAGGGAGCCACGGTTAGGATGCTGACTGCCGGGCCCTTGCTGGAGTCAGACATCATACCAGGCTCTATGCTATGTATCACCGAAACCCTCTGCATCTCTGTGTGGCTGAGATTTGGATTTTGCCAGTTTTCAGGTTCAGTAAAGTGAGCCTGGGGAGGTTAGGTCATCTGCTGGGACTGCCACATCTAGGATTCAGATCCAGAGCCTGGGCTTCCATCAGCCATACCCCACCCCTGCCCAAGCTTTAGAAACCTGGGGATTAGGGAGTGGTTTACTACTCGCCAAGATATCTTCTTCCACCCAAGAGAAAGGGAGGGGAGATTTAAAATATTTTGTCTCTAGGAACTTGAAGAGAGGTTATAGAGCTGTGTTTTCACAGCTGTGGACCCAGCAGCTGTGTGGATGGCTGAGAAAACTTGGATAAAGTTGTAAGGAATTCTTATTTTTCTGCCTGTAAGGGAACATAGCAAAGGCTGAAGAGGAAGAGTAGAGTCCTAGCTCCACCTTTCCGTTCCATAAGTTCAGGCTAGGCCTCAGTCTCAGCAGCTATATCCTCTGGCCAGCTACCTTGCCCTCCTGCCCCTCCTGGCCCCAGTGTTCCCTTCTCCTTAAAGGGGTGTGATGAGACTGGCTTCACAGCAAGGTGGTGTTGAGTCCTCATGCACCCCAGGTCTGGCCTGCTGCCAGTGCCCAACAGATGGGAAGCTTCAGAGCCTTTCTGTGGGCTCTTTCTGCCCAGATGGTGATGTTAAGAGTCAGGTGCAGGGCTGGCATAGACACAGGTCGTGCCTTGTACATGGGTGCATTTTTGTTGTTGTTGTTTCTGAGACAGAGTCGCACTCCGTTGTCTAGGCTGGAGTGCAGTGGCGCCATCTCAGCCCACTGCAGCCGCTGCCTCCCGGGTTCAAGCGATTCTCTTGCCTCAGTGGCCTGAGGAGCTGGGATTACAGGCATGTGCCACCACGCCCAGCTAATCTTTGTGTTTTTAGTAGAGATGGGGTTTCACCATGTTAGTCAGGCTGGTCTCAATCTCCTGACCTCAGGCGATCCATACATCCCAGCCTCCCAAAGTGCTGGGATTACAGGCCTGAGCCTCGGTGCCTGGCCCAGGGGTGCCTGTCTGAAGAGAGCAAGGGAGTGCCAAGAGCATATCTGGTCTGCTTCGTGAACCGAAGCTGGGCTGTGTTCCCCCAGAAGTGTCCCTTTCTCTAATTTCAACAGTGGTACCCCTAGAGGTTTGCTGTGACTTGGAAGATACTGATAGACCCATTTTGCAGATGAGAAAATCAAGGCTAAGGAAGGTGACTTGTTTTTCTCCCACAACCCCTAATATGGCATGGAATGTGGTGGTGACTCCGGAGCCCAGGTCACATCATCCCTCTTGCAGGTGATGGCTGTCTTGATAGGGGGCACAGCATGGGCTGTCAGCTCTTTGCTTCCCCATGGAATGCTTGCAGAAACACACTTCTGGGTGCAGCTCAACCCATCATCATGTTGTTCCCAGGCCTTGAATGGGTGCCCCACCCTCCGCCTCTCCCCTCCCCCAAGCTTACCACTCAAGGAGATGAGTATTTCAAATCAAATGTTAAAGGGCATTGTCCCGGCTCATCACAAAAGAATGAGGGAGGTAGTGAAGGCACGAATTGTCACAGGTTTGTGGCTTGGAAGATGGATTAGTTTCTGAACCTCGGCACAGTGGGCACATTGGGCTGGATTGCTGTGTGGGTTGCCTTGTGCACCATAGCACGTGGAGCCGTATCCCAGGCCTCTACCCACTAGATAGCGCTGGGGCACCCCACCTCCCCATTTGTGACCGCCACAACTGTGATCAGGCATTCCAGCTTTCCCTGGGATGCCTGATCAGTTGAGAACCCTGAGCCAAGCAGAGATGGGTCTCCTAGCTGGAAGAAAGCACAGGAGAAAAGCTGTGGGTTTGTTTGCTGTGTGTTGGGGTGACAGTAGGGACAAGACAGGGAAGGCCTTTGCCTTCCTGGAGCCAGTCAAAAGGGCAGTTTGTCCAGTGGTAAGTGCCCCTACGCCCAGAGTGTCAGGATGTCTTGACTTTTGGGGGTGCGTGGACTGGAGGTTCATCTGAGGAGGTGACCTGAGTTGGACCCTGAAAGTCCAGAAGCAGCCAGCCATTCCGAGTGCTGGGACCAGCAAGTGCGAAGGTCTGAGTTAGGAAAGAACTTACAGAAGAACATAGAGAGCCAGAGCCTCAGAGCGTGGGAAGCAGAGGGAGAGACAGACGGCAAGGACTTGGTGGTATTCAGGTCATGATGGGAAGCCACTGGATGGTTTTCAGCAGGGGAGGAATAGTCTAGATAGTCTAGTTTGATTTTTTTTTTTTGAGATGGAGTCTGTGTCGCCCAGGTTGGAGTGCAGTGGCGCGATCTCAGCTACTGCAAGCTCCGCCTCCCGGGTTCACGTCATTCTCCTGCCTCAGCCTCCCGAGAAGCTGGGACTGTAGGTGCCCGCCACCATGCCCGGCTAATTTTTTTTTTTTTTTTTTTTTTGTATTTTTAGTAGAGATGGGGTTTCACCGTGCTAGCCAGGATGGTCTTGACCTCCTGACCTCATGATCTGCCCGTCTCGGCCTCCCAAAGTGTGTGAAGGGAACAAGGAGATATATTCTGGGTGAAGGGTGATGCTGGCTGCAGATGGTGAGCCCTCAGACTCACTAGTGGACATGGAAGATGAGGAAAGGGGCCCCAGCATGGTCAGTGGGAAGGGCTGGGGACCTTCAGGTTGGGCCCACAGGGGTAGGAGACATTACCGTGGGGCCACGGGGGTAGCTGGAACAGGGAGGTCAGCGCTGTGGAGACTACAGCCGTGTGGAGGGGCGTTCGCATGGAGATCCCCAAAGCTGCAGATGATCACACGTGAACACCAAGGCCCCAGCTGGGGCAAGAGCTGGAATACCCCCCTGCAGCTCTGCTGCTTCCTCCACAGATGACACCTTTGAGGCCCTGTGCATCGAGCCGTTTTCCAGCCCGCCAGAGCTGCCCGATGTGATGAAGCCCCAGGACTCGGGAAGCAGTGCCAATGAACAAGCCGTGCAGTGAGGACCCCCAAGAGGCCCATTTCCCCCAATAAAAGAGATTTGGGAGTCTGCCTGGTTGCTGCCTCTTTTTCCCGCCCCTCCCTGGGATGGGTCCCACTCCCTGTGGGCTCCTTTTGGGGCTTGTGCTTGGCAGTTCCTGTGCTGTCCTGTCTCCCAGATCCTGAGACCCTGGCTGAGAACTTGGCCCAGCCTGCTGCTTAAAGGCACCATGGGGACCTGGGTTGCCCTGAGACCCAAGCCATTGTTAGCAGCTAGCCAGCCACACCAACCACGCCAGGGGGAGGAAAGGGAAGGACTGGGAGAGACACAAAGACCAGAGCCAGCCTCAGGGACAAGAGATTCCAGTTTTAGGCCTTTCTCCTTCTAAGTGCCCCCCACCCCCATAGCCTGCATGTCCACTCCCAGACGATGGCCAAGAGCAGAAACACAAGCTGGAGCCAGTGTCCTGGTTTGACAGCATGTTCAACGAGGGAACCCCAAGACGGACCCACACAGGTCCACCCACGCTGGGGGCTGTAATCACGGAGGGAAGTGGCTGCCCCCTTAACACACCTTTAATAAACAGTCTACAGACCCAGTTCCTGCATTTCTCATTTTTATTTGACAGAAAAAGTTGCTCTTGCTGTACAGATTTTAAAAAACCAAAATGCCTTTAAGAAACATGAAAAGTTGGGGGGAGGGGTTCACAACCTCATGGGGGACAGTAGGGACCAACTAATTCCAACTCCTGCCCCTTCCTTCCAAGAACACCTTATACAACCTCCAGTCCCAACCACCATCACAATCACCCCTGGGAACTTCTGGATACAAGTGGGGCCATGCCTCCCTGGCCCTGACTCCAGGCTGGGGTATCCTGAACTGTATCCTCCCCTCCCCCAACTCCCATCTGCATTCCCTCCCACCCCAAACCCCCCAGAACACATGAACCAGGAAGAACTCACGGAGATTAACATTTCACAGGAACAAAGAAAAAAAAAAGGGGAGGGAAAGGGAGCCCTCCATCCAAGGGCTGCCAAGGTTCAAAGGAGAGCAGACAAGGACCCTCCCACGGCTCTGCTGGGGAAGAAGGGACACTCCTTGTGGCTCCAGAGCATTGGGTGTGGTGGAATCCCCCAAAGACAATTTATGGAGACCTGCAAGAGAAGATATGGGTCAACAGGGAGTTCCCACCCCAGCCCTCAAGGCCAGTTTCTGGGCCACTCCCAAAATGGGGCCGCCACCCACCACCACAACTGGCTCCCGGAAGGGGGCATCAGCCTTCCAGGACACGCACCTGGAGGAGCGGTGTCTCATGGGCCGAGGGCTAGGTGTCTCCCTCCTGCGCTTGTGGCTGGGGGAGCGGCTGTCCCCACGCTGGCCTCTCCGGGAACCCCGCTCACTGCTGCTGCTGCAACACAGGACAGACATCAGGCCACAGGGTGGCACCACCTCAGGCACCACATAGCCACAACCGCAAAGCTTTCTTCTTTGTAGAAAGCAGTGGCGGCCAGACAGGCTGGGTGCTGACACCTGCAGTTGGCCTTACCTCTGCTGGTCCCGTGGTGAGGGCTGGGGCGAGGGACGGCGACGCTCCACAGGCGAGTAGCTGAGGGACCGAGAGTCCCTGAGGGAGTCTATTGGCTTCCGGGGGCTGCGGGACCTGGGGAACACAGTAGGACCCAATAGCACCACACCCTTTCAAGCACACGGGCCAGCACTCAGGACCACCCGCCCAGGTCCTGACCACCAAACCTCACACCACACAGGGCCAGCCTCAGACCCACCTTTGTCCGCTCACTCACCCATCCGCCCGCACACCATCCACCGAGTGCCCAGTGGGCAGGCACAGGGTGCAGCGGGGGATGCAAAGATAAAGACAGTCCCTGCCCTTGAAGGAGCTCAGTGGTGAAGAAAGGCACGCACGGCCCCGTGTGTGGGAAGCAGGGCTGGATGTGCGTGGCTCTGGGGACCCAAGGGAGGGGGACATGGGGCAAGGCAGGGAAGGGGCAGGGCAGTCTTCTCGAAGGTGCTGTTTTGAGCGGAGTCTTGCAGAACGAGGAGTTCACCAGGCGGACAAGGAAATTCCAGGCAGAAGGAACAGCATGTCCAAAGGCATGGGCTCTCCTTAGACTGCAAGGCGCTGGGTGTGGCTGGAGCACAGGGCATGTGTGGGGGCGGGCAGGAGGAGAACACAGGGCGGGCAAGGCCCGTTGGTGAAGAGCCTCACACGCCACTCCCGCAGAGGTGGGGCTTTGTCCTGCAGGCCACAGGGCGTCCCGAAGGATTTGTGGAGTGGAGGGAAGTAGCCAGATGTGCGTTTTAGAAAGGTCCCTCTGGCTACATGTGGAAGAGAATGGCGTGGAGACGGGGAGACAGGGAGGAGGCTGTGGACAGAGTCGGGAGAAGATGATGGTGGCCAGACCAGAGCCCTGGCAGTAGCAACAGGGAGACAAAGCTAGAACCCTGGGAACAGGCTATGTGTTGAGGGAGGGAGAGGAAGAAACCAAGGACCCCCTGGTCCTGGCCTGAGCGCCGCTGTGGATGGCGCAGCCCTTCGCCAGAACAGGGTGCAACGAGCATGGGGAGAGGAGAGCAAGTGCCTCCTCCCCCACAACCAGATGCCCAAGGCCACGTGAGACACCCAGCGGGGAGCTCACACCCCAGGGCCCCTTCTCTGGACAAGTCACTCCCCCACCCACCTTTCAACTCAGGCAAGACAGCACTCACCTCCGCTCGCCAGGGGGTGGCTTCTTGGGGCTTGCAGGTTTGGGCAAGGCCTGAGGGCCAGGCTTAGCAGGGGAAGGGGAGGAAGACGACGAGGAGGAGGAAGATGAGGAGGAAGAAGAAGAAGAGGAAGAGGAGGAGGAAGAAGAGGAGGAGGAGGAGGAGGAGGAAGATGAAGAGGAGGAGCTGGAACTGGAACTGCTAGAGCGCCTCTTCCGTTTGGCTGGGGTTGGCTCCGGAGGACGTCCCTCTCGAACAGCCTCCTTTGGGGCTGGGGTGGGGCTGGGGACCCTGTGGGAGGAGAGGAGTGTCACAAGGAGACAAGCTGCCCCAGCCCCAACCCTACCTTCCTTGGCCTGGAGGAACGGCAGTGGGGGGAGGGGTGCCTGAGAAAGGCGCTGGGAGCTCTCCGAGCCACGTGAGCCAGCAATTCTCTGGAGAGCAGTGGTGCGAGCTGACCCAACCTCTGCTAACAGAAGCAACAGGCTGGGGCCCGCAGCATAAGGGATCAAGGTTAAACCTCAAGAATGTCCCTGATGGAGGAATAAGGCCTCTGGGCTCAGGTGTGGAAGCTGAAGCTGGGTAGTCTCCTTCCTCGGAGAGCCGCAGCTTGGGGAGGCCCCTGTGAGTGCAGGTTGGCTGGGGAAGGGGCCGTCCTGCCTGGAGGCAGGGAGAGGGATGGGATGACCTCTGAAGATCCTTCCAGCCCAGGGAGTTCCTCTTGAGGTCTAACTGCCATCCCTCCTGCTGTAAAATTAAGTCCATTTCCTCTAGTTCTGTCCTCTGTAGAGACGGAAAACTTATCATTATCCTCTAGAGAATGAACCTTCGGAGACTTTTATCTGTCCCATTCCTCCTCCCTCCGCCCCCTGCCCCAGCATTCTCTTCTACCCCCAGCTTGAGGGTCAAGGTCCCCATACCTCCTCCAAGAGCCAAGCACCTGTGACATGGTTTCTCCCTCCCCACTCCCCAACCCATCCCCAATACCTCCCCCACTGAAGATTTCTAAAAGTCAAGCTCCCTCACCTCTTCAGTGCCACCTCAGGTTGCACAGGAAGGCTAGAGCCCTCTGAGTCACTAGAACTGGAGCCAGAGGAGGAGGAGGACGACGACGACGATGATGAAGAAGAGGAGGAGCTAGAGGACGACGACGACGAGGAGGAACTCCGCCGCTCCTTTGCTGGCTGCAGGGCGGCTAATGCAGAAGGCTGCTGGGCCCCAGTAGAGGCAGGTGGCTCCCCCACATCAGAGTGGGGCACCCCAGGGGCAGGGACAGAGAGCATGCCATTGTGATCACCAGCAGAGGACGTGGTCGTTGCCACTGCCCCAGAGGAAAGGGACTGAGACCCTGCTACAGGGGTGGTCTGGGCAATCAAACAACGGGATTGGTCTGAAAAAGCAGAAGGCACAGGAGACCTCGGCTGATCCTGTGCTGGAGGGAGAAGAGACTGTGAAGGAGCCTGGCCCATTCTAGAGGAAGGGGAGGGAGCCCGTTCAGAGGTCATCCTAGATTGGCTTGGGGCAGACGGTGGTGTTCTGGACCTAGCTCGGTCAAGGAGCGGTGGTGAGGTTCTGCCACTGACACGCTCGTAGGCAGAAAGGGGCACCCTGGGGCTGGTGAGGTTTGCACCAGACAATGCTGGAGCCATCCTAGCACTGGTGAGGCTCGCGGGGGCCAAGGCTGCGGCGGTTCTGGAGCCGGCAATATTCACAGGAGCTGTGGCATGTGCAGACCGAGGACCCACCAGGTTTGCAGAGGCTGGAGCCTGTGGTGTTCTGGAGCTGGAGGGATAGTTTGCAGCAGTTGGTGGTGTGCCAGAGCCTGTGAGACTCAGAGCTGCCAAGGCAGCTGGGGTTCTGGCCCCTGCTAGGTTCACAGCTGGGGCTGTGGGAGTGCGAGGGTCAGCCAGGTTCACAGCCGAAGGTGCCACCGCTGTTCTGGGGCTGGCCAAGTTCATGGCCGCTGCTGCAGCTGGCGTTCGAGAGTCAGCCAGGTTCACTGCTGTTGGAATGGCAGGTGTCCTGGCGCTGGCTAGGTTCATGGCTGCCGCAGAGGCTGCAGGAATCCTGCTGGCAAGGTTGGCTGCTGGTGCGGTTCTGAGACTCATGAGAGGCACCGGGGCTGGAACCTGGGACATTCTTGCAGCAAGGCCAGCAGCAGACATGGACGGAGGAGGCCGAGCGGTGCCAAGACTGATAGCTGTCAGGGCAAGTGCAATCCTGGACTGAGCATGATTTTCTGGCACAGATGTTCTCTGGTGGTCAGGTATTCGGGGACCTGGACCATCCATCATGGAGCCGCCGGCTTGCTGCAGGACAGACATGGGTGTTCTAGAGCTGCCAAGGGGTTCAAGCATTCCAGGTGATCTGCAGCGATCAAGAGGTGTTGGGGACATGCTAGGACGACTGAAGCAGCTCATTCTGGAACTGTTGAGTGCTACTGGAGGTGTCCGTGAACCAGAATGATTTCTTGTTGCTGGAGGAGTAGCAGATCGTGAACGATCAGAACTACTTCCAGATGCAGAACGCCTGCGGATGGCTGGAGGAGATCTTGTTAAGGACCGTTTACCCCGAGCTGTTCGTGGAGTACGGGATCTGGAGCGGCGGCGGATAGCAAGTGGTGAGCGACTTCGAGAACGTTTGCGTGGTAACAGTGGCGTTCGAGATCTAGAGCGGCGCCGAATAGCTGGAGGTGTCCGGGACCTAGAGCGGCGGCGTGTCACTGGTGAGGTTCGAGAGCGGGACCTTCTTCGAGTTACTGGAGATGTGCGAGATCGAGATCTCCTTCGGGTGACCGGAGATGTTCTGGATCTTGATCTTCTGCGAGTGATAGGCGAAGTTCTGCTTCGAGATCGCCTCCTGGTTACTGGTGGAGTCCTGGATCTGGACCTTCTGCGAGTCACTGGTGGAGTTCTAGAACGGGAGCGGCGGCGTGTTGTTGGCGTTCTAGACCTTGAACGACGGCGGGTTACTGGTGGCGTTCTGGATCTGGATCGCCTTCTGCTCACTGGGGATGCTCTTGACCGGGATCTTCGTCGAGTCACTGAAGTCCTGGACCTTGACCGTCTCCGGCTGACTGGTGAAGTTCGAGATCTGGACCTACGTCGGCTTATCAGGGGGGTTCTGGACCTGGATCGCCGGTGAGTGGCTGGAGAGGCTCGAGATCTAGAGCGTTTCCACGGGGCTGGTGATGTGCGTGAGCGAGAACGCTTCCGACTGGTTGGGGGTGTCCGAGAGCGGCCTCTTCGGCGTCGAGAGGAGGTCCGGGAACTTTCCTGCCGGGCAGGTGACCTTGAGTGATAACCAGAGCCTCCCCTCCGCCGCCGAGTAACCCGCGACCTTGACCGGCTCCGCTGTCTTCGCCGAGAGGTTGACTGAGAAGATCCAGACCTATCTCGACGTCGGGTTGTTCTTGTTTTCTCTCTCCTTGAGCGGGAACGGGACCTCTGGAGTCCACGAGGCTTTGGCGAAGGAGAGCGGCCTCTCCTTGAGGTTGTCTTAGTGCGTGGAGATGAAGCTGAGCGCCGTCGGCGTGAAGACCTCGATTTTTCGGCTGGCTCCGGGGAAGACACTGAGGGACTTCTCCGGTGCCTTGGGGGAGTTCTAGAGCGAGTTTCTGGTGAGGATGAGGCAGAGCGGCTTCTACGGGACAGTCTGGCCTTCCTTGTTAGCTCCGGAGATGATCGAGAGCTGCGACGTCGAGGTGGTGTACGAGACTTGGTCTTGGGCTCTGGTGATGACCTGGAACCTCTGCGAGCAGTTCTGGATTTGGGCGGATGTTCAGGAGAGGACTCGGTACTGCTGCTTCCTTCAGGAGAAGGGCCTCTGCCTTTGCTTGATGAACCTGATCTGCTTCGTCTGGGAAGGGCCCGAGGGGCTGGAGCTTTAGGTTCAGGAGAGGAATCAGAACCACTCTGTGCCCTGGGTGCTGCTCTTGGCTTATCTTTCACTTCAGGGGAGGAACCAGACCTACTGCGCCGAGGGGATAGTCGAGATTTGCTGTCAACCTCTGGAGATGATCCAGACCGACTCCTCTGCCGAAGTGGGGTTCTTGTCTTGGCTTTAGAATCTGGAGAAGAGTCTGACTCACTTCTTTCCTGAGGGGATGCACTGGGTTTCACATCAAGTTCTTGAGAGGATCCCGAACGACTTCTCTGCCCCAGGGGAGTCCGAGCCACAGTTTTCTGATCAACTGATGATTCTGACCCGCTTCTTTCTCTCTGGGGGGTAAGACACTTGTTGTTGAGCTCTGGGGATGATGGAGAACGACTCCTCGGCCTAGGAGTCTGAGGCAAAGCTTTCGGTTCTGGGGAAGAATCACATTCGCTTCTCCCTCTAGATGGCGTTCTAGGTATATCTTTCATTCCAGGAGAGGACCCAGACAGGCTGTGCCTCGAGGGAGTCCCAGACCCATCTCTAAGTCCTGGAGAAGACCCAGACCTGCTTCTCCTTGATGGAGTTCTGGGTAAACCATCTTTCATTTCAGGAGAAGATGCAGAACTACTTCTTTCTCTCGAGGGTGTTCTGGGTACAGCATCAAGCACAGGTGAAGAGATGCTCTGATTTGAAGACATCCCTGCCTTTTCCACTGCATCTGGGGATAACTCAGAACTGCTGTGTCCAGAGGATCTTGTCGATTGTTCTTTCATGTCTAGAGATGGATCTGTTTCCAGCTGATTAAGAAACGGTCCATTCAAATCTTCTTTAACCTCAGAAGAAAATCCAGTATTCATTTCTGTACCAAGTGGGCCTGAGTTTCTAAATTCTAAAGGTGATCCAAAGCTGTTCTCCCTGAGTGGGGAGTTAGACAGTTCTTTATGTTCTGGAGAAAAATGTGGCCCACCCCAAGATGAGGCCATTGAAGGGACTTCTACTGCTTCCAAAGAAGCCTGTGACTGGCTCTGATCAAGAGTCAAAGACACAGCAGGCCTTTCTTCTACTTCAGGAGATGATTCAAAGTTACTTGTGGACATTTCTTTAAGTTCTGAAGACAAATGAGACAGGATTTGGCCTGCGGGTTCTTCAGACTTCTCTACCACCTCCATTAACTCTTCATCTTGGCTTGACGTAGGCAATGCACTATTTTGCTCTTTTGTTTCTGGAGATGACCCAGCACCACTTCTTTCCCTTGGCGGGGTTCTAAGTGTGTCTTTGAATACCAGTGAAGACTCAGGCCTATCCTGTACTGGAAAGGGACTAAATTTGTCTTTCTGTCTAGGAGGTGATGCAGTAGCATCCTCCTGAGGGGGTAAGGCCATTTTCTCTTTTGATTCAGCAGTCTCCAATCTACTCTGCCCCAAGAGAGAATTCGAGTCCACTGTAGGATATGAAGAAGAGTCAGACTGGAACCTGCTCTGCTCAGGAGACATTCCAGATTTCAACATAGGACTCGCTGAGAACTCACCTCTATCTTGTCTTATTGGAGATCTGGATGCCAGCTCAGTGACTGGAGATGAAGACCTGGACCGACCTCCCTTAGGTGATGTTTGAGATTTGCTCTGCAGAGATGGTGATTCTGAATGACTCTGTCTCACTTCTGGACTTGAAGTATCAGATCTGTGGTCTGGTGAAGTTTGAGATTGTCCTTTCAGTTGCAGAGATGAGACACCAAAATAGCTCTCGCCTGGTGGTGTGCTAGATTTTACTCCTGCACAGAGAGAGAGGGATCCAGGGCAACTTTGAACTAGTGAGTCTTTAGACTTCTCTTGGGGACATGGTGACTTTGATCCAGAAAGACTTGGCCCCGGTGGAGTTTGGGCCTTTACTTTGGGGTATGGTGAAATAGACCCTGAGTGACTTTGTCTTGGCGGTGTTTCAGGTTTCACTTTGGTATCTGGTGAGGAGGACCCAGAATGACTGTATCTTGGCAACAATCTGGATTCCACATTGGAGCAGGGAGATACTGATCTGCTTCGCCGTGGAGTTGTTCTCGACGTCACCCTACTAGGACTTGGAGAAGAGGAGCCAGAATGGCTTCTTTGTCTTGGTGATATTATTGCCTTCACTTTGGGTTGTGGAGATGATGACCTAGATGGGCTCTGTCTGGGAGGTGTGCTAGATTTCACTCTAGGAGGAGAGGACCCTGAGCAGCTATGTCTAGAAGGGGTCCTAGATTTCAACTCAGGGTCAGGTGATGATTCAAAACAGCTCCGTCTCTGTGGCGTTACAGATTGCTCATTGGCCTGGGGACTTGTTATGGACCCTTGCCTCGGTGGTGTTCCAGATTTCACTTTAGGATGAGGAGATGAACTGGAATGACTTTGTCTTGATGGTGTCTTAGATTTCTGTTTAGGTGGCGGAGAAGAACTGGAGCGACTGCGTCTGGGTGGCGTTCTAGATTTAGCTTTAGGTTGGGAGGATCCAGAGCGACTGCGCCTGGGTGGTGTCTGTGACTTTTGTTTAGGGCATGGGGAAGACCCTGAAAGGCTGCGCCTCAAAGACAAGCGAGATTTTGCTTTGGACCGTGGTGAAGAGAGAGACCTGCTCCGCCTTGAAGAAATGCGAGATTTCTTCATTTCTGGGCTTGAATTGGACCTGCTTCTTCTTTGAGATGTTCTGGATTTGTTTTTCCGCTCTGAAGATGAGCCAGATCTGCCTCTTCTTTGAGGTGTTCTAGAGTGAGATCTTCCACGTCTAACTAAGCTTCTACTGCGGGATCTTCCTCGTCTTGGTGTCCTAGACCGAGACCTCCCTCTCCTGGCTGGTGTTCTGGAGCGTGAGCGACCACTGCGTCTAGCTGGGGTTCTAGAGCGTGAGCGGCCACGTCTGGCTGGGGTTCTGGAGCGTGAGCGGCCACGTCTAGCTGGGGTTCTAGAGCGTGACCTGCCACTTCTCCTGGCTGGTGATCTACTACGAGACCTGCGTCGTACTGGTGATCGGGTCCTAGATCTGCGCCTAGCAGGTGTTCTAGACCGAGACCTGCCCCTCCGGGCTGGTGTTCTAGACCGAGACCTACGCCTGGTGGGAGTTCTGGATCGTGATCTCCGCCTGGCAGGTGTTCTAGAGCGGGACCTGCCCCGGCGGGCTGGTGTTCTAGAACGAGATCTACCCCTAGTGGCTGGGGATCTAGAGTGGGACCTCCCTCGCCTTGCTGACCTAGACCTGCCTCTTCTCTGGGTATTTCTGCTCCTAGACCAGCCTGGTCGCTGAGGAGACCTAGAGCGGCCACGTCGCTGGGGGCTTCTAGATCTTCCCCACCTCTGTGCAGACCTGGACCTACGCCACTGGGGAGATCGGGATCGAGAATGACCTCTCTTGGTAGGGGTTCGAGACCGAGATCGCCCTCTCTTAGCGGTGGCAGGGCTACGGGACCTCCCCATCCTACGGGAGGGGGTATGAGAATGTGATTTATCCCGTTTTGCTCGGCCATGTGAGCGATTCTTAGATGTGGGAGAAGAAGAAATCTCTCGGTGGGACCCTGGAGCTGGAGCAGGTTTAGGACTTTCTGGGGAAGAGCTGGCATGCCGAGAAACTTTGGTAGGTTGAGGGGATGGTGGGCTGCTCTCTGAGGAAGAAGACTGGGGAAGTTTCTCGGGAGACTTAGGTGGTGAACGGTCCCGAGTTGGAGAGGCCTCAGATGGGGGGTTCACTGGCTCCTGGCTTAAGGGGGTGGTTGCAAGGGGTTGTGGGGAGCCGCCATGTCGCTCAGCAAGGAGCGGAGTGGGAGCAGGTGGTTCTGGGCCTGTGCTGCTCCTTTCCGGAGAGGGGCTAGGTCGAGTTGCAGATTTCTAAGAGTGGAAGAGAGAGCAGGGATAGGGATTCATAAACGCCAAAACTTCACATCACCCCTAAGATCCCAACACCCTTTCCAATGATAACTTTTCTTTTACACACCCTCTGACCACAAGCGATCACTTTCATTCAATAACAAGGAATCATATAAAGCACAGTGGTGAAAACATATGAATATATGGATAGCCAGAATCTTAAAACTAAAAGAAACACAAAATGCAAATAACTAATGCACTACTACATTTAACAAATACCACTACAAAATGTTATAAGAATGGAAAAAAACTATCTTTAAATGGAAAAATAAGCAGTTTCCTAAAGCGAATGGCAACTTCACCTTTGAAGAATAACTCTATTAAACGAAAAGAAACAGCATGAATAAAGATGTGAGAACATGATTTGTGTGAAGAGTAAAAAAGCAGCCCAGGATGGGTAGAGTACAGGAAATGAGAAAAAGACCAGACTATTAAAAGCCTTAAATATAATTCAAAAGCAATAAGGAAGTAGTTAAGTTTCTGAGGTCAACCAACTTGTAATTTGGAAAGGTAACCCTGGATGACATGGAAAATTGATGATAGAGGCCAAGAATTCAGACTGTAATCACTAAAGCAAGAGGAAATGATTAATGCTTAAAATTGGAACAGAAGACTACTGAAGACTATTTCAGTGTTTCATTCAAACTATTGGTGGCAACGCAATGGATTAAAAAGTTTTGGTGAGACATGACCAGCATTTAATGAAAAAAGAGAAGAAACTAGAGGCATCATACGGAGTACACAGATAAGATACAACGTTTGTTCCAGTTCTATCTATGTATAAACAAGACACAATATAAAACCTAACATCCAGTGAGATTTGATTCTAAAGGGTTCACAATTCAGTCTAGTAACAACACTAAAAGTTCTGCAGATGCAGTAAGAGAACTAGGAGAGAAATGCAGGAAAAAAAACTGAATTTATTTATTTTAATAAGTTATTACCTCTCCCTTTCACATCACATGTCTATCCTAAATCTATACATTTGCAATCCAATGAACATCACCAACTCAGGAACATACCTCCTTCTTGTCTTTATCTTTGTCTTCATAAGGGCTGCTAGGCTGTTTCGTAGCAGTCTCCGGGCTACTAGGCCGTTGTGTGCTGGTAGTACCTGGTTCACTGAAAGGCGCATCTCCCTCCCCGCGTCGCCCTGAAGCAGGGGAAGGACTTCGCCCAGCCAAGGCAGTTGTATGAGTTTTAGCTGCAGCACTTCGAGACCTGCAGGAGTTAATTGAGGACGTGGGAGAGGAAGGAAATCAGCTCAAAGGGAGAACAGAAAACCCCCTCCCCAACTCCCATCCACCTTTCCTAACTGGACAACCCTCTTCCAAAAAGCCTTTAGTCGCACAACTCAAATCATTCACTGAAATGCAAGTACAGTCCACTTTGGTTCTTCTTTTCCCAACACAATCCCAAAGAGCGTTCTCCCTCTACCCCTTTACTCACCTCCCCCAAACATCCCCAAACCATCCACCCAGCCCACTCCCTACCCGCTTCATTCACAACTCACCTCTGAGCCCACCTCCTTCAGGAAGCCTTCCCCGATTAAGGAAGCCAGGGTAAGGATTCCTTCCTCCCCCAGACACCACGAACAAACCACCACCCCCCCTATTCTGGCAGTCCATATACATCAGAACGAAACAAAAATAACAAATAAACAAAAACAAAAAAAAAAAGAGAAGGGGAAATGTATATGTCTGTCCATCCTGTTGCTTTAGCCTGTCAGCTCCTAGAGGGCAGGGACCGTGTCTTCCGAATGGTCTGTGCAGCGCCTAGCACACCGTGGGCGCTCAATAAATATTAAATTAATTAACCCATCATTCCCTCTCCCTCCCTTCCTCCTGGACTACCCCTTACCGACTGCGGGAAGTATCGGAGGAGGAAGCAGAGTCAGCAGAAGTTGAACGGTGGGCCCGGCGGCTCTTGGGGGCTGGTGTTGTACTTCGAGACCTGAAGGAAGACCACCACCACAGCTCAGGGTACTGCTGTACCTGCCCTGGATTCTCCTCACGTATCCCTCAACCCTTTACCAGTCAGGGACATAACTCATTCAACTCCCTCCCACTAAGGTGGCGTTCACTTACTTCCTAAGCAAATTCCCCACAAATTCACTCACCGCTTTCGCTTTTTGTCCTTAGATTTACGTTTGCTCTTTGGAGTGGGAGACCTGGGAAATAAGGAAAGGTTGTTAAAAGTAACTTCTTTAAAAAAGGAAATAAAACCAAAAGTGAAATGGAAAGAGGGAGTGTTGACACAAGGAAGATCAAGGAATTGAGCTTCACTCCAAGAAAAAAAAATCACCACTCCACATGCCACTGCGCCCCCTATGAGTTAAAGAGCTCTTACCTATGCTTACGTTTCTTGGACTCAGATTCTGACCTGTTGGAAAAAAGAGAAGAAAAAACATAAGAAACACCTCTGCCTGAATTCAGCAAACCTTCTCCAGTCATTCAAGTATTCCCACCTCATACCTGTGCTTCTTCTTCTTTGAGCTTTTCTTTCTCTCCCGTCGAGGAGAGCTGCTCTCTGACCTGCTAAAGATGGATTCAAAAGCAAGCTCATCCTGCTTGGCTTCTTTCCTGGCCCTCCCACTTACAATCTCTCTCCTAAAAAGGTTTCTAAAACACTTGAATGTCCTAATAGCACTAATGCCCCAGACCTAAGCCCAGGACTTATTTCTTCTTTCTCCAACAAGCACAAGTAACTCCTTAAGTCAACAAACCTCAAAATGAAAAAGAAAATTCCAGAATCCAAAATGCTGCTGGCCAATCTTAATTAGCAGAACTGCAAACTCAACACTTCCCCACTGAGAAACTCAGGTATTTCTTCTAGTTGAGGCCTCAATGGTAACTCCCTCCTCCCTGACAACTATCTCCTGCTTTGTGGAAGCCAGAACTGTCCACTTCCAGAGAGAAAGGTACACCACAGGATTGGTCCTCTGGCTATCAGAGTCACTTTCCAACTAACTTACCGTCCTCTATCTTTCTTCTTTTTCTTCTTCTTCTGCTTTGGGGTTGGTGAGCGAGAACTGCTAGACTCCCGAACAAGGCTAGGGAAAAATGAAAAGCAGCAGAGATGGGTGGTAGAACAAACATTCCTTTCTTTTCTTTAAAAGACAGAGTCTAAAAAAATAGTAATAAAAATAAAAAAATAAGAGTCTCGCTCTGTTGCCTCAGGTGGGGTGCAGTGGCAGCAACACAGCTCACACCGTAACCTCCAACTTGTGGGCTCAAAAGACCCTCCTGCCTCCACCTCTCCAAGCAGCCTGGACTACAGGCATGTGCCACCAACCAGCTTTTTTTCTTTTTGTAGAGATGGGGTCTCACTACATCGCCCAGGCTGGTCTCAAACTCCTGGCCTCAAGTGATCTCCTGCCTGAGCTTCCCAAAATGCTGGGATTACGCGCGTGACCCACTGTGACTAACCCTTGGACACATTTTTTTGGACACCTCAACTTCAGAAGAACAAAATCTGAAGAGTTTGGGAAGAAACCAGCCCGCAAAAAGACAAAAATAGAGCATGGAGCTTACAATCAAGAAAAGAAGCTGACAGTGGTTTCTTGGCCTTGTATACCTGTAAGGTTTGGGAGGCTCAGGAGCTGGTTGTTTAGCTTCTCGGGCACGACGCTGAGGATCAAAAGAGCTGCCATCTACGTAAGAATCACTGATGCCAAAGGCAGCACGGAGTCTTTCATTCTTCTTCTCATTTAATTCTGCCAACTGGTGAGTCTCCGTGACCCTAGAGAAAAGAAGGGCAAAAGTCTGAAGGAAATATAAAGGACAGAGCCATATTCAGAACACAAGTATAAGCAGGAGCCAAATAAGGCATGGGAAAGGCAGACGAAAGCAGGGAGGAAGTCCCACGTAAGGAAAAGGACAGCAGCAGCAGCCAGCAGCCAGAGTAGAGTCCAGAGTCATCGAGGGAGAGCGCAACACTCACGCTGGCCTCTGCCCTGGGGTCTCCTCCTTGCCCCCAGGGTTCACATCCTTCTCCAGCAACATGAGTCGAAAGGTCGCCACTTTTTCCTGAATTTGCTGTTCCTCGTACCTGAAGAACAAATCCCTTCAGGGTTAAGCTCGACAGGACACTTTCCCCAGTCCCAGGTTTCCATTTCCCTCATTCCCAAAAGGGGCCCCTCCCTCTCCATGCGCACACAGAACTTTTCGCTCACCCAAAAGTCCCTTCTGTCTGATCTTTTCCCATCATCTTTCTTCCCTCTACTTACTACTCCCTCTAGAACAGTGGATTTTAAATATGCTACACCTCAGGGACCAAAAGAAAAAAGTTAAGCAAGCAGGGTTCCAAGTGCTCCTCCCCAACTTCAACAAGAATGTGCCTTTTACTTCCTGGGATTCCAAAGTAAGGGATACTGTATAAAAGGATCACCATTGCTGAAGTTTAAAACCACTGCTCTAAAAGAGTTTTCTGCCTTAATGGGCTCCTTTTCCAAAATTTCCCTTCCCAGCCCATGATTCCCACTTCTTCACGTATTCTTCTAATTCCTCTTTTCCTGCCTATGCTACTTTCCAAGGCCTCAATCCTTACATCCATTTATCTTCTTCTTTTCTACCAATGACAACACCTATCAGCTTACCTAGCTCCTCTACCTGGTCTCTGCTTTCCCATCTCTTCCTTAAAACACATTTTTGTTCCTCAATGGCCCCTCCCTTCTCCCACGTGCCTCCATTTAGTACCTCAGGCTCCCATCTATGCCCCAGACACACAGCCTTCTCATTTCCCACTCTGCACTGTCCCTTAACTGTTTTCACTTCTCTAGAGCTCATCTGCCTCCTCCCCTACCACAACTCTTTGCCAGGCCTCTTTCAACCACCCTAAGCTCCCTATACATCCCACCTAACACCCCCAGCTCTGCACTCATTCAGTGCTTGACTCTCCCCCAGCTCTCCCTCACCCCTGCTCTTCCATCATCTCCTCCAGCTCGAGGCATCGCAGCTCGACGCGCCGCTTGCGCTCGTGGTCCAGGATGTCAGGATTAGGCCGCTTCACCAGGGCAGCCTCCAGGCGCCGCAGTTCCTCCTCTCCCTTGTAGTCAGGCCGCTCACCCCGGCGGCCCCGCACCAGGGACAGGTTGCGCTGGACGTAGCCGTTGGTGCCGCTGCCCCGGGGCGTCGGCAGCCCGATCCCGTTGTACATGGCCCCGTGCCCGGGGGGGGCACCACCGCTCCTGAGGGGGAGCGGGGAGACACGGGTCAGGCCCCTGGCCCCAAACTAACCACTTACCGCCCCACACCCAAGTCCCTGCTCTCCTTCATCCCTAATTCAACATTGATCTTCACACTAAGTCTTCGCTGTATAATGCTCCACCATCCTCCTGGTCTCCCAAGAAAACCACTTCTTTGCCCTTCCAAATTTCCTTTCTACCAAATCACAGCCCAGTTCTTACAGCCTTTCTCTCAATGCCCTTGCACAGAATTCTAAATAATCCCTCCCTACACCTAAATTTTCTTCTTTTTCCACCCTAGGCAAACAAGGATCTTGTTCCTCTAAAATCTCTCCACACTGTCCCTTTTTGTTCTCCTTTGGCCCCAAAATGCACAAGTGGTGTGTTTACCAACTACTCTAATTCCTAACCTCTGGTAACCAACCAAAGCCTCCTGGTCACAACAAACACCAGACACAGATCTGTGGCACCCAACGGCCTCTAGTCCATGTCCAAAGACTCTCCCAAAAACTTACCTAAGGATTTCAGACCACCCTATACGAATATGAAATAAACTACACAGCCCCTAGGTATCTGAACAGCAGACTAGTTGGTTCAGAATGTGCAGCCTCACACCCCAACTAAAGGCCAGCATGCACATCAGAAACACACATGAACCTTGGATAATCGTCATATACTTCACCTCCCAGGTAAGGGCCATTTCCTTGATTCCAAATATTTAAAGATCCTATCAACTATCCTGATATTTTATTCCTTCAATTTCCTTCCTCTCAATAGGATTTACAACAATTTGCAGTTCCTCCCTGTCTTGCCAGCTGTCAAATATTACCTGTTTTCAACTCTGCTCTATTTAAACACATCAAACCAGCCTCCTCTGTTCCAACCGTTCCCATACCTTCTCCATATACCTTGCCCTAAATCTATGTAGAAACCCTCTCTACACCCCACTTTCATTAATGTCCAACCGTTGGCTTTCCCCACCAATCCCCTGGATAGCACTTCCTAGTTTTTCTCTCTCAGCCCTGCCTCTTCCTTCTCTCCTGTGTTAACCCCATGCCTCCTCCCAGGTTCTAGCCTTTCAACTTGTCCCAACCCTAACGTGATTCTGAAAAATTCTCAAGTCCCAGCTTTCCTGGTTAGATTCCTTGGCTACACATACTCTATTCCTTTCTCCTATTACATATACTCTCTTTCTCACCCTCATCCTCTCCAAGATAGTTTCCTAGAACATGCATATATGAGAAAATACTACTAAGAAAAAACCCTAAGGAATACGTAAAGCGGAGAGAGTAATCAAAGATGTAAAAGAACTGGATAGAAGGGAAGGATGCATTTAGAAAATTCCAGAATGAAGAAGCATCATACAAATGTTTGGAAAAATATACTAGCGCATGCGCCTAAGGATGGGTCCCTACCCAAGCCCAGTAGCAGACCCAATATTGAAAGCAGAAGGTGACAGAAGAGGCTAAACCTGGATAAGGCAAGCAGAAATCCAGGAAAAAATGAAAAACTGTATGGCTCAAAAAATCAATTTCTCTACACCCCAATCCTCATTTTCATCTTCTAGTACCAATCCTCCTCACGGTTTAAAACTAGGTCCTTCTTCGCCTCTCCCCTACCCCACTTAATTTCTGCTTCCCCTGCAGCATGTTTTTGACCTGCACTTAATTCTTCAGCTTAACCATTCACCCACACTTCCATACCACCTCACACAAAAATCCCCCCACTCCTTAAGAAAGGAAAACCAGGCCGGGTACGGTGGCTCACGCCTGTAACACCTGCACTTTGGGAGGCCGAGGTGGGCGGATCACCAGATCAGGAGATTGACACCAGCCTGGCCAACACGGTGAAACTCCATCTCTACCAAAAATACAAAAATTAGCTGGGCGGCGGCGATTGCCTGTAATCTCAGCAACTCCAGAGGCTGAAGCAGGAGAATCGCTTGAACCCGGGAGGCGGAAGGTTGCAGTGAGCCGAGATCGCGCCACTGCACTCCGGCCTGCCAACAGAGCTAGACTCCGTCTCGGAAAAAAAAAAAAAAGAAAAACCAGTAGGTGCTAAGCAAAGGATATTAGGTCACAATGTTTCGGAGAACTTTTAGGGAATGAGCCACCTAGTCCACCCCACAAAAAAAGACGACGACCCCACGGCATCTAAGGGGTGTGTTAAGACACAGAAAGTAGGAAGATCAACACCACACACAAATCACCAAACCAAACGATATTACAAAACTCTTAAAGTGGGGGCCATAGACAGTGGATATGCAAAAGTTACCCAAGTTAAAAGCAGAAAGTAAAAAGTACAAAGGAAGACAAAAACACCCTTTTCTGTTGGGAAATTATCCGAGTGGTAAGCTAACAATGAAGTAGAAAGATATATTTGAATTCAACAGTAAAATATGCAAAAAAGAAAACGGTACCAAAAGGGGAGAAAAAGGGGAGACAAGGGTTGTCGAAAAAAATGGACATCAGCAAGCACAGCCAGCTCAGCACCGGGGCGCTCCAGAGCGGCTGAGTGGACACAAAGAACCCAGAAAGCTAAAATAGTAGCTTTAGAAGAGCCCTAAGCCCACGCACTTAGGATGAAAGACAACACAACACTCTGAAATTCTGATCCAGATTCGTCCTAACTGAAGCCGAGTGGAAACCAAGCTTCAGAAGAGCTGTGTGCCAAAGAACGCCTGAAACCAACCAGAAAACTTATATATGAGTCTGGCGTTTTCTTCCCAACGAAGGTCTCCAAAAGCCTCCTTAGTTTGAACACGAATTCTCGGGAGACGTTGAAAAAGTGTAAAAAGGGAACGCACGGTCTACCTTACAAATGTAAACTGAACACGTTCACTTTCTTCACAGTTTTTAAGATTTGGGGTTTCTCCCCGCCACTAACAACTCAAAGGCTGATAGCCGGGAATCCTAAACCATTTAAATCCGGCCCACGAAGTTCAAGGCCCTCCCCGCAGCGCCGGGGGCCTATTTTCGGCCTTGCGGAATGGGGGAGGGGGCTGCGCGGCGTCCCGCAGTCTGGGAGGCCCCCGACACGGGCAGCCCAACGCCGAAGAGAAGCCCGAGGAAAGGAGATCTGGAACCGGGGGCAAGGGTCCAGGAGCAAGCCCCCCGCCGCCGCCCCTTCCCCGCCACTTAAGGGCCGAAAACGGCAGCTGCAGGAAGGCCACCTCGGCGGCACATGTTGGGGGGAGGAGTGAAGCCGAGGCGCGCGCCCTCCCCCCTCACCAAGGGCGCTCGCGAACCCGAGTACAGGCGGCTGCGAACGCCGTTGTCATGGGGGAGGGGCGGGGGGGGGTGAAGCCCGCGCGCGACAGGAACGGCGGGAAGGGGGAAGGGAGGCGAGGGCGTCCGCGCCAGCGAAGGGCGTCGAGCGCGCGTGCGCGCGGAGGAGCTCGGCGGCCTGGGCAGTTCTCCGCGCGCTTTGGCCTCGCGCCGGGGCCGCCGCCCCTCCCCCACCCGGCTCGCTGGCTCCCTCACCCTCTCACCCGCCGCCTCCGCCCGCCGCCTCCGAGGGGGAGAGGTCTTGCCGCCGCCGCTGCTCGAGCTCCCGAGTCCCTCGGGCCTGGGGCCGCCGCCTCGCCTCGCCGGTCCGCCCGCCTCAGCCGACGCCGACGCCTCCTCGCTTCCTCAGGGGCCGCAACGGGCTCCAACTGCGCCACTCGCACCCCGCCTGGGCCGCGCTGCACGTCAGCACGACTAACTGCGTGCGTCAGCACGCAAACGCGCGTCGCGGGGCCTGCCGGGAACTGGAGTGCGCCCCGCGGCCTTTTGCGCAGGCGCCGAAGCCACACCGCGAAGTACCGTTTTTTCAGGCACAAGGAAGGTTTCACCCCGTTGCCGAAAGACTAAGCGTCCCGTTGGCCAGTGCAACGAAGAACGGAGGAAGCGACGTAAGACACCGCGTATTCGTAGGCCTTCCGCTGCGGGGAGGAGCACAGGGCCTAGCGGCAGCAAAGCGACGCCCGAGCGCGTCTCGTCTCCCGCTGTCGATGCAGAGCATTCTGGGAGTTGTGGTTCGGGCGTGTCGCGGAGCCCGGATGTAATTTCGGCTCGGGGCGTGGCGGCCATTTTGTCTCCCCATGTTGGGAGACGATATCCCAGCCGCGGTGGTGCTGCCGCTTTCGTGTGACTTTGGGTTTCCCGAGCGAGCCCGCAGCTGCACAGCAGTCCGCCTTCCCGTACCCGAGAGAAGCCGCCTCAGACCCCAGCCAGCGGGCACCCCCGGAGGCCCCGAGCCTGGCTGCAGGCCCTAGACCTGCACCAGGGGCCCAACCAGTTACCCGTAGCATGGGCCACGTTCTCCCGCTGTAGACCGGGCTGAGGCCCGACGGCCACCCCTGGGGGAGGAGTTTTCTTAGCTTCCGGTAGGGCAGCCAGGCCGGGGTCCCACCAGACCCAGGACGTGATACCGGTGAAGCGGCACATACAGGAACAAGGCAGGAGGAAAATAATAAGCACCTTAAAGTTTCCACTTTTCGGTACCGTACTTCCTGTTAATGTTTCTAAGCCCGTGATTCTGGGCCTGATAATCAGCCAGCCGTCCTCACAGCAGAGTTGTAAGACGCTGGGCTGCTCAAGCACAAGTTCATATCTAGACCCACCGCTGGCGAGCAGCCCTGGACGTCCCGCTTAGCTGTCCTAACCAACTCAGGTGGCCTTGATCCGCAACAGGACGCGGTACCACGTAATGAACTGTCCATTTGAGTGCAAGGATTTATATTTGTTATTACGATTTGGGGGTGTTTTTAAGAGGCAGGGTTTTGCCCAGGCTGTTCTCGAATTTGGGGCTCAAGCGATCCTCCGACCTCAGCCTCCCAAGTAGCTGGGACTACCCGTGCATGACACCCTATCTGGCCCTTGTTTTTTGTTGTTGTTGTTGTTCTTTCTTTTTTCACGTGGTTTCGCACTTGTCACCCAGGCTGGAGTGCAATGGTGTGTTGTCGGCTCACTGCAACCTGTCTCTCAGGTTGAAGTGATTCTCGTGTCTCAGTCTTCCGAGTAGCTGGGATTACAGGCGTGTGCCACCACGCCTGGCTAATTTTTGTATTTTTAGTAAAGACGGGGCTTCACTATATTGGTCAGGCTGGTCTCGATTTCCTGACCTCAGGTGATCTGCCCACCTCAGCCTCCCAAAGTGCTGATATTACAGGCGTGAGCCACCACGCCCGGCCCGTATCCGGCTTTAAGATTTGTTTTTCACTTGCCCGTGGGAGGATGTACTTATCTCAGATGCTAGAGCCGGGAGACCCTCCCCCCCACCACCCCCATCTCCTGCAGGAGCTCTGATCGCAGATTGGAGTGTCTGAACTCTGCATCTATGGACGGTGCTTCTGTAAGCCGGCCGCAACTCTGGAGTGGCATAGTAAAGTGGCAAAGGCTTTGCCTTTCTGGTTAAAGACCCCAGCACCTCCAGTGAGACCCTTTCCTGTACCCCCACTGATATTCTTTATGGAATGTTTTGTGCGTGAGTCAGCACATTTAATGCCCGTGAATAGTGACAAAACATGGTTTGCAGTACCCTAATGACTGATGATGCTGAGAATCTTTTGATGTGCTTGTTGGCCGTTTGTACATCTTTGGAGAAATTTCTCTTCGTGTCTTTTGTCTATTTTATTTTTTTGGGACAGAGTCTCACTCCTAACCCCGGGCTGGAGTGCAGTGGCACGATCTCCACGCACTACAATTCTTGTACCTCAGCCTCCCAAGTAGCTGGGATTACAGGCGCACGCCACCACCCAGCTCATTTTTTTATTTTTAGTAGAGGTGGAGTTTTTTGTAGAGATTGTGTCTCCCTGTGTTGCCCAGGCTGGTCTTGAACTCCTGGGCTCAAACTGTCCTCCCCCCTTAACCTCCCAAAGTGCTGGGATTACAGGTGTGAGCCATGGCACCCAGCCCTAGAATGATTTTTTAGTTTCCCTTTAAACTTTATTTTTTTATTCACTGTAGTGTGGTGGACGGTGGTGCCCCAAAACTTCACAACCACCTAGACATTCGGAAGGTGACCTTATTTGGAATAAGAGATTTTGCAGATGTAATTGAGTTAAAGATCTGAAGATGAAATCATCATGAATTTAGGGTAGGCCGTAAATCCAATGACTGACATCCTTACAAGAAGACAAGAGGACACAGGCACCCGGGGGAAGAGGCCGTAGGAGACCCAGGCAGAGATTCGGAGCGGTGCCCATGCCAGGGATCTCCAGGAGGAGCCAGAAGCTGGGAGAGGCCCTGCAGATCCTCTCCCAGAGCCTTTGGAGGAGGCACAACCCTGTCCACACCTTGGTCTCCACTTTCTGGCCTCCAGAGCTGTAGGGGAACCCACTTCTGTGGTTTGAAGCCACCAAGTTCGTGGTGACTTATGGCAGCCCTAGGAAAGTGACATGCACAGGTAAACCACATTCACTGCAGGAAATATACAAATCAGCAAAAAGAAAAAAAGCACACAGGGGCACCACCCCCAGAGACAGCCATGGCTGACATCCTAGCGGCTGTCACCTCGGAGTGATGTTCCTAAAATGCAAACTTCTGAACTGCTTAAAACTCTTCCAGACACCCTCAGGTTGACATCACAACTCCTTTGTTGGGCCTTCCAAGGCTGGTCCTTCCCGTGGCCTCTTTTCCCTCCGCTCTGTGACAGTCCATGACGGGCACACTTGCCTATGCTTGTTCTCCCAGGCAGTGGCCTTGTGTGGGCCTTCAGCTTCCAGTTCCATGGCCTGGTGGAGGACCCTGTGGTGCAAGCCTTCCTCCAGACCCCCCTGGCCTGGGGCCCAAGACTGGGAAGCCTTTGGTGAGTGGAGCACCTCCCATTTGCACACTGGCTTCCTGGAGCTTACATTACAAATAACTAGACAATTACCAGCCAGGACAGGTGCTAGGGAGGATGGGAACAGGGTAGGGGGGTGAGGATGATGTCTGCAAAAGCATCCTGCCCTCCAGAGGGAGACCAGACCTTCAGGAAGGACAATCCCTGGGGTTAATGCCATAGCCTCCCACCTCCCAGCTGCCTGGGAGGGTTTCTCGAATTACCTTTTTATCTGGAGACCCCAGCCCCCATCCAACCCCTCCCACAGGGCTGCAAGCAGGGTCTCTTGAGAGGCCTTCTGGCTTCCAGGCCCCATGTGTGCTCCCAGCCTTCTGGGCAGGATGGACTGAGGCTGGTCCTCAGCGCAGGCATGGTGGGGCACACGGCAAGCAGAACAAGTGCCTGGGCCCTCTCTGTGCAGTACCCAGACCCCAAAAGTACTTGGCTCTGAACCTCTGAAACATGCCCTGGTTCCTGTACCCAGGACAAGCAGATATGAAACACTGGAAATGAGTGCCGGGAGGAATGGCCTTCCACGTGCAGCTGGCATGGCCCATGTCCAAGCCACTTCAGCGGCTCTTTCTGGCCTTGGTGTAGCACATCTGGTGAGGTCGATACTGTCCAGCCACCCCTTTCTTTTCTGGAGGGGGAGGAGGGATATTCTTTGTGATGTAAGGGTTTAGAGAGCTTTTAAAGCACTAATTGGGGCCAGGTGTGGTGGCTCACACCTGTAATCCCAGCACTTTGGGATGCTTGAGGCCCAGGAGTTCAAGACCAGCCCTGGGCAACATAGTGAGACTCCCCCCACCACCTCCCATTTCTGAAAAACAAACAGAGAAAAGCACTCATTTTATTTTCTTTCTTTTTTTTTTTTTTTTTGAGACGGAGTCTCGCTCCTTCGCCCAGGCTGGAGTGCAGTGGCGCGATCTCGGCTCACTGCCAGCTCCGCCACCCAGGTTCATGCCATTCTCCTGCCTCAGCCTTCCGAGTAGCTGGGACTACAGGCGCCCGCCACCATGCCCGGCTAATTTTTTGTATTTTTAGTAGAGAGGGGGTTTCGCCGTGTTAGCCAGGATGGTCTCGATCTCCTGATGTCGTGATCCGCCCGCCTCAGCCGCCCAAAGTGCTGGGATTACAGGCGTGAGCCATCGCGCCCGGCCAAGCACCATTTTATTTTCTTAAGATTCCTAGTCTCTTTGAAAGAGGTTACAGTCATAAATTTACAAAGTTTCTTTTTTGTTGTTGTTGTTTTTTGGGAAGGAGTCTCGCTCTGTCACCCAGGCTGGAGTGCAGTGGTGCTATCTTGGCTCACTGCAAGCTCCGCCTCCCAGGTTCATGCCATTCTCCTGCCTCAGCCTCCCAAGTAGCTGGGACTACAGGCACCCGCCACCACGCCCTGCTAATTTTTTGTGTTTTTTTAGTAGAGACAGGGTTTCACTGTGTTAGCCAGGATGGTCTCCGTGTCCTGACCTCATGATCCACCCGCCTTGGCCTCCCAAAGTGAAATTTACAGAATTTCAAAGCCTAGCACAATGGCACACCCGTGATCCCAGCTGCTTGGGAGGCTGAGGCTGGAGAATCACTTGATTGAGCCCATGAGTTCGAGACCAGCCTAGGCAACATAGCAAAACCCCATCACTACAAAAAGTAAGTAAATTATGAAAATCCAATTGAATTATGACTGCCAAGCTTGACGCTTTTGTATTTAAAAGTACTTCTTTAAAAAAAAACACATAAGGCCGGGCGCGGTGGCTCACGCCTGTAATCCCAGCACTTTGGGAGGCCGAGGCGGGCGGATCACGAGGTCAGGAGATCGAGACCATCCCGGCTAAAACGGTGAAACCCCGTCTCTACTAAAAATACAAAAAATTAGCCGGGCGTAGTGGCGGGCGCCTGTAGTCCCAGCTACTTGGGAGGCTGAGGCAGGAGAATGGCGTGAACCTGGGAGGCGGAGCTTGCAGTGAGCCGAGATCCCGCCACTGCACTCCATCCTGGGCGACAGAGCGAGACTCCGTCTCAAAAAAAAAAAAAAAAAAAAAAAAAAAAAAAAAAAAACACATAAAAGATGCATCAGACAAACACATCACTTAATAATTATAAAGTAATGAATATATAAAGACACACTTCCTCAAGTGCCTGACGTCTCAGCCCACTCTGCAGAGCGCCCGGAGCCGTAACAGGAGCCCCTCCAGTGCAGCCTCTGCAGAGTGTCCCTGCAGGACTGGAGCCACTCAGAGACGTCCGTGTTCAGGCACTATTGGCACAACTTCATCAGATTTTAAAAATGCAGGCTGGGCACGGTGGCTCACGCCTGTAATCCCAGTACTTTGGGAGGCCAAGGCGGGCGGATCACCTACGGTTGGGGGTTCGATACCAGCCTGACCAACATGGAGAAACCCCATCTCTACTAAAAATACAAAATTAGCTTGGCATGGTGGCGCATGCCTATAATCCCAGCTACTCAGGAGGCTGAGGCAGGAGAATCGCTTGAACCCGGGAGGTTGCAGTGAGTCGAAATCATGCCATTACACTCCAGTCTGGGCAACAAGAGCAAAACTCCGTCTTAAAAAAAAAAAAAAATGCAGCCTGGCCAACATGGCAAAACCCTGTCTCTGCTAAAAATACAAAAGTTACTCGAGCATGGTGGTATGCACCTGTAGTCCCAGCTACTCGGGAGGCTGAGGCAGGAGGATCACCTGCGCCTTGGGGGGTTGAGGCTACAGTGAGCCGTGATCGTGCTGCTCCACTCCAGCCTGGGTGACAGAGTGAGACTCTTGTCCCCTCCCCCCAAAAAAAAGCCTAAATGCCCATCTACAGGAAATGAGTTAAATTCATTTGAAATTCATTAATTATGAAATTGGGCCCACCTGGTTGATGACATGATTAATTTAACTCATGAATCACTGAATAAAGAGGAGCTCTGCGACCCGGCACGGTGGCTCATGCCTGTAATCCAAGCACTGTGGGAGGCCAAGGCGGGTGGATCACCTGAGGTCAGGAGTTTGAGACCAGCCTGAGCAACATGGTGAAACCCCATCTCTACTAAAAATACAAAAATTATCTGGGTGTGATGGTGGGCACCTGTAATCCCAGCTACTCTGAAGGCTGAGGCAGAAGAATCTCTTGAACCCGGGAGGTGGAGATTGCAATGAGCCGAGATCGTGCCACTGCCCTCCAGCCTGGGCGACAGAGTGAGACTCTGTCTCCAAAAAAAAAAAAAATGGAGCTCTGCATTCTCCTGGTGCTCAAGGCACCAACCATGTCAGGCAACATTGTCATCAGGCTAGTAGGTGGGTGCAGAGATCCAGGGGCAGGTAGGTGGCAGACAAATCCAGGCAGCATCCAGGAGCCCTAGCAGCTTCCCTGCTCCAGCTTGGTGACCGCAGCCAGACGCGCCCACTCCTCAATGCTGCACCGGGAGCCTGTGGAAACCTTTGTGACCCAGGTTCGGCTCGTGGGCCAGGACACGATGCACTTCCCCTCAGCAGGGACAGTGCTCGGCACAGTGCCTGCAGCCTTCACACAGCTCAGCTCTTCTTTCTGGGAGCTAGGAAGCTGTCAGCTTAGCTCTCTGTGAGTGGGGTTTTTAAAATTCTGTTTGCAGTCAGAGCTTATGGTCCCAACACACAAATCCCCACCTATGGGCCTGTCAAGGAGGCACAGGGCCCACGCCCATCCCTCCAGGTGCCCTTCTGCAAGTGACAAGCACCCACAGCCTCAGGGGAGTCCTCAGTCCCCCAGCTGAGCGTGTTGCTCTCTGCAGGGTTGGGTGCCCGAGGTGCCTAAACCAGGGAGGAAGATCGTCTAGTGGGCTGTATGCCCAGCACCACTCAAGGCCGTAGGTGCGAATGTGGATTCCAGTCCTCGGGGGCCCTGGAGAGGGGACCTTTCCATACTTGGGGTGTAGGAACAGTGGGAGGCAGATGTAGGGAGAGGAGAGCTTGCACAGCCAGGCAGGGGCAGGAAGTAGGGGGCTGAGACGCAACGGGTGGCCAAGATGCAGTCCCTCTCCTGCAGGGGTCTCATCGACCCCTGTACACTAAAGACTCCGTCTCCATCTGTGTGTGCGGGGTTTGCTAGGTGAGGTCTCCAGTGCCTGAAGCCCTGTGTGCCAGGGCTGGGTCTACCCCAGAGCCCCACGCACCTTCCAGGTCAGCCCCAGTGGCAGTGCTGCTGTCTTCCTCTGTGATACACAGCCGCAATTCCCCCCTCCCCAGCTTCCCTCCAGGCCAGTGTGGCTGATTTTGCCCACCCAGGAATGCCCTGTGCAGAGGCCCCTCCAGGCAGGTACCTGCAGGGCTGAGGAGGGCTTGTGAGCTCCTGAGTGGCCCAATCTGCCCCCAGAGAAGGTTGGCTCCAATACCGTTACTTGATGGCAGACCAGTCCCTGTGTTTTGAGCAGAAAATGTTCCAATACAGAGCGACTCCAAATAGTTCAAAAATACAAAGCGTGTTGGGAGGAGTCTGGCTTGCTGCCCTTCCCCCCTTACCTGTCCCACCCCAGTGGGTCAGCCTGGGGTTGGTTTCTCCCATGCCTTGTGTATCTTTGGACAAACCCCCCTGTGGCTGTCTGCCTTCTTCATGGCACAGGCCAAGCTGTGTCAGGAGCATGCTGCGCTGCCCTGGCCCGGAGGGACATCTCTGTCACAGCATAAATGCATCTGTGACCTGGTCAATGGGGTCACTCTGCCCTCTGCAGCCAGGTACTAATTGTTCCCTGCCTGTAGTGCCCAGATGCCTGTTCAACAAAACTTTGCCGCCAGAGCGTGTTGCCTTTTTTTTTTTTTTTGAGATTGAGTCTCACCCTGTTGCCCAGGCTGGAGTGCAGTGGCGTGATCTTGGCTCACTGCAACCTCTGCTTCCCGGGTTCAAGCAATTCTCATGCCTCAGCCTCCTGAGTAGCTGGGATTACAGCCACATGCTACCACACCCGGCTAATTTTTGTATTTTTAATAGAGACGGGGTCTCACTATACTGGCCAGGCTGGTCTCAAACTCCTGACCTCAAGTGATCCACCTGCCTCGGCCTCCCAAAATGCTAGGATTACAGACATGAGCCACCATGCCTGGCCCAGGGTGTGTTGCTTTTTGCCTCTCTCCCCAAGAAGTTTGCGTTTCCCTGTTATGAGACTGAGGATCCTCTGTACATGAGAGGTCATTTTAATTTCCCTTCCTGTGAACTGTGTGTGCAGACCCCACGTGAGGTTCCTGTGGTTGCCGCAGCCAATTCGCACAAACCAAGTGGCTATAAACTCCAGTATCGGACCTGACGGTTCTGCGGCTAGAAGTCCAACAGGGGTCTCACCGGCTGGAACGCATGTGCCCCAGGACTGTGTTGCTGCCTGGAGGCTCTCAATGAGAAATCCATCTCCTTGCCTTCAGCTTCAAATGCTGCCTGAGACCCTTATCTCATAGCTGCCTCCATCCCCAAAGCCAGTAGTGGCGGACAAGGCTTTCCCCTGTTGCCTCTCCATGTTCTGAGGCTCCTGCCTGACCTTGCACATTTCAAGACCCTTGTGATCACACTGGGCCCCAGATCCTCAGGACACTCTCTCCATCTGAAAACCAGCAGTGGCATCCTCCCTTCTACCTCGATTCCCCTTCATCATGGGGTAGTGGTGTTCACAAAGGAATCACAGGTCCCTTCACTCTGTTTCTTTGGGGTCTTTGGCCTTCCTCTTCTCTTTTTCCAAGACGCCTGCAAATATCCAGGAAACTGGGTCTGTTTCTCATGTGACCTGCCAAATGTTTCTTTCCAGTTGACAGCATCCGTTTACACTTTACCAACGATGTTTGTTGTTTTTGTTGCAGAAGATTTCAGTTTGTAAGTAGTGAGAGCAATGATCTTGGCTTTGCATGGTGCTCAGGAAGCCTTCCCCGCTCCCAAACCAGAAAGGAATCCATCCAGATTTTCCTCCACTGTCTGGATGGCCGCTCTGTGGATGCTTCCATCTGTATCCATTGCCGGCACCTGGTGAGGTATGAGGAATGGGGCCCGGCTTTCCAAACACTCTCCAGATGCCCCACCCTCTGGATGGCTTCTGGCTGCCCATGGGGACACCGTGGACCTTAATGGTGGAGGAGCCAGGGTGAGGTGACTTGGGATGAAGTCCCATGACAGGGTCACAGGGTCGTACAGGAGGGAGCAGATTTCAGACTAGCAGGGTGGGAGCCCTGTGGGGGTCCTCCGAGGAGCAGATCCTGGTCCAGACACCCACAGAGGGCTGGGGTGGGGGTATCCTGGCCAAGGGGGTGTGGCCAGCAGCACTTTCCCTGCTCTGTGCACCCTGGGCCTCCATTCTGCGAAGGCCTGGGGATGTGCCGGTGGCAGAACCACGCGCCTCAGGAGAAGGCCCGCCGTCCTGTCGGGCATTGCCACATCCTTGCCTGGAGAAGCAGAGCCTCCCCCAGCGTCCAGCTGGCTGGCAAGTTTTCGAGGACGCTTTACACTTTTCCTAAATAAGCTGCACACTTACAGTGAAATCATCTCCTCCCTCCTAACACAGCCACCCCATACCCTAGTATTGGCTGCAGCACAGCTCTAGAGTGAGGGATGATCTCCAACACAGACAACGCAAAGCCTCCCTTCCACTCCCACGAGAAAGGCCTCTGTGGACCCCTCAGGCTCCATCCCCGGGCTGGTATCCCAGGCTCAGCAGGAGCAGTGCTGGGGGACTCTACGGGACCTCGTACCCCAGAGCCTAGAACCCCCCGTGCGGTGTGCCTGGCCCTCACTGTGAGGACTACGCCGGCCGCTTCTGCTCTGAGAGCCTTCATGTGTCCCCCTGGCTCCTTCCACCAGCCCAGGGGTAGAGGGTGGGATGCCAAGGCCTCTGGGAGACAGAACTCAGAGGGGCAGAGTCCCTGCCCAGAGGCCACCAGCAGGTCCCTGCAAAGGGCAGAGTGGGCAGTATCTGGTGTGGAGCCTGTACTCAGTGGGATGGGGCCATCGTGAGGGTCCAGGCCAGCCTGTCTGAGACCTCTGCTCACTGCTCCAGTCTGTCCAGGCCCTGGGTCTCCTGGCCCCCACTCCAGTGGCATCTTTGTGAGGATTAGATTATGGTGCCCTCCCCCAACCCCAGGTGTCCCAGCCCTCTACCAAGGCCCATGACCCAGCCCTTTAGAGTCTGGTTTGGACATGGCACCTGCTAAGCCCAGGCCAGCAGCCCCATGGGATGGACTCCCCACTGCCGGTGTCTGCCTCCTGGGTCTGAGGAATCTTTTTTTTTTTTTTTTTTTTTTTGAGGCAGCGTCTCACTGTGTTGCCCAGGCAGGACTGCAGTGGTGCGATCTCAGCTCACTGCAACCTCCACCTCCCGGGTTCAAGCAATTCTCCTGCCTCAGCTTCCTGAGTAGCTGGAACTACAGGTGCGCCACCAACCCAGCTAATTTTTCTTTTTCTTTTTCTTTTTTTTTTTTTTTTTTTGAGATGGAGTCTCACTCTGTTTCCAGGCTGGAGTGCAGTGGTGCAATCTCAGCTCACTGCACCCTCAGCCTCCCAAGTAGCTGGGACTACAGGCACATACCACCACACCCAGCTAATTTTTGTATTTTTAGTGGAGATGGGGGTTTCACCATGTTGGCCAGGATGGTTTCGATCTCCTGACCTCGTGATCTGCCCACCTCGGCCTCCCAAAGTGCTGGGATTACAGGTGTGAGCCACTGCACCCAGCCCTAATTTTTGTGTTTTTATTAGAGTTGGGGTTTCACCATGTTGGCCAGGCATGTCTGAGAATTCTACAGCTTCATTTTGTGCCTAGGGCCAGGACAGTGGAGGTTGTGGGCCACACAGCATTCCCAGGTAGCTGAAGCTTCTCTGTTGATGGAACAGCCCCAGGCACGTGGCTTGGCTTGTGGTGTGAGGGGTGGCCATTGGGTCCATTGCTGTGGTGTCACTGTTTGCTTCTCCGCACCAAGAGACTCCACCTGGGACCCGCCTGCTAGGGGCTAGCGTCAGGGTTAGGTTAGGGAGGAGGTGGCTTCATCTGAGCTCCAGGACATTGGCTGGAGCTTCCTTTGCTTTTCTGTCACGGTGTGGTCCCCAGTCCTTGGGACAAACTCACCTGAGTCCCTGAGGTTTCCCCCTCCTGCTGCCCCTGGCCTGAGCTCTGAGAAGCCTGACCCCAACCCTCCCAGAGCTTCCCTCGAGGGGCCCTTCGTAGGCTGCCCTGTGTTCACTACCCTCCCAGGTCCAAGTCTCACCTCCTCCAGAAGGCCTCCCAGGACTGCTGGCCCCAGACACAGAACTCCCAAGGGAAGGCTCTTCCACTAAAAGTCCAGCTGCAGCGATAATGATGAGTTTGGAGAGGGCTGCAGACCCTGAGGCAGGGGTTGGTGCAGGGGCTGGACCTGAAACTGGGTTCACACAACAAGCTCGGACTCCTCTTAACACTCCTGATTGGTGACATTATGGGGTCTTGGATGCCTCCTCCTCTCTGTCCCTCGTACTGCCCCTGCCACCTGGGACTCCACCAAGTTCCTTCTCCACCAGCCATGAGGAGAGCCTGCCCAGGGGCCAGCACTCTCTCCCTGAGCCTTAGAACCAGGAGGATTCTCACTGCTTCTATGTCACAGTAGGTAAAAAACACATAAAATAAAATGAAATATCATGATCACCTGAGAAGAAAGTTCAGAGTAGGCCCGTATCACGTGTTTCCAGAGAATCCACAGCTTCCCTATGAAGCCATTGCTGGCATAGGGAAGGGTGGGGCCAGGAAACAGCCGCTATCCAGCCCCTCCAGGTTGACTCAAGTCAGAGTGTGTGGGGGCCAGTCATGGAACAGAGGGAGCCTCCTGCCCAGGGCAAGCGTGGGGAGACCACCAGGGGCCCCAGACAGGTGAGCCGCTCCAGCAGGGACAGCACAGGTGGTGCATGGTCGGGGCTGGACATCGGGGTTAGTCGGCAAGGATGAGGAGTCTCTGGGGATGGAGGCTGAGGCTTGGGGTTCTCAGGCAAGGGCAGGCCTAGGTGCAGCAGAGAATTGTTTGGAGGGAGGAAATCAAGCTTTCCTTCTAGAAAGGGTGACAGGGACCAAAGGGAGAGGGCAGGGACAGCCCCTGGAAAGGGCAGGTGAGGAAGGTGAGGCTGGAGGGGACCCAAGAAGGGATCCTGGGGAGGTAGTGGCCAAGAGCAGGGTGAGGGCCAGGCCGCACCTTTCGCTGTACCCAGCTCTCCCTGGGGTGGCCCTGGCCCTGCTCTGCTGTCCCCTGCAGGACAGGTGCCTCAGGCTTGTCCCAGCTTGTCCTACAGCAGGTCCTCAGCACCCACAGGTCCTGCCTTGGGCTCTGCAGAAGCAGGGAGTGGTGAGGTCAGGACCCTGGGCCACAGAAGAAATGGTCTGGGGGACAAGGACGGGGGTTGGGGGACTGACAGCTGTTTTCTGAAGGCCCGGGGAGTGGAGGAGAGGGGTGAGGGGCCAAGGCTTGGGGCTCAGTATGGGGGCAGCTGCAGGGGGTGAGGGGGCCAGTGGGGCCAGTGAAGAGGGCCTAGGGTCTGGTATCTGCAGCAGGCACTCACAGAGGACAGACTGTTTGCAAGGTAGGTCAGGTGACAGGGAGCCAGGGGGGCTGAGGAGGCTCAGGGCCTGACTCCAGGGAGAGCAGTTGCCATCCCCCAGGTCCAGAGGGGCCCTGGGAGGAGTCCAGGCAGGGCTGAAGCTGGAAGAAGTAAGAGGGGCTGGCACTCAAGGACTGCAGCCACTGGCCAGGTGGGGCCAGGTCGGACCGGCTGCCTTCCCTGGTCTCAGCCCCAGCCTTCTGTGGCTGCCTCCCCCATCGGAGCCATCAGAGAGCAGGATGTGGGAGGGGCAGGTGAAGGACAGCCTCTGTGATAGTCCCTGGTGTGCTGCAGCCTGGGGTGAGGGGCCTTGGGGATGGGAAGGGCTGGGAGCTGGGAGACGATGGCTCCCAGCACTTGGTCCTGAGGGGCCTTGGAGCAGCTTCCCCCAGGCCTGCAGAGGCAACTTCTGACACTCGGGGAGCTGAGGCCAAGGGAAGGCTCCCCAGACACAAGGAGAAGGGGCTGGGGGCAGCCAGAAGGCTTTGGGCTACCCTCCCTGGAGGCTCAGGTCCCAGGTGACCCCTCCAGCTGTGTTCCTTCCAAGATTGGGACCTGCAAAGATTGCAGATGTGAGGAAAGGAAGGTGTCTTGGGCATTCTTCCCAGTGTGGCTGAGCTGTGCCTGTGAGGACATGCAGACACTCAGAGGACCTGTCCTCAGGGGCCCCAGGGTGAAGGTCAAGATCTCACCTTACAACCAGCCGGGCCCTGACTACTTCCAGCCACCAGGCCCCCAGGACAGGAGCAGGACAGTGGTTATTTCCCCAGTGGACGGGGGGCTCCAGGTCACATAAGAATAACATGCCCTGTGACAAGGCGTGGGGATGAAAATGCTTCCCCCTGGGCTGAGATTCCAGGACACCTGAGATGGGGGGACCCCGGCCACATGTTTAGAGCTCTCAGGGAACCTGGAGGGCCCCTCAGCCTCTGTTCCCCTACTGGGGAGAACAGAGGCCTGGTGGTAGCAATTTCAGGGAACTCAGAGAAACACTGTTCCCCAGACCTTGGAGCTCCCTCTGTGCCTGGCTCTCACTGTGAGGCCCCCCACCAGCTGGTCCTGCTCAGGGAGCCTCCACGTGTCCCCCTGGTTCCTCCGGCCAGCCTAGGGGTGGAGGGTGCGGTCCCCATGGCCTGTAGGAAGTAGGGCTCAGAGGGGCAAAGTCACCGCCCTGAGGTCACCAGGAGGTCCCGGCAGAGGGGGTTGGGGCCTGGCTCAGGGCCTGTTCTCCCTGCTGAGCTCAGTGGGATGGGGCCATCTCAAGGGTCCCACTGTTTTTCTCTGGTCTCTGCCCCAGCATGTGGTGGGACCTTGATTTCCATACTCTCATGTCACCAGTCTGTTGGGGGGCAGAGGTTATGGGGTCACTGATATCACCTGGCTCATTCCTCCCCCATCCAGGCTGTCCCATGAGAATGTCTAATCTGTATGTCATCGGAGTCAATAATGTGTTTTGCTATCGCTCTGGTTCCAGGGATATTGCTCAGCCAAAGGGCCAGCATCCCAGTGAAGAAGATCAGAAAGAGGCTTCCGGTCACCAGGAGACTCCTGGGGAGGGCCTAGGCTGGGAGTGGGACACGGGTGGGGTTGGATGGAAGAGTACCAGGTGGGCCTAGGATGGATGGAGGAGGCTGTGTCCCCAGCTACAGGCCTGGAGATGTTACGGGACCCAACAGGCCCCCAGCCTCCATCCCCGTGCTGGGTTCTCAGGTTTAGTGGGGGCAGTGCCTGGGGACTCAGAGGGACCCTGACCCCAGAGCTTGGAGACCCCTCTGGAGCATGCCTGGCTCTCACTGTGAGGCCCGCACCAGCCAGTCCTGCTCTGAGAGCCTCCTCGTGTCCCCCTGGCTTGTCCTGCCAGCCTGGGGGTGGAGGGTGTGGTCCCCATGGCTTGTGGGAGGGAGGGCCCAGAGGGGCAAAGTCACCACCCTGAGGCCACCAGGAGATCCCTACAGAGGGCAGAGTGGGTTGGGGCCTGCCTTAGGGTCTGTTCCCCTTGAGCTCGGTGGGACAGGGCCATCTCGAGGGTCCCAGTGTTTTTTTCTGGTCCCTGCCCCAGTGTTTAATGGGACACAGCCCCTCACATCCCCAGTCTGTGGGGGGCAGAGGTCATGGGTCACTGACATCCCCTGGCTCATTCCTCCCACATTCACCCAACAGACCCCTTATCCTCCATCCCCCTGCTGAGACTGGGGATTGGCTCAGGGCCTGTTCTCCCCACTGAGTTTGGTGGGATGGGGCCATCTTGAGGGTCTGGGTGTTTTTCTCAGGTGGGACCTAGATCCCCACAGTCCCTCACGTGCCCAATCTGTGGGGTGGGCATGGGGTCACCAAGGTCACCTGGTTCATTCTTCCCCCATCCAGATTCCGTCTCTAGAGCCTTTGAGGTCACTCCTGACGCTGACATGGCTGTGAAGAGCTGGGTGCCAGGCATTACTGCCTCCAAGGTTGCTTTGCGAGGAATAGGTGGGGCATCAGGAAGAAGCCAGTTGCAGGTCAGGAGAGAGCACTGCCTCAGCTGGGGAGGGCCTGGCTGGGGGTCCCTAGGGCAGTGCAGGGCCCGAGAGTTAGAGGGAGGCCCAGGATGGGTGTGGGAGGCTGGGGTCAAGGCTAGGACTGGAGCTCGGCTCTCTAAGACCCTGAGGCCCCCTCCCTCCTTTTGTTGCCTTTTGTCGCCCTCCTGCAGGCAAGGCCTCTGCTGATGCTGCTTTTTTCTCCTGTACCCATCCATGGGAGGGAGCTGTGAGATGGCCTGGCAGAACCCGCTCTTGGACCCCACAGAATGAGAGGCTCACCCTGCACAGGAACATCCTGGGGCAGCAGGCTCAGCACATTTTAAATTTTGAGTATGAACAAAGTAAACTTCAGGGTTAAAAAAAAACACAAAAATTTGTCGAGCACACAATGATTGAGTGCCTATGGTATACCTGACGCTTTGCCATATCCAGGCTTCAAACCTCAGGGTTCTGGGTCCTTTGAGGCCCAGCTCCAACCCCACCTCACCCAAGCACTCTCCACCCCCACCACGTAACCTTACCAGGGCTGCCCAGCTTGGGTCATCTCAGACCACTTGGGCCCCTCAGGCCTCACGCCCTGAGCCCCTCAGCCTGGAAACCAGCCTGGACACTATGGGGGCCCCTGAGGTTTCCACCTCCTGCTGCCCTTGGCCTGAAAGGGGTCAGTGGGACCCCGCCTTGGGCCTCTGGGAGGCTGTACCTTTGCTTCTGCCTCATCCTGTTCTCCAGGGCCCTGTCCCCTTCTTGCTGGGCCCTCCCGGGATGCCCCCCAGTCACTGACCTCACTGGCCTAAGTCTCGCCTCCTCCAGGAAGCCTTCCAGACTGATGGCTCCCAGGCACTGAGCATCCCCCAACCTTGCTGTGAATGGTGGATGCCCACCATGGGCCCTCGGAAGCCAGGGAAGCCTGGGTCTCCTTGCAGGGGCCGCCACAGTTTTTCAGCCACTGCGATTCCACCCAGGTAAATCCCTTTCCTGCTTGTGTTTCCCAAGAATAACTGTGGAACGTGCTGGAAATGCAACATCCTGAGATAGGGAGAACAGCCTGAAGCAGCCAGGGCCTAGTTCCTATGCTCTGAGAGAAGGGAACGTCATGAGTTAGGTAGGGGCCCCCAAAGAAGAAAGCGAGGCAAAAATCCCTGTAAGTAGAGCTCGCCTGGGCCAAGGTGAAGACAACCACCGGGGAGACTCAGAATTGGAATATGAGCTCCGTTCAGCCTTTGTAACAGGCTTTTTTTTTTTTTTTTGAGATGGAATCTCCCTCTGTCTCCCCAGGCTGGAGTGCAGTGGTGGGATCTGGGCTCACTGCAACCTCCGCCTCCCGGGTTCAAGCGATTCTCCTGCCTCAGCCCCCCCGAGTAGCTGGGATTATAGGCACCCACCACCACGCCTGACTAATTTTTTTGTATTTTTAGTAGAGACGGGGTTTCACCATGCTGGCCAGGCTGGTCTGGAACTCCTGACTTCAAGTAATCCGCCTCCCTCGGCCTCCCAAAATGCTAGGATTACAGGCGTGAGCCACCGTGCCTGGCCACAAGCAGGCTTTTAAAGGCAAACGGGCTGGGTGCAGTGGTTCATGTCTGTAATCCCAGCATTTCGGGAGGCTGAGGCAGGTGGATCATCTGAGCTCAGGAATTTGAGACCAGCCTGGCCAACATGGTGAAACCCCATCTCTACCAAAAATACAAAAAATTAGCTGGGCATGGTGGTGCGTGCCTGTAGACCCAGCTACTCAGGAGGATGAGGCCAGAGGATCACTTGAGCCTGGGAGGTGGAGGTTGCAGTGAGCCAAGATCACACCACTGCACTCCAGCCCGGGCAAGAGAGCAAGACTCCGTCTCAAAAAAAAAAAAGTTTATTTGAAAAAATTTAAAAAATAAGAAAGTTTATTTGAGGCCAGGTGTGGTGGCACAGACCTGTAATCCTAGCACTTTGGAATGCTGAGGTGGGAGGATCACTTGAGTTTCAGAGTTTGGAACCAGCCTGGGCAACAGAGTGAGACCTTATCTCTATTTATTAAAAATTTTTTAAAAAGAAAAAAAGTTTATTTGAGCATGTATTGCTCAATGAACCCTCCTATCACAAGACTGTGGGTGACTAGCACTCTCAGGGAGAGCCAGGGGGACACTTACCAAGCATTTGCAGAAGCAAACCCAGGAAAACAACTCGACGGTTAGAGTGGAAAGTCTCTCGTTAGGGCTGGTGGTTTCAGGCTGGCGCCATTTCTGGATTAACTGTGTGGTTCCCATAGGGCATGGTTTCTTCATGGAGAAATTGAAGGACTGGAGCCACCCCAGCCCAAGAACTTCCCAAAGAGGATTTTTACAGACAGTGTTGTCCTTCTAGTCAGCCTGTCCGTGATGAGAGATTGGCCAAAACGTAGGCATGAGCACCACTCTGTCACCATCGTGGACGGGTGGTGGTTGTCTCATTCAGGGACTTGAGGTCACAGCGTGAGGCTCTTTGAGGAGAGATTTCTTTTATTGTTCATCTCATTGTGGTTTCTTTTTCTTTTTTTTTTTTTTTTTTTTATTTTTTGAGATGGAGTTTTGCTCTTGATGCCCAGGCTGGAGTGCAATGGCGTGATCTCAGCTCACCACAACCTCTGCCTCCTGGGTTCAAGCGATTCTCCTGCCTCAGCCTCCTGAGTAGCTGGGATTACAGGCGTGTGCCACCACGCCCAGGTAATTTTTGTATTTTTAGTAGAGACGAGGTTTCACGATGTTGGTCAGGCTGGTCTCGAACTCCTCACCTCATGATCTGCCCACCTCAGCCTCCCAAAGTGCTGTGATTACAGGCGTGAGCCACCGCTCCCGGCCTCACTGTGGTTCTAATGACACACGATCTTGGCTTACTGCAACCTCCGCCTCCTGGGTTCCAGCAATTCTCCTGCCCCAGACTCCTGAGTAGCTGGGATTACAGGCACGCGCCACCAAGCCTGGCTAGTTTCTGTATTTTTAGTAGAGACGGGGTTTCTCTATGTTGGTCAGGATGGTCTCGAACTCCTGACCTTGGGTGACTCGCCCACCTCGGCCTCCCAGAGTCCTGGGATTACAGGCGTGAGTCACTGCACCCAGCCAAGAAACAACTTTTGAATGTAGATATCAACTGCTTTTAGAAAATGATCCAAACATGGCCAGGTGTGGTAATCTCAGCACTTTGGGAGGCTGAGGTGGGTGCATCACCTGAGGTCAGGAGTTCGAGACCAGCCTGGCCAACATGGCAAAATCCTATCTCTACTAAAAATACAAAAATTAGCCAGGCATGGTGGCAGGTGCCTGTAATCTCAGCTACTCGGGAGGCTGAGGCACGAGAATCACTTTAACCCAGGAGGTGGAGATTGCAGTGAGTCGAGATTGCACCACTGCACTCCATCTAGCCTGGGCAACAGAGTGAGATTTTGCCTCAAGAAATAAATAAATAGGGCTGGCACGGTGGCTCACACCTGTAATCCCAGGACTTTGGGAGGCCCAGGCGGGCAGATCACCTGACGTCAGGAGTTTGAGACCAGACTCAACATGGAGAAACTCCACCTCTACTAAAAACACAAAATTAGCCCGGCGTGATGGTGCATACCTGTAATCCCAGTTACTTGGGAGGCTGAGGCAGGAGAAGTGCTTGAATCTGGGAGGCGGAGGTTGCGGTGAGGCGAGATTGCGCCATTGCGCTCCAGCCTGGGCAACAAGAGCGAAACTCCGTCTCAGAGAAAAAAAAAAGATTTCAATTTACCAGAAACTGCTTTTTTTAAATTTTATTTGTTTATTTATTTATCTTTAAGATGGAGTCTCACTCTGTCACCCAGGCTGGAGTGCAGTTGAGCAATCTAGGCTCACCAAAACCTCTGCCTCCTGGGTTCAAGTGATTCTCCTGTCTCAGCCTCCCAGTAGCTGAGACTACAGGCATGTGCTACCACGTGCGGCTAATTTTTGTATTTTTAGTAGAGACGGGGTTCGCCATGTTGGCCAGGCTGGTCTCAAACTCCTGACCTCAGGTGATCCACCCGCCTCGGCCTCCCAAAGTGTTGGGATTACAGGTGTGAGTCACTGCACCTGGCAAAAATGTTTTTAAGCTACTTTTATGTAGACATATTTTGTAAAATATAACTATTTTGAAAAGTGTATTTATAAAGTCTTTTTTTTTGAGACAGGGTCTTCCTCTGTCACCCAGGCTGGAGTGCAGTGGCACAATCATGGCTCACTGCCACTTCAACCTTCCGGGTTCAAGCAGTCCTCACACCTCAGCCTCCCAAGTAGCTGGGACACAGATGCATGCCACCACACCCAGCTAATTTTATTATTTGCAGAGTCTGGATCTTGCTATGTTGCCCAGGCTGGTCTTGAACTCCTGGGCTCAGGAGATCCTCCTGCCTCAGCCTCCGAAAGTGCTGGGATTACAGGCATGAACCACCACAACTGGCCCTATTTATAAACCTTTATTTCATTTACATTTACCTAATTCACTTGTTCTTCATAATTGTGCATGGATTGCCCGTGAAAAGTTTCATGAGACGTTAACCAAAGGTAGCCATTGATGGATTTCAAGAAATGCCACCCCATATCACCCAAAGATATGATGCTTTGGTACACTGATCATTTCTTGCTAAAAGCACTTGGAAAAATAACAAATGCAGAGAGAGGCTTTCTCGGCCTAAAAACACATCCTCCGCAGGAACCCAGTCCCCTGCCCGACACCATCAACTAACGCTATTTTATTTTTGTTGATACATCAGGCAAGTTTCAAAAATATCACAGAAGCAAAGTAATTTAAAAGTTACCCATGATTCTTTCCAAGGTGTTTTTGGCTTACCTTCCATGACTCATGCACCAAATGATTCCTTTTACTGCTTTTTTTTTTTTTGAGACGAAGCCTCACTCTGTTGCCCAGGCTGGAGTGCAGTGGCGTGATCTCAGCTCACTGCAACCTCTGCCGCCTGGGTTCAAGCCATTCTCCTGCCTCAGCCTCCCGAGTAGCTGGAATTACAGGTGCCTGCCACCGCCCCTGGCTAATTTTTGTAGTCTTAGTAGAGACAGGGTCTCACCATCTTGGCTAGGCTGGTCTTGAACTCCTGACCTCGTGATCCGCCTGCCTCGGCCTCCCAAAGTGCTGGGATTACAGACGTGAGCCACCGCGCCAGGACTTTACTGCTCATTTTTTTACTCTTAGGTTAGATTTATGGTTGAATGGTCATAAGCATCTAGCAGAGACAGCACAAACTTGTCTCGCCCCAACCCAGGAAAAACCAGCAATTCTGAAAACACTCCTATTTTTATTTCACTAACAATTGTAAAACTATATTTACCAAAGATCTCCTTCATGTGAACTTAGAAAAAACTCCACATTTTGGATTAGTTTCAACATTTCTGTGCATTTTCAGAGTAACTTATAAGAGTGCTCATTTACCCCCAAGCCAATTTGAATACACGTCCCTTAAAGGATTGTATAAATTGGTTTAGTAACGCCATCCAAAAATATCATATAAATTAACATATAAACCTACATACACTCACAGAAAGATGCTCAAACATGCAGACGTAAGCTGACAAACGCTGATTTAAGAGTTACTTATTAGGAGAAATCCAAAGGTCATTCTAGGCTGTTGGTTGCCCTGACATTGCTGTCACTGCAAGACTGTGCATTTAGAAGCATTTTTGTTTTGTATCTTGTGCTAAGGTCCTTTGAAAATGTTCAGCTAACATAGATGAGTCTGTAGCTTCCCTCCCTATCTTTTTTCTCTTTCTTTTATGTATCTACTAATGTGCAGGTAGAGTTCATTTGCCAAGAGAGTAGCGAGGGCTGGCTGAATTGACTCAAATGCTGGAAGAAAAAACCTCCAAGAGGGCTTTGACATCAGTTACGGGTTCATCCTTCTTTCATCTGCAGGTCTGGTTCACTGACCAGTCAGCACAGGTAGGAAACAGTAGAAATGGCTTTCAAAAGTTTGCCATTTTTGGCCAGGCGCGGTGGCTCACACCTGTAATCCCAGCACTTTGGGAGGCCGAGGCGAGCAGATTACTTGAGGTCAGGAGTTTGAGACCAGCCTGGACAACACAATGAAACCCCATCTCTACTAAAAATACAAAATTAGTGGGACGTGGTGGCTGGTGCCTGTAATCCCAGCTACTTGAGAGACTGAGGCAGGAGAATCACTTGAACGCAGGAGGCAGAGGTTGCAGTGAGCCCAGATCACGCCATTGCACTCCAGCCTGGGTGATAGAGTGAGACTCTGTCTCAAAAAGAAAAAAAAAAGTTTGCCATTTTTGGGGCTTTTTTCTGGTCTATAAATTGACCATATGGTGTCTCATGACTACAGATATTATCTTTATCTTCAGAAGTGATACTATTCTTCCTCGTACATCCATCTTGGAGCATCTCCAGATTCTATCAACATGTGTTTATATTACTAAATTCAGGATATAACCCATTAACAAATGGGGCTGATGAAGCATTTCCTATGCCACGCAGGATACCTTTCGTTATGGCTGTGACCTCAAGATTTTGACCAAGGCACAGGGTGTTTAAAAAGCCCACTTTGGCCAGGCGTCATGGCTCATGCTGTTAATCCCAGCTTTGGGAGGCCAAGGCAGGAGGATTGCTTGAGACTAGGAGTTCAGGACCACCCTGGACAACATAATGGGACCTCATCTCTACAAAAAAATTAAAAAATTAGCTGGATGTGGTGATGCATGCCTGTAGTCTCAGCTACTGAGGAGGCTGGGAGATTGAGGCTGCAGCGAGCCATGATTTTGCTGCTGCACTCGAGCCTGGGTGACAGAGCAGGACACTGTCCCAGTCAATCAATCAATAGCAGACCTGATTGATCTGAAGGCCTAACTTTTATAAAAACTTATCTAATCATCCTGGTTAACACAGTGAAACCCCGTCTCTACTAAAATATACAAAAAATTAGCTGGGCGTAGTGGTGGGCGCTTGTAGTCCCAGCTACTCGGGAGGCTGAGGCAGGAGAATGGCGTGAACCAGGGAGGCGGAGCTTGCAGTGAGCCGAGATTGCGCCACTGCACTGTAGCCAGGGCGACAGAGCGAGACTCCGTCTCTTGGGGAGTTGTTTTTTAATCATTGCATAGTTTCCCTCATTCTTTTTTTCTTTTTTCTTTTTTTTTTGAGACCGAGTCTCACTCTGTCACCCCGACTGGAGTGCAATGGCACAATCTCGGCTGACTGCAACCTCTGCCTCCCGTGTTCAAGCAATTCTCCTGCCTCAGCCTCCTGAGTAATTGGGATTCCAGGTGCCCACCAACACGCCCGGCTAATTTTTGTATTTTTAGTAGAGACAGGGTTTCACCATGTTGCTCAGGCTGGTCTTGAACTGCTGACCTTAGGTGATCCACCCGCCTCGGCCTCCCAAAGTGCTGGGATTACAGCCATGTGCCACCGCGCCTGGTGGTTTTTTTGTTTTGTTTTGTCTTGTTTCTTTAAGTTATGCTATGTTCAGTTTTGTTTCGTTTTGTTTTTTGAGACAGAGTCTCGCTCTATCGCCCAGGCTGGAGTGCAGTGGTGCGATCTCGTCTCACTGCAAGCTCCGCCTCCTGGGTTCACGCCATTCTCCTGCCTCAGCTTCCCGAGTAGCTGGGGCTACAGGCGCCCGCCACCACGCCTGGCTAATTTTTTGTATTTTTTAGTAGAGACGGGGTTTCACCATGTTAGCCAGGATGGTCTCAATCTCCTGACCTCATGATCCACCCGCCTCGGCCTCCCAAAGTGCTGGGATTACAGGCGTCAGCCACTGTGCCCAGCCTATGTTCAGTATTAACATTGCTTTCCCAGGTTGGTTTTTGTTGTTGTTGTTGTTTGTTATTGTTGTTGTTGTTTGTTTGTTTGTTTGTTTAAGATAGAAGTCTTGCTCTGTTGCCCAGGCTAGAGTGCAGTGGCATGATCTTGACTCATTGCAACCTCTGCCTCCCGGGTTCATTTGATTCTCCCACCTGGGCCTTCTGAATAGCTGGGACTACAGGTACCTGCCACCACGCCCAGCTAAGTTTTGCATTTTTAGTAGAAACGGGGTTTTGCCGTGTTGGCCAGGTTGGTCTTGAACTTCTGGCCTCAAGAGATCTGCCTGCCTCGGCCTCCCGAAGAGCTGGGATTCCAGGTGTGAGCCACTGCGCCTGGCCTAGCCTCCTTTCTGATGCTTGTGCTGAGCTGGATGTCAGCCTGGAGTAAAGGCTCTGTGGCAACACAGAACAGCAGACAATGGGGAAGAGCAGAACCGCTTGAGACCCATCACAGGCCCCGTGAGAAACAGGCAGGACAATCTTTCAGTCAGCCTGCGTCTCACATGGAGAAATAAGTGTCAGGGATTAGACTGGTTAGCTTTAATTTTCCAAGTGGCTTTTAAAAATCGATAAATTGACTGTTTTCTCTCTCATTTGAGTCAGAGTCAGGCACAAATTCTTAAAGAAAAATAGGCCGGGTGCGGTGGCTCACGCTTGTAATCCCAGCACTTTGGGAGGCCGAGGGGGGCGGATCACAAGGTCAGCAGTTTGAGACCAGACTGAGCAACATGGTGCAACCCCATCTCTACTAAAAATACAAAAATTAGCAGGACGTGGTGGTGGGCGCCTGTAATCCCAGCTACTCCGGAAGCTGAGGCAGGAGAATTACTTGAAACCGGGAGGCGGAGGTTGCAGTGAGCTGAGATCTTGCCACTGCTCTCTAGCCTGGGTGACAGAGCAAGACTCTCACTCAAAAAATAAATAAATATAAATAAATAAGTAAAATAAAGAAAAATAAATTTATTTTTAATAAATTTTTAAAATTTGGCCAGGCACGGTGGCTCATGCCTGTAATCCCAGCATTTTGGGAGGCCGAGATGGGTGTATCACTTGAGCTCAGGAGTTCGAGACCAGCCTGGAAAACATAGTGAAACCCCATCTCTACAAAAAATACAAAAATTAGCTGGGCATGGTGGTGAGTGCCTGTAGTCCAAGCTACGGGGGAGGCTGGGGTGGGAGGATCCCCTGAGTTTGAGGAGGTTGGGGCTGCAGTGAGCCGAGATCACACCACTACACTCCAGCCTGAGCAGCAGAGTGAGGCCCTGTCTCAAAAAATAAATTAAAATAAAATGAAATAAAATAAAAATGGTTCCTGAAGTGGGTGTTGAAGTCCTGACTTCCCTTGACACGTTTTGGGGGAATATGACAATTACAGATGTGGTGAGGTCAGCTGACTCATTGAATGTCTTGGGTGAAATTTTTCCTATCAATATCTCTGTGATGTTTGAACTTTTTTTTTTTTTTTTTTTGAGACATAGTTTCGCTCTGTCGCCCAGGCTAGAGTGCAGTGGCGCAATTTCAGCTCACTGCAAGCTCTGCCTCCCAGATTGAAGTGATTCTCCCACCTCAGCCTCCCGAGTAGCTGAGATTACAAGTGCCCGCTACCACGTCCAGCTAATTTTTGTATTTTTAGTAGAGACAGGGTTTCACTATGTTGCCCAGGCTGGTCTCAAACTCCTGACCTCAGGTGATCCCCACGGCTCAGCCTCCCAAAGTGTTGTGATTACAGGCGTCAGCCACTGCGCCCGACCTGAACTCATTTTCCCTTGTCATTTGGGTTATCGTTTGTTCTGCTTGTTTTGTTTTTTTGTTTGTTTATTTGTTGAGATGGAATTTCGCTCCTCTTGCCCAGGCTGCAGTGCAATGGCACAATATTGGCTCACAGCAACCTCTGCCTCCCAGGTTCAAGCAATTATCGTGCCTCAGGCTCCCGAGTAGCTGGGATTACAGGCACCTGCCACTATGCCCAGCTAATTTTTTATGTGTTTTTAGTAGAGACTGGGTTTTGCCATGTTGGCCAGGCTGGTCTCAAACTCCTGACCTCAGGTGATCAGCTGACCTCGGCCTCCCAAAGTGCTGGGATTACAGGGGTGAGCCACCGTGCTGGCTTTTTTTTTTTTTTTCTTTTGAGACAGAGTTTTTGCTCTTGCCACCTAGGCTGGAGTGCAATGGCAAGATCTCAGCTCACTGCAACCTCCGCCTCCGGGGTTCAAGCGATTCTCCTGCCTCAGTAACTGGGACTATAGGCACGTGCCACCATGCCCGGCTGATTTTTATATTTTTGGTAGAGGTGGGGTTTCACCATGTTGGCCAGGCTGGTCTTAAACTCCTGGCCTCAGGTGATCCGCCCACCTCAACCTCCCAAAATGCTGGGATTACAGGGGTGAGCCATCACGCCCGGCCTTGTTCTGCTTGTTTTGAATATGGATTTCATCCTGAAGCAGATGTAGAGCAACACAGAGTGGGTGAGACAGTTTTGTCTGTTCAGTTAGTAGGAGGTTTGTTTGTTTGTTTACAGATGGAGTCACCCTATATTACTCAAGCTGGTTTGTAACTCGTGAGCTCAAGCCATCCTTCCATGTCAGCCTCCTAACACTGGGAGGCTGCACAGGGATGCCCTGGTCGGCAGCTAGCTGGGACAACAGGTGCATGCCACACAATCGGCTAACTTTTTTAAATTTATTGTTTATAGAGATGGGGTCTTGCTATGTTGCCCAGGCTGGTCTCAAACTCCTGAGATCAAGTGATTCTCCCACCTCAGCTTCCCAAAGTACTGGGATTACAGGTGTGAGCCACCACACCCAGCCAATTTGTTTTATTTGTAGGAGCACTTTTTCTCCTTCAGACGCTAGATTAAATATCAATGGCATGAAATCAGTAAGACTTACTTGATTGCTTGCATAACAATCAAAATGGCATTTTCTTCAGAATGGACTTTAATATTATTAACTAAGGACCACCGGCCAGGTGCGGTGGCTCATGCCTGTAATCTCAGCACTTTGGGAGGCCAGTGCAGGCGGAGCACATGAGGTCAGGAGTTTGAGACCAGCCTGGGAAATATGGTGACACCTTGTCTCTACTAAAAATACAAAAACTAGCCAGGTGTGGTGGTGGGCGCCTGTAATCCCAGGTACTCAGGAGGCTGAGGCAGGAGAATTGTTTGACCCTGGGAGGCAGAGACTGGAGTGAGCCGAGATCACACCACTGCACTCCAGCCTGAGTGAGAGAGCAAGACTGTGTCTCCAAAAACAATAATAATAATAATAATAATAATTAAGGGTATTTTTAGAAGTTGGATTATCTTCAATATTTAGTCATTAATTTTCTCTTAAAAATTTGGGAAACATTTTGCCTATTCCTCAAAAAATTAAATGTAGAATTACCATTTGCTCCAGCAATTCCACTTGTGGGTATATTCACAAAAGAACTGAAAGCAGTGTCTCAAAGAGATACTTGTACACCCAAGTTCAAGCATCATTATTCACAATAGCCAAAAGGTGGAAACAGGCCAGGAGCAGTGGCTCACACCTGTAATCCCAACACTTTGGGAGGCCGAGGTGGGCGGATCACCTGAGGTCGGGAGTTCTAGACCAGCCTGACCAACATGGAGAAACCCCATCTCTACTAAAAATATTAAAAAATCAGTCTGGCTTGGCGGCAGATGCCTGTAATCCCAGGTACTTGGGAGGCCGAGGCTGGAGAATCGTTTGAACCCCAGAGGCAGAGGTTGCAGTGAGCCGAGATCGAACCACTGCACTCCAGCCTGGGAGACAGAGTGAGACTCCATCTCAAAAAAAAAGAAAAGAAAAAAGAATACACTAAGAAGTGACAGAATATTGGCACAGAGAATATCTTGAGTATTCTAAATATGTATGCCAATACTCCAATAATATCATAATAAAATTGTCATTGGAGTTGGCATGGAAGAAGCCCAGCGTGGCAGGTGGAGTAACAGCCCCACTAGATGTCTATGTCCTAATCCCCAGATCAGTGAGTACATGACCTTACATGGCAAAAAGAGATTTTACAGGTGTGATTAAGTTAATAACGTTGAGGTGGAGAAATTATCCCAGCCCATCCCAGTGGGCCTGATCGAATCATAGGAGTTGGCTTTTAGCAGAAAACCTTTCCCAGCTGTGATTAAGGAGAAATGTGATGATAGATGAAGAGTCAGAGAGATGCAAAGTGAGAATCCAGCCCACCATTGCTGGCTCTGCAGATGGAGGAAGGGGCCACAGCCAAGGAATACAGTGGCACATACAAGCTGGGAACAGCCCTCAGCTGACAGCCAATGAGAAAGCCAGGACCTCAGCCCTAAAACACAAGGAGCTGAATTCTGCCAACAACCCGAATGATCAGGAAATACGTTCTTTCCTAGAACATAAATAAAGGAACACAGACAGGGCTAGGAGGCCGAGGCAGGCAGATCACCTGAGGTCAGGAGTTCGAGACTGCCCTCAGCACCCCCTCAGCCTCCCTCCCATGCTCATCAGCGCCCAAAGTCCGGAGATGGCCAGTGTGGCAGGGGACTGGCACGTCAGCACTGCCCCAACACGGGCACACCCAGCCAGGTTCCAACAGCACCTGGTCTCGACCTCAACTTTGCTCTGAAATTGGAGTGGGCGCTGGAAACAGGGAGAAGCCAGGCAGCAGGAGCAGGCGCTTTGAGCCTGTGGGGGCCGGGGGCCTTCCAGGCCCCCCGAGAGCACAGGGATGCCCCGGTCTGCAGCTACAGCTGGGTGGCTGCTGATGTGCCTGGGAAGGCAGGGCTCCCCACCCTGCCAACTCAGAAGGGGCAGGGCTCCCGTCTGTTCCCAGCCCCTCCAGGTCCATGAAGGGCACAGACCCGGCCATGCTTCCCCCACTGCAGCTGGTGTCTTCACAGCGACCACTCCAGACGGGCCACTGCTGCCATCACTGGGACATCCCCCAGCTGTCATCCTTGTAATCCCTCTTGGGTTTCTCCTGATTTGGATTCCCCACATCCTGGATCTCTTGTCTTCCTCCTCCTCAGTTTACACCTTGTTTAGGTGAAACACATCTTCCAGTAATCTGGCCAGGTTAAAGAGCTAGTGCAATGACAGCACAATCACGACAGTCCCAGCTTTCCTATCTCTTGAGTCACAGTGTCACAATGAGCACTGACTGCCCTCTAGACTTGGCGCACAGTTATCCTTCCAGAATGTCCCTCACCATCAGCCTCAAGCTTTCCTTCAGTACTCCGCCATGTTCCACGTCTGCATTTCACAGACCACAGCTTGTGCTTTCTTGATTTTTTACTCTTTTAGCTGAAGAGCATCTTTCCTCTGGTGGTTTTCCAACAATCACGCATAGGGAGTACATTTTTTTCTCTTTTGTAGAGATGGGGTCTCACTGTGTTGCCCAGGCTGGTCTCCAACTCCTGAACTCAAGGATTCCTTCTGTCTCAGTCTCCCAAAGTGTTTCAATTACAGTCATGAGCCACCATGCCTGGCCAAATGTTCTGAGAACTTTCAAGCATGAAAATGTCTGGTTTTATTTATTTATTTATTTATTATTTTTTATTTTTTAGAGTCAGGGCTGCCACGGTGGCTCACGCCTATAATCCCAGCACTTTGGGAGGCCGAGGTGGAGAGATCAGGAGGTCAGGAGTTTGAGACCAGCCTGGCCAACATGGCGAAACCCCATCTCTACTGAAATACAAAAAATAAAAAATAAAAAAAGAAAGAAAAAGAAAAAGAAGTTACCTGGGCATGGCTGTGCCTGCCTGTAATCCCAGCTACTCAGAAGGCTGAGACAGGAGAATCGCTTGAACACAGGAGGCGAAGGTTGCAGTGAGCGGAGATCACACCACTGCAGTCCAGCCTGGGAGGCGATAGAGTGAAACTCTGTCTCAAAGAAAAAAAAAGAGTCTTGCTGTGTCGCCCAAGCTGTAGTGCAATGATGCAACCTCAACTCACTGCAATCTCTGCCTCCCAGGTTCAAGTGATTCTCCTGCGTCAGCCTCCCCAGTAGCTGGGATTACAGATGTGTGCCACCATGCCTGGCTAATTTTTGTATTTTTAGTAGAGACGGGGTTTCACCACAATGGCCAGGCTGGTCTTGAACTCCTGGACTCGAGTGATTGCCTGCCTCGGCCTCCCAAAGTGCTGGGATTAGAGGTGTGAGCCACCACACCTGGCCAAAAATGTCTGTATTTCACTTTCACACCTGACTGAGAGTGTGTGGCTATTGCTGCTTACTGACCAGCACCCTTCCCTCTTCCTTTCACCATGCCCAGCCATGACTTCTAACCTTAGAAAACTGTCCCCCTTCCAGAGAGTTGATAAATGTCCAATTCAATTTTTTTTTTTGAGACAGAGTCTCGCTCTGCCACCAGGCTGAAGTGCAGTGGCGCGATCTCGGCTCACTACAACCTCTGACTCACAGGCATGAGCCATGGCACCCCGCCCCAATTCTATTTTTGAAGGGAGGGACTGATTATTTTAAAAACATGGCCGGGCATGGTGGCTCATGCCTGTAATCCCAGCACTTTGGGAGGCCGAGGCGGGTGGATCACCTGAGGTCAGGAGTTCGAGACTAGCCTGGCCAACATGGCGAAACTCCATCTCTACTAAAAATACAAAAATTAGCTGGGCATGGTGGCACAGGCCTGTAATCCCAGCTACTAGCGGGGCTGAGGCAGGAGAATCGCTTGAACCTGGAAGGCAGAGGTTGCAGCGAGCCGAGATCGTGCCACTGCACTCCAGCCTGGGAAACAGAGCGAGACTGTGTCTCAAAAAACAAAACAAAACAAAACAAAACAAAACAAAACATAAAAATCTTTCTGGATTGTAATGCCCTCTTCATTTGTTTGGTGGGTGGTATGAGGAAGGGGCCCATTCTCAGCCCTGGGTCCGTGGGCTCCAGGTACAGGGACATGGAGGCGAGGTCTGGGTTCCCGATCCTCTAATCGCTGGCGTGGCTGTGCCTTGTTCTTCAGGAGCCCAAGTTTCCCTGGCGTCCTCGCTTTCTGATCTGCATCTTTTTTTTTTTTTTTTTTTTTTTTGAGACAGAGTCTCGCTCTGTCACCCAGGCTGGAGTGCAGTGGCGAGATCTTGGCTCACCGCAAGCTCCGCCTCCCGGGTTCAGGCCATTCTCCTGCCTCAGCCTCCAGAGTAGCTGGGTCTACAGGCGCCCACCACCGCGCCCAGCTAATTTTTTGTATTTTTAGTAGAGACAGGATTTTACCGTGTTAGCCAGGACGGTCTTGATCTCCTGACCTCGTGATCCGCCTGCCTCGGCCTCCCAAAGTGCTGGGATTACAGGCGTGAGCCACTGCACCTGGCCCTGATCTGCATCTTGACTTTTGTCACTTTCTTGATTTTAAGGCAGAGACACCCTTAGAGGAATGGGCTTAAAAGGAGGGTTGGGGAGCAGACACCAAGGAACACACAGAAAGGTGCCAAGAGGAAATAGTTACCTGCGAGGCTCTAAGACTGCCTCTGAGATCCCATCAGTGACCTGACCATAGGGTGCTGGAGAAATGTGGTCACCCAGACACTTTGAAACACTTTCCGTGGTTGATAATTATTATTCTCCTTTTTTTTTTTTTTTTTTTGAGACAGGGTCTCACTGTCTCCCAGGCTGGAGTGCAGTGTTGCAATCTCGTGTCATTGCCATCTCCGCCTCCCGAGTTCAAGTGATTCTCCTGCCTCAGCCTCCTGAGTAGCTAGGATCACAGGTGCCCGCCACCAAGCCCGGCTAATTTTGTATTTTAGTAGAGACGGGGTTTCACCATGTTGGCCATGCTGGTCTCGAACTCCTGACCTCAGGTGATCTGCCTGCCTTGGCCTCCCAAAGTGCTGGGATTCCCGGTGTGAGCCACTGCACCCAGCCCGTCGCGGTTTATAATTAGAGATTTCTCTGCTAAATGATGTTCTCTCTCTCACACTGAGGTGAGGTCTGTTTGGGTCACCTTTGTATTCCCCAAACCGGGGACAGTATTGGGCTCAAATCTGCTCAGAAATGACTGACTGACTGAATGAATAAATCAATACATGAATGAATACGTTTGGAGTCCCCTCTTCCCACTCCTCGCCCTCCCTCCTTCCCTCCAGACCCCCAGGGGCTGCCCAGCCCGCCTCCCACCCCCGACCCGGGAACTCCAGGGACTGGACGGGGAGGGAAGGGTGGGAGGAGGCGGTGGAGGCGGAGGCGGAGACGCGGGAGGGCGGGGCTAGGGAGGGCGATGCGGGGAGCCGGAGCCCGGACCATGAGGCTGGGAGCGCCCCTTCTGCACCCCTGGCCGCCCGCGCCGCGCCCCGCGCCCACCAGAGGGCAGCACCACGACGCGCGCGGACAAGGCTGAGGCGGGAACGGCCGCACCCCCAGCCCCGCCCGGAGCCGCCCGGCCCCGCCCCGCCCGCGAGTACCGACCCCCGGCGCCGGCGGGGAAACAGGTCCGGCGCCCCCGACCCCACGGCCCGGCCCCACTCTGTCTCTGACGTCAGCGCCGTGCCCCAAATAACTTCCTCCCCGAGCCTCTTCCGCCGCGGCGCCGCGCCCAGAGCCAGGCGGGGACACCGAAACGGTAACCCCGGCCCGGCCTTCCCGGAGCCGCTTCCGCCCCGCCTGGTGCCAGGAAGCCCCCGCCCCTTCCAAGGGATGGCAGCCGGGGCCCGGGTCGGCCGCCTGGGCCGCGCTGGCGCGCGCCTGAGGAACTTCTGGGGCCTGCTGTCCCGGGAGGAGGGTCGCTGCGGCCAACTCCGGACCCCGCCCCATGTCCCATCGCCTCCCCTGCCCTCGGCCCCGCAAACACCCCTGGCCTTGACTTTCCCACCAGCGCGGCCCAGCCCCACTGTGTTCCATCGGCGCTCAATAAAATACTGAATGAGGCCGGGCGCGGTGGCTCACCCCTGTAATCCCAGCGCTTTGGGAGGCCGAGGAGGGCGGATCACGAGGTCAGGAGATCGAGACTAGCCTGGCCAACACGGTTAAACCCCGTCTCTACTAAAAATACAAAAAATTAGCCGGGCGTGGTGGCACCTGCCTGTAATCCCAGCTACTCAGGAGGCTGAGGCAGGAGAATGGCTTGAACCTGGGAGACGGAGCTTGCAGTGAGCCGAGATTGCGCTCCAGCCTGGGCGACAGAGCGAGACTCTGTCTCAAAAAATTAAAAAAAATAATAATAATAATAATGAATGAAGCTGGACGGACTTCGCGTGCACCGCGGTCAGCTCGGGGTCTGCTGGGGGGTCTGGGTCAGCTCAGGGTCCAGGAACCGAGGCCAACGGCACCCCGTGCTGCGCTGGGGTGAGGGGTCTGCCCTGGGGTCTCGGGGTTCAGGGCTAGGTCACGGAGGAGTCGGCTCTGGGCGCTTCCTTCCTGAGGAGAGGAGCTGGGCAGGCCGGGCCGACGGGTTGGGCCGCATAGCCGGGCCTGTGCTCATCTCCAGCATAAAACTCCACTTCATGGAGCCTGCACCTCGCTCGTGCTCCAACGCTTCTGCCACCGCCGACCACGGCCCTGCGCCCCAGCCAGGCCTGAGGACATGAGGCGGCCGGCGGCGGTGCCGCTCCTGCTGCTGCTGTGTTTTGGTGAGTCGTGAAGGTGCAGGGTCCTGGTGGTGCAGTCCCCCACCAGGCTCCGCTGCACTGCCTGGGGCTCCGGCTCAGCCCCCTACTCCCTGGGACAGGCTGGGGCTGTGGGACAGGCCATCATCCCTCCTGCCCCTGAGCAGGTGGGAAGGCTCCAGATGTGCCAAGTGGGGAGTCCAAAGTGGGGAGGCAGGGTGGGAGGTGTGCGCACAGGCCCCAGAGGACCCCACCGGCATAACTGGGCAGCACCTCCTCCCATGCCTCTCCGCGGGCACTGGTGTGCCAGCTCTGGCCAGGCTCCCTGCTTCCTGCCACCTCGGCCTCTCCCCCCATTCTCTAGGTGAGGACAGGGGCCTCCTACGTGCAGGATGTGAACTCAGGCTCCAAGTGCCTGGACCATCATACTCGGGGTGGGAGGGTGGCCGAGCCGAGGGCTGCTGCCTGTGCCCGGAAGCCCCAGCAGGCTGGCTGCAGGCTCAGTAGAGAGCTGGGGGCAGGGGGTGTAGGTGGCAGAGGGCCCTGTCTCCTGCTGACAGAGGAACCGGTGATGCGCCACCGTGCCCTCTCCCAGTCCTGGGTCAGGGACAGCAGGTGCCAGCCAGGGGGCCCCACCTGCCAGGCCCCTCCCTGCGGGCCGGGACACTCTCTGTCAGGGAAAACCTCTCACATTCCTGGGCTAGCCTAGCCAGTCTGGCAGCCACCACACTTCCCTGTCCTCAAGTCACCTCCCAGGGCTGGGTCAGGTCATCCCAGGCTGCAGCTTAGCCAGTACTCCAGGCTTCCTTGTTCTCCTGGGTGGGAGGGCACCAGTGGCCCCTCAGTGGCCCGGCCTCCCCCACCCCATGCCCCCAGTCTCCCAGCACAAGGATGGTGCCCTCTGAGCAAGCCATGTGCACAGGAGGTGGAAGGCTGTGACTGCCCCTGAGCGGGGTGAGGAACCAAGGTCATTGCCAAAACTCTTTGGCAATGAGTTTTGCAGTCGGTTCACTAACAGCTGTGACCAGAGGCTGGACTCCTGGACACGTCCTCACTCCCAGCCCGAGGGTGGCACTCCCACCAGGTCTCTGGCTGGTGGTACCCACTAAGCTTCACCATCCCCACCAGCTACCAGCGAATCACAGGCCCAGGCCCCAAACAATGCTCCTGACACCCCCGGCACCCCTGGCTGTTGCTTCCAGCCCCCACAGGGCGCCCACCCTGAAGGGCTCAGCTGTCCACATCCCCCATTTCCCATCAGCCCCCACAGCCACACTTGTGTCCATCCACACATTCCCTGAGATCAGGCCCCCCAGATGCAGCCCTTGCCTTCTCGGAGCTCCTGGGCTAAGATAAGACTTGATTCTGGCTCCAGGGTGATGTAGACAGAGCTCCCATCAGGACAGAGAGCTCAAGAGAGAGTATAGGGCTTCCAAGGTAGACAATGCAAGCAAGCAAGGAAGGCTTCCTGGAGGAGGCAGCATTCAGTTGGGCCTTGATCTCTAGATCACGATTAGGACTTGGCTGGGAGCGGTGGCTCACGCCTGTAATGCCAGCACTTTGGGAGGCCGAGGTGGGCGGATCACGGGGCCAGGAGATCGAGACTATCCTGGCAAACATGGTGAAACCCCTCTCTACTAAAAATACAAAAAAATTAGCCGGGCTTGGTGGCGGGCCCCTGTAGTCCCAGCTACTCGGGAGGCTGAGGCAGGAGAATGGCGTGAACCCAGGAGGCGGAGCTTGCAGTGAGCTGAGATCGCGCCACTGCACTCCAGGCTGGGCAACAGAGTGAGACTCCATCTTAAAAAAAAAAAAAAAAAAAAGACTAGGACTTATGGAGACTGGGGGAAGGGCATCCAGATTGTGGGGTGAGGGGAGCAAGCACTCAGAGACCAGAAGACTCTGCCTAAATGAGAAGTACAGGGCTACTTTAGGAAGGAAGGATCTGCATGGGGAGGAGGCATCGCTGAAGGGGCAGTGCTCAGGCAGGGAGCATGGAGACACAGCTCCTGCAGACTCCCAGAGAGCGAGAAGGCCTGACAGTGCGCGCCCTTCTGCAAGCAGGATCCTCAGGCTTGGAAGGAGCAAGGGGTCGGGGGGCCAGGGAATAACCCTCCCGGTAGTGTTTGCATTTTAAAGGGCACTTAATTAGCACAAATTAATGAGCAGAGCATCCAGGGCAGACTCTCCATTTCCCGTTGCCCCTGACCCCGCTTCTGCAGGGCACCCCTTTGCCTGCCCTGCACCTTCTCCACCTCCTCCTCCTGCCCATCCACAGCTGCCCCCTCGCCGCCCGCTGCCTTATCGTCCAGCAACCCCCGGGGTGTCTCTGCCCACCAGTGGTGTTGGGGAGGGTGCCCCCCAGACTGTGAGGCAGACAGAAAGGAAGAGGATGCCGTAAAAACCCTGGGGGTGCTTGGGCCCTCCATGGCCACTTCCTGTCCCCACAGCCCCTCAACTCCAGGGGACTGGTTATCTTTTCCGGGCAGAGTGAAGACATGGTCCATAGCAGCTGGCCCGGGCACCGGAAGGCACTGGGGGTTAAGGGGAAGCTGAGGGCCTAGGTGTGGGGAGGTGGCTGTTCTAACCCCTCCCCAGCTACGGGCGAATCTTGCCCCCACAGAATCAGACGCGTGGAGTGCAGGGGTGGTGAGAGGACTCTCTCAAGGCCAGGAAGTTCCAGGCTTTGCTACCCTGGGGCTGTACACTATGGTCCTGGCTGGGGTCTCCAAGCTGGGGTAGAGGCTCCAGTGTTTGGTTAAAGGCCCAGCAAGAGGCCCTTTGTGTCCTGGGGTGTGGGAGGCAATGGACAGCAGAAAATATGTTCCCATCCTTGGTTCCCCCGAACGACCCCATATCTTGCTTCTCTTCCGGGCCCCTCACTTTATCCGCTCCAAAGCCCCCTTGCACAGCCCAGCAGGGGGTCCTGGGCCTCGTCTGCCAAGCCTGCTGCATGCCTGGGAGAGGGGTCAGCTCTTGGGACTCTGGAATCTTGAGAAGGCTGATCCCTGGTGGCCAATGCAGACCACTGTACCTTCTCTACTCCCCTGAGGCCAGGGAGAAGCCTGTGGGGCTCGGGCCTCAGCCTCGGGACCAAAGTGAGACTTGGGGAAGGAGCTCATTCCGGAGCAGACTGTGAGAGAGCCCTGGGCAGCTCAAATGTAGAGACAGCTCCCGGGCCTCTTCCGCTCTGAGCTGTTCCGGGAGGAAAGGCCAACCTTACAGTGCCAGGGCTGGAGGCTGGACCCTCCCCAGAAACTTCCAGACAAGGATGGGTGTGGAGTGTGGAGGGAGAGGACCCTTTCCAGGATGAGAAGGGGACATCTAGCCTGGGGATCCCTTCACTGGCATCTCCTGACCGGCTCCCCATGTGGCAAGGAGCATCCACCCTTGCAGATAAGCTGTGGCCCATGGGCCTGGGCCTGAGCATACGGCAGAGCCAGCCCTGGGGGGGAAACTGCAGGCCCTTGGGCTCTCCGGTGAGGTCCCTCTGTGGACTGTCCCTCTGGAGTCCTCAGGAGCTGGGGAGGGTCAGTGGAGAGGGGCTGCAGGGTTGGGGAGGGCAGGCCAGGCTGCAGCTGGCCTGGCTGATCACCCTCTCCTCACTTCCAGGGTCTCAGAGGGCCAAGGCAGCAACAGGTAAGCACCCAGGGCCCTGGGGTGGGAGGGACAGGAGCCGGCTGGACTGAGCCAGGGACACTCATGGCCAGAGGGAATTTGGAACGCACAGGACACTGGGGAATTCCAGAGGAGGGGAAAGTGGGGGCTGTGTGGAACTGGAGCCCAGAAAGGAGAGGAGGAGGAAGGTCCACACAAGAGCAGGACGGGCAGCACAGAGCCTTGAGGCGCGGTGCAGGATGAGGGCGGCAGGGTCTGAGGATCACCCTGAACCGTGACTGGCCCCCTCTGGGTGGCTCCCTTGCAGAGGGCTTGACACCTGTTCTATCCTTCCAGGCACCTGTTTGGGTCAGGCCCTGGGACAAGACCCTTCCCTGGGTTATCTCAGTGCCTCCGTGGCCCCCAAGAGGCAGGTGTTAGGTTGCCTTTCTCGGCGAGGAGAGTGAGACTTTGGGGGGCAGCTGGGGAGGGTCTGCCTGTATCCCAGACTGCCCCGAAGCCCAGGCCTCCGACTTCCCCAAGGTCTTCGGGCAGGTCAGGGGCAGGAGGGCCGAGGACTGGAGTGTGAGGCTGAGAGCTGGGCCTCGGCCATGGAACCAGCCCCAGTGAGCGCCCCCACCCGCTCCCCATGCTCCCCCAGCCTGTGGTCGCCCCAGGATGCTGAACCGAATGGTGGGCGGGCAGGACACGCAGGAGGGCGAGTGGCCCTGGCAAGTCAGCATCCAGCGCAACGGAAGCCACTTCTGCGGGGGCAGCCTCATCGCGGAGCAGTGGGTCCTGACGGCTGCGCACTGCTTCCGCAAGTGAGTCCGCCCGCCCCTGCCCCCGCCCATAGCGCTGACAGCGCCCCGCGCGCGACCGGTTCAGCACCGTGGACAGCGCCCGCCGCGCCAAATCCTGCGGGTGACCTCCCTGGGGGCTCCTGGTCCAGCCCCTCCCACCCAGATGCTTCCCTTAGGTCCAACTCCAGGGCTAACTTCCAGTTGCAACCGCTGCTCCCGCCCGCGGGAGGTGCCTCGCACCGCCCCCCGACCCCCTCCATCCCCTCCACCCACTCACCCACTCCCTGTGGGTCCCTGCAGAAGCGGCCCGGCAGGCTCTGCCCACCGGCCCCTCCTGGCCTTTCCCCATCCCGCACACACCTCAGCTCCAGGACACTCTTCCCGGGAGGAACTCTGCTCACAAAGCCCAAGGACCAGACAGAACGGCCCTTCCTCCCCTCACCCACCTGAACCACCCCAGAAAGCCCTGAGCAGAGGCCAGGCCACCCAGCCCTCTGCCATGTATGAACCACCTGGTCCCACACCTTCCGGGTGTCCCAGGCCCCCTCACCTCACACCTCAACACCGCAGCTCTAATTATTTTAAACCCCACATCTTTTTCTTTTTTTTCTTCTTGATCTTTAAAAGAATATCATGACAAAAAAAACCCCACATCTTAAATTCAGATACTCACGGCCAGGCACGGTGGCTCACACCCGTAATCCCAGCACTTTGGGAGGCCAAGGCGGGCAGATCAGTTGAGCCCAGGAGTTCAAGACCAGCCCGGGCAACACAGCAAGACCCTGTCTCTACTAAAAATAAAAAAAAATTAAAAAACAAAAAACAAACAAACAAAAAAACCCCAGGTGCAGTGGTGCCTGTGGTCCCAAGTACTCAGGAAGCTGAGGCGAGAGGATGGCTTGAGCCCAGGAGTTGGAGGCTGCAGTGAGCTACAGTTGCACTGCTGCACTCCAGCCTGGGTGACAGAATGAGAACTCTGTCTCTAGGGGAAAAAAAAAATCGGAAACTCGGGCTGAGAGAGGGCAGGTCACCTGCCAGAGGCCCGCAGGTGGGGCTGGCCCTGCTGCACCTGGAGGGTGGTTCTCTCCGAGCCAGCCTTTCAGGTAGGCACTGTGACTGTCCCCACAGCACAGGTGAGAAAGCTGCATCACAGAGAACTTGTTAAGTGACTTGCCCAAGGCCACACAGCGGCCAGGGGTGGAGGTGGAAATCTGAGTCGGGCGGTCTGGCTTCAATGTCAACACGCATCACCGCTGCACCTGGCTGTCCTAGAGATGACTCTCGAAGACATTGTGCAGAGAGAGGTGTGGGGCACGGTGGTGGCCAGAGGAGCCCCAGCCCCTCCCGGGCCTGTCCCCACACGAGGGGCCGCCTCACGCCGCCTCTCTGTTTCTCCCGCCAGCACCTCTGAGACGTCCCTGTACCAGGTCCTGCTGGGGGCAAGGCAGCTAGTGCAGCCGGGACCACACGCTATGTATGCCCGGGTGAGGCAGGTGGAGAGCAACCCCCTGTACCAGGGCACGGCCTCCAGCGCTGACGTGGCCCTGGTGGAGCTGGAGGCACCAGTGCCCTTCACCAATTACATCCTCCCCGTGTGCCTGCCTGACCCCTCGGTGATCTTTGAGACGGGCATGAACTGCTGGGTCACTGGCTGGGGCAGCCCCAGTGAGGAAGGTAAGGGGACAGGGCTGGGAAAGAATGGGGGATATGCCTCAAGAAGGCCCAGGACGGCTTGGGGACCACTCTGAACCCACAATCTTCCTGTTGCTATATTAATACATACACACGGTCTCTGTTCACACAGGTGGGGCCGAGGGGAGCAGCAGCAGACCCAGAAGGAAGAGGGGGTGAAGGGAGAGGGGGACAGAAAGGGCCCAGCCTGCTGCCTGGAAGGAGGGAGGATGTCTGCCCCACAGTGCCCTAAGCCAGAGATGGTCTAAACATGAGGAAACGACAGGCAGGATGGAGTGGTGGTTCCCGGGGCCGTGGGTTCTTGATGAGGAAGTCCGTTGAGCCCTGGGCTGTTCCGCCCCTCTCCAGACCTCCTGCCCGAACCGCGGATCCTGCAGAAACTCGCTGTGCCCATCATCGACACACCCAAGTGCAACCTGCTCTACAGCAAAGACACCGAGTTTGGCTACCAACCCAAAACCATCAAGAATGACATGCTGTGCGCCGGCTTCGAGGAGGGCAAGAAGGATGCCTGCAAGGTGGGAGCAATGTGGTGTCCATGGGGACTCAGTCCCCACCGCCAGGCCCAGGGCAGGGTGGGATCATGCCCCGCTCCATGGGCTATGCATTCAACCAGCTGAGCAGCTTGTTTTGAAAAGGCAGATTCCAGGGCCGGGTGTGGTGGCTCACGCCTGTAATCCCAGCACTTTGGGAGGCCAAGGAGGGTGGATCACAAGGTCAGGAGATGGAGACCATCCTGGCTAACACAGTGAAACCCCATCTCTACTAAAAATACAAAAAATTAGCCAGGCGTGGTGGTGGGCGCCTGTAGTCCCAGCTACTTGGGAGGCTGAGGCAGGAGAATGGCGCGAACCTGGGAGGCGGAGCTTGCAGTGAGCCGAGATCGCGCCAGTGCACTCCAGCCTGGGCCACAGAGCAAGACTCCGTCTCAATAAAAAAAAAAAAGAAAAAGCAGATTCCTGGACCCCACCCCAGAAGGATCAGAGTCAGTGGGTCTGGGGTGGGGCACAAGAAACTGCATTTTCAACACACACACACACCCTAGTTGATCTGGGGACACTAAAGAATAGGCACTTTAGACAATCGGACTGGCAGGGGATGGGGAGCCGGGCAGAGAGGCTCTGGGATGGAGAGAAGGAATCCATTGCGGAGCTACACACCTCCTGTGCGGCTGCAACTGAGTCTCTGGGAACTCAAGGTGGGCTCTGACGGTGACTCTGCGTCCCCCGCAGGGCGACTCGGGCGGCCCCCTGGTGTGCCTCGTGGGTCAGTCGTGGCTGCAGGCGGGGGTGATCAGCTGGGGTGAGGGCTGTGCCCGCCAGAACCGCCCAGGTGTCTACATCCGTGTCACCGCCCACCACAACTGGATCCATCGGATCATCCCCAAACTGCAGTTCCAGCCAGCGAGGTTGGGCGGCCAGAAGTGAGACCCCCGGGGCCAGGAGCCCCTTGAGCAGAGCTCTGCACCCAGCCTGCCCGCCCACACCATCCTGCTGGTCCTCCCAGCGCTGCTGTTGCACCTGTGAGCCCCACCAGACTCATTTGTAAATAGCGCTCCTTCCTCCCCTCTCAAATACCCTTATTTTATTTATGTTTCTCCCAATAAAAACCCAGCCTGTGTGCCAGCTGCCCACGTGGGGATCCTTGGGGGACCCCGGCGGGTGAGGAGCTGTGAGTTGCAGGATGAAGCCCAGGTGGGAGATGCGGAGTGCTCTGGTCATCTCTGAATCAGCAGAAGGGAGCTGCAGCTGGTGCCCGAGGCGAGGACAGCACCAGAGTATGGGACCCCTGTCACGGGCCCCGCACAGGAGGCCACCTGCTGCCACCTGTGCCTCTGTTCTCTCACCTTAAAGGCCGCCCCAGGGTTGGCACTGGGGACAGCGACGGACACAGGTGGAAAGAGCCTCAGGGCCATGCAGGAGCTGTGCCGGGGCGAGAGGAGGGCATGGAGGGACTGGCTGGGCGGGGGCACCTCAGCCTCCCAAGCCTGCACTTCCGGCTGCCCGTGTCTCGGGGCCACCCAACTTTTCTAAACCACTTCGGCAGGAGTGGGTGCCCACACCTGTGCTTTCCTGCTCCACTGCTCCTGGCACCCTTCGTCTCCCTGTGCCCCGGCGTCTCCCCTTGACCCTTGGCTCCTCTTCCTCCGCCCCATCCCTCAGTCTCCACCCCCATGCAGGAGTCCAGAGCAGTGCGTGGTGGCAAGGGGATTAGGCTGGACATGCACATCACACCCACACGCACCCGTGCACACACACACAGGCACCGTGGCCTGTACAGCGGCAGGAAGAAATCAGGCCCTGAGTGTCCACCAAGGAATCAAACCAACACCCACTCAGCAAGCAGCTGCTGGGGACACCGTGGGGAGCAAAACAGAAGGAATTCCCCGCTGGGCCCGACCCATCTCCCCAACGGCTGCCCAGTGGCCCCCGTGGGCCATTTCTTGCACTCCTCCAGCCCAGGGGTGGGTGGGCAGGTCTGGGGGGCCTGTGCGCACAGCCCCATGGGGGAGCAGATGCACGAAGCCCAGGTGGAGGGAGAGGCAGGCCCAGGGAGCAGCACTGGGTGGTCCTAGCCAAGCAGGGACTGGCCAGGCCTCCCAGCCTCGGAGAGCCCTGGGTGAACCTGCACCCTGCTCTGGGCTGTGCAAGGAGCCCCAGGCCCCCGTGGTCAGAGGGGAGGCTACAGGTTAGATGGTCTAGGGAGGGCAGCCCCTGCTGTCTTTGTGCTGAGACCCCACCCAGACCCAGGATGTCAACAGGCAGATGCCCGTGGGAGAGGAGCAGAAAACACTCTCTACAGAGACTAGGGGTTGAGAAGGGAAAACAGGGCTATTTCATGCAATTAACAGCTCCCACGAAGCATGCCGTGAGAAGGACGTTAGGAAGGGAATAGTCCAGGTTGCCACAGGTCCCTTTTCCATCCTGGGGCGGGGGTGCAGCTCAGACTTTGCACGCTGCTGCCAAGCAGGGCTCTGAGCCATCTGCCAGGTGGGCGGCAGCAGGGCCCCTGCCAGCTCCAGGAGGGACTCGAGGGAGAGCCTGGCACAGGCCCGCGCACATTCTGTGGCTCACAGGGAGGTAGGCAGAGCGGGCGGCAGCCTTCATCCCCAGGCTCAGCTGGCCCATGTGCACACATACACACACCATTCCCATGCCACTCACAGGCACACACAACACATGCATGTCACATGCCACACACAGGCACACACCACATACCAAGCACACACCACATGCCACACATCACATACAGCACACATGTGCATGCCACACACACCATGTGCACACAGGCACACACCACACCCACACCATGTACAGCCAGTAGGTACACACACACACACACACACACACACACACACACACACACACACAGAGCAGGAGCGGGAGCCCCAGGAAAGAAGTCTGTGGGCTCCATTCGGGCCAGAACTGCGGTGAGGGGTCAGCCACAGGCCAGGCCTCCCTGTGCCGAGCCCCAGGCCTGGGAACACTGGGGAGGAAGAGGTGGTCTGAGGGCAAAGTGACCCATCTTGGGGGGCACGGCTCAGTGCAGAGGTGCCGGAAGTCATCGTCCCTCACACAGATGCCACGTCAGGGCCTTGGTGGCTGCACTGTGGGGTCAGCTCTTCATCGCCCCAGCCGGCCACTGCCACGAGCTTTAGGAGGAAGGAGGGTGCTAGAAGTCCCTGCTGAGTGGACACCAATAAATGCAGGGATGTCAAGGAGGGTGGTGCCAGCCGCTGGAGGGCTCCAGTCATGGGCTCTACAGGAAGCCTGGGGAGGACGGGCACCCACGCAGGGCACCTGCATGTGCCCCGCCCCTGCCTCCTCTTCTGCCCCCACGCTGGCTTCCTGGAGCCACAGGGCTGGGCCCCAGTCCCCACAGCGGGCGGGCTGTGCTGGAGCCCAAGGTCTGAGGAGGAACAGGGCTCCCTCCCTGCCCAGCAGACCCAGCGGCCCTGAGCATCCTCGGCTTCAGGACCCAAACTGCAGGGCCTGTCTCCTTTACAGCCTTTTGCTTGGATGGGAAACCTGCTCCGGGCTTTGGCTGGGGACGCCTGCCACGCTGAGGCTTCTCCCAAGTGCCCACAACTCTACCTGGTCAAGGGGCTGTAAGGCCTAGCCAGGCTCCTGGTGGGAGTCGGGCAGCGGGAAGACCCCTTGGAGCAGAAACTGGGTCTCTCCCCTACTCCAAGCCCCGTGCCGGCCTCATGCTGGGCACCCAGAAGCCCAGTCACCCACTCCACCCCTCACCAGGGCCCTGGGGTCAGGCTGGGCCAGCCACACACCTGGAAACAGGATGGACAAGGCCACTACAGCCTGAGGCTCTGTGACCTCAGACAGCCAGGCCCTGGGGGACACCGTGAATGGGAATCTCCCTGCGGGGGGGCGGGGAGTCCAACAGCCAAGGCTTCGTGGAGCAGCCACCAGGAGGAGTCACAGCAGCTGGCGAGGGGGTGCCGGGACCCCAGGACCTTCTCGGGAAGCTCCTGCTGTCACAACCCAGGCTGCAGGCTAAAGTGAGGGAAGAGAGGTGGATGCTAACTTGAGGTATCAGGACTTTCAAAAAAACATCACTTGAGCCGCGCGCAATGGCTCACGCCTGTAATCCCAACTGCTCAGGAGGCTGAGGCAGGAGGATCACTTGAGCCCAGCAGTTCAAGACCAGCCTGGGCAACATAGCAAGACCCCTGTCTCTTAAGGAAAAAAAAAGGCCCTTGTACATGGTCTCCGGTCTCCCGGGATGGGGGTATGCTATCTGCTGGAGGTAGGTGAGGGGTCCAGGCAGAGTGGGGTGCAGGGATGGGCCGTGCAGCTCTGATCCAGTGACCCTGGCCAAGCCGGCACCCCGTGGATGGCCCAGCTCCGCCCTGGCCATCGACTGAGAGGCAGAGGCAGAGCCCTGAGTGAGCCGCCGCGGCCAGTGGGGCTGGGCGGCTTGGAGGGGCAGCACCTTGGTCCGAGCGACCCGGGGTGGCATTCCCCTGCATCTTAAGACCATAAACAGCTACTACGCGCATTCATAAATACACAATTTTATTTGCTATTTCCAGGGGAAACTTAGGCATTAAACTGTAAGCTGATAAAATACGATACCTAAAAAAGTATAAAAGTATAAATATCCCCTTAGAATAAATTTTAGTGAATTAAGTCTTAATATCTTTAAATTAAAAAAACCACAAGCCTATCTACTATGTCAAGGTCAAAAATCAAACAACGCTAAGCGGCCAGCAGCTCCCCAGAGAGGATGCCCAGGAGCCCCAGCGGCCGCCTTCCTCCCAGGCTCTGCTGGGGCTAAGTCTGCCTTCTAGAAAGGCTTTTATAAATTGTTTAAGCCAAACATTTAACAACATACAAGAGACCTTACAAAAAGAAGGAGGTAAGTCCTAATGCTGGAGAATTGGTTAATCAGGTGACTGGCAAAGAGGAGGATGAGGCCTAGGCAGGAAGTCTCCAGAAGCATTGGAAACCAGACAGTGTCAGAGCCTCTGACCTGCAGGCGGGAGGCCGGTGGTCAGTCTGCACAGTACCCCTTGGGAAGCCGGAGTTCCGGAAGCAAAGCGCTTGGAGCCCGCCCTGCACGCCGAGTCCCCAGACTCTGACAGGTCCCCACAGCCAGCTGAGAAAGGTCTGTTTTCAAAGCATGCGGGCAGCGGTTTCTAAAGGAATCCCAGCAGCTCCCACGGCATGTCGGGCAGAGCCCGTGCAGGTCGAGTGAAGTCCCAAACATCCCAGAAAGAGAGGGAAGGCTGCATAGTTATACAAAGAAAATGAGAGAGCGGCGAGAGAGAGGCATTTGTGATGCTCTGTAAACATCCCGAATTTTCACCGTGACGCAGACCTTCAGCTCCAGAAGCCAGTGGACAGGCCTCCAGCCCAACCTCTATGCCAGGCGTGACAAGGCACTGACAGACGCCAGCTCCCCGTGAGCCCGCAGTGGGAGGGGCGAGGCGACACTGCTACCTCGCGCTAACGGATGGAACAGATCAGTCTCCACGCGGCAAGCCCTGTGGGCATTTCCAGAGGAAAAACGCTGGGGAGTCTATCCACACAGAGAAGGGGTACAAAGTTCTCTTGCCTGGAAAATACAAATTGAGAAGCCTTGACTGTCCCGGGCTTGGTCAGGTGGGGTTGGAGCCCGTGTCAGAAGAAGGCCCGGCCTCGGAATGGCGCCGGGAAGCAGTGACGACGCAGAAGCCGCCTTTGTCAGGAGCTCTGCGAGGTCGAGAGAAACCAGCGATCCCGCCTGGGAGGCAGAGCAGACTCCCTGACCGAGACTAGGGCCTGGTGGTCGGACCAGAGGCCACGACGTGCTGGACACTGACGCGGCTGCGGCCGCTTCCTGCCAGTGAAGCCCAGGCTGCTTTTCCAGACTGTGTGTAGCACCAAGAACGCTTCCTTCACACGATCTTCAGGATCGAGCGGGCTGACTGGGAGTGTCTGCCTCAGTCCCACGTGGCACTTGGAAAAAACAGAGCGAGGCCCCCCCAAGAGGCAGCGCCCACCCGGCCGCCGTGCTCCCCCAACTTGGGGACGTCTGGCCTTGGACAGCTGGGCCCGTCTCTCACCACCCACCTCAGAGGCAAAAAAGGATTCACACCCAGATCTCTAGAAAAATGATCAAAAGCAGGTTTCTTCTCACAGCCAAGCTTCCTGGACATGGCAGTTCATTACATCTCGGGAAAACGTAAATCATTTCTTCAGCTGTCAATACTGTGTCCCTCACATCCTTGAGCCTCGTTCTTGCAAAATCTGAAAAACACCAAATGCATAAAATGAGGACTTGGGCTGAGGAGGTGTCCCTGACCAGGCGCCTGCTCCAGAAAACAGAGCCCACAGGCCTGGGGTTAGCTCGGGGAGCCCCGGGAACCCAGCGGCACTGGCCAGGGTCTTGGGGACTCAGCTGGCAGGCCCAGGACCTTCACCGGGGTGTCTGGCACATCTCCAGGCCCCACACAGGGAGCGCTCACTGTGCATGGCAGCCCCTCCCAGACCCACCCAAAGGCGCTGACTCTTGGGCCTCTCAGCCCACTCAGTCCTGGGCCTCAGACATGAAGCGCAACTCGGCCCGCGGGTCCCTCAGCAGTCCAGTCCCCCCTCCCCAATTAAGTCTCTCCCTCTGTTCCTCCATGCCCACTGCAGCCCCCACCCCCACCCCGACGCCCGGACCCTCCTGGAGATGCCCCTCACCCAAGCCCTCGGCCCTGCACCTCAGCCTGGCCAGCCCACCTCATGTGCTGGCCCCTCCCGACTGCCCCATGGAACAACCACCAGCCCTCAGAGGGCCCTACCCCAAGTGCAGATCACGCTGCGGGGATCCCCTCCTCATCTGTACCACGTCAGCCCTGCAGAGCCCACGGCCCCTCGGCCCCCTGCCCTCCCCACCCTCCAATCTCCTCAAAACTCTTCCTCAAGGTACCCTCCCCACTTCCCTCACCAGTGTCCAGGAACCCCCTGAGGCCACCCCCAAGTCGGCCTGGGCTCCCCTGAGGACAGGCTCAGGCGCTGGCCAATGCTGCTGAGGTGAACTCCCAAAATGAGCCATGGCAGCTCCAGAGACCAGGTGGAGGGGAAATCACCCCACGCTCCCGAGCAGAGAGCTTCGGAGCCAGCCAGCCTCACTGTGCGTGGCCCACAACAGCTGTCTCCATGTGTCACGTGAGGGCTGCCCAACACCAGGTAGGGCAGCAACGCCCACGCCCTCGCCGGGCACAGCCTCCCAGAGGTCACTGCCATGCCGCACTGACCGGAGAGAGGGCAGTGGTGAGAGGTGCATGCCACCCCAGGCTTGTTCCGAAGGCTCCTGGAGGCCACGTCCCCTGAGCTGCTCAGCCTGACTCCAATACTCCACCCCCCAACAGCTCTGCCGTTCCCAGGCGGGTGCCCCCCAGGCTCAGTGCCCTGGACCACTTCTAGCTCGAGGCTCCCACTCACTCTCCAGTGCCTCGGAGGAGCCCATCCCCCTGTGCGAGGGGCAGCACGTCCCTCCCTGGGCCAGGGTGATTCCCAAGTTTACTGGGATGTCTGGAGTTGACTTGGGGAGACAGTGCAGCCCCCAAGCCCCCACCAGCCCTGTGTAAAACTAAGTAGCGCAGCGGACAGGCCAGGAGCAGTGTGGCATCTGAGCATCCGGGAGCCCCAACAGCTCCCTCCTGATGAGGGCAGGAGACACCCTGGAGACCTGCAGCCAAAGTGCTGTCCTTCGCCCTCCCAAGGCCGGGAGCAGCACGGGCTACTCTAGACAGAGCCTGGGGTGAGACCCATCTTTTCTGGACACACTGTCTCCCTAGGCCATCTTCCACAGGAAGGTCCAACTGCAGACACCAACCAGGGGGCCCTTGAGGCTGTACCCCATGGCCAGACACCCCCACAGGCAGGCAGGCCCGGGTGGCTGAGGGGCTTGCAGGACACGGCTGGCCTGGGAGGCTTAAGCGCATCAGGGATGCCGCAGGATTTGGCAGCTGAGATAGGGGTCTGCTGTCTGCCGCACTGGTCCTGACCCCTTGGCCCTGAGCCTGTGGCCTAAGCCAGACAGGAAGGTCACCCACTAGGGCTGGCGGCACGAGTGGCACTCCCTGCCCAGCCCCCAGGAGGGGCTCTTGGGTTCACGACCACTGATGTCCACAGCCTGGCCTGGCACGGGCACCCTCCAGTCATCCCAACAAACGCCCCAACACTGCCCCTGGGCATCTGCCTCACAGCAACAGCCCCACCACCAAGACAGTGCTACTGAGGATCTACAGCTGGCATGGAGTGCGGACGGCTCTCGTCAACTACAGGCAGGGACAGACACACAGGGAGGGTCTGTGGCAAGGGTCAGCTGGGGCCATGGGGTCAAGGAGGCCACGGAGCTCACCATGACATTCACACTTAATCTGAGCCACTCCCTGGGTGCCCCTGGTCCTCGTCGTCACTCTGGCGGCGTGCAGCGCGCAGTGGGGGAGAAGACAGGCTGTCAGGACAGTGCGGGTGGGCGGGTGCCCCGGGCCCAAACCCCCACGCCCGGTGACCTTCCAGTGAGGCCACGCCACGAGGGGACACACAGGCTCAGGGGCTCTGCCACATCTCAGAGGTGGAAACCTCCACGTGTGAGGCGGCTGCATCTTGCGATCCGGGGCTGGTCCTGTCCCACCATGTGCTGAGGGGCTGAACCCTGTCCAGAGGCGCCTGGCCTCTGGCCCCACTCCTGGCAGGCGGCGCTAGCCCACAGATCTCGGCCTGATAGGAGGGCCTCTGCTGCGTGGGCTCTGTGGACCCCACTGCATTGGCCCCACTGCTGCAGGAGGGAGGGTGGGGCCCTGGGTCACAGGAGGGATCAGCCACGGGGGCAGGCGGTGGATGCACCCATCGAGCATGGCTACGCAATGGAGCCCCAACACCACCAAGGAACCCCCTCCTCAGCCGCCCAGGCACTGGGAGACCCCGGCCTCTGCCCAGGTGCCCGCCCTTGCTGATCTGAGCCTGTCTCTCTCTGTTCCTTGGGAATAAATGGCGGCCTTGAGTCTAAGCGCTCTCAGTGAGCTCTGCGAGTCCTTCTAGCAAGTTCTTGAGGGACTGGCGTGGGAAGCAGGTGTGCTCATGTGTGGACCGCCTTCACTTGCTACAGGTGCAACCCCTCCCGCCCCACCACCCAGGCTCTCCCGCCGCCGCTGACTGAAGTGGGGGACAGCTGCCCAGCAGGGCCAGGCCACACATGCTGCAGGGACACCAGCGACGAGGGCCCACAGCCCATGCGGCCCTGCGCAGCCCAGCCAGGGGTGCCCCCATCACGGTCCTCCAGCTCTGGCCCCCGCAATCCCCCACGGCCTCCTGAGGCTCTGGCCTGAGCTCTGCCTCCTGGGGCACTGCTGACACCACCCCCATCAAGAAGCCGCCATAGCTGCCCCACTTCAGAGCAGGTATTTTTGGAAAATGAAATAGGGCCACATTCTCAACCACAAAGGGATTTGGGGTCATGCCTGGAGCTTCCTCACAGTACAGAGCGTGTCCTTTCTGCAGCTGCCAAGCCACCTGAGGGATAGGAGCCCAGGGGAGCTTGGTTATAAAAACTCAGCTCAGAAATAAAAAACTTCTAAAAATAAAACCATTTAGAAAAGAGCCCTACGATTGCTCCAAGAGGAAGAGAAGTGCCTCCTTGTGACTGAGCTGGGGCTCTCAGGGAGCCAGGGGTCGCCTCCTAGATCCGAGACTCAAATGGAAGAGCATCTCCGAGCCTGGCGGTGGAACCCCAGCTTCCACCCCGGCTGTCCCACACCAGGGCCTGCCCCAGCCTACACTGCCTCGGCCTCGAGGAACGGCAGTGGAGCAGGACTGGCCTCTGCCCACAGCAAGAGCACAACGGGTGGCCAGCGAGGGAGGCTCTGGGCCAGGACAGTCGCCTGAGGTGGAAAGGCTGCCGTGAGCTGGCCGCAGGCCTCCGAGAGACATGCTTGGCGGCCCCACCCCTCTGTTCCCAAGGGCATACCTCCAAAGGCCTACTCGGAGAGGCTCACGGGGACAGTCCTGGGCTGCTGGTGGCCGGCCAGAGGCCCCCAGCCAAGAGTCTGCGGTTGCCCAGGTGTCCCTGGTTTAATGCCACCAGTTAAAAGCCTTCCGGTTCTGGCCTCTCATGGCACCCACTCAACACCCTTTGCCAATGCCCCGAGCCTTCGCCCCAGGCTGGCTCCCCACAGAGCCCGCCCCACCACCCAGGCTCTCCCAGACCCACGCAGACCCCAGCCAAGAGCTCTCCAGCCACCACCTGGCTCTGAGGTCCGGGAGTCCTGCCAGGTGCAGCTGGCCCAGGCCAAGGTCAGATTCTGCTTGGATGGACGCATTTGTCCATCTTGGAGCCTCAACCTTAAGAACGTGCTTAGAGGAAATGCCACCAGAATGGGTCACCTGTGGGCAGGGCCACAGGGCCAACCTGAAAGCAAACGAGGCAGGGGTCCCTGCATTTCACCCCAGCTGCCTGCCCCGCAGAAAACAGAAGGGCCTGAGCCCCCGCAGAGTCTGCGCCGGTGCTGCCAGGCTGGGTGCCGCAAAGGGCCTACTCTGTGCAGCCTGAGAATCCCAGGGCCTGCAGGACACCCTCCTCTCGACAAAGATGAGGCCCACGTAGTGGCTGAGCCAGGGTACCCACCCCTGCACTCAGGGATGGCCCAGACCCCCACCACGACAACTGGACCCCCATGTCCCTGCACTCAGGGATGGCCCAGACCCCTATGACAGCCAGGCCTCAGCATCCCAAGTCCTCACTCACACAGCAGAGGCTGGGCCCGGGGAACAGAGGACCCTGGGTCCCCTGAGACACAGCCCTCAGTGGCATTCCTAAGAGCATGGCCCCTGCAGCAGGCCTGGGGCCCCTTCCAGGAGCAGCTCTGCATGCAGGCTGGGAGGCCGCAGGGGCTTACTGGGAGCCTGTGTCGAGAGAACCTGTCCCACGGGAGACCGTGTGTCCAAGAAGTCAGCAAGGCCACCAGGGGCGGACACCGGGAGCTTGATGAGAATGGCAGAAAAGGAGGAAGGTCTGAGAGGGCAAGAGCCTTCCCCACCCAAGACTGCCCCAGGCCAGGGCCGGCCCAGCACTCACCTTGGCCTTCTCGCTGGGCTCGCTGGCCGTACCGTACGGGGTGTTGTGCAGCTCCTTGGACACCACACAGAGGAACTCGGCTTGGTCTTCGTTCCCATAGTTGTAAGAGGAGCCGATGCTGACCAACTGCAAGGAGACATAGCCTGAGACGCAGCCCAGTGAAGCCTGAGAGACCCAGCCAGGCTGACATGACCAGCCTCAGGACGCGCCTGCCACCGCGAAAGCCACAGCAAAGACTGCCGACGCTTCAGGAAATGGATGGAAAACAAATCCCCGGAACACCTGCACGAGCACACGGGGCGGCACCCCACGCCGTGGCATGGCATGGGGCGAGCTCTTCCTCTGTGAGGACCCTGAGCTTTCCTTGGCGCTTCCAGCTGGGCCAAAAGGGGCTGCTGCCCCAGGGGGACGGAGCACAGACGGGTCCCTGAGCTGGGGCGGAGGGAGGGGGGCAGCGGGAGGAGAGTGGAGGGCGGCTCTGAAAACCTGGAGGGAAGAGCCTGGGACCAGCTGACTGGACCGAAAGCCGCTGGAGGAGCTGTGCTGTCCAGGAGTTCGGCCAGGGCGGGTCTGCTGCAGCCTGCTGGCCACACCCTTAGGCCACTCCAACCTGCCTCCCTCCGGGTCACCAGGCAGGCCAGGCCAATGCAGGTCCAGGGCCAACCTGTCTCTCTGGCCAGGCATCTGGCCCATGGCTGGCTACCCTGGGCCACCAGGCACTTCTGTGCTTTTAAAGGGAAAATTAAAAGGCAATACGCAAATCACAATAAGCATGACAGCAGCAGATGACCAAGCCAAAAAGCAGCTGGACGAGGCTCACACTTTGGCCTCTCTAAGACCTGCGCAGTTGGACCAACGGCCGGGAGAGCAGCCCGCAGCTACCTGCTGCTCCTGTATAGCTGGCGGCTGACCCAGTGGGCAGCAGTGGACCCAGCCCAGTGAGGCGGCCACAGGGGTGCCGGCATGGGCCCAAGCAGCTAAGGGTACCCCTGGGAGCACTCACGGCCATGCCCCCCGGAGCCCCTGTGTCCTCACAGCCACTTCCAAGCCCTGCTTGCAATCCCCTGCTGACCACTGGGGACCCTGGGTCCGGTCTGGCCACCTCCCAGCACCCCGCAGGGTCCCACCCCACAGCCGGGACAGCTGGTCAGCCCAGCGGCTTCCCTACATGAACTGGGAGAAGGGGTCCCCAAGGGATGAAGCGTGCCAAGCAGGTCGTAATCAAGGAAGGGGGAGGACACCCGTTCTTTGCAATGGGTTTGGAATCCACCCAGAAGTGCTAAGGTCGAAGACCTGAAGCTGCCCCGGGAGGCAGGTGCCCACCACGGGCAGGAGACATTGTTCCCTCCCAGCCAGAAGTCACAAGACGGTGGCAGAAGAGCACAGGTGCCACATGGGGACAGCCCTGTTCGCGGACCCCGAGCTGCTGACACGGCTTCCCAGGGCCCCAGCCCCACCAAGGGACAACTGGGAGGTGGGGCTCGCCCAGCAGCAAAGATTTCTGTTCCCGTGGGAGGCTCTGGCACGATTCTGATGAGGTGCAGGGCAGGGACCAAGCAGCTGGTCAGCAGCCCTGTCAGCACAGAGACCCAGAGTCACCCCGGCCCCCGGCCTAGGGGTCCAGGGTGGACGGTGGGACACAAATGTTTTTAGTGACATTTTAAGGGGGGGGGGGCTCCAAGTACCCTACAATGTGATCTATTATTTTGAAAGACTCCAAGGAAAAGGTAGCTTTCATTCAGAGGGACACTGGCTGAGCCTGTCACTCCCACAACCTGGCAGGCGCACTGGGCCATGGACAGAACCTGCCCCAGACAGAAGCAAGTGACAGAGGAAACTCAGGACAGGGAGGGCTGGGTGAGGTCACTGTCCCCACCCTCAGTGTCTGTCTAGCACCAGGAACAGTGGCAGCCAGGTCGTGGGCAAGGGCCCCCCGGTCAGAGGCCATGCCTCACGTGTCCTGAGGTCCCCGATGACAAGCCACAATGCCATGGCACAGTGGCCCATGCAGCACTCAGGTGGCTTCCGTGGAAGCTGCTGAAGAAGGCATGCCCTGCACAGACCCATCAGACCCCACCCGCCGCAGCTTGCCAAAACCAGAGAGAAGGCAACGAGGGCCTGGCAGCACCTTCCAGCATGGGCGGGAAGGGGAGGCAGCCTGGGAAAGGCGTCAGGGCCTCCATATGCTCCGATGGAGTGAGCTGTGGGGGACGGGGATTGCGCTGGATAGTGGGCTGGCCAGGAGGCTCTGGGGACGCCAGTCCCCTCCCTCACACAGAGGTGCCAGATGATGCGAAGAAAGCGCAGCGCTGGGAAGAAGAGGCAGGCCAGGGAGGAGGGGAAGGTGCGGGGCAGAGCCTGAGACACCTCTGCCCACCCCACCCGAACTCCCAAGGCTCCTCCAGTGGAAACAGGGCACAGGTCGCTGCCGTGAGCACCCCCAGAACTGCAGGAAGACGCCAGCAGCAAAGTCTGCATTTCCAGGAGCACTGAGCCCTGAGCCATTGTGAGCACAAGTTCAGCTGCAGCATGGCTGCCACCAGGCTGGCCAGGGCCCCTCACCTGCTCGAACTTCCAGCCGTCGGACATGGTGGACACCATCTGCGTGAGCTCCTCCTCCTGGCACTGCAGCACACGGTACACATGCTTCACAGGCACCTGCAAGGACAATGGGCACAGGTAAGGGCGGGCCACCCATGTCCCACTGCTGCCTGTGGCCCCAGCCCAGGTGACCCAGGGAGGCTGAGGTCCACTCTGCAGTTCTCAGCACAGGGCACGAGGCCCAAAGCAATCCTGAGCACATCCACAAAAGCAAAACACGCGGCCCGAACAGCTGCTGTTTTCTGCTTCCTCGTTCGCCTCCAAAAATATTTCTATTTCTAAGTTCCAAAATAAAATGAGTCATGTTCCTGAAATCCCAAGAGCACCTGTGGCTCGACATGACGACACGAGAGCGTCCACGTCTGCTCCGCACGCAGCAACCGTGCAGCCCTGAATTCATCGGTCGGGAAAGGCTCTGGCAAGCAGGGCCCTGAGAGCCAGTGCCAGACGAAGCTCGCTCCCAGCTACCAGAAAAAGGCTCTTGAACTTGCGCGGCAGCCTGGACTTGGGCCTCCCGAAGGCTGAGCTGCTTCCTAAAACTCCATCCACCTCCTAATCCCCCACCTGCCTGGCACGCTTGCTGTGCCCCTCCAGGCAGCTGTGGTCCTGGGAGTGATGGTGAGCCACCAGGGCCGCCCGCCTGCATGGAGCTGCTCCCCAGTGGGCGGGGTGGCCCCACATCCTGGACAGTCACTACGGAGGACTCAGGCTGCAGACGGGGCTGGACGGAAACGCAGCAGTGAGAAGGGGTTCAGAGGTCCTGGGTCCCTGACCTTAAGGTGGTGACTCATGCCAGGGATGCCTGAGTGACAAAGGCACACAGTGGCCTCGAGGTCACATGCCCGAGTTGCTTTATTCTGCAAGACAGTGAGATGCTACTGTGTCACAGCAAGGCTGGACCGCAGACTCTCCCACCTGCACCATTTCCTGCCCACCTGCGTCATACAGGTAGGTAGACTGAGGCAGGGAGTGCCCACACAGCCCGGTCACACAACAGGGAAAAAAGCAGACTGGACAAGGTGACCCGGGGCGCGGGACGCAGCTCCTGCCCCACAGACAAGGAGCCCCTCCAGATCCCTCAGTGGCACCAAGGGAGCTCCAGCAGGAGGGGGAACTGGGCAAGTCGCTAGGTGGCCAGCGGCCCTGAGCGGCCAGGCTAGGAGCGTCTGCACAGGGCCCAGGGCTCTACGTGGACCGAGACTTCTGATGGCAGCCGCGGCCACAGTGCGGCACACACCCCACTCCTGGTGCCTTCTCAAGGGAGCTGAGCTTGGGTGGGGGGGGCGGGCTCAGCTCTCAGGGACGGGACTGATGCCCAAGGCCCAGCAGTGGCCCCTCCACAGGAGGTACTGGGCAGAGCCCACCAACAACCTGGGCTCCCCTGGCTGCAGAAGGGCCGTGCCAGCTGTGAGAGGTGTGTCTGTGGCGAGCCGCCCCTCTTCCCAATAAAACCAAGGTCCTTCTGGCGCCTGCGCAGACCCACACGACCCATCTGCTGTCTCCCTCCAGCCATGCTGGCTGCAGGCCCTTGGCACCCTCTGCTCCCTACCAGATGCCATCCACCTCAGGGTCTCCCCGACCGGCCCTCATGGGGCCCTCCTTCCCTACACACGTCTCCCGTGCCCAACTTCCTCAGAGCCATCCTTTGGGGGCTCCCAGAGTCTGGGCCGGGCAGGATGAATGGATCCTTCAAGGGACCCTGGGGAGAGCCGGGTAGACGGAGCTGGCAGGCACTGGGGCAGTGACAGAGGACAAGGGTCTCAGGGTAGGAGAGCCCCAGACCGCAGGACTTATTTGGGAGGCAGCCGGTCGGGGGAGTAAAGGGGAGCCCTTCCTTCACACCAGCCATACAAGCTTCCAGCCTCAGTCATTTGTCTCACCTGCGATGTTTTGCTGTCTCGTTCTCTAATTTTGTCCTTTACAAGTTTTATTAATGAGGTGATATTGTAAAATTCTGCTTCCTCCAACACTCCTGGAATAAGGAAAAATAAATTGTCTTTACCAGACCAAACTAAACCAAAGAATCCACGCTTTACACCCACCCCTGCCCTTGCCCCTGCCCCTGCAATGAGGGCCCATGGCTCGGCCCAGCGGGAGCTGCTCAGGCCCCGACCTAACAGGCTTCCTGCAGACGTGTCAGCCCAGCAGGGCTCCTGGGATAATGGGCGGAGGGGCCGTGGTGAGAGGGCCGATGTGTGGACTGAACACCTCCAGCTCAGGTCACCCCAGGTAACCTTGAGTGACCTCCAGTGACCCGCCAGGTATGGAGCCGCTGCTTACATGCAGCTCAGCGTATGTCTACGCCGAGGCCATGGTATGCTGGGGGTTGGATCTGGCATTTTCCCTCCAAGCCTGGAGGCCGACGCTTCCTGCTGGGAACCTGCTCATGGCCACGCCACTGGGTGGGGTGCTGTGTGGGGCTCAGGCCTGCGGCCTTGTGCATATGTCTCAGTCACCTGGCACCTCAGTTGACCCCATTCAAAGGGAAGACTGTGGCTGGCTGAGAGGGTCACTTCCAGCTCTTCCCAAAGACTGCCATCCGTAATGTGCCGCACTTAGGGACTGCAAACCTCCCTTAAGAGCCTTAAGAGCAGATTCCACAGGTCCTGCCTCAGGGCTTCCTCATGGGTGGTCTTCATTCCTCCAGGACCCCAGAGGAACCCACATATGGCACATGGCAGCTCAGGACAACACCCAGCCACCTACATGGGACAGGGCCACGCAGGATAGAGACAAGGAGACGAGGGCCTCAGAGACACAGGCTTCCCGGCCCCGCATGGGTCCCGCACAGCCCCCTTCTCTAGCACCCAGGGCGTGAGTGGCTGCATCGGGGCGGGATAGAGGCAGACCGGTGAGCCTGGGCGGCAGGGCCTTGGTCTGTGTCTAGCGCCCGTTTCTGAGCCAATCCCACTAGGGGCAGAATGAGATAAAGCGAAGCCTCGACTCGAGCGGCTCCACGACAACACAAGCGGCTGCCCAAGCGACCAGAGAGAGTACATGTGAAAGACATTCCCTGCCAAAGAGACAGGAGTGGGGATCATGGCTCACAGCCTCAGAGCAGGGGCAGGGCTGGGCCACAGCCCCCGTCACTCCACGCCCCGCGTGAACTCGGAGGAGGCAGGCAGATGCCGAGGCCCAGAGGCCCAGAACAGAAACGGAGTCAGACGCTGCCCAGTGCAGACCGATGCGCAGACACGGACCCGGGGGAGCAGGGCCACGCCCGCACGCAGGTGCCCAGAAACCCTCAGCCTTCACGGCGAGGCCTCGAGCTGTTCTGAGCCAAGCCAGCACCGCAGCACACAGGCAGGCCAGCCTGGGCCCAACGCGTGTGGGCGCCGTCCCTGCACCACGATCACTCAGAATGGAACACGGCAGCTGGCAGCAGCAGGCACAGTCCAGGTGATGGCACAGAGACATTCACCACCCTTGGGCTGTCCTTGAGGGAGAGCAGGCCAGGGAACCAGGCCCTGAAGCACGCCGTGGGCATCACCGGGCATGTGCCTCACACACCCGCTCAGACCACCTCAGTCACAGCAGGGAGGAACCCCTCACACCCCTTGTGTCGCCAGCCGGAGCCTGGACAGAGGGAGCCCTCCAAGGAGCTGCAGCCAGGGAGGACCCCACACCCACAGGGTCCCCAGGCCTCCCTGTCCGGCAGCTGCGCCGCTGCCCGTGGCCTCAGCACCAGAACGTCGGCCCCAGCTTCAGAGTACAGGGCCTGCTCCTCCCTGGGGCCCCAGGCTGCAGGCATCTGTGTCTTAAGTGGAGCCCTTGGCACCTTTGTCGGGCCCTTGCCCCCAAAGCTAAGGCACCTGTGCCCAAAACTCGGCTTACCTTCCTCCGCGAGGTCTTTGTTAATCACCAGCTTGCCGTGTCTCAGGTAGTTCAGCACAGGCCCAAAGTAGGTGGGGTCTCTGTCGATTAAATAGGCGCCTGTTTCATCCTAAAGAGAGCAGAGCACGGTGAGTCCTCCGTGAGAAGCCGAAGGTTCCTGCAGGTCCACCAAGGCCCGGCCACCTCAGGAGGCTTCAGAGGCACCAGGTTACCCAGGCCTCTCCCCAGCACACCTGAGCCTGCGGCATCTCAGGAAACCCCTGACGGTGTGGCCACGTCCTGCCGCCTACAGCCTAACCCTGACCAGCCACCACCCCAGGTCTAAGTGAGTTTAAGTCTCTCCGTACGGAGGCAGCCTGGCTCTGCGTACTCCAAGGTGAGCCCACTGTGCCCTGGACCTCTGTCCTCACAACTGCAAGACCTCTAGGAAAACACACACGAAAACCTCACCCAGAGATGCCCTCGCGGGCAGGGCAGGGGCCTAGGGCTCAGCCTCAGAAGGACACCTCTGATGGCCACCAGCCTGGGCCTGCGCTCCTCGTGCCCGGGTCCTCCGCAGCCTACATGCAGGAACCGGGGGTCAGGGTGACAGGGGCTTCCTGCCAGGGGTGGAGAGGGCACCTTTCAGCAGGGGCGGCTGCCCAACAGGCCGGGAGCCAGCAGCGAGGGAGGCCACAGTGACCGGCACTCAACAGCATCCGGGGCTTTCCCCAAGATCATCACTCACCTCACAGAGCCCTCGCCCCGGCTCAGCGCTCACGGAGGCCGAGATGTTTACAAAACAGACCCCTCGGAAGGTGTCCTCACGCACCTGGGTGGAGGGACCCCTGAGAGGCACTGCCCCTGCTGCTACCACGGCCACTTCAATGTGGGCAGATGCCCTCTGAGGCCCGGGGTGCCCCACACATCACACCTTGCAGCCCCTTCCACAAAGCACAAGAGCCCCAGTGGCCCGGCCGTGAACACAGGACGGGGGCTCAGACGCCCCAGGCAGCCCCCATGGGGGAGACGGAAGAGGCAGTTTCTGTCTTGTCGGCTACACATCTGATGGGGGGACTGCGAAGCTGGCACAGCCTGTCTTCTACACAGACTCAGACCTTCCGTGTGGCTCTGCTGGGGCAGCTCCTGCCTCCCCCCACATGCCTGCAAGGGTCCTGCTCCCACCTGCGAGCCACTCCCACAGGGGCTGGTGCCTGCGGGTGCCCTGGAGGCCGGGGAGCTGAGGCCTCCGTTCAGAAACACCGGCAGCCTCCCCGGCGAGGCCCAGGGCCAAGCGCTGGAGAAGCAACCCCACACCCCATTCGGAGCAGGAGCAGCCCCCTCACCAGATGGTGGCTCCTGTGGGGCCATGGGCAGGCGCTGGCCACGGGAATGCCAGGCTCGCAGATATGGGGAGGCCGAAGGTGTCTCCACCACAAAGCACGGGGCCACGCTAGGACCCTATTTTCATCCATGGACAAATTCTGCCATTTGGGTGCTAAGACCTAGTGGTCTCAAGAGATTTTCCCAAAGTCCACCACCGCAAACCTGCAACAACCTGCTCTTTTTAGATCACAGGGACTGAGTTTTGTGGCTGAGATAAAATCAATTAGGGCTCCGGGCATGGGGGCGCTGGACCCGGAGCCTCGGCGGCCCCCCTACTCCTTAGGGTGACCCCAGCTCCACACAGACCTGACCCTATCCTCCTTCCCCACCCTCCCCCGGAACACTCCAGCCAGAGCTGCCCACCCCACAGGCCCTGCCTCCTGGGCTTGGCCCTGCCTTTCCCCAGCCCTCCAGACTCCACAGCTCTCAAGCAAGGGCCGGGGCCACAGGGCCAGCTCCCGGGAAGAGGACGCTGGGCGGTCCTGCGCAACTGCTAAAAAATGGACACCATTTCCCACAAAGGGGCCCAAGTCTGGCAAGGCGGCCAGTGCTGCCACCCGAGTCCAGGGTTCCTCCCTGCCCCACCCCCATACAGAGAGAATGCTGGCCGCGTGACGTCCGCACACCGCTCAGCTCAGGAATTATTCACGGCTCACTGCTACCTCGACAGACCGCTGGCAGGAGGTCAGGAAAGATCAGATAGGGCGGAGGCTCGCCTCTGCCCAGGACAACCCCAGAGAACCCCTTTGTCAGCCATGGAGGCCTCCAGGCCTGGCCTCAGTGGTCAGACTGCAGGCTCACAGCCAGGCCACCCCAAGCCTCAGTTTCTTTACGAGCAAAAGGTGGGGGAGACCAGCTCGTGTAGCTCGGGGCCGCCATGAGTGCCAGGGCACCCAACCTGTGGCAGGACCTGGGCACTGAGCCGTGACCTCTAGGCCAAGACAACCCACCATGTGCTTCTCAGGCCCTGGGCCGGTGCAAGAGGAGAAGGAAGCGTGCTGGGCGCCCCCAGACACACGAGGCAACCCCAGCCCTGCAACTGGAAGGATGAAGGCAGGAGGGAAGGAGGGCAGGGTGGGGACGGCCATCGGCGGAAACTGCACAGCAGGACAGAGGAACACAGACAGGTCCAAGGAGCCGGCAGGGCACTGAGCGTGCTGGCACTGGGCTCGGCCTCAAGACGGGCAGGCAGGGGTAGGCCGCTGCCGTGTCTTGGCCACTCCTACCACTGGGCGGGGCTGGCTTTTCCATTAAACACCCCCTTTAGGAGGCAGCTTTTGTGGCTGATGCTTTGAAGGAACTCCTGACCTCAGTCTGGCCACAGCTGGCCCAGTGCGGTGATGCCAGCAGCAGGCCAACTGGTGCAGCTGCTGCCATCACGTGATACCTGCCGCTGCAGGGAGGGAACAGGGAGGAGGCGAACAGACCCCACTCCCCACACCATAGCCCACTGCCCTCAGCATGGCAGGAGAGCAGCATGGTTGGGTGGAGAGGGGCCCCGATGCAGAGCTGGGGCTGTGCTTCGGGGGCCTGGGGTGGGTAGTGAGAGTGGCACCAGCGGTGAGGACCCAGCCAGTGGCACAGCCATCACACCCACCCCACTGAAGATGTCAGGTTCCCGGGCCTCGGGAGGAGGATCTGCGTGGGGCTGCCTGGGGCTGCAGCCCTGGGGTTCGCCCCACCCAAACTATGGCTGCAGACCCGGGCTTCCCGCTCCACGGAGCAGGCAGGCCCACAACTGCAGCTGCCCAAACCACAGCCTCAGGCATCCCTGCACTCTTGGGGGCCCAGAAAGGCCCCTCTGCCGGGCCCTTGCAGGCTCAGAAGTGCCTGCTCTCACTGCCTGGCTTACTCCTATTGTTGGTGCCTGCTCCGATCTTGGAGCAAAGTTGGGGCCGAGCCCAGGCGCCATGTATGGCAGCAGGAGGCAGATAGATTCCTGGGAAGAAGGGGGTAGGTCCCCGGTAAGGCCCCACCTTCAGGCCAGGGAGGGCATGAAGGCTGGGGCCGGGCTGCCAGTCCCGGGGACCAAAGTGGGGACTTGTGGTGCGTTTTCCGGGCCTGCCCATGAACCAATTAGTATGCACTTCCTTCCCTCTGGGTCCATAAGAGCCCTGGGCTCAGCCAGAGCAGGGCAGAGGACAAAGAGGACAGAGACAATTGGCAAGTGGAAGACCAGCTGCAGAGGGAAGCTACCCTCTCTGCTGAGAGCTGGGAAGTCAATGGAGAGGAGCCAGCCAGTCCGGGGCCGCTTCTCTGCTGAGAGCTGCCAACTGAATGAGCCGACCTGCCTACAGAGAGGAGCTGCCCCCACAGTCTCCTCTGCACTGTCCCAACACTTGGTAAAGCTTCTCTTCGTCATGCTCACCCTCCACTTGTCTGCTACCTCATTCTTCCTGGACGCAGAACAGGAACTTGGACAAAGGTGCTGCCGGCCAGAGACGTTTCTGGCCAGAAAAGCGACACCCTAAAGACACCGTATCAGCAGGGCTGGGCACATCCAGACACAGGGACGTGGAGCTTTGCAAGGCCAAGTTTACCAGCCGGAGCCATGGCACCTTTCCAGGGTGCCTGAAGAGAGATCCTGCTGGCAGTGAGAGCTCTGGCCACAGTGGCTAGGCTCTGCCCAGCTCGTCTCAGTCCCTGGAGCTCAGGCTCCTGACAGAGGGACCAGGAAGCCCCCGGACGCACCTGTGTGGGAACCGCACGCCCCAGGAACCTTCCTGATGCGCTTTCCCTGCAGCCTGTGGCTCCAGCCCATCCCTGTGCTCAGGGGCCAGCAGCCTGGGTGCAAAATACCCAGCCATCAAAGGCAGGGGAGGCTGAGGCACCGCGGGGGACCCCACGTGCATCCAGTTAGGAAGAGACTTGAAAGGAGCAGCCTCTGGAAGACTTCCAGGAGTCCAGATGCTTGTTGCCAACCTCGCTGGGAGCCAAGGCTGCAGGGCAGAGGAGCAGAGAACCCCAGCTGCGTCTACCAAGAACCTGCCAGCCGCTCCACACCCCCGCCGCCCCAGTGCCTCCAGGACAGTGGGCTTCCTATGGGGCCCCCGCCACAGTACACTCCTCCCACGTGGTTCAATTCTCTGAGCCCCACGACCTCTGGGCCCATGCAGGACCTACCCAGGCTGCGTGGACTCGGCGCGCCGGGCCTGCAGCTGCCCCCACAGCCCTCTCCCGGAGTGACACTGCAGAGCCCTGCGTGGCCCTAGAACCCAGCTGAGCCGCCGGGCACCAGAGGCTGAAGGGCGAGCAGTAGGCTGAACCCTTGGTGGGAAATTCCAAAACTGGCTCTTCTGTGGCTGGCCTCACAGCTCTCCGGCCGTTTCTTCCCATGGGTTCCTTCTAACTGGTGGGTTTCCTCGAGAAACAGGCCCTGTCTGGGCAGAGCGGAAGGTCAGGGACATCCGCACCAGGGCGGGGAGGCAGTGGCGTGTGGAGGTGCTGCTCTCACCACTGCTCTCTTTGAAGCTTTCAATGAGAGATTTCCACATCCATAGGAAGTGCCAGGGTCTTAAACCAGGACCCCCAAATCCCACCAGGGTTCGGGTCTCGCTGTGGCCTGACTCGCTTCCAAGCATGTAGGCAGGGTCTTGGTGCTCCCAGCTCGGGTGAGCCCACATGTTCCAGATCGGCCTAATGTGTGCGGGGGCTACTCGTGGTGCCAGCCCAGGCCCAGACAGTGCCCAGCCCAGGCGCGAGGGCCTCGGCAGCTCACTGCTGGTGTTGGGGATGTGGATCAGCCTCCACCCTGATGCAGAAACAACAAAAAAATATGGAACATGGGAAAATGGGAAACACAAAATCATACAAAATTCAGGATATACTCCGAGGCTCATGGAGACAAAGGCAGCAAGGTCACCTCGGGGAGGTTTAGAACAGCGTCTGGGCCAACCTAGGCAGGGCCCCTGTGCTGCCCGTAAGGCCATCAGCGGCGCCTGCCCAAGCCCCCATGACACGAGGAAGGAAAGATGCCCCGGCCCGCTCACGCCTCTACGACTGGGATGAGGAGAGGCGGCCAGGAAGCCAGTGAGATGCTGCGGGCTGGGCGTGGGGGTGCTCTTCTTCCTGGCTTTCTCATACGTTCCACGGCTTACACAACCAGCACAGGCTGCGCTTGATCTCAGGAAGGTTCGTGGTGGTTTTTTTCTAAAACAGCCATAATTAAGACTGTTTTATTGACAAGTCATTTCCCTCATCTTCCCCGCGTCTCACTGAATTGGCATCTGACCTACTTGTGGCCGGGCCCAAGCTGGCATTGAGTGGGCCCAGCAGGCTGGGCTGAGCCACCCATCTCCAGAGGTCCCAGGCTTCAGCCGGAGCCACAGGACGTAGGCCGGGCAGGACAGTTGCCAAACCACAGAGGAGAGGGCGACCCTGGCCACGGGAGCACATGGCAGACAGCGCCGAGCCAGGGCACACACAGCCCTGGCAGACGGAGGAAGACTCCGCAGACAGAGCTGACTGCTCGCCCACTCCCCAGGTCCACAGGGCAGCCGCAGATGGACGTCTGGTCAGGAGAGCAACACTCAGAGAAGTGTGGTAACAAGACTGGCCGCTCTGCTCATCTCACCAGACTCCGGCTGCAGCTCTCCGCCATCCATGCTGTCACCCAGCAAAGCACCGGGGGCAACGTGGGGGTTCCCCAGCCTCTCAGGGACAGGTCCCTAATGCAACCAGCAGCCTTGAAAATGGCAGTGAAGGGCTGGGCACAGTGGCTTACGCCTGTGATCCCAGCACTTTGGGAGGCCAAGGCAGGCGGATTACCTGAGGTGAGGAGTTCAACACCAGCCTGACCAACATGGTGAAACCCTGTCTCTACTAAAAATACACAAATTAGCCAGGCATGGTGGAGGGTGCCTCTAATCCCAGCTACTAGGGAGGCTGAGGCAGGACAATCACTTGAACCTGACAGCCCCGTTGCAGTGAGCCAAAATTGTGCATTACACTCCAGCCTGGGCGATCCAGTGAGCCTCTGTCTCAAAAAAAAAAAAAGAAAAGAAAACGGCAGTGAGGAATGAGGGTGGAGACTGCCAGGCTCTCACGCCAGATTCTGAACCCAACATAACCCTGCTGCTGCCCAACCCTCCCGCAGCTCCCAGAGCTCTGCAAAGAGGGTCGGCCCTGCGGCTCTCAGTCATTCCCGGTGCTCGGAGACACGTGCCACCAGAGGGGAACGAAATCAAGAGGGTGCAGTGCCCTGAGCCAATCCAGGAGATAAACTCTGTCAAATTGCCCCACAGAAATCTAGACGCGAAGGCATAGAATTTCCTGTGCACCAACATCTGCAATCAACCTAATTAGAAATACTTAGTTTTTACTCTGAAATTATCCATTTCAAGTGACTCTGTTTCAATTTCGCACACAAAACCTTCACCTCTACTCTCTCTTCTGTTTTGTTTTATGCAGCTGTGGCATATCTTTGGCCCACAAGAGGACTTTGATGTCACCAATTACTAATGGGGAAACTGAGGCCAGAGACCAAGGAGGCTTGTCCAAGGCAGCCAGATTCGGAGAGCAGGGTGGGGCCCCTGTGCCCTGGTCGCCAGGCCTGCTGCCTCCCCACCACCCTTCCCTTCCATTGCTTCTCGGCCTCACCCAGCATAGAAACTGGAATTTGGGAGGTCCCTGCCCCACACATGACTCAAAGCTTAGTGAGAAGCAGACGTGTGTGGACTCACGACCTGGCCCCTCACAAGAGGTCCTGCGGCTTCTCGGGGAAGAAACATGCTTCAGGTGAACCACGGGGGGTCTTGCCAAGCCGAGGTCGCTGCAGAGAGTCCTGCTCTGCTCGGCAGGAACTGGAGCCCTCTCAGGAGCAGGGGTGTCAGGTTTCTTGCAAGAAAACTCGGGGGCTGCCCAGGAAGCCCTGCCCTCCCCACAGTGCAGGGTCCAGTCCCCAGAGGTGGAGACCCACTCAGCGGGGGCCTGTGCTGCTAGGGTCAGCCAGAGCTCTGGGTGGCAGCAGGGGGACTGGCAGGGCGAGCCACTCCTGGCCATACATGCTGCCTTCAGGGACCTCCGGTGCATCACCCGAGGCTGACAGGGCTGAGTGTGGCCAGAGGTCGACATTAACAGAAATTAAGTGTGGCTGCGGGAGGGGAAAAGCGTTCTTAGCATATCCTTCCTAAAAGTAAAGTACACTCACACCTGTAATCCCAGCACTTTGGGAGGCCAAGGAGGGCGGATGACCTGAGGTCAGGAGTTCGAGACCAGCCTGGCCAACATGGCAAAACCCCTTCTCTACTGACTATACAAAAATCAGCCAGACATGGTGGCTCGTGCCTGTAATCCCAGCTACTTGGGAGGGTGGGGCAGGAGAAATGCTTGAACCCAGGAGGCAGAGGTTGCAGTGAGCCGAGATCACCCCACCACACTCCAGCCTGGGGGACAGAGCAAGACTCCGTCTCAAATAAATAAATAAATAAATAAATATATATATATATATATTTATTTATTTATTTATTTAATAATAAAAACCAAGTACAAACATGAAATGAAGACCGCCAGGCACAACCTCTCCTGACTGCACTGACCTGGCACCAGGTACGGGGCGGGGGCATCACATTTGTCATCTTCAGGAGAGGACGTCACAGTAAAGTAAGGACTTTACAGAGGAAGAAAGCACAGCTCACAGGGGCACGAAATCACCCCAAGTCATAAGGCAGGCCAGAGGTGGGCAGATTCCAACCCAGGCTCCCCAACTCCAAGGAAGATGCTCTGTCACATCAACCCCAGGCCAGAATGTTCTAGACATTCTGCAGTCCATGGAGAACTGCCGAGTTGACGCCCAGGGAGAACAAGCATGTCCTGGGAGAGAGATGGCTTGCTGGCACCTTTGCTACAAGGACCCCTCCCATGGCGCCAGGCAGGCAGGTTCTTCCCCAGGCTTTAAAGACCATGCCTGGGGACTGCTTACCTGGGGCGTGGAGGGGGGCTGCTAAAAGAACCAAAGTGCCTACAAGTGTCTGAAAAGGAGTCCCTGGGATGCCTGGTGGTTAACGACAGGGCCGGGGCGAGACCAGGCAGCAGGCGCCCCCATCACGGCCACAGCCCTGGCGAGGCTTTAGACCTCACTCCGTGACCTTTCAGAGCAAAAACGGCCACACACAATCCGTAAGCAAATGGGCATCTCTGCATTCCTGTAAAACTTTACTTGCAAAAACAGGCAGGTGGACCAGCTTTCTGACTCCTGCTCTAAACCAAGACTAGTCACTGCCCTGCTGGACGACAGCCACTGAAGGCTGTATCTGCAGGGCCAGAAAGAGGAACTGCCCTGCAGCGACAGCATTTCCTCCCAGCCACCCGCAGAAGTCTGGAGGCGAGAATGCCGAAGACCGCGGGCCCATGTCAGGTGCCCCGAAACAAGCTCTTCTCAGAAAGCCTCAAAACTGTTTTCTTTCATTCTTCCTAGGTAGGACTGAACCCATCAGAAACGTTCCATTTCATCACCAGAGTCGAGTCCTTTTCTCAGGAATTTATGGAACTGACTCGTGGCCTAAGGTCTAAAGGGCTTCAGGTGAGGCACCTGATAAAGAGGTGAGCACAGGTTTGCTGAGGACCAGCACCTGCTGCAGTGGGGAAGGAGCGGGGAGCCCCCAGCACCGCAGGGACCATCGCAGAGGTCCAGAATAGAAGATGACTTGTGGTCAGAGCGAAGATCGTGCTCAGAGCCACATCCTCAACTGAAGCGTGAAACAAAGTCCATCAGCGTCGCAGACACCCACTAACGGCCTCAAACTGAGGCCACCATAGCTCTCACCAGTGCTGGCTACACAGAACATCATCTGCCATCTCCACTAGACGTGATCCCCACTTCTCTTGCCAAGCGGCTTCAAAGACGGTACTCTAGCCCACACCCCATCACTGGGCCCTGTCTGAACAATTCCTTCCATAACTTTCCACCCCCGAGGTCTTGCCAACACCCAGTACACTGTTAGAGGCACCCTGACTGCCCCACCCCTCAAAGACCCATCTGATGCCACCACATCTGGAACCCTCAAGCCGGGACAACGGCCCTGTTCAAAGGGCAAAAGTTCACGTGCAGTTTTCTCCAAGGCTGCCTCAGCTGCAGGAACCGAAGCCTCCCCAAATTCTCCTCCATCTGAGTGGTTTCCAACCATAAAGCAGTAGTATTTCCTGTTTCCTTTTAACTCCTCAAGTATCTCCACACTAAAGCAGGGGCTGCTTTAGCTGGAAACAACAAACTCGACTTTGTTTTCAACAATGCCTATGGGCCGGGGACCATGCAATACAAGAGACCTAACCAAAATGAATCGAGTCTTTGGGAAGCCGTATTCCACCTGGCCTGCCCTCGAAGACACCAAGGAAGAGAAAGATGACAGAACAGCAGATGAGCAGATGCTGAAATGCTCACCACAGCCACAGTCCTGCTGGAGGAAGTCCCAGGAGGAAGTGAGAATTCACACCGGGCTGTCTAGAAAGAGAACTTTGTGGCAGCAGGTCGGCCCTTGGAACAGCAGAGTAAGGGCTTGGGAGCGTGGAGTATGGCGGGTGGTGGGTCCCAAGCTGGGCTCTGAGGACTTGGTTGGGGGCAGTCACAGCCCAGAAGCTTAGATGTGGGGCCAGAGGGCAATCAAGCCAGCCCCTTGATGTGCGTGGCTTTCACCACCCTCCCTAACAACCCGTCTGTCAAGAGCTCCCCTCCCTACCAGATAGGATGCTTTAGCAGGGTGCTCTCCCAACCTCTCAGGCACCCAAAGCTTCTGTGGTTTCTTGGGAACTCCTCCCCCTTAAATCTCCCCACCCAACTCCTCTCCAGACCCCCACACTCTGCAAGCCCAGGTGCTCACTCCACACAAGTCTAATAATCCAGGCAGGGACTCTTCCACCAGATCCATGCTTAAGTCCAACTCGAGGAATATTCTTTCCTTAATCTCAACTCTGAGGTCAGGCCTTGGAGATCTTTACAGGTGAATCAACATCCTGTTTGTCTTCCAACGTGTCATTAATGGCCTCCCACTCCTGACACCCCTTCCCCCCCTCCTCAGATTCCTCAGTCAGCATTTAATTAGGAGGAATCTCCTGGGACATTCTTTCATCAGAGCCACTGGAGACAAAACTAAGATGAAGCATTTTACACATTTCCTCATTTGATGAAAAACACCGGAAAACACTTTAGTAACGTGACTAATATGAATTAGCACTACACTTTTGGCAAACTATCTGTCACTAAAACTAACCTTATTTACTCCAATTATTGTTTTCTCCTTTTCTTTTTTCTTTTTTTTTGAGACAGAGTCTCGATCTGTCGCCCATGCTGGAGTGCAGTGGCGCAACCTCAGCCCACTGTAACCTCTGCCTCTCGGTTCAAGTGGTTCTCCTGCCTCAGCCTCCCGAGTAGCTGGGAGTACAGGCACGCGCCACCATGCCCAGCTAATTTTTTTGTATTTTTAGTAGAGACGGGGTTTTGCCATGCTGGCCAGGCTGCTCTCAAACTCCTGACCTCAGGTGATTCACGCGCCTCGGCCTCCCAAAGTGCTGGGATTACAGGCGTGAGCCACCTTGCCCGGCCCCTACTCCAATTATTGTATGAGACAGAGACGACTGTATCTGCTACTTTACCTTCATGTTCTGAATTTGAGTTTACCATTTGGAAATCAAACCTGGTTAAATGGATGATGATGAAAAGAGCAAGTATAACACAGATATATTCAGAAAGATTAATTACCCCTCGCTCAAAGAATTGATTCCTACAGTAAAGCATTTTTTTGTTTGTTTGAGACAGAGTCTTCCTCTGTCATCCAAGCTAGAGTGCAGTGGCGTGATCTTGACTCACTGCAAGCTCCACCTCCCAGGTTCAAGCGATTCTTCTGCCTCAGCCTCCAGAGTAGCTGGGACTACAGGCACGCGCCACCACACCTGGCTTATTTTTTTTTTATTTTTTTTTTTTTGTGATGGAGTCTTGCTCTTTCACCCAGGCTGGACTGCAGTGGCGCTAACTAGGCTCACTGCAAGCTCCTCCTCCCAGGCTCACGCCATTCTCCTGCCTCAGACTGCCTAGTAGCTGGGACTACAGGTGCTCGCCACCGCGCCTGGCTCATTTTTTGTATTTTTAGTAGAGACAGAGTTTCATCATGTTAGCCAGGATGGTCTCGATCTCCTGACCTCGTGATCCGCCTGCCTCGGCCTCCCAAAGTGCTGGGATTACAGACGTGAGCCACCGCGCCCACCTTTTTGTATTTTTAGTAGAGACCGGGCATCACCATATTGGCCCGGTTGGTTTTGAACGAGATCCACCTGCCTGGGCCTCCCAAAGTGTTGGGATTACAGGCATGAGCCACCGCGCCTGGCCCATAATTTTTAACAAAGTCTTAAGGAACAGTAAAGCAAAGGGATCAACCACCTTAACTGTGCTAAAGTTCATCAACTGGGAATCAAGTGCTCCAGTGCTGAATAGACAACCATTGCCTCAAAGAACCCAATGGACAAGAGCAATTTAAACTCTAATTTCATATACAAAACAGGAATGCTTGAGTAGAAAGGCAAGGGAGTGACCACTAAGCCCTGTTATTTAAAAAGAAAAACCAAACAGTAAAACATACACCCACACTTATAAAAGGAAAATCACAGCTAACAAACGCCTATTTCTATCCTGGGGATGACTGTCATTTCCTGGGAGGTCAATTCTCTGAGTAGAGGGCTTGGTCAAATGAGCAATGGAAACAGTTGGAAGTTGTGGGGAGGCACAGGAGGGTTGGCATCTCAAACCCTCATTTCCACCCACAAGGCTGCCTTAGCAGTAACTCCAGATTCTCACTTCCTGATCACGGTCATGCCATGCTGAGAATGGTCTCAGTCAGGCTTCTCAAACTTGAAGAGGGATCCGAACCTTTCTGGGAAGCCTCCTGCATGGCAAATGTTGGCTGCCAAGGCACAAAGCCAAGCGCAGTCATGTAAGCTCAACTGAAAGACCCCGCAAAGTTAGTATAAGGCTTGTGAACTGCCTTGAATAAATATAGGTAACAACTTCTTCAAACAGGCTTTTTTGTGAGTTTCAATCCTGCACAACTCCCAAGACACGGTTCCTCGGCTCCACAACTCTTGATAAATAAAGGTAGCAAAAGGTTTCTATTACCATCTACCCAACAGCATGAGCATTTCGCTTGATGAAAGACAAGCTGCAAACTAACCTGGAAATTCCTGTCCTTTTGCGAAGACAGTGGGAAAACTAAGCCAATTAGAAAGCAGATTGAAAGATTCCTTACCTGACCCTTCCTGGACATCCCTAAAGCAACCCTTAATATGAGCAAAATCCCCTTCGAAAAATCATACTATATACTACGGACGCATCTTCTAAGAGGTGCTGAGTGGGTGCTGCGTGCTGTGGATGGAAAGGATGGAGCGCCAACTCTCTAAATGCAAGTCACCAGGGAAAAAAAGGGCCGCCCATATCAACCCCCACGTCAGCGTTAATTCAAACGTCCAGAATGTGAAACAACGCCAAGGGTTCTGTTTCCAGAGCCAGCAAGTACCCTGGGACAGAGAAGAGAAGGCGTTCACACACCCTGGGCAAAAGAACCTAGTGAGAAAAAGAAAGTAGAATCACAGCAAAGTCCGGGGTCTAGGAAGCCTCCTCCACCAAAGAGCAAAGAGGGCGAGGAAGAGACACCCCCAAGGTGAATCGACTCAGGATCCTCAAAGGCAGTGGACGCCAGGGCGCCATCCTCACCCTCCCCTCCCAGGGTAGGGGATCGGGGCAAGCTGGGGAGGAGCTGGCGACAAGGGAGCGCGGGGCTCGAAGCCCGAGGAGAGTCGCCCGCTCCCGCTGAAGTCTCCTCCGCACGAAGCAGGGCGTGTGCAGGAGCCGCAGGCCGGGAAGGCCAGGACCCTCCGGGCTGGCCCGTGAGGCCCTCACCTTGTCTGAGTCCAGGTCGGGATCGGCCTGGCATAAGCGGTACAGGAAGGATTTCGGGTCCCGGCACAGGGTCTGCCGAGTGGTGAGGAAGTAGGTGCCGCCGACGTTGAGTCGGACCCACTTGGACACGCTGCCAGGGCGCTGGGCCAGGGCGCCGAGCCCAGCGCTGCAGCGGCGGCACAGGCCGCCCCCCAGCCCCGCCCCGATGCCGCCCCGGGCCGGCGACAGGAGCTCGCAGTGATTCTCCGCCATGATCCCAGCAAGCCCCGCAACAGCTCCCTTCCACCGGAAGCGTCCGGCTTTTAATAGCGTCCTCTGAGTTCTGTCCCGCCCACAGGTCCGCCCTGGTAGAGCGCCCGCCCCGGCGTCACGCGGTAGGCGGAAGTTCCGGTCCCGAAAAGCAGGAGGCTGGGCCCGCTTCCGGCGGGAGCGGAGCACGGGGTGATCTGGGCACTAACGCTGATGGGGAGCAGCGGACATCAGCCTCGACCTCCCACGAGCGGTGCACGAGCGCCTGACCCAGACCTCGACCCTAGCCTTCACCCCCACCCTGACTCCAGTTCATGAACTGGTCAAAGGAAGAGCCATGCCAGCAAACGTCTACACTGTACATGCTTTTTATTACAAGACTACGGAGCATAGGAGGAAAATTCATCATCTGGTAACTACACCTAAAGCACAAATATTTGGGGGGAAAAAAAGAACAGATTCATTAAATTATATGATTAAATCATTGACCCAATAGAAAATTTATATAATAAGGGCGGGGCCTGGTGGCTCACGCCTGTAATCCCAGCACTTTGGGAGGCCGAGGCGGGAGGATCAGGCGGTCAGGAGATCGAGACCACGCTGGCCAACATGGTGAGGCCCGGTCTCCACTGAAAATACAAAAATTAGCCTGGCGCGGTGGTGGGCGCCGGTAATCCAAGCTACTCGGGAGGCTGCGGCAGGAGAATGGCGTGAACCCGGGAGGCAGAGGTTGCAGTGAGCTGAGATCTCGCCACTGCACTCCAGCCTGGTGATAGGGCGAGAGTCTGTCTCAAAAAAAAAAAAAGAAAGTTTTTGTAATAAAGCCAGAAAAAAGTTGTAAAATATATAGTAATTATTCACATTCAAGGCTGTATATCAATACATATAACAACGTGGCCCCGAACATGAATTCAATACAAATAATTCATATATTAGAATTTAGGCCGGGCGCGGTGGCTCATGTCTGTAATCCCAACACTTTGGGAGGCCAAGGTGGGTGGATCACGAGGTCAGGAGTTCAACATCAGCCTGGCCAAGATGGTGAATCTCCGTCTCTACCAAAAATACAAAAAATTAGCCAGATGTGGTTGTGGGCGCTCGTAATCCCAGCTACTCGGAGGCTGAGGCAGAGAATTGCTTAAACCCAGGAGGCGGAGGTTGCAGTTAGCCGAGATCAGGCCACTGCACTCTAGCCTGGGCGACAGAGTGAGACTCCGTCTCAAGAAAAAAAAAGAATTTAAATAACAGGCTGAACTAGAGGCCAACAATAGCCAGCAAATAACCTTCTATAAGATTAAAAACACAAAAGTGTATATCCTAATACCATTGTATTATTTGTTTTCATGAGTTCTTTTAATTTTTGCTTTGTCTGTACATCACAGTTACAGCTACAGACCAGGTAGAGAATATTACGCATGTTCTGACTGCCACCCACCTGAAAGACGTACTAGTCATTTATCCTATTTCATGTTGTGAAGGAACAGCTACAGCAGCTCTAAATACTGTAACAATTTAATTTTGCCAACATCCAACTTAACAGTCGTAATAGAGGCTTTTACCAGCACAATGACCCCTATTCGTAGTCATTCTGCCAGACGGTTAGGCTATGTGGGTTACACAGCTTAAAAAAGGTCTGCCTTTTGTAAAAAGTTCTCTGTACATAGTTTGGTGTTTCTTCATATGGAAGAAATGAGTTATGGGGAAAATTCAGGTACACACGTAGGCTCGTTCAGTTGCTCACCACAGCCATCTCAACAGATGAAAGTGCTCTTTGTTGGAAACAGCTTCCTCCTCACACCAGTTCTCCACAGGCAGCCTCATCTACAACCCTGCAATTTTGGGCCAGAAGTGGTGGCCCCTCAGAGGCTCTGAAGTGCCTCCAGCCCCGATTCAGGCACTTGCCACGTGTGCTGCGTAAGAAGGGACCCCACCCAGTGAGTCAACATAGGCTCATGTCAAGTTTGAAAATAACTGGGGAAAAGTGTATGACAACATCTTCCAGAACATAGTACCTTCACCGTATTCTCACAGCAGCTGCGATCTCTGAAGTCTCAGCAGTGAGCACCCCGGGTCTGTCAACCAGCCAGGCAAGGGGGGGCCCTCAGGCTTCAGAGGGCAAGAAACCAAATTCCGTGCAATTTGGCCATAATCTCTGGTAGAGTGAAGCAGCACTGAACGCAGTGCCTAGAAAAACCTCCTGCACGTTCCCCTGCACAATCAATGGACCCCAACTACAGTGGAGAAATGAAGAATCCAACCAAATTTGGGTGGTCTGGACTTGCTGCCAGCCAGGCAATCTGCAACACTGTGGGCAGGGAGATGGGGGGAGGCGGCCTGAAATCTACACCAGCTGGGACAACCACGCCCTACAATGAAAAAGCCAGCCTGGCTGCTGGGCTCTTGTGAACCACTAAGACCTGAAGGTGGGGGGGTGGAAGGGGGAGACAAATGCACTCTTGTAAAACCCAATCAGCTACGTGGTTTTTTTCAAGTAGAGGCTTTGCTCTGCTACTGACTCCAAATGGCCTAATGTACTTTCTGAGTCTATAAACTTAATTACAGATCACTCACTAAGCATGTGGCAAGGTCAGTTCAACACTTGTTATCTCTGCTGACTGCGCAGTTGCAAATTCAATACCATTGTGGACATGAAGTACAAGATTCTGAAAATATCGCCAAGCGCTTGAAAGCCACGGCAGCAGGGAGGGCAGAGAGCTGACATGCAGGCAGAGCCAGGTTCTTGCAACCAAAACAAGGAAATTGGCTCTTGGAAAAAATCGGCCACAAATGGATTGCAGTAGTGACATCCTCTTAGCATTTAAATAAAGAGCGGTCTTATTCAGACATTCTTTGGAACACACGGCTTATCAGAAACCGATTTGTTCAGAATCTGTAAGACACAACTAAGGTGGTTCTGCTACTGGAACTGAGCGTCTACACATCAGGTCGAGAGAGAGACAGAAATATCTTCAAAATGAACAAACTCTTTCACCTCAAAATACCACTTCCAGGCATCTAAGGGGAAAAAAAGTAAGAAATCAGAAGATTTTAAAGATATTCATCACAGCATTATTTAAATAGTGGAAAAATCAGAAACCGTCAAGTATTTTACAGTAGGGAAATGGTCAGATAAATTATAGTAAATGGACAATGACTAAATAGTACAATTGTTAAAAACATGTTTCTGAGAAACTCATGACATGGGAAAATGCTTAAAATATCAAGGGAGAAGACGATGCAAACGGTGTGTGTCGGATGTTCCTATTTTAGTTTAAAAAGTGAACAAATGGCAGGGCAGGATATACGGCAAAATGCTCACAGTGGTCTTCTCTGGCCGGTGAGCCTACAGCTGATCTTGTCAGAGACAAACGTTAGTTTTACTGAGTCACCCAGAGCCCTGTGCTGGTGCCTGAGGGTTTGTTCCATGGGACAGTCTCCACAATTCCTCTGGGGAAGGGCCACAAATCCCACAGTGTGTCCCAAGAGGGCTGGAGTAGGCGGAGTCCCCAGCAGCTGTGGCATGACCAGCCATCTCTCTCAAAACAATTGTTAACAAGCCTTCTGCAAGTTAAGGTTCCACATGGTAGCCGTGGTACAGAGGCATTTCTCTAGGGTGGAGAGGCTTGTGCTCTACACCAGGACTGCCCACCGCCCTGGCTGGGGCCACACAAAGAGGGGAGAAAGGAATCCCTCAGAAGCCAGCCCCCAACTGTGTCCCAGAGAAAGGCGGGGCACCTGGGACACCTAGGCCGGCAGCGACCACAGCCTCCCTCCACTTTGTGCCGAGAAGCCGCACAGTGTGGTCCCGACATTCCACCTGTCCTTGCCCATGTGTGGGGAGGCACATGGCCCCAAGTCTATTAAACAGCAAGTGAAATCTTCCTCATCTTGGATAAACCCACAACTGTAATTCCACGTAAGTGTGTCTATGTGCACACACAGTACCCCACGTTCTACCGTAGAATGTAAGGCGCCTGCGTGCCAGGTGATGGCTCTAAGGATGTGGTAGAGAAAACCGGAGTAGACATGAGCAAGCACAGGGTAAGGAAAGAAAACACACGGGCCTTTCAAAAGGGAAGAGCAAGGTGAGGAGAAAGGTGACCCACAGAAGGGCTTGGCTGTCAGCTCAGGCAATGGCATCATTTCGGCTGGCGGCTGCCAGCTCTGGCTCTGAGCCCCTAGTTCTGTGGCTTTGGAGGTTAAGATGGAGCTTGTCAGTGACGCCCAGGAGGTGGTGGTTCTATCCAGAGGAAGAACGCACGGAAGAGTCTCCCCAGGCAGCCCAGCCGAGTGCTCCAATTAAAGCCACGTCCCTGCTCCACTTGTTTCCCTATAACCAGACGCCCTGAGAGATACGTTCTGAGATGGGTAAAATAGCTGATGAGGAGGAGGAAGCCTGAACAGAAATTCCTGAAAGGGCTAAGAGAGACTCCCCAACACAGCCAAGCCTTTCCAAAAGCCAGGAGGAGGAGAGAGGACTCCGACTCCGGCCACAGGCCCAGGGCAACGTGCTGGGCCCCGGAGCGTCCTGCTCCCTGGGGCCCCAGGGTAGGTGCGGCCCAGCTCACCCCAGCTCACGGTCACAGGCTCACATGCAGCTCTCACACAGCAGCAGCCAAGGCCCAGGCAGGAACCACAGGCAGGGCCTGGGGAACATCTCTGCCCCCTCCCAGGCCCCGTCTGTACTCGCTTAGCTAAAAAGAGCCACTCTCGTCATTAGCAGTGTAAAAACGACACCTTCCCTCTCAGTTTGGATCTGGCCTGGCACACAGGGTCACTGCTGAGTCACCTGTGACTTGGGGGTAGGGACCAGGGAGGGTGGACACAGTTGAGTCAGAGGCAGGTCTGTGGGCAGCAATGTCTGCCTCTCCCCCACGGGAGCTGGAGAGCAGTGGCACCGTCACAGCTCACTGCAGCCTCAATCACCTGCGCTGAAGCCATTTTCACACCTCAGCTTCCCAAGTAGCTGGCACCACAGGCACATACCACCATGCCCGGCTAATTTTTTTTCTTTTTTTTAGAGACAGGGTCTTGCTAATGTTGTCCAGGCTGGCCTTGAACTCCTGGATTCAAGCGATCCTCCTGCCTCAGCCTCCCAAAGTGCTGGGATTACAGGTGTGAGCCACCATGCCTGGCCATAATTATGCAGTTGTAAGGTCAGCTGATTAATTCATCTCTCTATATAATAACATATGCACAGGTTGGGAGATTAGGATGAGAACATCTGTGGAGAGGCCATTATTCTGACTTTTAGAGAGAAGGGCCTAGGACAGGAATTCCCAGTGCTCAGGTTTAAAGGAAATACAATGTTTCTATCACCGGTACATGAAGGTGCCCCTTTCTCTGCATTCCTACCAACACTGGATATTTTCCACCTTTGGGACTTTCAGCAGTTCTGGAGCCAGCCCATTTTACAGCGGGGATAATTGAGGTTTAAGGAGGGGAAATTACTTGCCTAAGATCTCATGCAACTTTCTGTTTCCTGACTCCCAGTCAAGTTTGATTCTCCCTTGGCGTGGCTTATATGGGAGGATATTTACCTGGTGGCTTGGAAACCACTGAATGACTTTGTCATCTTCTATCCATCCATGTATCTCTATCTGCAGCCCAGCAAATGTATATTGGGAGCCTCAGACATGTGACCAGGGCCTTGTGGGCCAGAAGAAGGCGGGAGACCATGCTGTTGTTTTTGTTTTGTTTTGTTTTGTTTTGAGACAGAGTCTCCCTCTGTCACGCAGGCTGGAGTGCAGTGGCTCAATCTCAGCACACTACAACCTCCGCCTCCCTGGGTTCAAGTGATTCTCACACTTTAGCCTCCCTAGTAGCTGGGATTACAGGCATGCACCACCACTCCCAACTAATTTTTGTATTTTTAGTAGAGACGGGGTTTCACCATGTTGGCCAGGCTGGTCTCCAACTCCTGACCTCAAGCGATCCACCCGCCTCACTCTCCCAAAGTGCTGGGATTACAGGTGTGAGCCACCTGGCCTGGCCAGTGCTCTTGTCTTTTGAGAGCCCCCTTTTCTCTCACCTGATCTCCCTGCCCCCTATTTTCCCCTTTAGTCTCCTTTCCAGACGCTACTGAGTAGCTGCAGGGTCAGTCTAGAAATGCCAACCAGGTTGGGATCCTTGCTGGGAGAGCCCTTCCTTCCCTGGCTTTGTAACTCAGGGCCTTCTGGTGTGCACACCTGCAGGGTCCAGGCTGGGCCTGCCCTTCTAGCTTCTCTCTGTCTCTCCCTGAGATTGGAATCCTGGCTCTGTCCTCAACTAGCTTGAAGGGGGGCCCCCAGGAATGGCCCCTTCTGGATTTCATACCCTTGTGTAGTCCCGTTTCACTTTTTATAACATTTAAAATTTTTTTTTTGGTTAGAGACAGGGTCTCACTTTGTTGCCCAGGCTGCTCTCAAACACCTAGCCTCAAGCAGTGCTCCTGCCTCAGCCTCCCAAAACACGCCCGTTCACTTTCTACCAGGGTTGTTGTGTGTGACTAGCAGATGTGTTGGAAGTGATGATGTGTCACTTCCGAGGTTAGGTCATTAAAGACGCGGCGGCTTCTATCTTGTGTGTGTTCTCTTTCTCTTGGGCCACTCGCTCTGGGGAAAGCCAGCTGTCGGGGCTTCAAAATACACACGCCTGGGAAGAGGCCTCACTGGTGAGGGACAGAGGCCTCCAGCCCATAGCTGTGGGAACGTGGGAATGAAGCTTTACGTGCATCCTTCGGCCGTGCTCTAGCCTTTAGATGACTCAGTTCTAGCTGCATTTTTTTTCGGGGGGTGGGGGACGGAGTCTTGCTCTTATTGCCCAGGCTGGAGTGCAATGGTGTGATCTCAGCTCACCGCAACCTCCGCCTGCTGGGTTCAAGCGATTCTTGTGCCTCAGTCTCCTGAGTAACTGGGATTACAGGTGCCTGCCACCATGCCCAGCTAATTTTTGTGTATTTTTAGTAGAGACGGGGTTTCACTATATTGGCCAGGCTGGTCTCAAAATCCTGACCTCCTGATCTGCCCGCCTCGGCCTCCTAAAGTGCTGGGATTACAGGTGTGAATCACTGCACCTGGCCAGCCCTGGCAGCATCTTGATGGCAAGTTCACTGAGCCAGACCACCCAGCCCAGCCTCTCCTGGATTCCAGACCCACAGGAACCATGAGTTAGACGTCTTTGTTGTTTTACACATTTAAATTTTGGGGCAATTGGTTACACAGCAGTAGATTACTAATACACCAGCTGTAGGGCTTTGGGCACGTTCCTTAGCCTCTGCACCCCATTTCCTCCCTCGTGCCATGAGCGTTGTAGAGGTGAGTGAGGAACATGTAGACACAGCACAGGACCACATACGTGAGGCAGCTTTCCAGCCCCTCTCGAGATGGTTCTGGTCATCCTCTTGCCCATCCCTGGATGGACCGTGACTTCACAACATCAGGCCAAGTTATTGCATTCTTGTCCTGAGGTCATCCATTGGTCATGGACAGAGGTTCTGGGTAGGAAAGGATGAGATAAAGAGTGGGGTCAGTCTCCTTCCTCCAGCCTGGGTCCGGAGAATCTTGCTGGGCCAGGTGAGACATCCGCTCCCTGTGTGGTGTCCTAGGATGGGCAGCTGGACCTGACCAGTGGGGAGGTTTCTCTGTGTCTCCAGAGGGCAGAGGGGCTGCCTGGTCTGGCTTCCCTTGGGCTTGGCCAAGCATTCTGGCTGCCACTGAGGCCTCCAGGACAACTGAGAACTGTCCTTTCTTCCTTGCCCTTCAGCTGCCCCTGTCTTCTCTGCCCCTGGTGCCTGCTCAGCTGCTTTCTTCACAGGACAGCCTTCTTGTCACCCTTGGCCCCTGCCCCGAGGCTCCTCCACCCCAGGCTCTGTGTTCTAAAGTTCACCGTGTACAATTTCCTCAAGTTGTTTCTCCTTCACTGCTTCCCTTTTCTCTGTTCATTACTCAAGATCTGCATGGCCATGTGTCAGTATAAAAAAAAATAAAGTTGGCCGGGCGGGGTGGCTCACCCCTGTAATCCCAGCACTTTGGGAAGCGTGGTGGGCAGATCATGAGGTCAGGAGTTCGAGACCAGTCTGGCCAATATGGTGAAACCCCATCTCTACGAAAAATACAAAAATTAGCTGGGTGTGGTGGCACGCACCTGTAGTCCCAGCTACTCAGGAGGCTGAGGCAGGAGAATTGCTTGAACCCAGAAGGTGGAGGTTGCAGTGAAATTGCCATTGACTCCAGCCTGGGTGACACAGCGAGACTTCGTCTCAAAAAAAAAAAAAAAGTTAACCCATTTCAGTTGGGTGCAGTACCTCACGCCTCTAATGCCAGCACTTTGGGAGGCCGAGGCAGGCGGAAAGAGCGAGACCATCTCAAAAAAAAAAAAAAAAAAAAAGAATTGCTTGAACCCAGGAGGTGGAGGTTGCAGTGACTAGAGATCGAGCCACTGCACTCCAGCCTTGGCGACAGAGCAAGACTCCGTCTCAAAACAAACAAACAAAAAAACCTAAAATACAAAAAACACAAGCAAAAAATCATGATTGACATTAACAACTACAAAAAGAAAAACAAACAAAAAAAAAACCGCCACAAAATCATTTATAGGTAAGGACAGAAGTTCTGAGGCTGCCTCCAGGACTATGGACAGTGGTAGGATTGGTTGTTTTCCGCTTTATGAATGTGACTTATAGCCCAGATTTCCTTCCGTGAACGCTTGTTAGTTGTGAAACTAGCAAAGTTGCGCCTCCGCATTTACGCAGAGCCGGCTCCGGAGTCCGAGCCCCGGGTTCGAGCCCAGCCCCGCTATTACCTCGGGCGTGACCTTGGCCGGAGCCAGGTCCCCTCTGAGCCTCAGTTTCCCGGTCTGGGAGCTGGGAATGACAGCTCGCCCCACCCCCGCAGAGCCCCGCCCCCGGGGCCCTGGGATTGGTTCGCGCGAGGTCCCCCTGCCCAGGCGGGGCCGGGCCTCTCCCGCCCGCCAGGCCCCAACCCGGAAATGCAGCTGGGGCAGAGGCGGGGCCCACTCAGACCGCGGCGAAGGGACGATGGGCGCGGCCAATGGGCGCGGGCGGCGGCGGCGGTGCGACGGAAGTCCTGCCTGGCGTCGCGCGGGGGCGGGGCGTCGCGGGGGGCGGGGGCATCGCGGGGGGCGGGGCGTCGCGGGCACAGCGTGAGGGCCGCCGTTGCTGGAGTTCAGCTTAGGGAAGGAGGACTCTGAGGAGGCCCCGAGCGGCGGAGCGCTTCGGGGGAGGCGCCCGCGCAGACGCGAGGCCCATAGCCAGGACCACCACCTAGCTGGTGAGCGCGCGGCGAGGCGGGGCGGCCCGGGGTCCCGAGGGTCGGGTGCCGCCTTACCTGCGGCCGGGCGGCCGGGCCGGGGATGGCGGGCGCCGGCCGAGGGCGCTGCTTGGCTGCGGCGGGGAGACCGGGCCTGGGTTGCGTCGGGCGGCGGCCTGGCCGGGGGCGCTGACAGACGCGCGGAGGGCGGGGGAGGCCGGGAGGTGTCACCCGGCCCAGCGGGGTGGAAGTGCCTGGAAAGTTTGTTTTCGGCTTGGCGCAGCCTGGAGCCGAGCCTCCAGGGTTACCTTTCGGTTCTGTCTGTAGAGGAACCGCCCTGGGCTTCCACCTGGAACGGGGTCCTTGGCGCCTCCGCCTGCGAGAGAAGCAGAAGGTGCAAGTTCTTGCTGAAAGCACCTGATGCTCCTGGGCCCCCTTTTCCAGATTCTTGATGACATTGGTCGGGAAAACTCGCCTTTCACGGCCCGGCCAAGGGGCATTTGGGTGCTTTTGCTGCCCGTGGCTGTGCTCAGCGTTGTGGGAAGCCCCTGGGAGGCCGAATGTGCAGGATCACCGAGGGGAAAGTGAGCTTGACAGGTAGGAGGGATTTTAGGGGAAGGATCAAAACAAACCACTTGTTGGGTGAAATGTTTTGCTAAATGTATCGCTGGTGTTTATTTTCTCTCTGTCGCTAAAAGTATCCCTCGTGTTTTTATGTTTTCCATATGCTAAGTTCTACAGTCTGGGGACGACGGTTTAAAAATTTATGCCTTGCATGCGATGTGCAGTGGGTGATGGAAGAACGTCTACATGGCTTTAAAATTGGATTTAAAAGGCAAATATTTTAAATGAAGGAAAACCCAAGAAGTTTACTTGATTCCTTATCTTCCAGGATGCGACTTTTGTTTATTTATTTATTTTATTTTGATGGAGTCTCGCTGCCGTCGCGCAGGCTGGAGTGCAGTGACGCGATCTTGACCCGGGAACCTCCACCTCCCGGGTTCAAGCGATTCTCCTTCCTCAACCACCCGAGTAGCTGGGATTACAGGCGTGTGCCACCATGCCCGGCTAATTTTTGTGTTTTTAGTAGAGACCGGGGAAGGTATGGGCCCTCTTTTGAGAAAAATGCAGAGTGACACTGAATTTTGTAACTACATCAGGAGGCTCTTGAACCTTCTGCAGCTCACTCGTGGAGTTTGTAGAGATGCGTAATAATCCGAAGTGTTAAGGAAGAAGGTTCTGTTGAGAAAAAGTTGGAGGGCTGAAAGGGATGCCTTTCGCTATTTCGACATGTGTGGCTGTACCCCAGAGTGCCCTGGCTAACACGCAAAACCATGAATTAGGCGGCTTGGCGAGGCTCAGTGGAGGCTGGGGCCGAGAGTCATGTCAAAGTTTGTGGGGTTAACCTGCACCCAGTGACAGTCATGGCGAAGTTTGTGAGGTTAACTCGCACCCAGTAACGCTGTTCCAATGCAAGGTGTGTATTTGGTGTCATCCACGGGAAGAGGAAACAGCAAATTTTCTCATGGCCTTGGCAGTTCCACATGATGGACATTTCATATCTGCAGTTTTCTTCGCATGAGATGGCTTTTTTGCACAAAAACACTGGAATCCAGTGAGCAAGAATGATAGAATGCAAGATGGATTTCCACATGAGGAAGTGTCACGAACAAGCGTTTTGCATCTCTGTCAGCTGGATTCCCCCATGTGTACGTATGTGAGAACATGCCGTGTTTCCTGTCTGTAATGGTAGAGGCAGCCCTGATACTGGATTTTCACCTGAGGATGGATAGATCTTCAGGGTTCAAGTGGGTTTGCATCTGGACTTTAGGGTGGCCCTGTAGGCCCTGTGTGAGAAGCCCCCTTCCCAGTGAACTTTCCCTTGTGTGCCCGCGTGGACAGCCAACAGGGGGAGCAGTGCGAGCGTGAAGGCAGACAGTGGCCTGGCCCAGTCTGATGGTAAGTGGGCCAGAGGCAGTGAGTACCATTTCTTGATCTGACTACTCAAGACAGGCGCTTCCCTAGGTACTTTCACACCTCATTGCGAGGTACGTGTTGTTCCCATTTTACAGGTGCAGAAGCTGAGCTGCAGAGGCGTTAGGTACCTGCCTCATAAGTGGTAGAGACTCCAGTGTCACCCTGCCCCTCACGTTCGGAGCCCCCGAGGGAGGGTCTGCCGGGCAGCTCAGCCCAGCACTCTGTAAGGAAATCTTCAGTGCCACTGCCCAGGATGTCTTCCCGGGGATTGGGCCTGAATGTCTTGACCATGCCGTGCTGGAGGTAGGAGGGGTGTCTTCATATGGAAGAACTGTACATATTTCTTTGGCAGATGGCTGAACTCTGTGACCCCGGGGCCTGTTTCAGCCTCCTGCTGTCAGAAAGCAGCTGTTTGGGAAGAGGCTGTGATTCGGCCTTGTTTGAGGGCCGATACTCTGAATGGGTGAGGCTTGGAATCCTCCCTTTGGAACAAAGAAACATAATGATTTTGCTGAAGGTAGAATTGGGGGACTAGGCAGAGTGGCCTCCTGCCCTCCCTGGGGTGGTTCTGTCTTTTGCAAAGGTGGCTGCATCCTTAGGGGAAGGTGAGGGGAGAAGCAGGGAGCATGGAGAGAAGTGGCTTTCGATTTTCTCTCTCCTTTTGGGGAGTTCCTCCTTATGTGGCTGGTCTGGTGCATAGTGTGATGTATTCCTGTACGCAACGTTGCCCTGACAGCCAGTCCAAGCTGAGTCTAGAGCTGGCAAGGTGAGCTCCCAGTAGTAAGAGGGTGTGGGCGGCAAGCCACCCAGGCACCGAGGCAAGAGACAGAGGACACGAGCTGTTCCAGTATAATAAAATATAAAACAAGAATAGTTATACCAGATATAGATCTTAGATATGATTATATATGAATATCATTAATCATGAGTTTGCAGCAATTACTTTTTATTCCAATATTATGATAATCCTCGCTCTATAATCATAGCCTAGGAAAAACCAGGCCATACAGAGGAGCTGAGGGGACATAGTGAGGTGTGACCAGAAGACAAGAGTGCGAGGCTTCTGTTATGCCCGGACAGGGCCACAAGAGGGCTCCTTGGTCTAGCGGTGACGCCAGCGTCTGGGAAGACGCCCGTTACCCGGCGGATCGTGGCCCAGTGGTAGCAAAAGGTGTCAAGGAACAACACTCACTACTTAGCAGACCGGGAAAGGGGCGGGGGGGGGGTCTCCCTTTCCCCGGGGGAGTTTAGAAAAGACTCTGCTCCTCCACCTCTTGTGGAGGGCCTGACATCAGTCAGGCTTGCCCGTAGTTATCCGGAGGCCTAACTGTCTCCCTGTGATGCTGTGCTTCAGTGGTCACACTCCTTGTCTGCCTTCATGTTCCATCCTGTACACCTGGCTCTGCCTTCTAGATAGCAGTAGTAAATTAGTGAAAATACTAATAGTCCCTGATATGCAGAAATAATGGTATAAGCTGTCTTTCTCTCTGTCTCCTCTCCCTCTCTGCCTCGGCTGCCAGGCAGGGAAGGGCCCCCTGTCCAGTGGACACGTGACCCACGTGACCTTACCTATCATTGGAGGTGACTCACATTCTTTACCCTGCCCCTTCTGTCTTGTATCCGATAAATAACAGCGCAGTCAGACATTCGGGGCCACTACCGGTCTCCGCGCATTGGTGGTAGTGGTCCCCCGGGCCCAGCTGCCTTTTCTCTTATCTCTCTGTCTTGTGTCTTTATTTCTACACTCTCTCATCGCCACACACAGGGAGAGACCCACCGACCCTGTGGGGCTGGTCCCTACATCTGGCGCTCTGACGTGGGGCTCTCCCTCGCTGTGTGAAGTTGCACCCTGAGTGCGGGATCAGCGGAGGAGTTCAACGAGAGATTCCTGAGGATTGCAGTCTATAAACTTGGTGGTAAGCTTGAGCACTCAGTTTTCTGGGGACACCATGGGACAGGCCAGTACAAAGTATTTGGCTTATTTAAATTTTATAAAAACTCTTCTTAAAGAAGGAGGTGTTAAAGTTTCTACTGAAAAGTTAATTGAACTATTTGAGGTTGTAGATCTTCTTTGCCCTTGGTTTCCGACTGAGGGAACTCTAGAACTTAAAGATTGGGTTGAGATTGGCAAACAATTCAAAATTGCTCATAAAGGGGGACATTTTATCCCACCCACCATTTGGTCAATCTGGGCTTCGGTTCACTCTGTCTTAGACTCCTTACAGACTCAGGAGGACAATATGGAGACTGATCCCTCTTTCCTCTCCTCTGAGGGAGGTCGAGGAAGCGCTCAGCTCTCTTTCCCCTGAGGATACTACACAAATTGAGAACGTAATTTCAAAGGAGGACTTCCACTCTGACATGCCTGCACCACTTCCACCTACACCAGAGGCTACTGCACCCCCATTGCCGCTTTATGATGATCTTTTAACTGACCTAAATATACTAATCTCCCCCAATCAGCAAAACTCAGCTGAAACATATCAACAGCCATTGCAGCCAGACCCTCCTGTCTCTCCTCACTGTTTCAACGCTGCCGCTGTGCAAATAGCAGATGAGACCAGGCAGCCTGTAAACGAGTCTATAAATTATGTTTCTATGCAGCCCGGTACAGAGGCTCCGCTATATGAACAGCTCAGAAAAGAGGCTTCCAATTCTCGGCCCGGTAATGAGGCCCTCAATCCTATTTCTCCTAATCGGACTCAGTTAGAGTCACAGACTCCCTTGAAGCCCTTTCCTATAAATCAGACTCGAGTAGAGTCACAGTCTCCCTTGAAGCCTGGTTCCTTTCCTGCAAATCGGACTCAGAGTCACAGGCTCCCTTGAAGCCTGGTCCCTTTCCTATAAATCAGACTTGGGTAGAGTCACAGGCTCCCTTGAAGCCTGGTTCCTTTCCTGCAAATCGGACTCAGAGTCACAGACTCCCTTGAAGCCTGGTTCACACTTGCCGTGGCAGCCTGGTTTTCAGGCCCATGAAAGACCTGCTCAGCAGGTAATCTGCTGTCACCCTGGCTTTCAGTTTTTTGACTCTCCTTCTATTCAAAATTCTACCTCTTTTTCTGCTCCTGGTCCGGTCGCAACTGCTGTTGCCAATACTACCATTGCCGCTCATAAGCAACAAATTACATACATCCCTGAAGATGACACTCCGCTTATGAGGGCTATAGTTCAAGCAAGGGAATATGGGGATCCTGAAACTTGGCAATTTCCTGTAATTTTACAACCTCCAGTACCTGCCACCCCAGCAGTACAAAACCACCCACAGCCTGTTGTTGATCCTGCCCAGCAGGCGGCTGACCCCGCAGCTCAACAAGATCAAGAGGCTGATAATCAAGCCCCTCAGCCCGAAACTCAGGCTGCTCAGGTAAATAATCAGCCTCCGCAGTTGCCTGCTCCTGGGGCACAGCCAATACCTGGCATTCCCGCTGTTCAGGTGGTAATTCAGCCTGACCCCATCCATCCAGGCCAGGTTCAGCTACGCCCTGCTACATGGGAAAGTTTTTCTTTTAAATTCCTCAAAGATTTTAAAGAATCAGTGAAACAATATGGCACCAACTCTCCTTTTGTCCGTTCCACATTAAAAGCCTTAGGAGAAGATAAACGTTTGGTACCCTATGATTGGGAAATTTTGGCAAAATCAAGTCTTATCTAAATCCCAATATTTACAGTTCAGGACTTGGTGGGTTGATGCTGTCCAGGAACGCATTTGTCTTAGGGCACTAATCCTCCTGTTAACGTTATGGCTGACCAGTTACTGGGAATGGGTCAATGGGCCGCAATCCGACACCAAACTATACTAAATGATGAGGTTATTGAACAACTGCGAAAATTGTTGCTTAGATGCTTGGGACAAAATTCAAGATGATGGTAAAGTATGCCCATCTTTCACAGCCGTCAGACAGGGACAACATGAGCCCTACCCAGACTTTATTACTCGTCTTCAAGACGCAGCAGAAAAGGCTATTCCTGATAGCCACGGCCAAAGACTTGTTGTAGAACTTATGGCTTATGAACAAGCAAATCCAGATGGTCAGGCGGCTGTTTGCCCCGCCAAAGGTAAAATTCCACCGGGTGGTGATATACTCACCTCCTACATTAAAGCCTGTGAAGGGGTGGGAGGAACTCTCCATACAGCAACGATTATGGCACAAGCTATGGCCTCTATTCGAATGCCTGGACAATTCTCTGGCCAATGCTTCATATGCGGCCAGAAGGGACATGCAGAAAGAAATTGCCCTCGGCGTGCAGGTGGCCGTCCTTTACATCACCACCAACAACAAAAAGAAACTTTTCAGCAACAAGACACCCCACCTTCTGCTGTATGCCCACGAAGCCAAAAGGGTCTTCACTGGGCATCTCAATGCCATTCCAGATTTGATATTGATGGCAATCCTGTACGGCCTTTTAAAAATCAGGGAAACGGGATGAGGGGCCGGCCCCAGCCCCCTCTAAACAATGGGGCATTCCTCAACTCTCAGCCGCTGGCGTCCAGCCAGACAGGAGCCTTCCCAGTTTAATCCATTCAACCTCCACCCCAATTCCCACTTCAGCAATTTGTGCCACAGGATCTAATGCCTCAGCCCCAACACCAATCTCAGTACAATGCTTGTCCCCCGTCACCACAGGCTCAGCAGCAGTAGATCTCTGTTGTACCAGAAATATTTCTTTTGTTGCCTGGAGAGCCACGTATTGCTGTTCCTACAGGTGTTTTTGGTCCCTTGCCGACTGGCAGTGTCGGGTTGCTACTGGGACGTTCAAGTTTAAATTTAAAAGGTGTTCAAGTACATACTGGTGTAATTGATTCTGACTATTCAGGTAAAATTCATATTATCATTAGCTCTGCAGTCCCTTGGAATGCAGCAGCTGGGGACCGCATTGCTCAACTCTTGATATTTCCTTACATTCCTTTGGGATCTAGTTCTAGTACAAGAAAGGGAGGTTTTGGTAGCACAGATTATCAAGGTAAAGCAGCCTACTGGGCCAGCAAAATTTCTGACACTCGTCCTGTGTGCTCCGTGCATATTCAGGGAAAAAAGTTTGAGGGAATGATTGACACGGGCGCTGGTGTGTCCATTATCGCTTTACATCGATGGCCCCGACACTGGCCAAAGGAGCATGCCTCCACAGCATTCGTGGGTGTTGGTCAGGCTTCACAGGTATATGAAAGTTCCACAATTTTACATTGCACAGGCCTGAAGGACAGATTGGAACTATTCGCCCCCTCATTACACCCATTCCTGTTAATTTGTGGGGAAGAGATCTTTTATATCAATGGGGGGCTCAGATTACTTTTCCTAAAGGCAGTTACAGCCAGCAGAGTAAAGATATGATGACCAAAATGGGATTTGTTCAAGGTCTGGGTTTAGAAAAATCAGCACAAGGCATCACTGAGCATATCATACCTACTCCTAAAGCAGACTCTACAGGACTTGGTTATTCTTTTTAGAAGTGGTCACTATCAAGCCTCCAGAACCCATCCCTTTGACCTGGAGAACTTAAAAACCTGTCTAGGTAGATGAGTGGCTGCTCCCAAAAAATAAGCTGGAGGCACTTCATATTTTGGTTCTTGAACAGTTAAAATTGGGACACATTGAACCTTCTTTTTCTCCTTGGAATTCACCTGTTTTTGTTATTCAAAAGAAATCTGGTAAGTGGAGAATGCTTACTGATCTTAGGGCAGTAAATGCTGTCCTTCAGCCTATGGGGACATTACAACCCAGTTTGCCCTCCCCCAGTATGATTACTGAGTATTGGCCACTTATCATCATTGACCTTAAAGATTGCTTTTTTACCATTCCTCTGGCCCCTCAGGACTTTGAAAAATTTGCTTTCACTGTTCCAGCCCTTAACAACGTTGCTCCTGCAGCACGTTACCATTGGAAAGTCCTACCTCAAGGTCTGCTCAATAGCCCCACTATTTGTCAATATTATGTGGGATGCATATTAAAGCCAGTTAGAGATAAATTTCCCCAATGTTATATTATTCATTACACAGATGATATTCTTTGTGCAGCACCTTCACGCTCTGTATTAATATCTTGTTTTTCTGCATTACAGCAAGTGGTCACAGCAGCTGGCTTGGTTATCGCCCCAGAAAAAATTCACACTTCATCTCCTTATCACTATTTAGAGATGCAGCTAGAGGATAAGGTCATTAAGCCTCAAAAAGTTCAACTCAGACGAGACTCTTTAAAAACTCTAAATGATTTCCAAAAATTATTTGGAGATATTAATTGGATTCGTCCCTCCCTACGCATTCCTACTTATGCTGTGTCTAATCTTTTTGCAATATTACGGGGCAATCCTGATTTACGCAGTAAAAGGTCTTTGACTCCTGAGGCAGATTCTAAATTACGACTTATAAAAAAATGCATTCAACAGTCTCAGGTTACCAGAGTAAATCCACATTTACCTTTTGAAGTACTAATTTTTCCCACTGAACATTCACCAACAGGACTCATTATTCAGGGACATAATTTAATTGAATTGTGTTTTCTCCCACACAGCTCTTTACGTACACTAACTATCTAGATCAAATTTCTACCTTAATTGGTCAGGCTCGTTCTCGTCTCCTTCGTCTTTCAGGAACAGAGCCTCAAAAAATCGTTGTTCCCCTTACCCGATTACAAGTTCAACAGGCTTTGCTACTTGCATTGCTTGGCAAGTGCATTTGGCACGTTTCCCAGGTATAATTGATAATCACTATCCTCATGTAAAATTATTTCAGTTCCTTAAACTCACGTCTTGGATTTTACGTAACATTACTAGAAACACCCCATTACCTGAAGCTGTCACTGTTTTCACTGATGCTTCCTCTAATGGCCGAGCAGCATATACAGGACCCAGAGAACGTGTTCTTAACACAGGGGCTATTTCAGCACAACGAGCTGAACTGCCTGCTGTTATGGCTGTCCTTGAAGATTTTCCTGAGCCAGTTAACATTTTCTCTGACTCAGCGTATGTCGTACATGTTGCTCGCAACATTGAAACTGCCTTAATCAAATTTCTGCCTGATGATAACCTATTCCTTCTTTTTCAAAAGTTTCAGTCTGTGCTCAGAGCAAGGTCTTCTCCTTTCTACAGTACTCACATTCGGGCCCACACACCCCTCCCCGGACCCCTCTCGGCAGCAAATGCCAGAGCTGATACATTAGTTACTCCCGTTTTTACAGATGCAGAAAATTTTCATGCTTTAACTCACGTCAATGCTGCGGGACTCCGAAACAAGTTCCCCCTTACATGGAAGCAAGCTAAAACTACTGTGCGTCACTGTCCTACTTGTCAAGTGTTAATTTTACCACCACTGTCTTCAGGAGTTAACCCTAGAGGACTTTCACAGAATGCTCTTTGGCAAATGGATGTGACTCATTATCCTCCTTTTGGCAAGCTTTCTTTTATACATGTAACTATTGATACCTTTTCTCATTTTATTTGGGCCACTTGTGAAACGGGCGAAAGTACAGCTCATGGTAAACGACATGTGCCTTCCTGTTTCTCGGTTATGGGCTGTTCTGAGAAACTAAAAACTGATAACGGCCCCGCCTACACTAGTGCTGCTTTTAAAAAGTTTCCTCAGACATGGGCAATTACTCACACAACGGGCATTCCCTATAACTCTGGAGAACAGGCCTTGGTTGAACGAGCCAATAAAACACTCAAAGATCAACTTCGTAAACAGGATACTAAATCAAAGGGAGATGCTATTACTCCTCATGCCCAATTAAATCTGGCTCTTTTCACACTAAATTTCTTAAACTTAACAAGAAATCAACCTTTCACAGCCGCAGAACAACATTTCACTGGAAATAAATTTGATCCACAAAAAGGAATGCGGGTATGGTGGAAGGACGTAAAAACTAACACATGGGAATTAGGCACGGTCATAACTTGGGGTAGGGGTTTTGTTTGTGTTTCCCCAGGAAAAGAACTACAGCCTGTGTGGGTCCCCTCCCGACAATTAAAATTGCACCATAACTCCAAAGATGAAACGCTCCCAGAAAGAAAAGGCAAAGACCCATCGGAAACAAAAGAGCAACTTTCACCGCCTGATACATACACTTCATGACATCCACATTGAGACAAAATCTCGCCGTGTGACCTACAACACCTCTCGTTCAACCCCACCTACTTGGGGTCGAATACAGATTTTATCTCATCAAACAGAAAAATTCTTAACAGAAAAAGGAATCCCAAAAATGACTGGTAATATAATTCTGGCTGCCTTTATGGTAGTCAGTGCAGCGGTAAGTATACCACCGGTCGGGGCAACTCAAAATTATACTTATTGGGCATATGTTCCTTTTCCCCTTCTAATTCGGTCTGTCTCCTGGAGGGACTCTCCAGTAGAAGTTTACACTAATAATAGTGCATTCATGCCGATCCCTAATGATGATCGGTTTCCAGCTCAACCGGAAGAAGAAGGTATGCACTTTAATCTGTCAATTGGCTATAAATATCCACCATTATGTATTGGGAAGTCGCCTGGTTGTTTAGCTTATTCTTAACAGAATTGGATGTGGACTGTACCGTCCTTTACAAATGATTCTTATCAAGTATATAATGTGTTCAGTACTAACTCTTTTCAACTTCTCACTGTCAAACGTACCCCACATGAGGCATGGAGAGTTCCTCTCACTACCAAAACTAATAAAACAAAAGGACTGCCGGACTGTCCAAAGAAACCTACAAATGGGCCTTTTATAGTGACTTCAATTTTATGGGATAATTGTAATGCTCCCAAGGCTGTTGTACTCCAAACTCTAGCCATGGGTATTGTTATTGATTGGGCTCCAAAAGGACATTATTGGCAAGATTGCTCCAGCAAAAATACCTTATGCTCGGAGTTTATTTATTCCTTAGATTATATAGAGCATGGGTGGCAGTCTTACACGATGAGACAACGGGTGTCTCCTTACCCATTTAAATGGATGGACACAGGTATTGCTCCTCCTAGACCAAAAATTATTCATCCCTTTTTTACCCCAGAACATCCTGAACTATGGAAATTAGCTGCAGCTTTGTCGGGAATAAAGATATGGAACACTACCTATCAGCTCCTTCGTACTAAAACCAAAACACCCACATTCAACATCACCCTTATTTCTGAATGGGTGATACCCATTAGGAGCTGTGTCAAACCCCCTTACATGCTGTTGGTTGGAAATATAATTATGATGCCTGATGCACAAACTATAGAATGTCATAACTGTAAGCTGTTCACTTGCATTGATGCAACTTTTAATCCCACTACAAGTATTCTCTTGGTAAGGGCTAGGGAGGGGGTATGGATACCAGTTTCTCTACATCGTCCATGGGAGTCTTCCCCCTCTATTCACATAGTCAATGAAGTTCTTAAAGACATCCTCAAAAGAACAAAGAGATTTATTTTTACTCTTATTGCAGTCCTTGCAGGACTACTTGCGGTTACTGCAACAGCAGCAACTGCTGGAGTTGCCATCCGCAGTTCTGTTCAAACTGCTCACTATGTTGAAGCATGCCAGAAAAATTCCTCCAGACTTTGGAATTCTCAGGCGCAAATTGATCAAAAATTAGCTAATCAGATTAATGATCTCCGCCAAAGTGTAACCTGGCTGGGAGATAGAGTTATGAACTTGCAACACCGTATGCAATTACAGTGTGATTGGAATACTTCTGATTATTGCATAACGCCTTATGCTTATAATCAAGATCAACATAGCTGGGAAAATGTCTCAAGACATTTAAAAGCCTGGGATGATAACTTAACCTTGGATATTTCACAACTTAAAGAGCAAATCTTTGAGGCTTCACAAGCCCATTTATCCACAGTTCCTGGCTCACACATTTTTGAAGGCATAACTAAACAATTACCTGATTTTAATCCCTTCAAATGGCTCAAACCCGTCAGAGGATCATTGTTGTTACTGGCATTATTAATATTGGTATGCTTATGTTGTCTCCTTTTAGTCTGCAGATGCCTCTAAGGAGTCCGAAACCAAGTCCGAAGTCAACAACAAGCAATGATGGCGATGGCGATTCTAGTTAATAAAAAGGGGGGAGATGTGGGCGGCAAGCCACCCAGGCACCGAGGCAAGAGACAGAGGACACGAGCTGTTCCAGTATAATAAAATATAAAACAAGAATAGTTATACCAGATATAGATCTTAGATATGATTATATACGAATATCATTAATCATGAGTTTGTAGCAATTACTTTTTATTCCAATATTATGATAATCCTCGCTCTATAATCATAGCCTAGGAAAAACCAGGCCATACAGAGATAGGAGCTGAGGGGACATAGTGAAGTGTGACCAGAAGACAAGAGTGCGAGCCTTCTGTTATGCCCGGACAGGGCCACCAGAGGGCTCCTTGGTCTAGCGGTGACGCCAGCGTCTGGGAAGACACCCGTTACCAGGCGGATCGTGGCCCAGCCGTAGCAAAAGGTGTCAAGGAACACCTTTTGCAAAAGGTGTCAACACCCGCTACTTAGCAGACTGGGAAAGGGGGGCGGTCTCCCTTTCCCCGGGGGAGTTTAGAGAAGACTCTGTTCCTCCACCTCTTGTGGAGGGCCTGACATCAGTCAGGCTTGCCCGTAGTTATCCGGAGGCCTAACTGTCTCCCTGTGATGCTGTGCTTCAGTGGTCACGCTCCTAGTCTGCCTTCATTTTCCATCCTGTACACCTGGCTCTGCCTTCTAGATAGCAGTAGTAAATTAGTGAAAATACTAATAGTCCCTGATATGCAGAAATAATGGCATAAGCTGTCTTTCTCTCTGTCTCCTCTCCCTCTCTGCCTCGGCTGCCAGGCAGGGAAGGGCCCCCTGTCCAGTGGACACATGACCCATGTGACCTTACCTATCATTGGAGGTGACTCACATTCTTTACCCTGCCCCTTCTGCCTTGTATCCAATAACAGCGCAGTCAGACATTCAGGGCCACTACCGGTCTCCGCACATTGGTGGTAGTGGTCCCCCGGGCCCAGCTGCCTTTTCTCTTATCTCGTTGTCTTGTGTCTTTATTTCTACACTCTCTCATCGCCACACACAGGGAGAGACCCACCGACCCTGTGGGGCTGGTCCCTACAAGAGGGAAGTGGTTTGTTCTGCTCTTCTGAGATGTGTTCTTATGAGAAGGATCCAGCAGCAGCCTGCAGAGATGTGGGGCCTGAAAAGAGGCCTTGGGCAGCTCTTCTCAACAGGTCTTGGCCCTCTAGACTGCCTTCAGCACAGTTTTGGGGAGAAACAGGGAGTGTTCCTTTTTCAATCTATGCGCTCATCCCCTGAGCCGCCTGACCCAGGGTTTAGATGCTCCAGGGCAGCTGATTGACACCGGTGGGAGATGGAGTCTGGCAAGCAGGTGATGAACTGGGAAGCGCTGCAGAAATGAGGGGGCAAGCGTGGCCAGTCCCTTCTGAGAGGATGTGTTTGGAAGAGAGTGGGCACTGGCGTGGCACTTTCCCCTTCTGTGGAAATGGACTTGGACAGGATGCCACGTAGTGCTGCAGTTCTGTGTGGGGCAGGTTGTGGCTGCAGAGAAGCACTGGGTGCAGAAACAGTCCCCCAAGCAGGTGCGAGGGTCAGGGTGCTCTATGCTGCTCCACACCTGCCGTGCGATGACATGTGGTCACCGGGCTGCCCAGCACAGTTGTTTAGAAAGCAGGTTCAAAGGGCAGTGTGCTGGGAGGAAGTGCTGCTGTGGAAACTGCAAGTTTTGGACATGAGTTGCTCAGGTCTTTTCAGCCGTTCATTCTTCTACAACAGAATTGCATTATTCACTTGCTCAGTGTGATACCATGTCCTTTAAAAAATTATTTGAATATTGAGAACAGGTTGTATGTTCCGTCTCTAGCTGCTAGATCACAGGCAGGGCACATCTTCTCAAAGAGTAACAAGGCATGGGTTGTGTGTGTTCTCTTCTCTTAGTGAGGAGAAAGGCCTGTTTGGGTTCATGATGATTGTTGGGGTCTCTTTTCTGTACCTGATGTTGGTTGCACAAAGTCCGTTTCCATTCTCTTAGTCTAGACAATTTTCCTGATATTTAAACTGGAATTTTTGCTCCAAGAAATTCCAGGTCATTTAGAATGTGTTAAGATTGAGTTTCTGGGCTACACATCCTTATAAGAGCACCCGATTCTGGTTTCTGTTTATTTATTTATTTTTTCGAGACAGTCTCGTTCTGTCACGCAGGCTGGAGTACAGTGGCATGATTTTGGCTCACTGCAACCTCTGCCTCATGGGTTCAAGTGATTCTCGTGCTTCAGGCTCCCAAGTAGCTGGGATTACAGGTGCGCACCACCTACATTATTTATTTATTTAATTTATTTATTGAGATGAGGTCTCACTATGTTGCCCAGGCTACTCAAACTTCTGGTCTCAAGGGATCCTCCCGCCTCGGCCTCCCAAAGTGCTGGGATTACAGGCATGAGCCACCGCACACAGCCTGATTTCTGTTTAAAGAGTTGGATTATACAGGGACCCACAGAATTGGGAACTGACAGTACTGTAGAGCCTGTGTATGAAAAAGATGGACAAGCCTGACATTAGCAGCTCACTGTTGAGCACACGGCCCCCTGCAGAATAAACAAGTGTGTGGTTTCCATCTGATGAAGGTGGGCATGTAGTTCCTGGACAGTCCAGTGACTTCCATCATTCCACAGACAAGATCAGATGCCCTCTCTACCAGCCACCGTGCTGGGACCGGCCCAATCTGTGTTTCAAATCAGCTTGTAGCACGCAGGGATTCAAAATATTTAAAGATGAGGTTTGAAGGTACGTCTGGAGACCAAGGACGTTAGTTCTGGAGGTCCCCGTCTCCTGCGTGTTTGCGGAGCTGGTGACAGTGCCCTCTCCCCGTGCTGGAGAGGGCTGAGGAGAGGCTGTGTGTCTCAGCAGGATGCCAGTCAGGATTCTTCTGGCTATGGGCTTATTTTTTGCAATAAATTCATCGTTAAAGTCCCATTCTTTAACCTGTTTTTTCCCTTTTGGAATTAATTCGACTGCAGTAGGAAGGGGTTGTAGCTGAAAGTGACCGCTGTGCATTGAATGCCATCAGAAAAGGCTGATGAGATTTGCAGGGAAGACTTGAAGCCTCACTGAAATGCGCCTGGCGTGTGTTGACCTTTGCAGTGGAACATGTGGGAAAGGGGCCCGCACTCACTTTTCAGTTCTGCCTCGGTGATTCCAGGAGCCCCGGGGTTGGGAGCGGGGACAGGACCTTGCTCCTGAGTCTTAGGTGTGGTGTCTCTCGCCCCTTGCTGCATTGGCGGGACCCTCGGTGCCGCGGCCTCAGTTGCAGGGCGGCCAGGGCTGCTCCGTGAAGGAGGCGCTCACTCCATGGAGCTGCAGGACGCTGCATTCTCCTCACTCTGGCCATTGCCGCTGTCCTTCCTGCTTCCCCTTTTCTGGTGAGGGAGGGCTCCAAGGACTTGCTGGCTGGTCCCCAGATGCCAGCACTCCTGCATCTTCCCCTCCTCTCCTGGCCTGTCACTTTGTTCCTCCTCTGTGAGGGGCCCAGGCTCGGATGCCCGGCCACGGCCTCTCTTTCCAGCCTGTGCGGCCCAGGTGGGTCCAGGATGTTCCCTGCTGCCCTGTTCTCAGCAGTTCTTGTCTTCTTCAGGCTTTTCCTCCTTGCCTAGAGAAATTTCCCTACATGGAAACCCCTGTGGCTGTACAGTCTTTTCTGACCAATCTGCTGGGTTTTTTGTTTTTTGTTTTTGAGACAGAATCTTGCTCTGTCGCCCAGGCTGGAGTGCATTGCAGTGAAAGTGGCAATATCTGGCATTTGTAGATGGAAGCTGGAACTCAGTACAGGTGGGAACGTAAGCGCCTGTCGTTGCTGAGGTGGGGCAGCAGTCAGTTGCCAGCGCGTGTTCAAACACAGGCTGATTCAACAGTTCCCGTTCTGGGAATTTAAGATCGGAAAATAATTAAAGTGTATGCAAAGATTTTGCTACTAGAATATTTGTCACAGCTTTGAAATAGGGGAGAACTGGAAATATCTTGAATTTCCCTCAGGCAGAGATAGGTAGAAACATTGTGGTGAAGTCTGTGTCGTCCCTCAGGATCTGTGGGAAATTGGTCCCAGGACCTCTCTCAGATACCAGAGTCGGAGGGTGCTGAAGCCCTTGCTCTGAAGTGGTATAGTGTTTGCATATAATCTGTGCACACCCTCCTGTGTACTCTGTCATCACCAGATTACATATAATGCCTAATGTAATGTAAATGCTATGTAAATAGTTGCTTTACTATATTCTTTAGGGAATAATGACAAGAAAAAAAGTCTGTGCATGTTCAGTACAGATGCAATTTCTTGTTTTTCTAATATTTTCTATCCACTGTTGGTTGAATCCATGCATGTGGAGTCAACCTATGGATGGGGATGGCAGACTGTACTCTCCTGACAGGTGGTTACAAAGTATTTCTATCTGAAAAGAGCTGGCTGCAAAGCAGCATGCCCAGTATAACTTTCCTCAGGCCCAGGGAAAAGCTTGGAGGGAGGTTCCCACAGAAACATTAGCAGTGGTTTCCTGGGCCAGTGGGATAAGGACCAGGCATTGTGCTAGCAGTGGAGAAACAGTGGTGAATAAGGTAGGTCTGGCTCTGTCTCCTGGAGCTTACTGGACTGAAGATGAACCTTTCTCCACTAATTTTTATTCTGAAAAATTTCAAAACTAAAGAAGAGTTGAACGCATAGTACAATGAATATCCCTAGCCTTTCACCTGGATTCTACCAGTTGTTAACCTTTTCCATATTTGCTTGTATATGTTACCCTCTCACCTCCCCAAATTTTTTTCTATTATTTTTATTATTTGAAAGTAAGTCACACACATGATAGCATTTCACCCCAGAATCCTTCTCCAGGTGCCTTCTGAGCTCAGAAGCTGTCTCCTCTACAACCTCATCATTATCACATCCGAGATAGAATTAACATTGCATTTTCTTTTTTTTTTTTTTTTTGTTTTTTTGAGATGGAATCTCATGCTGTTGCCCAGGCTGGAGTGCAGTACTTTGATTTTGGCTCATTGAAACCTCCACCTCCTGGGTTCAAGTGATTCACCTGCCTCAGCCTCCCAAGTGGCTGGGACTACAAGTGTGTACCACCGTGCCTGGCTAATTTTTGTATTTTTAGTAGAGATGGAGTTTTATCATAACATGGCATTTTCTAATGCAAAGGTGACATGCAGCCTTCCTCAGTGGTCCCCAGTCCTCCTCAAAGTCCTTTATAGAGACAGTTTTACTCTGTTGCCCAAACTGGAATGCAGTGGTGTGATCATAGCTCACTGCAGCCTTGAACTCCCCTGGGCTCAAGCCATCCCCCAGCCTTAGCCTCCTGAGTTGCTGGGACTACAGGCCTGTGCCGCCACACCTAGCTAATCTTTTTTTTTTTTTTTTTTGAGATGGAGTCTCAAACTTGTCACCCAGCCTGGAGTGCAGTGGCACGATCTTGGCTCACTGCAACATCCGCCTCCCAGTTTCACGCCATTCTCCTGCCTCAGCCTCCTGAGTAGCTGAGATTACAGGCATGCGTCACCATGCCTGGCTAATTTTGTATTTTTAGTAGAGACGCGTTTCCACCATATTGGCCAGGCTGGTCTTGAACTCCTGACCTCGTGATCCAGCCTCCTTGGCCTCCTAAAGTGCTGGGATTACAGGCGTGAGCCACTGCACCCAGCCTAATTTTTGTATTTTTAGTAGAGGCAGGGTTTCACCATGTTGGTCACGCTGGTGTTGAACTCCTGACCTCACATGATCCACCCAACTTGGCCTCCCAAAGTGCTGGGATTAGAGGCATGAGCCACCATGCCCAATCTCTGCACCATGCCCAGTATCCCTTAGTGGCCCTTCTGACTTTACACTGCTTTTCCCTCCTGACAGCGGGGCCCTGCTTTCGTGGTCTGTATCCTGCTTGAGCAAGGTGCCATGAGGCTTTTCCTAGGCCTTGACTTTGCTGTAGCTTCTAAGGTGTCCTGTGGCGGCAAAAGGGACGTGTGCTCTGTGGGTGGGTGCAGCCACCTGTAGAGCTGCAGCTATATCCCCAGGATGGTTGTGTGACTGATGGTCCTTGGGGAGCCCAGCAGTGAGGATCTCAGCAGCCCACCTGTCTCAGAGTCCCCGCTGTGCACCCAGGCCCAGGGCTCAGTGAGTGAGAGCTCTCCGACCTCGGTGGGGGCGGGGCTAATTGACCTTCAGACCCACCGTGTGCCAGTGCTGGCTGGCACACAGCACTGCTTGGACTTCCCCTGTGGGAAAGGATGGGGACAGATCAGTCTTTGGAAGAATGGAGCGCTGGCTTTGCTCAGCCCTGTTCTTGGGAAGGTTTGATCTGGAGAGCCGCAGCAGCCAGACCCTGGGGAGGCAGGTTAGTGAGCAGGCTCCCAACTTACGAGCTAGGAAGGCTGACGGCTGTTCATTTCCCCCCATGTGGACCTCATCGGGGGTCCTTCCTGAGGGCGAGCGCTAGGTTCGTCTGCGTTTCTCTCTCCCAGTTGGGCCTGACTCTGGACGCCAGGCTGAGGGAGTACACAGCTCCTTCAGAGCACGGGCTCAGACGCTCAGATGCTCGGAGCGCTTCCGGCTGCTTTTCCATGGGTAACTCACATGTTCTTCCTGCAGGCTGGCATTTGTCTTTCATGGCTTTTTTCCATCGGTCAGAATTACAGTCTTTTGATTGTATGTACGTACCTGGTTATTATCAGATATCTAGTTTAAAATGTGCATCTGAATATAGATTTTCTTGGTGAACGCATTGCGTTCTCATTCCGTAAAAAGTCGGAAGCTCAAAATGATGCTTAAAAAAAAATCTTAGCAAGCTCTCCTGTGCAGATGCTGCTGGCGCTGAGCTTTGTGCCTGGGGCAGAAAGGGTGAGGACGGCCCCGGTTGGTTTAGGAAAAGTGGTTATGAACAGAACGGGCCCCATGCTCCTGGCCTGAGGAAATGTTGTGTGAAAAAGATGGCTTCTACAGCTTGAAGGGGGACGGTCCACCTGATGCTCCTGTCCCTCTCTGAGCCCCAGGGGCAGAAGGGAAACAGTCAATAGCACGGCCGTTGCAGATGGTGCCCATAGAGGGAGGGTAGTTAGTGTCTGAGCAGGAGAGGGTGACCGGCCTTTGTGGGGCTGCTTCAGAGAGCCGGGCAGAGTCTGGGCCCCAACGTGGACTAGCAGGGGAGGAGCTCTCCTGGCTGGGGTGGCGACTCGGGGAGGTCTGGGTTGCCTGAGCAGGGAATCGGCCTCCAGTGGGGGAGGTTCTGAGTGGGACGCGCTCTTCGTGTGGGCCTGGAGGACCTCTAGGCGGCCTGCACTCGCCTGATACAGCTGGCTTCTGCTGGGAGGCTGGGTTTGCATCCAAACTCTGAGACCTTTTGGACAAAACATGCCAAAGAAGTTGGTGGTAGTAAGAAATTCATACTAAACTTGTTCTGTTAGGGTTTTTTTCCTTCCAGGTATATTATTTCCCTTCAGTAGCCCTACATTTTAAAAGTTAACGTTCAGCGTTGAGTCAGGGTCAGGTTTTGAATGACACAGGATGTTTTCAGATCCTGAGTTTACCTGAAGCTCTCAAAGTAGCCTCCTAACAAAAATTATTGAAAACATCAACTATTTTGGAATACTTTTAGGTATGTAGAAAAATTGCAGACGACACAGAATTTCCATAATTTCCCCCAGCCAGCTTCCCCTAATGCCATGACATGACCGTGATACCTCTGTCACTCTGTCGAAACTGAGGTGTTCGCGCTGGCACCACACTACTCACCGAGCGACAGGCCTGTTTTGGATTTTATCAGTTTTCCTCCTGATGTCCTTGCTGTCCCAGGACCCCGCCCCGGTGCCACATCGCATCGCGTTGTCCTGTCTCATTCGCCCCCTCTGGTGTAGGATAGCTGCCGTCCTTCCTTGTTTGTCATCAGCTTGGTACTTTTGAGGAGTCCTGGTCAGGTATTTTGCAGAATGTGCCTTCATTTGGGTTTGTTTGATGTCTTGTGGTTGGACAGGTTGTGGGGTTAGGAAGAATCCCACAGAGATGAGGTGCCCTTAGTGCGTCGTATTGGGGTACAGGACATCCACGTGACTCATCGCTGGTGACGTTCAACAAAATTACTTACAAAACTTTTAAAAAATTATTATTGTTTGCTTTAGAGATGAGCTCTCGCTCTGTCATCCAGGCTGGAGTGCAGTGGTGGGATCATAGCTCACTGCAGTCTCCAACTCCTGGGCTCAAGCGACCCCCCCACCTCAGCCTCCTGAGTAGCTGGGGCTACAGGTACGTGCCACTGTGTCTGGCAAAATTAGTTTTACTTTACCAAAAGGAAGCACATAGGCCTGCTCTGCTCTCTGCTACTTGGGGGTTTTGTGTCATAGATTGTAGGACACTGGTGGTAATTTAATTTCAGAAGGGACCTTCTTGCTCACCCAGTTGGATCCTTCCAGTTTCTAGATGAAGACACTTGGGACCTGGAGGCCTTCTGACTTTTGGGTCAGAGCTGGCATGGAGTCCAGGCACCTGCTTTCTGCAGGCATGCATGCTCCTGGGACACTCTGCAGGGACAGAGCCATCCCCAGCAAGGCAGACTGACAGGGCTGGTTTCCAGTCGGGTGGGGCCGCATCCCTCCAGGGGATGTGAGGCAGGTTTGAGATGAGTCTGCTCCCCTTCTGCCTGCTGCTCCTGTCTTTTTTTTTCTTTTTCTTTTTCTTTTCTTTTTTTTTTTTTGAGACGGAGTCTCGCTCTGTTTCCAAGGCTGGAGTGCAGTGGCGCGATCTCAGCTCACTGCAACCTCTGCCTCCCAGGTTCAAGTGGTACTCCTGCCTCAGCCTCCCAAGTAGCTGAGACTACAGGCATGCGCCCCCACACCTGGCTTATTTTGCGTTTTTAGTAGAGACAGGGTTTCTCCATGTTGGTCAGGCTGGTCTCCAATTCCTGACCTCAGGTGATCCTCCCAAAGTGCTGGGATCACAGGCGTGAGCCACCGCAACTGGCCTAGGAGTAACTTCTTAATGAATATTTTAATAATATAAATCTTAGTCTGAATTTCTGACTGTGTCGCCTAGATGCCATGTAGGGGAATGGGCAGGTCAGAGGGTGTGGCCTGCGCTGTGGCGAGGCACTGAGGATTAGGTGCTGCAGTTTTCCTCCGGCCCCTCCTGGTTCCCTGGTGAACACACATCAGCCTCAGATGGGCGACCCCCTACTCATGGGAGGGCTGGGAGTGTGGGCCTTGTAGTTGGATTCTGCTTCAGAATTGCGTGTGACCTCACTGTGGAGTGTTTGACTGGACAAAAGCCTGCTGTATACTCAGTGTCCCCATCTGTAGAAAGGATGCCGATGGTACCCACCCCCAGAGTTGTTTTGAGGACTAACCACGATAATACATGTAAAATGCTCAGAAGAATGTGTGGCAAACAGCAAGCACTTAATAAATTTTTTTTTTAGTAGAGAAAAATGGCATTTTATTTATTTTAAACAACAGCATTTAAAGTTATACCTATAAGGGGCACACAGAAGATATATGGAGAGTTTAAAGAATGAAAATAAACTCACACGTGCCCACCACCCTACTTGAAAAACAGGATTTTACCAGAAGGCTCGAGTGGCCCTCCAGATTGTAGTTTCTGGCCCCTCCCGTTCAGAGGTAACTGGCATCCTGGTTTTCATGTTGATCAGTGGTGTTTAAAGTACACCTGTAGGAAGTTCCAAAGTGCAGGAAGGGAACAAAGCCTCCTTGCAGAGAAATCTTGTACTTTGGTGTTTCATCATCTGTTTGTGTGACAAATATACAACGTTAATGTTGAAGATGTGGGTTAGTGAAATTGAGACCTGGCGCTTCCTGAGGCTGGCAGCCCGGTTGAGCCTGAGGACCAGACTTGAGGCAGTTGGCAGTCCGCGCCTCGTTGCCCTCTGTCTGCCCTGGGTAAGTGAGAGGCTCCTTGGGAGGCCAGTGGAGATGGCTGTGGGAGGACAGATTGAGTAGCTGTCCTTGGAGCTGCTCCTCCCTCCCTTCGTGGAGAAATAGAAACAGCTTTCCTCCGGCCCTCACCTGTTGCCAGGGCTCCACGCTGGTGGGGGCGAGCTGCGTTTTGCTGAGTTGCACCGTGGGAGAGCGTTGGTGACCACTTGCCTGCTGTGGGCCAGCTCCCCGTGGCCAAGGACCAGCGTGGGCAGGGCCTTCGGGCACGGGTTGCTGGTACGAGCACACCGAGAATCCCCTCCGCCATAGGGCCTGCCCTGTGAGCTGCCCACCAGATTCCACGGAGTGCTTCACACTCCTGTCTGGTGTGGGTCCCGCAGCCCTTGTGGGTGGGCCCATGTCATTAGCCTCATTTTAGAGAAGAGTCTTGATGGGTCGGAGAGCGGTGGCTTACCCACAGGTAAGCTGTAAATCTGGAACTCAACTGGGGCATTGGTTTTGCTAGTCCACCACAGTTGTCCTTGGTGGTGGCAGCCTGAGGGGTAGGGGAAGGTGGCGGCTGTCCCTCCCTAACACCCCCTTCCTCCACCTGGTTTTCTGTGCTGGGCCTAGCTTTGTGGAGTTTTCTGAGGTGAGAGGAGGTTTTTACCAGAATGCTCTTTGCCAGTGAGCACAGCTGACCTGAGGGCAGGATCCCTTTGGAGATGAGCTAGGTGGATTGTGGCAGCCTCCCACAACTTTGGTCCGGGGGCCTGGAGAGAGCAGTTCCTGCTTGCCGCGTGTGAGAGTGTGCGGGCGCTGGCTCTACCTGTCGCACTGCATTCCCAGGCTCCAGAGCACACACTGCCATTTAAAGGTAGCTTAGCTTTCTGTTCGGGATCCTTTCTCTTGCTGGTTGAAGTGTTCATCTGCGTGACAGCATCTTGACCATAGGAGGCGCCCTGATTTCCATCTTTTTTTTTTTTTTGAGACGGAGTCTTGCTGTGTCGCCCAGGCTGGAGTGCAGTGGCGCAATCTCGACTCACTGCAAGCTCCACCTCCCAGGTTCACACCATTCTCCTACCTCAGCCTCCCGAGTAGCTGGGACTACAGGCACCCGCCACCACGTCCAGCTAATTTTTTGTATTTTTAGTAGAGACGGGGTTTCACCGTGTTAGCCAGGATGGTCTTGATCTCCTGACCTTGTGATCCACCTGCCTCAGCCTCCCAAAGTCCTGGGATTTCAGGCATGAGCCACAGCACCCGGCCTTTTTTTTTTTTTTTTGAGACAGAGTTTCACTTTTGTCGCCCAGGCTGGAGTGCAGTGGCCCAATCTCTGCCCACTACAACCTCCGCCTCCTGAGTTCAGGCGATTCTCCTGCCTCAGCCTCCCGAGTAGCTGAGATTACAAGTGGCCACCACGACACCCAGCTAACTTTTTTGTATTTTTATTGGAGACGAGGTTGCACCATGTTGGCCAGGCTGGCCTCAAGCAATCCTCCCACCTTGTCTTGCTAAAGTGCTGGGATTACAGGTGTTAGCCATTGTGCCCTGCCTGATTTCTTTCTTGATTTATCTCCCGTGTGTGAGGGAGCTCAGCCTTTCTATATAGTTTTGTCCTCAAAGTTAGAGTTGGGCCTTCTAATCCAGTAGATATTTAAGGCATTTGGAAAAGGGGACACGGTTCATTTAGCTTTGAAAGGCTTATTCTATGATCCAGTGACCGTTGGTTGAGAAAACTTTGTGTCTTCTGTGTTACTTCATTGTGAAAGTGCTTCCAGCTGGCTTCAAGGCCTGCTCAGGTGAATCTTGTAGGTGAACTCAATAAATCCTCATGGCAAATCTGGGAGGTCGGCCCTGTGGCTCCCTGACTTTCAGATGAGGAATCTGAGCCACAGAAAGCTGAGGTAATGTGCCAAGGGATTGACTGCGAGTGAGTGGCAGAGCGGGCGTTCTGACGTGGCACTTGGAACAGCTATGTCTATTTGAGGCCCAGGACTAGTTCAAGTGCAAAAGGCTGAGACAGGTTAGTAGCTAATGACTATTCTTTTGGATCTATTTACTCAGGTGATATTTTGGATTTTATTCTTCTGCAGCAGGTTTGTAGGGGGAAAAAGGAACCTTCTTAGGAGTCAAGACATGTTTAAGTAAGCTAGTTGCAGTTGCTCAAATATTGGATGTGTAGAGAACAGCGGCCTCCCCCTGAGGCTGAAAGACTGTTCCTCATTGCACTAACCCTGAGTCTTTAGAAGCTTCCAGCTTCCCAAGCTCATTTCTTCTATAAAATTCTTGCTTGGCCAGGTGCGGTGGCTCACGCCTGTAATTCCAGCACTTTGGGAGGCCGAGGCGGGCTGATCATAAGGTCAGGAGATTGAGACCATCCTGGCTAACACGGTGAAACCCTGTCTCTACTAAAAATACAAAAAATTAGCCGGATGTGGTGGTGGGCACCTGTAGTTCCAGCTACTCGGGAGGCTGAGGCGCAGGATAATGGCTTGAACCCAGGAGGCAGAGCTTGCAGTGAGCCGAGGTCACACCACTGCACTCCAGCCTGGGGGACAGAGCGAGAATCTGTCTCAAAAAAAAAAAAATGTGGCTCTGCATTTTAAAAAATCAGTTTTTGTCTTCCTGACAGTCTCGCGAGTGAAGCTGTTGTGTGCAGCTCTGGAAGACTCGAGGTGACTCTTGATGAGAGACTTGATGGGAGGAGAAACCCACAGGCCACTTGCTTTCCTTTGCTACCAGATTCATTTGCATTTTAATCTATTTGCTAATTAAATGGTTGCTACATTTAGCAGTTTTGAGTGTGGGATGCTGGATGTTGACATTTTTCTAAACACTTGTTAGTGACTAAACAATGTGCTGCATACTTCAGTTGAGCCTGGATTTGTTTTTGGTGGTTATGAAAACGTAATTAGATCTCAAATTAATTTTCCCTTGAGAGTTTCTACTTTTTTTTTTTTTTTTTTTGAGATGGAGTCTTGCTCTGTCTCCCAGGCTGGAGTGCAGTGGCGTGATCTCTGCTCACTGCAACCTCTGCCTCTTGGATTCAAGTGATTCTCCTACCGCAGCCTCCCTAGTAGCTGGGATTATGGCGCTGCTACACCCAGCTAATGTGGTGTATTTTTAGTAGAGAGAGGGTTTCACCATGTTGGCGAGGCTGGTCTTGAACTACTCACCTCAGGCAATCTGCCCGCCTCAGCCTCCCAAAGTGCTGGGATTACAGGCATGAGCCACTGTGCCCGGCAAAGAGAGTTTCTACTCTTTTTTTTCTTTAAATGAGATGGGGCGGGGGTGTCTCACTATATTGCACAGGCTGGTCTTGAACTCCTGGCCTCAAGTGATTCTCCTGCCTCAGCCTCACAGGTAGCTAGGACTATAGGCACACGCCACTATGCCTGGCTACTTTTTATATATTTTTTTGTAGAGATGGGGTTTCACTATATTGCACAGACTGGTCTTGGACTCCTGGACTCAAGCCATCCTCCCACTTCGGCCTCTGGAAGTGCTGGGATTACAGGCATGAGCCACTGCACCCTGCCTGGTTTCTACTTCTAAGAGATGGAGACTGCTGAACTTCATACCCAGACAAGTTAAAGAAATTGAAACTCTAAGTTCTTATATACATATTTTATGAAACAAAATTCTCAGAAAATGCCCAGTTTACCCATGGGCTACATTTTTACAAGTTTCAATTTGTTTAAAACTCAGGGTTTGTTTTCCTATCAGAGGTGTGGTTGGGGGCTCGGGCTCGGGCTGGGGCTGGCTGAAACCTGAGTGCCTGCTGTGGAAAGTAGCAACAGGACCAGCACCTGGTGGTCCCATCTGCCTGTGGGAATAAGTAGGGGGCAGTGACTCGTCATTGAGTGGCGCGGGGGGATGTGAGAGCCCCTCTTCCAGGGACTTGGGGGATGGCACCTGGTAGCTTTAAGGACCTAACCTGTTGATGGTGCTTATTCTCCCAGCCACATTCTGTTGAGAACATTGGCCTTTCCCTGTTCTCAGTAGACCTGTGCCGTGGCACGTCTTTCACATTTCTCAGCACTGATGAAGTCACAGAAGCTTGTCTCGACAGTGCAGTAGAAGGTAGAAGAGGACAGAGGGGGTCCTGTCCTGAGTGGGGAGATTGATTGATTGCCAGGACTGAGAAGGGGGTGTGGAAAGACGTGGTTGGCAGGAGGCTCCTGGTGGGAAAGAAGCCGCACTGACCTGGGCAGGCCTTGGTCATGAGGAAGGAGCCCCAGGGAGCCAGCGTGCGAGGCTGCTGGCGAGGCAGGCCACAGCTCCCCGCCTTCCCTTGGGGGTGGTGCGTGCACCTGTGTGTGTGTAGCAAAGCCCAGTGATCAGGTCATAACCAGGGAGTGGGGGGCTTGCATGGTGACCCCACACCTGTGAGGTGGGCACTGGTGTTTTTGGTGGACTTCTCTTGTGAGGAGCTTTTTTTTTAAAAAAAAAAAAAGAAAAAAAAAGAAAAGAGAGCCTTGCTCTGTTGCCCAGACTGGAGTACAGGGTCTCGGTGATAGTTCACCACAACCTTGAACTCCCAGCCCAAGTGATCCTCCCACCTCAGCTGGAAGTGGAACCACAGGTGCACACCACCGTGCCTGGCTCTTTTTTTTTTTTTTTTAATTTCTTTTTTAAAAAGAGACAAGGTTTTGTTCTGTCACCCCTGCTGGAGTGCAGTGCTATGACCACGGCTCACTGCAGCCTCAGCCTCCTGGGCTCAAGTAATTCTCCCACTTCAGCTGGGATTACAGGTGTGCGCCACCACAGCCAGCAGATTTTTTTTTTTTTTATTAGATGTGAGGTCTCGCCATGTTACCCAGGCTGGTCTCCCAACACCTGGGCTCAAGCAGTTCTCCTGCCTTGGCCTCCCAAAATGGGAGATTACAGGCATGAGCCACCACGCCTAGCCCATTTCATTAGGGAGGACAAGGATAGTAGACAGGTGCACCTAGGGTCTTATTACTGTAAATTGTTCCAGAGATTTAAATTTCAGAAGCTGTTGAGTAACTGGAAGTGTTGTCTTACTACAATTTGGGGTCACCAAGTGGGTGGCAGATGGATTGGGCTGTGCAGGGGCTGAAGGACTCACCCGCAGGCCCAGAGTCGCTGGCCTCCCTGAGGCTGTGCTGCCTCCATGGGACTGAGTGCTGGGACGGGGCGTTTTGGGAGCCTGGCAGGACCCTACCCTGCACGTGGGCCCTGGCCGTGCGTTTCCTCCAGATCGTGGCAGGCGGTCTCGGGATGCTGTTAATGCAGTTGAATCACCACCTCAAAATGCTACAAAATCTACCCTTTACAACAATAGTAGTACAAATAAACGTTTAGACACTTCACGCTCAAAGAGGGCTTTTGCTCGGGCTTTTTATTTCACAATTGATGCTTAAAAGTGCTTTTAAAGGCAATATTGCAACTACATTTATTTATTTATTTATTTGCTGCAGAAATGAAGTTATTTATTAAAACACACCCATGGTAGCAAGTTCTGATGGGTCTGAAGAGGAGGCAGGAGCACGGTGTTGAGCTTCTAAACATCGTCCTGCCAGGGAGGGACCCTGACAGGTGCTTGGCTGACATGCTGTGGCCGAGGCAGGAAGGAAGTTGCAGAATTCCACGAAGGCAGAAGACTACCAGTAGGCAGGTCCCATGTCATCACACCCGTGAGAGTGGCAGTGGTCTGGTGGCCACAGAGATGTCTGACAGCGTGGGTCTGGAGCCGGTGATCGGCTGGCTTTGAGAGGTTCCTTCAGGAGGTGCCTGGACCCTGATGGACAGCCCCCAGCCTCACGCTCCCCCTTGAGGTTTGCAGAGGGTGCCAGAAGTGACCCCAGAAAGGGTTCTCTGAGGTGCTGCGGTCCCTACCCAGCAGCCAGGGGCTCTGTCTGGAAGTGGCCGTGTCGTGGCCGTGCTGAACCGCTATGAGTCCAGAGCTTCCCGGGCCTCCTCTGCTCTGCGGGGAAGGCTCCGGGGCTCTCCCCACCTTCTCGAATCTTTGCTCAGATATCACCTTCCCAGCAAAGGCTGTCTGATTATTTGAATTTGCACCACCCTCATCCAAATAGTCCTGTTCTCTTTGCCTGCTTTATTTTTCTCATAGTAATCATCATCATCTGACACGCTGTGCATTTTCCTGCTCTGTGTATGGAAGTCTGTCTGTCCTGCTGGAATGCAGGCTTCTGGAGGGTGTGGTCTTGGTTTCGTTCTCTGCTGTACTTCCAGTGCCCAGGACGGTGCCCAGCATGGAGTAGCTGCTCAGCCAATGCTGTGGTCTTGATGGGACTGCATTCGCTTTACATGATTGAAGCTGCTGGCGTGGAAGCTGTGCCATGTCATGTAAAGCATGCAGTGGGAAAGCAGTGGGGTGGGGGCGTCTTTGTATTACATCATCTGTTGTTGCCGTTTCAAAAATCCAGAGGCCTTTCTACACTTCAGTTGGATGTTGATTTCAAAATGACCGATGTTTCTTTCTGACTCATGAAGGCTGCTGTCTTTGGAATCTGACATTAGAGGGAAGCGAAACTTTACAATGTGTGGGGCAGCCTGGTGTGGTGGCTCAGGTCTGTAATCCAGCACTTTGGGAGGCCAAGGATGGCGGATCACTCGAGCCCTGGAGTTTGAGACCAGCCTGGGCAGCATGATGAGACCCCATCTCTACAAAAATTAGCTGGACACGGTGGTGCACACCTGTGGTCCCACTACTCAGGAGGCTGAGGTGGGAGGATCACTTGAGCCTAGGAGGTCGAGACTGCAGTGAGCTATGATCATGCCACTGAGCTCCAGCCTGGGAGACAGAGTGAGACCCCGTCTCAAAACAGAAAAAAAGTCACCAGGCATGGTGGCACATGCCTGTAATTGCATCACTTTGGGAAGCTGAGGCAGGCAGATCACTTGAGTTCAGGAGTTCGAAACCAGCCGGGACAACAAGCAAAACCCCATCTCTATTTTTTCAAAATTTGTGTATATAAAATTTTTGTATGAAAGCTGTGTGGTACATGTTTAGCTGTTTTATGTTTCACTTTCTGGACATGAGTGTGATCCTCCCTGCTCTTGCAGTGCCATCTAAGCTGTCATCAGTTTTCCTGGGCGAGTGATGCATCTCCCCAGCTGGTCTGTCTGAGCCCCTGGCCAGCCAAGGGGCTGCCCTTGACTCTCCCGGCACCCGCCCGTCTCTGCATAGCCACCCCCACCACTTTAACTGGATGGTTTTGTATTGAGGTCAGGCTGGACATCAGCTTTCTATGGGCAGGGACCGTGTCCTCTTATTGGCTGAGTAATTGGGTCCATAGCGTAGGTAAGTCACCTCCTTTAAGAGACTTTGATAAGCAAAATAGTGAATATATTCTTTTTATTTATTTACTTATTATTTTTTATTTTTGAGGCAGGATCTCCCTCTGTCGTCCAGGCTGGAGTGCAGTGATGTGATCTTGGCTCATTGCAGCCTCGACCTCCCCGGGCTTAGGTAATCCTCCTACCTCAGCCTCCCAATTAACTGCGACGACAGGCACATGCCACCGTACCTGGTTAATTTTTATATTTTTAGTAGAGGTGGGGTTTTGCTGTGTTTGCCCAGGCTGGTCTTGAACTCATGGGCTGAAGTGATCCACCCACTTTGGCCTCTGCGCCCGGCCTATTTTTTTTTTTTTTTTTTTTTGAGACGAAATTTCACTCTTGTTGCCTAGGCTGGAGTGCAATGGCATGCTATCAGCTCACTGCAACCTCTGCCTTGCAGGTTGAAGCGATTCTCCTGCCTCAGCCTCCCAAGTAGCTGGCATTACAGGCATGCGCCAACAAGCCCGGCTAGTTTTTTTGTATTTTTAGTAGAGACGGGATTTCTCCATGTGGTCAGGCTGGTCTCGAACTCCTGACCTCAGGTGATCCTCCCGCCTCTGCCTCCCAAAGTGCTGGGATTACAGGCCTGAGCCACTGTGCCCGGCCTAATTTTGTATTTTTAGTAGAGAAGGGGTTTATTCGTGTTGGTCAGGCTGATCTTGAACTCCCGACCACAGGGGATCCACCCGCCTCATCCACCCAAACTGCTGGGACTACAGGCATGAGCCACCAAGCCCGGCCGTTTTTAGCGTTTAAAAGGATTGCAGCTTGGCTGGTGGCAGTCCCTCTGTCCTGGCACAGACGCAGGGGGAGACCCTGTGTCTTCAGACAGCATGGACTTCAGGACCCTACTGAGAGATGGAATCAAGAGCTCTCCGGGGTTCTTTGAGTGGGGAGTTGTATCGGAAACCACCATCAGCGCGCCTGAGCTCGCCTCGCATTGTTCTTCTGTAGTGCGGGGGGCCACTGCCACCACCGTGAGGACACGTTGGGGTCTGGGGAGGGATTGTTATGGCTGTGGGTGCACCTTGCACGTCTTGCCGACCTAGCTTTGCACGCTGATCTTCCCTCCGTGCCCGCTTACATTGTTAACTGGGTTTCTGCCCTCCCTCCTCTCCTTCGTATTTCTGTGTCTCATTGACAACTGTTCTGTAGTCGCTTTGTTGACAGTTGCCAAACTGCTTTCCAAAAACATTTCCACTGCAATCCCGGTTTTTGGTGCCAGCCGCAGTGGTGTGAGTACGCTCGCTTTATTATAGTCTTGCCAGCACTGGGCGTCTCTGTGTATTGTAAACACATGCGATCATCACTCTTATCTCTCCATCCCCCCCACAATTAAAGATGTGCCGTGCTATCTCTGCTCAGGTTACCTTGGCCTTGGGATGAGTTGGCTGGAGGCTCAGGCAGCGCGAGGGACAGGAGGAGGGCGAGGCGCTGCCTGGTGGATTAGCGGGGAGCCATGGCACGGGCAGGACTCAGGAGAGGAGGCCGGCAGCTCACAGCAGACCGCGGGGCTCAGCTGGCCTGCCCTGTGCTTGGGGTTTGTTTTTGAGCGTTGAAATGAGGTCCTTAAACCTTAGTCCGTGCATTGAGAGCAAGGCAGCTGCCTTGAGCCTTACTTCCTTTTCCTCTTTGTCGCCTAGTATGACGCCGTGCCCATCCAGTCCAGCGTGGTGTTATGTTCCTGCCCATCCCCATCAATGGTGAGGACCCAGACTGAGTCCAGCACGCCCCCTGGCATTCCTGGTGGCAGCAGGCAGGGCCCCGCCATGGACGGCACTGCAGCCGAGCCTCGGCCCGGCGCCGGCTCCCTGCAGCATGCCCAGCCTCCGCCGCAGCCTCGGAAGAAGCGGCCTGAGGACTTCAAGTTTGGGAAAATTCTTGGGGAAGGCTCTTTTTCCACGGTGAGTATTTGCTGCTGCTGTGTGTCAAACGTACGTGATTTCCTTGGGGAGGCTCACCTTCCTCAGGGCTTGCCGGAGACTCCAAGCAAGGCTGGTGTCCTTCCAGGCAGGAGGTCTCAGGCCCCTTGAGGGGTGTCACCTGTTGTGAAGGCCACTTGAGTCTTTGGGGGCTGGGTACCCCCCAAGCAGATGACGTGATGAGTGTGGCTAAATATTTAACCTGGTTTTGTAGATGAGAACGTTAGACACATCTCTTGATGGTCTGCGGAGGTTTTTTCTGATGTAGTTAATTTCATTTTAACCTGGCATCAGCAAGTTACATTCTGTGTCCTTGTGTCTCACTGGCAGGGCCCTGGGAAGCTGTTCTTTTTCTTAGATTGAAAGTTAGTATCTCTCCAGGGTTTTTGGGGACATTTATTGACCTCTTCTTATTTCTCTGTTTTGTTTTTTTGAATACATAAAACAGTACGCTCTGGACATTTGCTGGAGACACAGCCTCCAGATTCTTGTGTTCCGAGTTTCACAAACAGGAGTATTGTCGCAGTACTGTCAAGTCACACTTGTTACCTGTCTTTGGGGTGTTTTTTCCTCTGAAAGCAAAGAAATGAAGGTCGAAAGCAGCTGACATGGGACGTTTTGCTGACGTGGGACCCATGAAGCCGTGTGTGGTTGTGGATTTAGTGAAGGTTGTAACAGGTTCAGGGGAGGCCTGAGCAACTCGGGGTGCACTGTCTCCATCTGGGCCTCTAAAGAGACAGAGTCCCGTGCCGCCACTGTGGTCGCCAAGGTGGCCGCCGTGTGCGTGCTAGGGCCATTCCAGGGAGCCCTGGGGGCACCTCACTCTGGAGGGCCTGGGTGAGTTCCTGAATAATTCTTTCTTGCCTGACCTTTGTGAAGAAACCGTAGGTGAGGTTTATTTTCCTTTTTTCTCTTTTTTACACATAGGAAATATTTCACAATGCAAAGAAAAACATGAAATATAGCTTACCCATATTCCCAACATATTGTTTTAATTAATGTTAACTTTTGCTGCCCTTACACTTTAGATTTTTTAAATTGCAGGTTTTATGAAATAATTTTTTTATAAAAGGATTATGCCCTCATGAAAAATGCCTTCAACCATGAGACTAGTCCCCAAAGTTTTGGGGACTCAGATCCTTTCAGAAAGAAGAAACTCTTTGGAAAACCTTGGGCATTCTGCATGGCTGCTTACAACCACCCAGTGAAAGAACAGGCCTCCTCTTTTCTCAGCTTTACCTGTTTTTTGAGACAGAGTCTTGCTCTGTCGCCCAGGCTTGAGTGCAGTGGCATGATCATAGCTCACTGCAGCCTCGACTTCCTGGGCTCAAGTGATCCTCTTACCTCAGCCTCCCAAGTAGCTGCAGTTACAGGAATGCACCACCGTGCCCAGCTAATTGTAAAATTTTTTGTAGAGACAGGGTCTCACTTTGTTGCCCAGACTGGTCTTGAACTCCTAGGCTCGAGTGATTCTCTCCTCAGCCTTGCAAAGTGTTGGGATTACAGGCGTGAGCCACTGTGCTTGGCCTCAGTTTTACTTCCTTATATGTCTCTTTTTAATTTAACTTTATTTTATTATGTATGTATTTATCCTTTTAGAAACAGAGTCTTGCTCTGTCACCTAGGCTGGAGTGCAGCGGTGTGATCATAGCTCACTGCAGCCTTCACCACCTGGGCTTAAGCGATCCTCCTGCCTTAGCCTCCTGAGTAGCTGGGACCACAGGCATGTGCCACCATACATGGCCCTTAACATTTATCTTGACTGAAAAAGGAAGACTCATCTGTGAAATTGCCTGTTTCCCTGGGTTCTGGAGATGGGTGGAGAGCAGGCACTGTCCCTCCAGGGGCTGTGGTCCGTGTCTTTCTGAACCTGCACCAGGGAGGTGCCCGGGAGAGCACGGTGAGCTGGAGGCTCCTCCATGGGGCTGTTTGGAATCCACAGTACTGGGTCTCAGATTACATGTGTTACCCTCAGTTCTTTCTCAGCTTTCCTGAAATGGAGATCACATAAAAGTTGATTTCCAGGGGAGGGGGAAAGGACAGTGATAGGAGGCTGGGCAAGAGCCAGCTGCAGCACCGGAGAGCCGGGAGGCCCCCTGAGGACGGTCACAACCTCCAGGGAGGGACACGTCACGCGCCATTCTCTGGAAGAGGATCCTTCCTTCTTGTAGGAAACCTGCTTGTGAAGTGTTGAGTTTAGACAACGGAAAGATCACATCAGTATCCCCTTAGAAAGGGTTCCACTAAATATCGGTGTTCGTTCACAATTCTTTCTTCCTCTTTTCTACTTATGAAGCTAGCACGTGCTCTTGTGGAGAAACGTGACCTCACAGAAACACATGAGCTAGAGAGGGGAGCCCTGCCCGGCCCACTTCCCCTTTCTCCCTGGCAGCTGAGAGCCATCCATGCGTGGCGTATTCCTCTGGGAAGATCTTGAGTATGTAGAGTCCCCAGAATCCAACTTCATTCTTCTTGAGTGCCACAAGGCGTCTCACATGGTGCTTTCCAGGATCTCTTCTGACGTGTCCCATCAGGAGTCCTGCCCCGATTGCGGCTCACAGCCCGGGGCCAGGTGGACCTGGCCCTGTGGCCTCCTGAAGGTCTTCCTGCCAGCCCCCAGGAATGTCACGGGACAGGTTTCCTCTGCTCCCTGCTCCTCAGGCCGTCCCCCTGTGGGTGTCTTAGGAGACACTTGTGTCCCACTTGGTGGTGGTGGGGCCTCCCTGGCACAGCTGCCTCATGCTCTCTGGCTAAACCGTGGGCCCACCAGGAATCTCCAGTCTGGTGCCTCAGGGTGTGCCCCAGGCTAGTCCGAGTGGAGGGTCTCTCCCCTGTTTGGGATGCCTGCCCTGCTGGAGTGCTCTGTCTCGGAGGTGGGGTTTGAGTGCAGGGCTCAGGGGTGCTGAGAGGACAGGGCAGGAGGCCTGCTGCATCCCGGGCAGGTGGCTCCCTCTTGTGGGCACGCAGGGCCATGCATTGTTGGTTTAGCTCCCTCTGTCCTTTACAGCCAGGCTCTCTTCATGGTGCCCACAAGCAACATCATACAAAATGTATGATAACAGTTATTTCCAAAAACGAAACTTCAGGGCAGCCTTTGCAATGAATGTATACTAGAAGGACATATTGTTGTCACAGAAGCCCCTGTGCCCTGCCACTTGTGGTGGCGCCACTGTCTTCCTTCTGTTGGTGAAGGGCGTGGCAGTCGAAGAGGTTCCTGAGTTTGTACTTGTGTTGCACCGTTAGGGCTGTTAGCAGCTGATCCAGAAGCTTCTGGAAACAACGGAGAGATGGATATGTTTTCTCTTAGCTGTTAGAACACATCAACACGAGCATTGGCTTTTAGCTCTACTTGTCAGTACAAGACCCAAAATATTTCACTGTAGACTCAAGCCTTCAGTGGGGACAGGAAGCGTGCGTGTGGGGCAGAGGGACTCGTCAGGCCCAGTGTCCTGGTTATTACATTGTGTGTTTCTTTTTCTCCTTTTCTTTCCCAACCAGGTTGTCCTGGCTCGAGAACTGGCAACCTCCAGAGAATATGCGAGTGAGTATGGGCTGCAGGGAGCTGTGCGTCCGGGAGCAGGGCAAGCGGCTCCGTGCAGGGCGGCTGGGGTGGCAGGGCCGGTGTTTCTGTGCTGATTTCAGGGTACAGGACACTGTTGGCTTTAGAGACCACCAGGCTGTTGTGTACAATGTTTGAAAGACTTTAATTTGTACCAGTTACCTTTGTGAGTCATGTCTTTAGTGTTTTTTGTTGTTTCTGATAGTAACTCACTTCTCTCTCACCTGAAGTTAAAATTCTGGAGAAGCGACATATCATAAAAGAGAACAAGGTCCCCTATGTAACCAGAGAGCGGGATGTCATGTCGCGCCTGGATCACCCCTTCTTTGTTAAGCTTTACTTCACATTTCAGGACGACGAGAAGCTGTGTATCCTTTGCGTGGTTGGTGCCGTCTGAAGCCACACCAGTCACCCCTCTCACTTGGAATCAGACCCTGTGTGTTCCCACAAGCAGCCCCCGCTCCCTGCCGAGTGGGGTCCCTCAGGCCGCTGACATTCAGGGAGGCAGCCGAGGCAGCGCCAGGGTGTGGCTGGGAGTCTGCACAGGACGTTACCTCCCGGAGAAGCCACCGATGTGGCTCCAGCACAGTCCTCTCTGCTGCGGCTTGCTTGGTCGGCGTCCCTTGCTCCCCTAGAGCTCCATCTTTTCTGTTATTAAACCTTGGCTCAGGAATCTGGGAGGCAAGGCCCGGTGGAAGTTGGGGTGGGCCCCACCTCTGCCCCATCCAGCTGACCTGTGGGCCTGCCAGTGGCTGGGCTGGCCACGCCACACCGTCGTCACCCCCAGCAGGTGCAGTCTGCATCTGCTCTTCTCCTCCCCCGCCACCCTCCAAGCTGGCCCAAGTGTCGTGGCCTCCCCATCCTGCCTGGGGAGGGGCCTGAGTCCTCCCACCTGTCCTCCCCGTCTCTCCCCAGCACCCGGCTCTTCTGTGTTAGAGCTTCGTTCTGGCCTGCTCCCACTCTCAGCACCATCCTGCAGCTCCTTCGGCTGCCGGCGGAGTGTGTGTGCTCTCTCTGTTTGGAGGTGCTTGCCAAGTGCAGGTTGATGGGTGATGGGGATGCGCTGCTATGCCGGGTGGCGTCTCTGCCCACGAGAAGCTTCGATTTTGGTGGAGGAGCTGGACGTGCACTGACGATCCGTGTCAGAGGCTTCCCGGCAGCAAGATGTGCTGCCAAGAGTCTTAGGGCTGGGTAGGGGCTGGCGGCAGTGTGGGGCTCTTTCAGCTCCTGGGCAGGAGTGTGTGGGGGGGCATGAAAGGCTGTGGTGGGCTGGGCCCCTGAGCCGTGGCAGCCTGGCACTGACTCTGGACTTCCTTCTCTTTGTGGCGGGGAACGTGGGGTTTGCTGTGGCTTCTCCTAGGCCAGGCGGGAGAACGGGCAGGAGAGCAGGGGCAGGGGCCGTGGTCGAGGTCTGATGAACAGACCGGTCAAGAGAATGGAGTCAGGGGCAGCTCCTGGGAGGTGGCCCTCAAGCCTAGTGCACAGCGGTGTCTGCTGCTGAGCTGGGAGAGACCGGGGCGGGTGCTGGGCTGGCATTTCATGCATCCGCTGGTGCCACCATTCAGGTCTGAGTGGGCACTTAGGTGCTGCCAGCAGAGCTCCAGGAGGAGTCAGGGCCGTGAGGACTTTCACAGCGAGCTGGCAGGCTGCCCAGAGGTTGGCTCCTCTGTGAGTGGAGCCTGGGTTCCCCCCAGTGCAGGGGTGAACACGAGGAGGGGCCCACCGAGGAGAGGAGATGGTGATGGGATGTTGCTCCCGAGCTCGAATGATGGAGACCCAGAGGCCACGGGATCAAACGATTTCTGATGGAGGGTGCTGGCTGCCCACGCAGGGGTTATGAAGCGGTCAGGTGCACACAGCCTGACCCGTGGATCTGCCCTGTGCCAGTTGTTGATGGTGGGTAGGCAGTTTCTTGGGGGGACTGTTCAAGGAAGAGTAAGAGGTGAGGAAATGGAAACGACGCAAGGTGCTTCCCTGGGATTTTGCCTAGGGAGGAGCGGGGCAGTGGCCGAGCAGCTGCCAGGCACGTGGCCCGGAGCGGGCTTTGCTGTTGGTTTGTGGAAGGTTGTAGAGAATGCTGGCCTCCAGGCAGGCCTGCTGTCCTCCAGTGTCATCCCTGTTCCTGCCTCTGTCTCCCACTCTCAGTGGCTTCTTCACGGTATGTTCTGTCTCTCACCTTCACGTTCCCCGGGGCCCTGCACGTCTCTGCCCCCGTATGAGCCACGGGAGTCCCTCTGGGCTTCCCGCAGAGCCGTCGGAACACGGCTGCTTGTTGGTTGTGAGGCTGCAACAGAATTGCACACGCTTGACCTCTCCCATCCTCTCCTCCCGGGGGCTCAGAGTCCAGAGGAGAGTGAATCTTGCTGACTGATTTCCAAATGGGATTGGCCAGAGCGGTGCAGGTAGTGGGAACTCCAGGTCTTTGTCCAGTGGTCCATGTTGCCCTTCATCATTAAGTCAAATTCCAAAGCCCCGGGAGGTTGTGAAGGTTCACTCGCCCCTGACGGGAACGAGACCCAGGGACTTCTGCCCCACCAGGCATCCTCGGTGTGGGTTGTATTTAGAGATGGGCCTGGACAGGGGCCACTTTGGGCAGCCTTGGTTGCAAGTCCCTTCGCTTCTGGGTTTCTCTTCGTTGCCCTGAAGCTTCAGGTTCATCCTTGGTGGGAGATGATGGTGCCCTGGCAAACAGAAGTGAGCAGGCAGGCCAGCCTGGCTCTGAGCACGAGCCCCCCTTCCTGGCCTCGAGAGCCACTGCTCAGGGCAGGCAAGGATTTGGGTCCCCGTGTCCTGGGCTGCCAGTAAGTGTGAAGTATCTGGAGGTTTCCGGTAATGGGGATGGACGTTTGCCGCTTGCAGGGGAATCTGTATCTGGGATCCATTTATTGTCGGTCTTAAGTCCTCTTGGAAAAGGAGGCTACAGATGGAGCCATCGTAGGGCAGTGGTGCCCAGAGGAGGGGGCCTCCCAGACACACTTCATGGGTGTAGAAGTTCATGAGATGGCTTTTGTCTTACAAAGTGTGTCACTCGGCCAGGTGCGGTGGCTCACGCCTGTAATCCCGGCACTTTGGGAGGCCAAGGCGGGCAGATCACGAGGATAAGAGATGGAGACTATCCTGGCCAACCTGGGGAAACCCCGTCTCTACTAAAAATACCAAAACTAGGGGGGCATGGTGGCGCGTGCTTGTAGTCCCAGCTACTCGGGAGGCTGAGGCAGGAGAATTGCTTGACTCCGGGAGGCGGAGGTTGCAGCGAGCCGAGGTAGCGCCACTGCACTCCAGCCTGGCGACAGAGCGAGACTGCATCTTAAAAAAAAAAAACAAAACAAAATGTGTCACTTTATCCACGGAAGGAGACTGCATGGAAGGGGCAGTGCCACGCGTGGATGCGTAGCACATAAAGCCGGGGTCTCAGGGCAGGGGCTGTCGCGCTCTCCGACCCTGCTCCGCCGGCCCCCGGGGTCTTTGTGCATCGAAGCCTGCACGTGAGTTATATGCGCTTTTTGGTCGGGGTCTGTAGGCCCTGTCACCAGCGGTTCCCTTTCACTGAGGCCGTGGACACGGCCAGGGGCCAGAGGGGCAGTCGGGGCTGAGAGGCTCTGTTCCTGTTTCCTCGAGACCGTGTAATGGCGTTCTTAATGAGAAAGCCCTCATCATGCTGGTGCCTCGTCTTGGAGCTGGGGCCTGGGATGCCCGGCAGATCCAGTGACATGACTGTCTTGGGCCACAGGTACTTTCAGTTTGCACTGAATTAAAAATTCTTATCAGACTTTTAAGGTTAGTTTTCCAAAAATGACTTTTACAAAATAAAACACATGAGCCAGGCGTGGTAGCGCGTACCTACGTTCCCAGCCACTTGGGTTGGTTAAGGTGGGAGGATCGCTTGAGCCAGGGAGGTTGAGGCTGCAGTGAGCTATGATTGTGCCCCTGCACTCCAGTCTGGGCAACGGAGTAAACCTGCTCCAAAACGAAACAAGAGATTTTTACACTTCCTTAACTGCACGATATTCAGATTTCGGCCTTAGTTATGCCAAAAATGGAGAACTACTTAAATATATTCGCAAAATCGGTTCATTCGATGAGACCTGTACCCGATTTTACACGGCTGAGATTGTGTCTGCTTTAGAGTACTTGCACGGCAAGGGCATCATTCACAGGTAACCGCGGGGGTGGCTGGGTGGGTTTGCAGGACGTCAGTTTGATGATCAGGGCCAGTGACCGTTTGGCTCACAGGCCACGGCTGATGCCCAGATGGCCCCCGCCCTTGAGGTCAGCCAGGTTGGAGTGCTCCCTGGATGGGTGGGACTGAGATGCCTGCCTGTGCCACAGCCTGAGTGCCAAGGCGAGGCCACACGTCCACGGAGCGCTGACGTGGAGAGGCTCTCCTGCCAATACCACATGCAATGGTTGCGTGTCTTTCCTGGCGAGCTAATGATTCTTTTCACCATCTTGACTGATGCTTTTTATCTTTTTCAGTTGTAGCTTCTGTGTGTACTTCTTTCTGGTCTCGTTTTTCATGACTTTCTGATAAAGTCAGCTCAGAAGTGTGCATAGCTTTCATTTTGTGCGTTAAAAATGATAGATTTTACTTCGTTAAAAAACGACTTAGAATGACATGGAGATGTGAGGTGGTGAATCCCTACTGTGTCCAGCCAACACTTGTTGCTTGTGAGCTTTAGGCCTGTAGCCCTGGTTGTCAGCCTGTAAGGATCATATACATTCATTCGTTCATTTTGTTTTCAGCAAAATTTAGAGTACGTAATAATGTTGCTGTTTTAAGTATTTCTTCTCAAATGTGAAAATCTGCTTTTACAGGGACCTTAAACCGGAAAACATTTTGTTAAATGAAGATATGCACATCCAGATCACAGATTTTGGAACAGCAAAAGTCTTATCCCCAGAGAGCAAACAAGGTGTGTGAGTTTTATTTCTAGCAGAGCCTGGCTCTGTGCTTCAGATGGAAAGCGACTTCTGAGGAGTGTTTGCATTGTGTCATCTTCATCAACGACTGAGGTGGGGATACCTTGGCCGTTCTCAAACAGATCTTGAACTTTCTCTGGGCAAGACCCTGCCACGCCAGCAGGTCTTCCTGGGGGGGCCCCAGGCAGTGTGTGTTGGTGTAGAGTGGGAGGTCGCTGGTTCTCCTCGGCGCCTGCTCTGGTTCATCCTCCCTACTCGTCTTCTGGACAGTGTGGGGGGCCACATTCGTACCCAGCCACCCGCGTGCAGGATGTGGAGCCGGTGTGGTCAGCTCCTGGCTCCTCCTGCCTGTGTTGCAGGTAGTATCCGGGCGCGCACATCCCTGTACCTCGGTGCGCTCCCTCCGTTAGCTGTCCGTCTGTCTCCCTGCTGGCCACGTGCACGTTTGTCATCACAAAGCCTCCGAGTCCTGTTCCCAAGGGTAGTTTCTAGCCTCGGACCATGTTGTGACAACTCCATCGGAGATGTTGCTGAAAGTCCACTCGGGCCAGAGAAGTGGCCTAGGTTGTCTTAGCCGGCCGGGGGTATCTCGATGCCCTTCAGGTGCTTATTGGGTAGAAATCACAAACTCTGGAGGTGTAAAGAAAGGCAGCTGAAATTCTGAAGAGTGCTCCCGAGTGCTGGGTAGAGAGAAGATAAAGCCTTGGGATGAGGTTTGGGGAAGCTGAAGGCTGCTGTGTGCATTATAAGTGACCTTGAAGGTGAACCTCGGGTGATTGCTGGAGTCTGTCTGGGTCAAGAGGCTGGGTCCAAGGGCCTCCAAGTGGTGCATGGGCCTCTGCCTGGGCTTGGGGTGCCCGTCAGAGAAAGGCCTCCATAGAGGGCTCTGTGGGGGTGAGAGGTGCTGGAGCCCGGTTTGGAGGGACGCGAGTGCAGGTTTGTTGGTGGAGGAAAGATTCAGACAGAAGTGACCGTGTTGTTGTAGCTGCTCTCGTGTGGAAAAGGGGAACCGTGAGCACAGAGCAGTGGTGGTTCTGGCCTCGTCTCCATGGACGGCCAGCCGGCCCCCAGTAGCTGGAGGAGAGCACAGCTGGGTGGAGAGCAGGCCCTTCAGCAAGGCAGGCACTCTGGACTCAGCTCGGCTTTTCTGTTTCTTAGGAATTGGCCCTGTATTCTGTGTGCTGGGAGGTACCCAGCTGGTGCCTGTGGGGCCTCTCTTGGCACCTTGAGGTAGTTGCTCGTTTCCTCCACCGGGCCTTATCTTTCCCTTCTGGGCGTTTCCAGCCCTGTGTTTTCACACTCAGGGCTCTGGCTGAGATTCTGTCAGTTGGTGCTTTCATCTCTGCACAGTCATGGAGGCCCTAAGACCTTGTCTTGGATCTGGGAACTTCTCTCAGAATCCTCAAACATCACCCTGGCTGTGCATGGGAGCTCACACCTGTAATCCTAGGGCTTTGGGAGGCTGAGGCAGGAGGATCGTTTGAGGCCAGGAATTTGAGACCAGCCACTGGGCAACATGGTGAGACTCCATATCTACAAAAAAGCCAAAAATCATCCTGGTGTGATGGCACACACCTGTAGTCCCAGCTACTCGAGAGGCTGAAATGAGAGATGGATGATGCAGTGAACTAGGATGATCCCACTGCACTCCAGCCTGGGGAACAGAGCGATCAACTGTTAAAAAATAGTAGTAATAAATAAAAAATAAAAGAAGCCTGTAATCCCAGCACTTTGGGAGGTCGAGGTGGGCAAATCACGAGGTCAGGAGATCGAGACCATCCTGGCTAACATGGTGAAACCCCGTCTCTACTAAAAATATAAAAAATTAGCTGGGCGTGGTGGTGCGCGCCTGTAGTCTTAGCTACTCGGGAGGCTGAGGCAGGAGAATCGCTTGAACCCGGGAGGCAGAGGTTGCAGTGAGCCACGATCGTGCCACTGCACTCCAGCCTGGGCAACAGAGTGAGACTCCGTCTCATAAATAAAGAAATAAAAAACATCACCCTTTTGGGGCTAAGATCGAAACTAGCAATCAAGCCGGAGCCTCTTGTTGTCTAAGGTGGCTTAGTCCTGCTGCCGTCCGCTGCCTTTTGTAGCCCCGTTCCCCTCCCCGTCCAGTGGCATGCCAGAGTGCGCACCTCCCGCCCAAAGCTGCACAGAGCCAGGGCGGTCTTCCTGGCGTTTCAGACATGCCCTGAAACCTTGATCTGTTTGACTCATTCCTGTTAAATAGTAACCGTCTTACTGACTGGTAATCCTGTTTCTGTGTACACAGTGTAACCTCATCTCCCTCAGTGTTGTCTGTGACAAAGTTGAACCAAACAGGAACTTCTGTCTCGTAAGCTTTCTTAGGATCTGTCAGTGTCTTGCTGTCCTTGTGCTGACTTCCTGCCCAGAGATGAGCCCACAACATTCCGTGGGGTCAGGAGCGCTGCGGGCTGGCTCTGCCCCCAGTCAGTCCCGGGAACCGCTCTCTGGGCTGTGCCCACAGCCAGCCTCAGGAACCACCTCCCTGGGCTGTGCTCTGGGCATTTTTCCCTTCGTGTGGATTTTCTTTCTTTTTTTTTCCCCTCCCTTATTGCAAGGCTTTATTTATTCATAATTTCAACTTTTATTTTAGATTCAGGGGATCCACGTGCAGGTTTGTGACGTGGGTAGAGTTTCTTTGGAATCTGGTATTTGGCACAGGGATAGTCTTGTTGCCCTGTAGCCACTTAAAAAAAACGGGCATTTAAGTGCGCTGATGAAATAGTGAAATAGCTTGGGCACAGTGGCCCACCTGTAATCCCAACACTTGGGGAGGCCGAGGCAGGTCGATCATTTGCGCCCAGGAGTTTGAGACCAGCCTGGGGAACACGGCAAAACCCTGTCTCTATATAAGATAAAAAACAAAAATTAGCTGGGCGTGCTAGTGCGTGCCTGTAGTCCCAGCTACTCAGGAGGCTGAGGTGGGAGGATCACCTGAGCCTGGGAGATTGAGGCTGCAGTGAGCCGTGATCCTGCCACTGCGCTCCAGCCTGGGCGACAGAGCAAGAGCCTGCCTCTGGAAAAGAAAGAAGAAATCATGAAATAAACCTTTGCTTTTTGATAGCAGGAGGCTAAAAGTCTTTACATCATTGTAAACCAGGGCCAGTTGCTTGTGCGTATAGATGAGTTGGTGGTTCTTTTCCCCTTGTTTGAGGAAAAGGAAAAAACTATAATTTATGTGGCGGATTAATTTTAGTAACTTATTTTCTGTTTGAGGTAGTTCAGTATCTTGGAATTTATTCCTGCGTTGACTTCTTTTGTGCAGAGATGGCTTCCCCAAAACACCTTCAAATCTAGAATAAAAGTGTTGATGGGAGCAAGGCATAGCGAGGTTCCTTACCCGCGCAGCAGCTGTGCCACGCCCTCCTCCTAGAGGGAGGCAGGTTTTCCCATCGTTCCTGTGGGGTGGGTAGGGTGGCCCCCGTATCTGCAGGGGGAGGTGGTGGGAGATGGAGCAGGGCAGTGGTGTGGGCTTGGGAGATTGAGGAGGACCTCCTGGCAGAGAGGGACTTCTGCCTCCTCTCCTTGTACAGGAGCCTGTGGATGTATCTTGGTGAGGGCAGCTGACTCAGAGTAAGCTTCCCACCTGGGCTGTCTCTGGCCTGTGCCCTCTATGCAAGAACCTTGGGGAGCTCGGGGTGTCCTTGGAGGTTCAGACTTGGAGTAGGGTTTGGAAACCTGTGTTCTGACCTGTGCAGGCCTTTCTGGCATGCAGCCAGGTGTGGAGGCAGCACTCACCAAACAGGAAGGAGAGGAAGGCCACAGGTGTGGGCAGGGCTGGGTGGACAGGGTGGACGCTGTGGGCTTCAGGTGTGGGCGGGGCTGGCTGGAGAGGGTGGATGCCGTGGGCTTCAGTCACTACAGTGGCTCCTCTGTCCTCATCTGTGCATGGCCATCGTCCAGACCCTCAGACTAGCTGCCGTTGCGCTTCCCACTGTGCTGTGGACTCCAGACGCTCTCCTGAGGGCCACAGCTGCCTTGAGCTTGCCGCCATTCTAGCTTAGGCTGGATCACCCACCCCCGGCACAGAGAGGAGCTGCCTTCAAGACGGATTTTCCTGCATGATGGAAAGTGGAGTTTGCACAATAAAAGAGAGAGTCCCCATTCTCCCATCACCAAGAGCAGCTCTTCCCATCTTCACGTGGTTTATTTTGGTCTTTTCCAGATTGGCATTCATTTAGGATTGGCTATGATGCATGGGGCTGGGGAGAATTACTGCTTATTGTAAAAAATTCACTCGGTGCTAGTGACCTGATGCCCAGCATCCTCAGTGGGTTTTCCCTGTAAAAATTCCAGTATGTGTCGCTAAAATACAAATCTTTTTAAAAGCGTAACCACAATACCATACTGTTTGATATGTAAAAATGAACGGTAATTGCTTAATATCTCAAAGTGTCCAGTCAGAGTTATATTTCCAGTTGTCTCATGTACATCATAATGTTTTGTTGCTCACTTGAACAGGATTCAAATAAGTTTTGCACAATTTCATTTTTAAATTTTTTCTTTTTCTTTTGCCATTAAATACTCTCCTATCCAAACACATGTATTTTAATCTGTAGCTTCCCCCATTTTTATTTTTTCCCTTGCAGTTTGTTGAAGAAACAAGTCATTTGCATCTGTGTGGCGTTGTTGAACATGGTCCTCTCTCCTGGCCACTACATCACATTCAGAGTTGATTCTCCCCTCCCTGTTCAGAGACTGGTGGTGGGTGTTCTTTATCCGGCATCTCTCTGTGACAGCAGCAGCATTTGTGGCCATAATTGGCCTAAATTCATGAACTCATTAGAGAGTGCAGAAAGGTCACAGCCTGATACATTCATGAGATGCAATTCATTAAAGAGCAACTTCTCCCCAGCAACTTTTGGGTTGACTCGTGGTATCATCTGTAAAAGAAAAGTAGGATAAATGCTTCTTTCCCCTTTTCATGCCATTTTTGAAAACCACACATTGGTTCTCCATTCTCTTCCAATGATGATTAATTCATTAAAAAAGTTATTACCCTTCCTCACACCATACACAAAAGCTCACTCCAGGGCCAGGCGCGGTGGCTCACATCTGTAATCGCAGCACTTTGGGAGGCTGAGGCGAGTGGATCACCTGAGGTCGGGAGTTCGAGACCAGCCCGGCCAACGTGACGAAACCCTGTCTCTACTAAAAATACAAAATTTATGGCTGGGCGTGGTGGCTCACGCCTGTAATCCCAGCACTTTGGAAGGCCGAGGCAGGCGGATCACCTGAGATCAGGAGTTCGAGACCCGCCTGACCAACATGGCGAAACCCTGTCTCTACTGAAAATACAGGTGTGTTTTTAGCTAGGTGTGGTGGTGCATGCCTGTACTCCCAGCTACTCAGGAGGCAGGAGAATAACTTGAACCTGGGAGGCGGAGGTTGCAGTGAGCCGAGATCCACACTATTGCACTCCAGCCTGGGCAACAAGAGCGAAACGCCATCTCAAAAAAAAAAAAAAAAAAAACCAAAAAAAAAAACTTAGCCAGGTGACTCCTGTAATCCCAGCTACTTGCGAGGCTGAGGCAGGAGAATCGCTGGAACCTGGTAGGCGGAGGTTGCGGTGAGCCAAGATCACGACACTGTGCTGCAGCCTGGGCAACAGAGGAAAACTCCATCCCTGTGCCTCCCATCTCCCCGCCTCACCAAAAAAAAAAAAAAAAAAAAAAAAAGGGTGACTCCAGGCCGGGCGCGGTGGCTCACGCCTGTAATCTCAGCACTTTGGGAAGCTGAAGCGGGCAGACCACTTGAGGTCAGGAGTTCGCGACCAGCTGCCCATCTCTAGTAAAAATACAAAAATTAGCCAGGCATGGTGGTGTGCGCCTGTAATCCCAGCTATTTGGAGTGGGGGCTGAGGCAGGAGACTCACTCGAACCTGGGAGACGGAGGTTGCAGTGAGGCGAGATCGCACCACTGCGCTCCAGCCTGGGCGGCGGAGTGAGACTCCATCTCAAAAAAAAAGTTCACTCCGAATGCGTTAGAGGTCTGAATGTAAGGGCGAAGACTATGACACTCTTAGAAGAAATTATAGGATTAAATGTGACAATTGGGTTAGGCAGTGTTTTCTTAGATACACTGCCAAAAAAAAGCATAAGCGACCAAGAAAAGGATGAGTTAGATTTATATCAAGTTTAAGCACTTTTGTGCTTCAAGTGATATCACGAAAGTGAAGAGACCCACCAAACAGGAGACACGATCTGCTAATCATCTACCTGATATGGGACTTGTATCCAGAATGTAAGGAACTCAGAGGGAGAAAAAAAAAATAAAGCACGGAACAAAGGGTATGAGTAGACATTTTTCCAAGGGAGAGATACACAAATGGCCCATAAGCACATGCAAAGTTCCTCAACGTTATTAGTCATTAGGAAAATGCAAATCAAAACCACAGGGTGATACTACCTCACACCCACCAGGAGGGCTGTGATGAGAAGACAGATAATAACAAACGTTAGCAACGACGTAGGGGACTGGAACCCACGTATGCTGTGGGTGGGAATGCCAGAAAGTACAGCCACTTTGGAAAACAGGCTGGCAGCTCCTCAGAAGGAAACAGAATTACCATATGACCCTGCAGTCCCACTCCTAGGTATGAACCCACAAGAAATGAAAACACACATTCAGACAAAAACAGGTGCTAGAATGCCCGTAGCATCATGCACAGTAGCCAAAAGGTGGAAACGACGCACGTGTCATCGAATGAGTGGATGAACGAGTGGCGTGTCCACACGACGGGGGAATGTTCTCCAGCCCTAACGAGGGATGAGGCGCCCATGCACGCTGCCATGCAGATGGGCCTTGAAAACACTGCCCTCAGTGAAAGCCTGCCGGGATCTGAGAAGGGATGGCATCGAGTCTAGAGATGAGCTTACGAGGCGTTACCATTGTTAACCCACGTTAAGTCTTCTGAGCCATCACCATGGGCTGTCTTTCTGTTTATTTAGATCTTTCTTTCAAAAACACTTTGTAGTTTTCAGAGTATAAGCTTTATGCGTCTTTTGTGACATTTATTCTTATTTGTTTTTAATGTTATTCTAAATAGAGTTATTGGCCGGGCACGGTGGCTCACACATGTAATCCCAGCACTTTGGGAGGCCGGGGTGGGTGGATCACCTAAGGTCAGGAGTCGGAGACCAGTTGAGGTGGGAGGATCGCTTGAACCCGGGAGGCGGAGGAGGTTGCAGTAAGCTGACCTCAGACCGCTGCACTCCAGCCTGGGCAACAGAGCGAGACTTTGTCTCGGGAAGAAAAAAAAAAAAAAAATAGAGTTGTGAATTTTCTTCCCTTTTTTTTCCTTTTTCTGTTTTTATTTTTTTTTTTTTTGAGACGGAATTTCGCTCTTGTTGCCCAAGCTGGAGTGCGGTGGCGCGATCTCGGCTCACTGCAACCTCCGCCTCCCGGGTTCAAGCGATTCTCCTGCCTCAGCCTCCCGAGTAGCTGGGATTACAGGCGCCCACCACCACGCCCGGCTAATTTTGTGTGTTTTTAGTAGAAACGGGGTTTCACCACGTTTATGGATAACATGGTCTTGAACTCCTGACCGCAGGTGATCCGCCTGCCTCGGCCTCCCAGAGTGCTGGGATTGTGAATTTCATTTCTGGGTTGCTCCTGGAAATTGTGCGGAAATGCAGTTGGTTTTTCCCTGCCCCGCACCCTGCTGAGCTCTCGTTAGTGGTAATAGCTTCTCAGTGGAGTCCGCAGGACTTTGTGCACACAGGATCCTGTCATCTGTGATTCGAGCTAGTTTTATTTGTTCCCTTTCAACCTGGCTGCCTTTTGTCTTCTTCCCTAATTGTCCTGGCTGAGACCTCTAGTTCGGTGTTGGCTGGATGTGGTGAGCCGGGCGCCCTGGTCTTAGGGAGAGCGTGCGGTTTTTGACCATCGAGCATGATGTTGGCCGTAGGCCGTGCGTGCCCTTTGTCAGACCCTGGGCCCTCCCTTCTGTGCCTCGGCTATTCCATATTTTTGTCCTGTAGAGGTGGGGAATTTTTGTTAACTGCATTTTCTGCATCTGTTGAGATGATCCTGTGTTTTCCTTAGTGCTTTATTCTAATGAGATGCAATGCATTGCTTTTTGTATTTTGAACCAACCTTGCACTGTGTCATACATCCTCTTGGTCATGATGCCTAGTCCTTTCTAGACGTTGCTGCATTTGGTTTGCTGGTGTTTCGTCCAAAGGGTAGTCACGTTTTGCGGAGCGTTTTTCTGTGCTTCTTTGTGGGTTTATGGATAACATGGCAGCCGGCACCCTTGGCTTTGAAGAGAGTGTGGGTGTCTCGTGAGCTCAGGATCACTTCTTCAGGTCGTCCCTCCCACTGCCCCTCCAAGTATGACTGGCAGATCTGGGGGACTGTGGGTGGTCCATGGAGTTTCTTTGATGAGGGTGGAGACAACAACCCAGACAAGATCCCACTGTCTCTTTCCCCAGCGTCGGTAGTCCCGTGGCATGCGGGGGCATCAGCAGCCAGTGCGGGGCTCTGGGCCTGAGTTTCCAGCAGCTGGAGGGGCGTGAGCTTTGGCCAGTCTCTGAGCTCCCAGGGAGAAGTAACTAGGTGGTCTCTGAGATTTCCTAACGCTGTGTCTGGGACTCTGAGCTCGGATGTCACAGATAGAAGTCAGGGGATCTGTGAGGCTGGATAGGAGGAAATTACTAATTTTCACTAACCTTTCAGCAAAGCGTACCATTTCCTTCCATTATGAACATCAGCAACAAACATCTGTCATCAGAAGTCACAGGTGTTCCCATGTCCTGCCGCAGGGGTCACGTCACGGTAGTGACGCCATGCCAGTTGTGCCGAGCACCGCTGCCGGGTTCCTGCGGCGTGACCTGCTGCTGTGTCGTGCAAGTCACATAGTACTACATCACAGATCCATTCCTTCAATAATTTGATACGTGTATTGGATTATAATTGCTTTCTCCTACAGTCCTGTGTATTTTATGCATTTGGAACATTATTCCGAGGGTAGCCATCTTCTCCACGCTCTAGCGGCGCTGTCTGTCTCTGGATTAAACTAAGGACAGGTGTCCTTTTCCAAGGGGGTGACTTTGCGTATGCCCAGAGGCTCGGAGTCCCACCTTCAGGAAGGTGTGGCAGAGGAATCGAGGGTGAGGGTGGGCAAGCCCTGAGGAAAGAAGGGAGAGGGGGAAGACCCTTGGGGAGCTAGGAGGAGCTGAGGTTGGAGAGGGCAGGGAGGGATTCCAGGAGATCCGAGCCCGTAGCTCGCTTGCAGGAAGCTTAGAACAGCAGCAGCAGCAGCGAGGGTCCCGACAGCACGGCAGGTCACTATGTAGCGCTCATCCGAGAGATGGGGTGGGTGTTGGCCTCACGGACTTGCTCCGTGCACGCTGTGGCTGTTTAAAAGCACATACGGCTCCGCGTGCTGCACGACGACCTCAGTCATTTAATTATGCATTATATACATCTCTCCAGAGGACAAAAACCTAGACTTTTTAATAATGGCATTTGAAAAAGTACAAGTCACAAAAGCAACACTCGATGATAGTAAAGAACAGAAACGCCGAATATGTAGGTGGAGCAAGTGGCGTCCCGTCCCGCCAGCAGACGCGGCCCTCGTCGCTGTGCCACGCCGGACCCTGAAGGACAGAGCATGGAGAGGGAGCTGCAGGGTCTGGGAGGCAAACATCTTTGTGACTTCTGATGCTCATTGGAAAGTTGCCCCCAGAAGCGACGCCATTTGACAGCCCCACCCTTAGCGCTGCGTCTGTCCCCTCAGATCCCTGCCAGCGCTATGTATTTTTATTCTTTTTTCCCTTTGCCAGTGTGATAGGCTGTCGTGTTTTAATTTGCATTTCTTTGATTCTTTGCAGGGTTGAATGGCTTCGTTTGTTTTTGGCTCTTGGTTTGGTTGTCTTTCCTCTAGGCCGGCAGGGGCGGGGTGCGTGTTTGCGGATGTCCTTGGTGTTCTTGGCAGGATCACTGAGGGTCCTGGCAGGATGCAAATGCAGCCATGAAGTGTTTGTTTTTTGTTTATTATTTGAGACAGGGTCTGGCTCTATTGCCTAGGCTAGAGTACCGTGGGGCCATTGTGGCTGACTGTACCCTCAGCTTCCCGGGTTCAAGCGATCCTCCCTTCTCAGCCTCCCGAGTAGCTGAGACTAGAGGTGCACCACCATGCCTGGCTAATTCTTGAAATTCTTTCTAGACACGGAGTCTCACTATGTTGCTCAGACTGGTCTCAAACTCCTGGCCTCGAGCAGTCCTCCTGCCTCGGCCTCCCAAAGCAGTGGGACTGCAGGGGTGAGCCACCGCACCTGGGCAGTCATGAAGTCCGCAGAAAAGTCATTCACTGAAGGGATTGAGTCCCCGCAGCAGAGGCTGGGAGGTTCTCTCAGCATGGCCGGAGGAGGGCAGGTGGAAGGGACCACTCAGAAGCGGCCCACGGGCAGGGCCGGTGTGGACAGCAGCTGCGTGGTGGCCCTGGGCCAGCTCGTGCTGTGGCTCTGCTCCGTCACAGCTCCTCTGTGGAGGAAGGCCCTTGGGCTGGAGGCCTGAGTCTTGTTCCCTTTGTAGCGCCTCAGCTCCCAAGCTGTTTGTGATGGAAAGGAGGTTTTTCTGGCCTGCAACTGTTTATTGTGTGCCTGGGCACGTTTGGATACCCCAGGTCCTGCAGTGAGCCAGCCAGCGCCGTGTCCTCATGCCCTCCGTTGAGCGGGCGCCACCGGCAGAATGTGCTGGCCGTTTGTGTGCAGCTCACTGTCCAGGCGCGTGTCGGGTGGGAGCGCCAGGGTGCAGGGCGCCGGTGTCCAGGGGTCAGGCAGGCGTCTTTGAGCCGGTGAGCCATGAGCCAGCCCCGGTGCGCCCCGGACAAGTCTGGCTCCTGGGGGTGCATGGTCCGCCATGTGCGACACCCACCGCGCAGCCCTTGATTGTCACAGATCGTGAGTCCGAGTGTGACCTTCTCTCTCCTCTGCAGCCAGGGCCAACTCATTCGTGGGAACAGCGCAGTACGTTTCTCCAGAGCTGCTCACGGAGAAGTCCGCCTGTAAGAGGTAACCACTTTCATCTAAGCCGTACTTCCCTTTTCTTTAACACAGAAATTAATATTTGAGAGAGTGAATTTGGTGGCCTTTAAGTAGCTAAGCATACTTGGGAAGAAATTAGCATTTCGCATTTTAAGGCGTATTTTCCGTGGCGTACACACACGTGATGCGTTAGTGTTGTGTTCTAAGCTTCCTGGGTTTGCTGATGCTTTCTGGTTGCAGATTGAATCGTTTGGGTTTTTTTTGTTTTTGTTGTTTTGTTTTTTGAGACGGAGTCTCGCTCTGTCTCCAGACTGGAGTGCAGTGGCACGATCTCTGCTCGCTGCAACCTCCGCCTCCCGGGTTTAAGCAATTCTCCTGCCTCAGCCTCCCGAGTAGCTGGGACTACAGGCGCACGCCACCACGTCCAGCTGATTGTTGTATTTTTGGTAGAGACGGGGTTTCACCATGTTGGCTAGGATGGTCTCGATCTCTTGAGCTCGTGATCTGCCAGCCTCGGCCTTCCAAAGTGCTGGAGTTACAGGCGTGAGCCACCATGCCCAGCCTGATCGTTTCTTTGGGAAAAACTATTGAGTGAGGAAAGCGTGGCTGCCGTGTGCACAGAGCCCAGGCTTCCTTGGTGCTGTCCCCCGTCGGGGTGGAGGGCAGGCAGCCCGGCCTTCGGGTTGCTCGGCCACACACCAGCTGCAGTGGGACAGCGTCCCGCAGAGCGCAGGGAGGCCCTGGAGGGTGCGGGTGTGGGAGGGAGGAGGCGTCCAGCAGGCATGAGGGTCTTTGAGAGACACAGCTGGGTCTTGGTGGCAGCCTCCATAGTGAAAAAATGAAAAAAAGTGCAGATGGTACAGGGGCTGCAGGGCCGGTGCGGGTCAAGGAAGGGGAAAGTGGAGAAGCCCAGCCAGGGGACCACCGGCGGTGTGGGGGAGGATGTCCAGGGAGCTGACGGCAAGGGTTGGTGAGAAGTCTGAGGTGCTGTCTAGGGTGGCTGGGAGGCAGGTGGCAGGCTGAGAGGCAGCATCAGAGTCTGGAGTTTCAAGTCTAGGGAGCAGTTTTGTGGAATGAGGGTGGGGCTGGGGTTCCTCCTGCCCCGGGCCAGTCAAGTGCTGCTGAGGGCTGGGGTCAGCTTCGGCTGCTGGTGCTCTCTTGAGTCGACAGGACCACAGGAGTCCCATGCTGCCACTCTCCTGCTCCGCCAGGTTACAAGGGGCCACCTTCCTGGAGTGAAGTGAGCCACTCTGAGAGAATGAATGATTCTGGGGACGGCAGTTCTGGATTTCTGAGCTGGACAGCTTCAGGAAAAACTGTGGGAGGTGGGGCCGTGGCACAAACGTGATGGGAGGGTGGAAAGGCTCTGAGCACTCACTCAGCGTCTCGGCCGTCTCCAGGCGTTTTCGGTTTTGTTGTTTTAACTTTTTTCAACCAGCAGATACTGAGTTGTCTTTTCATTATTATTGAATTCTTTTTTAAAACAGAGATGGGGTCTTGCTGTGTTGCCCGGTCTCATCTTGAACTCCTAGGCTCAGGCGATCCTCCCATCTCGGCTTCCCAAAGTGCTGGGATTACAGGCGTGAGACATGGCGGCCGGCCAGATACTGAGTTCTTAGCATGGCCAGACACTGCTTTAGGTCAGAGCTTCCCAACTGGAGTGATTCTGCTCCCCAGGGGACACTTGGCCCTGTCTGGACAGTTTTAGTTGTCACAGCTGGAGCAGGGGTACGGCTGGCATCCAGCGGGGGAGGCGAGGATGAGCTGCTCAGCATCCCGAGACCCAGAGGACAGTCCCTCCCACAGGTGGGGGGTGGGCGGGGGGGGGGGGGGCGCGACGTACCCGGCTTTCAAAGTGCTTGTCGTCGCCACCTAAGAGCTAGCGTTTCCTCGTTTGTAGATTTTACTTTCAGGGCGGAGGGCCACTTTAGCATTGGTGCAGAAAGATCTCCAAGCTCTACGAATATACGCATAGGATCCTGCCCTCTTCGAAAAAGGAGGAATGTGTATTCACGTTTTCTCGTTTGCGCGTTTCAGGTTCTCTGGAGGGATAGACACTGAACGGATGATGGTAGTTGTCTATGGGGTGAGGGAACAGGTTTATGAGGAAGGCATTTCTGCATCTCTTTTTATGCTTTTGAATTTTTTAATCATGTGATATTAAACATAGTTAAGAACTTTTATTATAAAGAATTGAAAGAGGCCGGGCGTGGTGGCTCACGTCTGTAATCCCATTACTTTGGGAGGTTGAGGCTGGCAGATTGCTTGAGGCCAGGAGTTCGAGACCAGCATGGCCAACGTGGCGAGACCCTGCCTCTACTAAAAGTAACAAAAATTAGCTGGGCCTGGTGGCGAGCGCCTGTAGGCCCAGTTACTCGGGAGGCTGAGGCGGACGCAGAGGTTGCAGTGAGCCGAGATTGTGCCACTGCATTCCAGCCTAGGTGACAGAGTAAGACCCTGTCTCAAAAAAGAAAAAGAAAAAAGAAAAAAAAGAAAAGAGAAATTAATTATGAAGAGGTCTTAGAAAATAAATCTCCAAACCCACTTATAGTCACAGATAATAATTGGGCGTACAGGTATATGTCTTTCCAGTCATTTTTTCTGTGCATTTTATAGCTGTTTGCGTGGCTTTTATGCCATTCGAGTCACGTTGGACAAGCAGTTTTGAGCCCTGCATGATTATATAATGGGCGCTTCCCCAGGTCATTGGAATGACTTGTGGGTGTCTTGATCAGTGTGTGGTTTTCTGTCGCATGAACAGATTGTGGTTCATGGGCCTGTTTCTGTACTGTTGTGCGTTGAAGGGGTTTCCATGGATTCACACACTGGCGTGTGTCTGATGCGCCACCCAACCTGCATGGGCAGGAGGAGGTCTCTTTGCCTGGGGTCGGGGTGGGGGTGCCCTGTTCTCCCTCTAGTGGGCGAGATGGGGTCTGCTGGGCTGAGTGAGAGGCCGCCCTGAATTCCTCGGTGTGGATTTCAGGAAGTGGCATGACTTGTTCTAACTGAACGTTTATTTGATACGCCCTTGGTACATGTGTTTTCCAGAAGTGTAATACTGGCTTCCCCTTCCATTTTTGTATCGTATTAAAAAATACGTAAATTCTAAAGTAAGTGTTTATGATAAAACATTCGATAATTCACAGAGGTGAAAAGCTACCCCCAGAATCCCTTTCTGCTTGAATTCCACGCTCTGGAGAGGACCCCGTGAGGGTCCAGGCACAGCTCTGCCCCCGGCACCCCTCTTCTCTCTGCTGCTTCCACACTGAAAGGCGGAGGCTCTGCTGCCTGTTTTCTTTTGTTGCTCCCCATTTTAACTAAACACTAAAGAAAGTCAAGTGTGAACGTCGCGGTCATTCATTTCGCCTGTGCCGCACTTTCCTGCCCCGGCGAGCCCTCCGCCAGCACTGACCGGAGGGCGCTTCCTTCAGCTTTCTGGGTTGTCTCACTGGAACAGGGTCAGCCCCATTCCCTCCCATCCTGCCCCCTGCCTGGTCTGTAGCCACGTGGTGCCAGGAGTGAGCTCTGCTCTGCTTCAGGATGACAGGCGTGTGTGGACGTTGGTAAGCCCTGTTGGAAGCCGCGAAGCTTTGGGCACAGCTGAACGACCGCCGGTGCCTGCCGCGTGCACACCCTCTGGGCCCAGGCCGCAGGGAGGCTTCTCCAGAGGGCGGGTTCCCCACCCTCACACCCAACTGGTCTGAAAGGATAGAAGCGCATTAGAGGTGAAACTGGGGCCTTGGAGACAGAGTGGGAAATGGACTGGGCTTGTCGCTTGTATTTTACACATGTCTTTGTTTGTTTGTTTGTTTCCCCTACCTTAAAGTTCAGACCTTTGGGCTCTTGGATGCATAATATACCAGCTTGTGGCAGGACTCCCACCATTCCGAGCTGGGTAAGGAGACGGCGTTGCCTGGGCCTTGGAGCCTGTTGGGGTGCACCCCACCGGCCGGCAGTCCCTCCCAGCCTCGAGGTGGGTGGGGGAGGGCAGCACTTGGTGCCGTGCCCAGGTGGGGGGCTCTCGGCGTGCGGGGCCGGGGTGCGTTTGCCGTGCTGCGAGTCCGGGGCGCTCATCCCTGCGTGTGGAGGCTTCTGGGACCCTGCCTGGGATGACTTTTTTTTTCTTAAATTTTTACAGAAACGAGTATCTTATATTTCAGAAGATCATTAAGTTGGAATATGACTTTCCAGAAAAATTCTTCCCTAAGGCAAGAGACCTCGTGGAGAAACTTTTGGTAAATATCGTGAATTTCCTTTTAGAAAGGTGATCCGGGACACCCTGAGTCCTCTGAACCTGCTTTCTGAGTGGCTTTCCTGGAGGCTCCCGTGTTCACAAAAAATGGTGTTTTTAGGGTTAACAGTGAGTGTGGATCATTACACCTAGTCTCGCCAGACACATTGGCTCACGCCTGTCACCCCAGCACTTTGGGAGGCTGAGGCAGGTGGATCACCTGAGGTCAGGAGTTTGAGACTAGCCTGGCCTCTATGGTGAAACCACGTCTCTAGTAAAAATATAAAAATTAGCCGGGCATGGTGGCGGGCGCCTGCGATCTCAGCTACTTGGGAAGCTGAGGCAGGAGAATGGTGTGAACCCGGGAGGCGGAGGTTGCAGTGAGTCGAGATCGTACCACTGCACTCCAGCCTGGGCGACAGAGCGAGAGTCTCAAACAAACAAACAAACAAACAAAACCCAAACGTTTTGAGTACTTATTGTCACTTCTCAGTATCTGCTGGAGAGCACCCCGTACTGTTCCCCGCCCCCCCGCCCCCTCCATCCACCGCAGAGCAACTGGACGGGGAGGCAGGCCCTGGGATCCTGTGCTGCCCCTCAAGGCTCGGCCCCTTTCCTCGCACAGGTGAAAAGGAATCTCAGTCTCAAAACACAATGAACAGCAGCAAGGATTCTTTTACAGTGTATAGTTAAAAATCCTAAAACAAGAAACACTGAGTAATTAACAAAGGGAGCGAATCATCACTGGGACCAGCACGCTCCTGCGCTTGTGGAGTGGGTGTCGCTGGGACCCTCGAAGGCCGCAGAGCTGTCTCCTCCAGGGACTGATCAAGCCCACACCCCAGCCCAGGGGAAAGAGGTGAGACAGGTTGGGAGAAGCCAGTGGCTGTGGAGCCTAGCGATCCCGGGGCCACCTGCAGGGGCAGGACTGAGCCCGCTCCCAGAGTCGTGGTAAGGAGGGACGTCCAGGGCCAAAAGCACAGGAAGGTCAGGAGACTTCTGTTTCTAGAATATAAACTGATACACCTTTCCCAGGCTAACCTCTCTTCTCTGTTTTACCTGGGCTGGTCGTTCGAATTTTCATGTAGCTGACTCTAAAGCTGAAATGTACAGATGTCACGAACTAGGGTCTGCAGCCATCTGCGCTGTCATAACCCCAGTCGCTCCAGCACCAGTAACTTAAAATGCTGTGCAGTGTTGAGCAAATGCTAAATGGTACAGTAATTTCCGTTGATTTCTAAATTTTAGTTTCTTTTATTATTCCTGCTACAGTCATTTCCTGTCAAGAATCAGGCACTTGGAAATGGAAAGGGACTTATGATGAGATGAGATAAATATATATTTTTTTTTTTTTTTGGAGATGGAGTTTTGCTCTCGTCGCACAGGCTGGAGTGCCATGGTGCGATCGTGGCTCACCGCAAATTCTGCCTCCCGGGTTCAAGCGATTCTCCTCCCTCAGCCTCCCGAGTAGCTGGGATTATAGGCGTGCACCACCACGCGCAGCTGATTTTTATATTTTTAGTAGAGACGGGTTGTCACCATGTTGGCCGGGATGGTTTCGAACTCCTGACCTCAGGTGATCTGCCCGCCTCAGCCTCCCAAAGTGCTGGGATGACAGGCATGAGCCACCGTGCCCGGCTACCAGGTTTGGGTTTCTTTGGTCAGAATCACGTTTTCACCCTGGCAGTGACTTGTCTTGATTGTTACTTAAGGTTTTAGATGCCACAAAGCGGTTAGGCTGTGAGGAAATGGAAGGATACGGACCTCTTAAAGCACACCCGTTCTTCGAGTCCGTCACGTGGGAGAACCTGCACCAGCAGACGCCTCCGAAGCTCACCGCTTACCTGCCGGCTATGTCGGAAGACGACGAGGACTGCTATGGCAATGTAAGCTGGCCGGGATGGCGGGCGAGGCAGGTGGCACTGGGTCCTCCGTGCACTGGGCTTCATGCCCGTGCGCCAGACCCACGTGTGATTTGTAGCCGAAAGGGGAGGGTGTCTGTGCCACTGCGGCAGGCCTGCTGGTGGTTGTAGTCTTTGCTGCCGTGAGGCAGTGGCGGGTGAGGTGCTGGGTGGGTCATTTTCTCCTCATTTCCGTGGCCGTGGACAGGCTAGTGAGTTTCCACCCACAGGGTGCCGCTAGAACCGGACGCCGAGCACCCCCGGCACTGGCCCCGGGGTCCCACGTACGGGGCCTCCTGCCCGGCCTGTCGCATCTGCGCTTGGCTTGGTGCTTGTACAACTGTGCGGCCAAGATGCTCCAGAACACTGCCTGTCTTTCCACAGAAACCCCCGAGTGTTGTGTGCTTGAACTTTTGGGACGTGGCGTTGGTGGGGACACTGGTACCTTCTTCAGTGCTGAGTAGGCTCTGAGGCTGCTGGTCTCCCAGCTTGACCACAGCCATGGGGTCTTCAGCACGCTTGGCTCTTTAAGCTTCTCGTAGAGAGCGTGGACCATGTGCCCAAGGGACCGAGGGTGTTGTGAGAGGCAGGCATGTCGCCCACTTCAGCCTTGTTTCCTCTGAGTTCCTCTTGCCACCTCCCCCGTGACCCCCTCGTACTTAAGTGCTGTTATCATGAGATCCATTTTTCTGGTTTGACTTCTGTCGCCATGGCTTATTCTAACTGGCACCGTGTACGGAGTTCCACTTTCCATGACTGAGGAAGTCCAGATTTTGTTTGTTTTGAGACAGGGTCTTGGTGTGTCACTCAGGCTGGAGTGTAGTGGTGCGATCTCGGCTCACTGCAACCTCTGCCGCTGTGGGTTCAAGCGATTCTCCTGTCTCGCCCTCCCGACTAGCGGGAACTGCAGGTGTGCACCACCATGCCCGGCTAATTTTTGTATTTTTAGTAGAGACAGGGTTTCGCCGTGTTGGCCAGGCTGGTGTGGAACTCCTGACCTCAAGTGATCTACCCGCCTCGGCCTCCCAAACTGCTGGGGTTTTAGGCATGAGTTACTGCACCCAGCTGGGAATTCTAGATTTTATCTAAAAGTCATCCACAGCTAAATTTCTGCTAGTGTCAAAGTTTCCCAACGCCCCTACCTGCTGTGTAACGCCCCTCATCCTCCCGACATCCTTTGAGCCCAAACTCTAAGGGAGCCAGGCTTGGGGAGCGGAGTCTGTGCCGCCTGACGTGGCCACCTGAAGCATTTAGGGACTGCAAACCTCCCTTAAGAGCCTTAAGAGCAGATTCCACAGGTCCTGCCTCAGGGCTTCCTCATGGGTGGTCTTCATTCCTCCAGGATCCCAGAGGAACCCACATATGGGACATGGCAGCTCAGGACAACACCCAGCCACCTACATGGGACAGGGCCACACAGGATAGAGACAAGGAGATGAGGGCCTCAGTGTCACAGACTTCCCAGCCCCGCATGGGTCCCGCACAGCCCCCTTCTCCAGCACCGAGGACGTGAGTGGCTGCGTCAGGGGTGGGTTAGAGGTGAGCCTGGGCGGCAGGGCCTTGGTCTGTGTCTAGTGCCTGTTTCTGAGCCAATCCCACTAGGGGCAGACTGAGATAAAACGAAGCCTCAACTCGAGTGGCTCCACGACAGAACACAAGCGGCTGCCCAGAGAGAGTGCATGTGAAAGACATTCCCTGCCAAAGAGACAGGAGTGGGCATCATGGCTCACAGCCTCAGAGCAGGGGCAGGGCTGGGCCACAGCCCCCGTCACTCCACGCCCCGCGTGAACTCGGAGGAGGCAGGCAGATGCCCAGGCCCAGAGGCCCAGAACAGAAACGGAGTCAGACGCTGCCCAGTGCAGACCGATGCGCAGACACGGACCCGGGGGAGCAGGGCCACGCCCGCACGCAGGTGCCCAGAAACCCTCAGCCTTCACGGCGAGGCCTCGAGCTGTTCTGAGCCAAGCCAGCACCGCAGCACACAGGCAGGCCAGCCTGGGCCCAACGCGTGTGGGCACCGTCCCTGCACCACGATCACTCAGAATGGAACACGGCAGCTGGCAGCAGCAGGCACAGTCCAGGTGATGGCACAGAGACATTCACCACCCTTGGGCTGTCCTTGAGGGAGAGCAGGCCAGGGAACCAGGCCCTGAAGCACGCCGTGGGCATCACCGGGCATGTGCCTCACACACCCGCTCAGACCACCTCAGTCACAGCAGGGAGGAACCCCTCACACCCCTTGTGTCGCCAGCCGGAGCCTGGACAGAGGGAGCCCTCCAAGGAGCTGCAGCCAGGGAGGACCCCACACCCACAGGGTCCCCAGGCCTCCCTGTCCGGCAGCTGTGCCGCTGCCCGTGGCCTCAGCACCAGAACGTCGGCCCCAGCTTCAGAGTACAGGGCCTGCTCCTCCCTGGGGCCCCAGGCTGCAGGCATCTGTGTCTTAAGTGGAGCCCTTGGCACCTTTGTCGGGCCCTTGCCCCCAAAGCTAAGGCACCTGTGCCCAAAACTCGGCTTACCTTCCTCCGCGAGGTCTTTGTTAATCACCAGCTTGCCGTGTCTCAGGTAGTTCAGCACAGGCCCAAAGTAGGTGGGGTCTCTGTCGATTAAATAGGCGCCTGTTTCATCCTAAAGAGAGCAGAGCACGGTGAGTCCTCCGTGAGAAGCCGAAGGTTCCTGCAGGTCCACCAAGGCCCGGCCACCTCAGGAGGCTTCAGAGGCACCAGGTTACCCAGGCCTCTCCCCAGCACACCTGAGCCTGCGGCATCTCAGGAAACCCCTGACGGTGTGGCCACGTCCTGCCGCCTACAGCCTAACCCTGACCAGCCACCACCCCAGGTCTAAGTGAGTTTAAGTCTCTCCGTACGGAGGCAGCCTGGCTCTGCGTACTCCAAGGTGAGCCCACTGTGCCCTGGACCTCTGTCCTCACAACTGCAAGACCTCTAGGAAAACACACACGAAAACCTCACCCAGAGATGCCCTCGCGGGCAGGGCAGGGGCCTAGGGCTCAGCCTCAGAAGGACACCTCTGATGGCCACCAGCCTGGGCCTGCGCTCCTCGTGCCCGGGTCCTCCGCAGCCTACATGCAGGAACGGGGGGTCAGGGTGACAGGGGCTTCCTGCCAGGGGTGGAGAGGGCACCTTTCAGCAGGGGCGGCTGCCCAACAGGCCGGGAGCCAGCAGCGAGGGAGGCCACAGTGACCTGCACTCAACAGCATCCGGGGCTTTCCCCAAGATCATCACTCACCTCACAGAGCCCTCGCCCCGGCTCAGCGCTCACGGAGGCCGAGATGTTTACAAAACAGACCCCTCGGAAGGTGTCCTCACGCACCTGGGTGGAGGGACCCCTGAGAGGCACTGCCCCTGCTGCTACCACGGCCACTTCAATGTGGGCAGATGCCCTCTGAGGCCCGGGGTGCCCCACACATCACACCTTGCAGCCCCTTCCACAAAGCACAAGAGCCCCAGTGGCCCGGCCGTGAACACAGGACGGGGGCTCAGACGCCCCAGGCAGCCCCCATGGGGGAGACGGAAGAGGCAGTTTCTGTCTTGTCGGCTACACATCTGATGGGGGGACTGCGAAGCTGGCACAGCCTGTCTTCTACACAGACTCAGACCTTCCGTGTGGCTCTGCTGGGGCAGCTCCTGCCTCCCCCCACATGCCTGCAAGGGTCCTGCTCCCACCTGCGAGCCACTCCCACAGGGGCTGGTGCCTGCGGGTGCCCTGGAGGCCGGGGAGCTGAGGCCTCCGTTCAGAAACACCGGCAGCCTCCCCGGCGAGGCCCAGGGCCAAGCGCTGGAGAAGCAACCCCACACCCCATTCGGAGCAGGAGCAGCCCCCTCACCAGATGGTGGCTCCTGTGGGGCCATGGGCAGGCGCTGGCCACGGGAATGCCAGGCTCGCAGATATGGGGAGGCCGAAGGTGTCTCCACCACAAAGCACGGGGCCACGCTAGGACCCTATTTTCATCCATGGACAAATTCTGCCATTTGGGTGCTAAGACCTAGTGGTCTCAAGAGATTTTCCCAAAGTCCACCACCGCAAACCTGCAACAACCTGCTCTTTTTAGATCACAGGGACTGAGTTTTGTGGCTGAGATAAAATCAATTAGGGCTCCGGGCATGGGGGCGCTGGACCCGGAGCCTCGGCGGCCCCCCTACTCCTTAGGGTGACCCCAGCTCCACACAGACCTGACCCTATCCTCCTTCCCCACCCTCCCCCGGAACACTCCAGCCAGAGCTGCCCACCCCACAGGCCCTGCCTCCTGGGCTTGGCCCTGCCTTTCCCCAGCCCTCCAGACTCCACAGCTCTCAAGCAAGGGCCGGGGCCACAGGGCCAGCTCCCGGAAAGAGGACGCTGGGCGGTCCTGCGCAACTGCTAAAAAATGGACACCATTTCCCACAAAGGGGCCCAAGTCTGGCAAGGCGGCCAGTGCTGCCACCCGAGTCCAGGGTTCCTCCCTGCCCCACCCCCATACAGAGAGAATGCTGGCCGCGTGACGTCCGCACACCGCTCAGCTCAGGAATTATTCACGGCTCACTGCTACCTCGACAGACCGCTGGCAGGAGGTCAGGAAAGATCAGATAGGGCGGAGGCTCGCCTCTGCCCAGGACAACCCCAGAGAACCCCTTTGTCAGCCATGGAGGCCTCCAGGCCTGGCCTCAGTGGTCAGACTGCAGGCTCACAGCCAGGCCACCCCAAGCCTCAGTTTCTTTACGAGCAAAAGGTGGGGGAGACCAGCTCGTGTAGCTCGGGGCCGCCATGAGTGCCAGGGCACCCAACCTGTGGCAGGACCTGGGCACTGAGCCGTGACCTCTAGGCCAAGACAACCCACCATGCGCTTCTCGGGCCCTGGGCCGATGCAAGAGGAGAAGAAACTGTACTGGGTGCCCCCAGACAACCAGGGCAGCCCCAGCCCTGCAACTGGAAGGACGGAGGCAGGAGGGAAGGAGGGCGGGCCGAGGACGGCCATCAGTTAAAACCACACAGCAGGACAGAGGAACAGGCCTGAGGACCCAGCAGCGTACTGGGTGTACTGGCAGTGGGCTTGGTGCTGCTCTCACCACTGTGCTCTTTTGAGGCTTTCAGTGGCTGATTTCCACATTCACAGTAAGTGCTGGGGTCTGAAACCAACACTCTTCAATCCTACCAGGGTTCAGGTCTCGCTGAGGCCTGACTCGCATCCATATACGTGCAGGGTGTCGGTGCTTTGAGCTCGGGTGAGCCACGTGCTCCAGATTGGCCTAGTGCGTGCAGGGTCTACTCATGGCACCAGCCCAGGCCCAGACAGTGCCAAGCTCAGGCGCAAGGGCCTTGGCAGCTCACTGCTTGTGTCAGGGATGTGGCTCAATAGCCTCCACCCTGATGCAGAAACAAAAATATGGAACATGGGGAGTACAAAAACATAAAAAATTCAGGATATACTCCTAGGCTCACGGAGACAAAGGGAGCAAGGTCACCTCACGGATGTTCAGAACAGTGCCTGAGCCGACCCAGGTAAGGCCCCTGTGCTGCCCACAAGGCCATCAGCGGTACCTGCCCAAGGAGGGAAAGATGCCCCAGCCCGGCCATGCCTCTAAGATGGGTGAGGAGAGGTGGCCAGGAAGCCAGCGGGATGCTGCGGGCCGGGCGTGGGGGTGCTCTTCTTCCTGCGGGCCCGGCGTGAGGGTGCTCTTCTTCCCACGGGCGGGGAGTGGGGTTGCTCTTCTTCACGCGGGTGGGGTGTGGGGGTGCTCTTCCTCTTCTTCCTGGCTTTCCCGTGTGTCCCACGGCTTACACAACCAGCACAGGCTGCGCTCGATTCTCGCAAAGGTTCGTGGTGGTTTTTTTTTTTGTAAGACAGCCCTAATTGGCTGGGTGTGGTGGCTCACACCTGTAATCCCAGCACTTTGGGAGGCCAAGGTGGGCGGATCACGAGGTCAGGAGTTTGAGACTGGCCTGGCCAACATGGTGAAACCATCTCTACTAAAAATATAAAACTTAGCTGTGTGTGGTGGTGCATGCCTGTAATCCCAGCTACTCAGGAGACTGAAGGAGGAGACTCGCTTGAACCCAGGTGGCAGAGGTTGTGGTGAGCCAAGATTGTGCCATTGTACTCCAGCTTGGGCAACAAGAACAAAACTCCGTCTGAAAAAAAAAAGCCATAATTAAGACTTTTCTTAGCAAGTCATCTCCCTCATCTTCCCCGCACCTTGCTGAACCGGCATCTGACCTACTTGGGGCCGGGCCCAAGCTGGTATTGGGTGGGCCCAGCAGGCTGGGTTGACCCACCCATCTCCAGGGGTCACAGCCTTCAGCCGGAGCCACCCACCGCAGGCCAGGCAGGCCGGTTTCCAAACCATAGAGGAGAAGAGGGATCCTGGCCACACCAAGAGCAGGAGCCAAGGTTGTCTCCTGGAGAGGAGCGCACGGGAGGCAGCGCCAAGCCAGGGCACACACAGTCTCAGGAGGTAGAAGAAGATCCCACAGACAGAGCTGGCTGCCCCCTCCCCAAGTCCACAGGACAAACACAGAGGGAAGTCTGTTTAGGAGAGCAGCACTCAGAGAAGGCTGGTGAGAAGCCTGCCCACTCTGCTCATGTCACCAGACTCCGGCTGCAGCCCTCAACCCTCCATGCTGTCACCCAGCAAGCAAAGCACCAGAGACAACATGGGGGCACCCCAGCCCCTGAGGAACAGGTCCCTAATGCAACCACCAGCCTTGAAAATGGCAGTGAAGGGCTGGGCTTGGTGGCTCACGCCTGTAATCTCAGCACTTTGGGAGGCCGAGGCGGGCGGATTATCTGAGGTCAGGAGTTGAAGACCAGCCTGACCAACATGGTGAAACCCTGTCTCTACTAAAAATACACAAATTAGCCAGGCTTGGTGGAGGGTGCCTCTAATCCCAGCTACTAGGGAGGCTGAGGCAGGACAATCACTTGAACCTGACAGCCCCGTTGCAGTGAGCCAAAATTGTGCATTACACTCCAGCCTGGGCGATCCAGTGAGCCTCTGTCTCAAAAAAAAAAAAAACGGCAGTGAGGAATGAGGGTGGAGACTGCCAGGCTCTCACGCCAGATTCTGAACCCAACATAACCCTGCTGCTGCCCAACCCTCCCGCAGCTCCCAGAGCTCTGCAAAGAGGGTCGGCCCTGCGGCTCTCAGTCATTCCCGGTGCTCGGAGACACGTGCCACCAGAGGGGAACGAAATCAAGAGGGTGCAGTGCCCTGAGCCAATCCAGGAGATAAACTCTGTCAAATTGCCCCACAGAAATCTAGACGCGAAGGCATAGAATTTCCTGTGCACCAACATCTGCAATCAACCTAATTAGAAATACTTAGTTTTTACTCTGAAATTATCCATTTCAAGTGACTCTGTTTCAATTTCGCACACAAAACCTTCACCTCTACTCTCTCTTCTGTTTTGTTTTATGCAGCTGTGGCATATCTTTGGCCCACAAGAGGACTTTGATGTCACCAATTACTAATGGGGAAACTGAGGCCAGAGACCAAGGAGGCTTGTCCAAGGCAGCCAGATTCGGAGAGCAGGGTGGGGCCCCTGTGCCCTGGTCGCCAGGCCTGCTGCCTCCCCACCACCCTTCCCTTCCATTGCTTCTCGGCCTCACCCAGCATAGAAACTGGAATTTGGGAGGTCCCTGCCCCACACATGACTCAAAGCTTAGTGAGAAGCAGACGTGTGTGGACTCACGACCTGGCCCCTCACAAGAGGTCCTGCGGCTTCTCGGGGAAGAAACATGCTTCAGGTGAACCACGGGGGGTCTTGCCAAGCCGAGGTCGCTGCAGAGAGTCCTGCTCTGCTCGGCAGGAACTGGAGCCCTCTCAGGAGCAGGGGTGTCAGGTTTCTTGCAAGAAAACTCGGGGGCTGCCCAGGAAGCCCTGCCCTCCCCACAGTGCAGGGTCCAGTCCCCAGAGGTGGAGACCCACTCAGCGGGGGCCTGTGCTGCTAGGGTCAGCCAGAGCTCTGGGTGGCAGCAGGGGGACTGGCAGGGCGAGCCACTCCTGGCCATACATGCTGCCTTCAGGGACCTCCGGTGCATCACCCGAGGCTGACAGGGCTGAGTGTGGCCAGAGGTCGACATTAACAGAAATTAAGTGTGGCTGCGGGAGGGGAAAAGCGTTCTTAGCATATCCTTCCTAAAAGTAAAGTACACTCACACCTGTAATCCCAGCACTTTGGGAGGCCGAGGTGGGCAGATCACCGGAGGTCAGGAGTTCGAGACCAGCCTGGCCAACATGGAGAAACCCCATCTCTACAGAATATATAAAAATCAGCCAGACATGATGGCTTGTGCCTGTAATCCCAGTTACTTGGGAGGCTGAGGCAAGAGAATCTCTTGAACCCAGGTGGCAGAGGTTGCAGTGAGCCCAGATAGAGGCGGGATAGAGTGAGACTCTGTCTCAAATATTTAAAAACAAAAACCAAGTACAGGCCGGGTGCAGTGGCTCATGCCTGTAATCCCAGCACTTTGGGAGGCCAAGACAGGTGGATCAGGAGGTCAGGAGATCGAGACCATCCTGGTTAACACGGTGAAACCCCGTCTCTACTAAAAATACACAAAGATTAGCCGGGCGTGGTAGCGGGTGCCTGTAGTCCCAGCTACTCAGGAGGCTGAGGCAGGAGAATGATGTCAACCCGGGAGGTGGAGCTTGCAGTGAGCTAAGATCGCGCCACTGCACTCCAGCCTGGGCAACAGAGTGAGACGCCGTCTCAAAAAAAAAACAAGTACAAACACGAAGACCTCCAGGCACAGCCTCTCCTGACTGCACTGACCTGGTGCCAGGCATGGGGCAGGGGCACCACATTTGTCATCTTCAGGGGAGGACGTCACCCTTACCTTACAGAGGAAGAAACTACAGCTCACAGGGGACGGGAAATCACCCGAAGTCACAAGGCAGGCCCGGGATGGGCACAGTCTCTCACCAGTGCTGGCTACACAGTACATCATCTGCCATCTCCACTAGACGTGATCCCCACTTCTCTTGCCAAGCGGCTTCAAAGACGGTACTCTAGCCCACACCCCATCACTGGGCCCTGTCTGAACAATTCCTTCCATAACTTTCCACCCCCGAGGTCTTGCCAACACCCAGTACACTGTTAGAGGCACCCTGACTGCCCCACCCCTCAAAGACCCATCTGATGCCACCACATCTGGAACCCTCAAGCCGGGACAACGGCCCTGTTCAAAGGGCAAAAGTTCACGTGCAGTTTTCTCCAAGGCTGCCTCAGCTGCAGGAACCGAAGCCTCCCCAAATTCTCCTCCATCTGAGTGGTTTCCAACCATAAAGCAGTAGTATTTCCTGTTTCCTTTTAACTCCTCAAGTATCTCCACACTAAAGCAGGGGCTGCTTTAGCTGGAAACAACAAACTCGACTTTGTTTTCAACAATGCCTATGGGCCGGGGACCATGCAATACAAGAGACCTAACCAAAATGAATCGAGTCTTTGGGAAGCCGTATTCCACCTGGCCTGCCCTCGAAGACACCAAGGAAGAGAAAGATGACAGAACAGCAGATGAGCAGATGCTGAAATGCTCACCACAGCCACAGTCCTGCTGGAGGAAGTCCCAGGAGGAAGTGAGAATTCACACCGGGCTGTCTAGAAAGAGAACTTTGTGGCAGCAGGTCGGCCCTTGGAACAGCAGAGTAAGGGCTTGGGAGCGTGGAGTATGGCGGGTGGTGGGTCCCAAGCTGGGCTCTGAGGACTTGGTTGGGGGCAGTCACAGCCCAGAAGCTTAGATGTGGGGCCAGAGGGCAATCAAGCCAGCCCCTTGATGTGCGTGGCTTTCACCACCCTCCCTAACAACCCGTCTGTCAAGAGCTCCCCTCCCTACCAGATAGGATGCTTTAGCAGGGTGCTCTCCCAACCTCTCAGGCACCCAAAGCTTCTATGGTTTCTTGGGAACTCCTCCCCCTTAAATCTCCCCACCCAACCCCTCTCCAGACCCCCACACTCTGCAAGCCCAGGTGCTCACTCCACACAAGTCTAATAATCCAGGCAGGGACTCTTCCACCAGATCCATGCTTAAGTCCAACTCGAGGAATATTCTTTCCTTAATCTCAACTCTGAGGTCAGGCCTTGGAGATCTTTACAGGTGAATCAACATCCTGTTTGTCTTCCAACGTGTCATTAATGGCCTCCCACTCCTGACACCCCTTCCCCCCCTCCTCAGATTCCTCAGTCAGCATTTAATTAGGAGGAATCTCCTGGGACATTCTTTCATCAGAGCCACTGGAGACAAAACTAAGATGAAGCATTTTACACATTTCCTCATTTGATGAAAAACACCGGAAAACACTTTAGTAACGTGACTAATATGAATTAGCACTACACTTTTGGCAAATTATCTGTCACTAAAACTAACCTTATTTACTCCAATTATTGTTTTCTCCTTTTCTTTTTTCTTTTTTTTTGAGACAGAGTCTCGATCTGTCGCCCATGCTGGAGTGCAGTGGCGCAACCTCAGCCCACTGTAACCTCTGCCTCCCGGTTCAAGTGGTTCTCCTGCCTCAGCCTCCCGAGTAGCTGGGAGTACAGGCACGCGCCACCATGCCCAGCTAATTTTTTTGTATTTTTAGTAGAGACGGGGTTTTGCCATGCTGGCCAGGCTGCTCTCAAACTCCTGACCTCAGGTGATTCACGCGCCTCGGCCTCCCAAAGTGCTGGGATTACAGGCGTGAGCCACCTTGCCCGGCCCCTACTCCAATTATTGTATGAGACAGAGACGACTGTATCTGCTACTTTACCTTCATGTTCTGAATTTGAGTTTTACCATTTGGAAATCAAACCTGGTTAAATGGATGATAATGAAAAGAGCAAGTATAACACAGATATATTCAGAAAGATTAATTACCCCTCGCCCAAAGAATTGATTCCTACCGTAAAGCATTTTTTTGTTTGTTTGAGACAGAGTCTTGCTCTGTCATCCAAGCTAGAGTGCAGTGGTGTGATCTTGACTCACTGCAAGCTCCGCCTCCCGGGTTCTAGCGATTCTTCTGCCTCAGCCTCCAGAGCAGCTGGGACTACAGGCGCCCGCCACCGCGCGCGGCTCATTTTTTGTATTTTTAGTAGAGACAGGGTTTCATCGTGTTAGCCAGGATGGTCTCGATCTCCTGACCTCGTGATCCGCCTGCCTCAGCCTCCCAAAGTGCTGGGATTACACACGTGAGCCACCGCGCCCACCTTTTTGTATTTTTAGTAGAGACCGGGCATCACCATATTGGCCCGGTTGGTTTTGAACGAGATCCACCTGCCTGGGCCTCCCAAAGTGTTGGGATTACAGGCATGAGCCACCGCGCCCGGCCCATAATTTTTAACAAAGTCTTAAGGAACAGTAAAGCAAAGGGATCAACCACCTTAACTGTGCTATAGTTCATCAACTGGGAATCAAGTGCTCCAGTGCTGAATAGACAACCATTGCCTCAAAGAACCCAATGGACAAGAGCAATTTAAACTCTAATTTCATATACAAAACAGGAATGCTTGAGTAGAAAGGCAAGGGAGTGACCACTAAGCCCTGTTATTTAAAAAGAAAAACCAAACAGTAAAACACACACCCACACTTATAAAAGGAAAATCACAGCTAACAAACGCCTATTTCTATCCTGGGGATGACTGTCATTTCCTGGGAGGTCAATTCTCTGAGTAGAGGGCTTGGTCAAATGAGCAATGGAAACAGTTGGAAGTTGTGGGGAGGCACAGGAGGGTTGGCATCTCAAACCCTCATTTCCACCCACAAGGCTGCCTTAGCAGTAACTCCAGATTCTCATTTCCTGATCACGGTCATGCCATGCTGAGAATGGTCTCAGTCAGGCTTCTCAAACTTGAAGAGGGATCCGAACCTTTCTGGGAAGCCTCCTGCATGGCAAATGTTGGCTGCCAAGGCACAAAGCCAAGCGCAGTCATGTAAGCTCAACTGAAAGACCCCGCAAAGTTAGTATAAGGCTTGTGAACTGCCTTGAATAAATATAGGTAACAACTTCTTCAAACAGGCTTTTTTGTGAGTTTCAATCCTGCACAACTCCCAAGACACGGTTCCTCGGCTCCACAACTCTTGATAAATAAAGGTAGCAAAAGGTTTCTATTACCATCTACCCAACAGCATGAGCATTTCGCTTGATGAAAGACAAGCTGCAAACTAACCTGGAAATTCCTGTCCTTTTGCGAAGACAGTGGGAAAACTAAGCCAATTAGAAAGCAGATTGAAAGATTCCTTACCTGGCCCTTCCTGGACATCCCTAAAGCAACCCTTAATATGAGCAAAATCCCCTTCGAAAAATCACAGTATATACTATGGACGCATCTTCTAAGAGGTGCTGAGTGGGTGCTGCGTGCTGTGGATGGAAAGGATGGAGCGCCAACTCTCTAAATACAAGTCACCAGGGAAAAAAAGGGCCGCCCATATCAACCCCCACGTCAGCGTTAATTCAAACGTCCAGAATGTGAAACGCCAAGGGTTCTGTCTCCAGAGCCAGCAAGTACCCTGGGACAGAGAAGAGAAGGCGTTCACACACCCTGGGCAAAAGAACCTAGTGAGAAAAAGAAAGTAGAATCACAGCAAAGTCCGGGGTCTCGGAAGCCTCCTCCACCAAAGAGCAAAGAGGGCGAGGAAGAGACACCCCCAAGGTGAAGCGACTCAGGATTCTCAAAGGCAGTGGACACCAGGGCGCCATCCTTGCCCTCCCCTCCCAGGATAGGGGATCGGGGCAAGCTGGGGATGAGCTGGCGACAAGGGAGTGTTGGGCTCGAAGCCCGAGGAGAGTCGCCCTCTCCTGCTGAGCTCTCCTCGGCGTGGAGCAGGGCGTGTGCGGCGGCCACAGGCCGAAATGGCCCAGGCCCTTTCGACTGGCCCACGTGGTCCTCACCTTGTCCGAGTCCGGGTCGGGGTCGGCCTGGCTCAAGAGGTACAGGAAGGATTTCGGGTCCTGACACAGCGGCGTCTGCCCAGTGGTGAGGAAGTAGGTGCCGCCGCTGTAGAGCCGGACCCACTTGGACCTGCTGCTGGGGCGCTGGGCCAGGACGCTGAGCCCCGCGCTTTAAGGGAGGCACAAGAAGCCACCCCAACCCCGCCCCGAGCCTGCCACGGGCCAGCGGCAGGAGCTCGCAGTGATTCCCCGCCATGATCCCAGCAAGCCCCACCACACCTCCGCTTCACCGGAAGAGTCCGGCTTTTAATATCGCCCTTTGCGTTCTGTCCCGCCCACTGGTCAGCCCTTGTAGAACACCCGCCGGTCACATGGCAGGCGGAAGTTCCATCCGGGAAAAGCAGCCGGCTGGTCCCACTTCCGGAGGGAGTGAAACCGAGCTTGGGGCGCCAACGCTAGCGGGCAATGGCAGACACCCGCCCCCAACCGCGCCCCCACTCCGTGGCGGGGTCAAAGGAAGAGCCACGCCAGCAAACCTCTACACTCTACATGCTTTTTATTACAAGACTACTGACCATACGAGGAAAATTCATCATCTGGTAACTACACCTAAAGCACAAGTATTTGGAAAAAAAAAAAGGATAAACAGATTCATTAAATTATATGATTAAATCACTGACCCAATAGAAAATTTATATAATAAAGCCAGAAAAAAAGTTGTAAAATATAGTTTACAATAATTATTCACATTCAAGGCTGTACATCAATACATACAACAACGTGGCCCCGAACATGAATTCAATTCAAATAATTCATATATTAGAATTTAAATAACACAGACTGAACTAGAGGCCAACAATAGCCAGCAAATAACCTTATATAAGAATAAAAATACAAAAGTGTATATCCTAGTATCATTGCATTTGTTTTCATAAGTTCTTTTAATTTTTGCTTTGTCTGTACATCACAGTTACAGCTACAGACCAGGTAGAGAATATTACGCATGTTCTGCTTGCCACCCACCTGAAAGACGTACTAGTCATTTATCCTATTTTATGTTGTGAAGGAACAGCTACAGCAGCTCTAAATACTGTAACAATTTAATTTTGCCAACATCCAACTTACTTACAGTCGTAATAGAGGCTTTTACCAGCACAATGACCCCTATTCGTAGTCATTCTGCCAGGTGGTTAGGCTATGTGGGTTACACAGCTTAAAAAAGGTCTGCCTTTTGTAAAAAGTTCTCTGTACATAGTTTGGTGTTTCTTCATATGGAAGAAATGAGTTACGGGGAAAATTCAGGTACACACGTAGGCTCGTTCAGTTGCTCACCACAGCCATCTCAACAGATGAAAGTGCTCTTTGTTGGAAACAGCTTCCTCCTCACACCAGTTCTCCACAGGCAGCCTCATCTACAACCCTGCAATTTTGGGCCAGAAGTGGTGGCCCCTCAGAGGCTCTGAAGTGCCTCCAGCCCCGATTCAGGCACTTGCCACGTGTGCTGCGTAAGAAGGGACCCCCACCCAGTGAGTCAACATAGGCTCATGTCAAGTTTGAAAATAACTGGGGAAAAGTGTATGACAACATCTTCCAGAACAAAGTACCTTCACCGTATTCTCACAGCAGCTGCGATCTCTGAAGTCTCAGCAGTGACCACCCCGGGTCTGTCAACCAGCCAGGCAAGGGGGGGCCCTCAGGCTTCAGAGGGCAAGAAACCAAATTCCGTGCAATTTGGCCATAATCTCTGGTAGAGTGAAGCAGCACTGAACACGGTGCCTAGAAAAACCTCCTGCACGTTCCCCTGCACAATCAATGGACCCCAACTACAGTGGAGAAATGAAGAATCCAACCAAATTTGGGTGGTCTGGACTTGCTGCCAGCCAGGCAATCTGCAACACTGTGGGCAGGGAGTTGGGGGGGGCGGCCTGAAATCTACACCAGCTGGGACAACCACGCCCTACAATGAAAAAGCCAGCCTGGCTGCTGGGCTCTTGTGAACCACTAAGACCTGAAGGTGGGGCCCCACGGGTGGAAGGGGGAGACAAATGCACTCTTGTAAAACCCAATCAGCTACGTGGTTTTTTTCAAAGAGGCTTTGCTCTGCTACTGATTCCAAATGTCCTAATATACCTTCTGAGTCTATAAACTTAATTACAAATCACTCACTAAGCATGTGGCAAGGTCAGTTCAACACTTGTTATCTCTGCTGACTGTGCAGATGCAAATTCAGTACCATTGTGGACACGAAGTACAAGATTCTGCCAAGCGCTTGAAAGCCACGGCAGCAGGGAGGGCAGAGAGCTGACATGCAGGCAGAGCCAGGTTCTTGCAACCAAAACAAGGAAATTGGCTCTTGGAAAAAATCGGCCACAGATGGATTGCAGTAGTGACATCCTCTTAGCATTTAAATAAAGAGCGGTCTTATTCAGACATTCTTTGGAACACATGGCTTATCAGAAACCGATTTGTTCAGAATCTGTAAGACACAACTAAGGTGGTTCTGCTACTGGAAGTGAGCGTCTACACATCAGGTCGAGAGAGAGACAGAAATATCTTCAAAATGAACAAACTCTTTCACCTCAAAATACCACTTCCAGGCATCTAAGGGGGAAAAAAGTAAGAAATCAGAAGATTTTAAAGATATTCATCACAGCATTATTTAAATAGTGGAAAAATCAGAAACCGTCTTAAGTATTTTACAGTAGGGAAATGGTCAGATAAATTATAGTAAATGGACAATGACTAAATAGTACAATTGTTAAAAACATGTTTCTGAGAAACTCATGACATGGGAAAATGCTTAAAATATCAAGGGAGAAGACGATGCAAACGGTGTGTGTCGGATGTTCCTATTTTAGTTTAAAAAGTGAACAAATGGCAGGGCAGGATATACGGCAAAATGCTCACAGTGGTCTTCTCTGGCCGGTGAGCCTACAGCTGATCTTGTCAGAGACAAACGTTAGTTTTACTGAGTCACCCAGAGCCCTGTGCTGGTGCCTGAGGGTTTGTTCCATGGGACAGTCTCCACAATTCCTCTGGGGAAGGGCCACAAATCCCACAGTGTGTCCCAAGAGGGCTGGAGTAGGCGGAGTCCCCAGCAGCTGTGGCATGACCAGCCATCTCTCTCAAAACAATTGTTAACAAGCCTTCTGCAAGTTAAGGTTCCACATGGTAGCCGTGGTACAGAGGCATTTCTCTAGGGTGGAGAGGCTTGTGCTCTACACCAGGACTGCCCACCGCCCTGGCTGGGGCCACACAAAGAGGGGAGAAAGGAATCCCTCAGAAGCCAGCCCCCAACTGTGTCCCAGAGAAAGGCGGGGCACCTGGGACACCTAGGCCGGCAGCGACCACAGCCTCCCTCCGCTTTGTGCCGAGAAGCCGCACAGTGTGGTCCCGACATTCCACCTGTCCTTGCCCATGTGTGGGGAGGCACATGGCCCCAAGTCTATTAAACAGCAGGTGAAATCTTCCTCATCTTGGATAAACCCACAACTGTAATTCCACGTAAGTGTGTCTATGTGCACACACAGTACCCCACGTTCTACCGTAGAATGTAAGGCGCCTGCGTGCCAGGTGATGGCTCTAAGGATGTGGTAGAGAAAACCGGAGTAGACATGAGCAAGCACAGGGTAAGGAAAGAAAACACACGGGCCTTTCAAAAGGGAAGAGCAAGGGGCTGGGTGAGGAGAAAGGTGACCCACAGAAGGGCTTGGCTGTCAGCTCAGGCAATGGCATCATTTTGGCTGGCGGCTGCCAGCTCTGGCTCTGAGCCCCTAGTTCTGTGGCTTTGGAGGTTAAGATGGAGCTTGTCAGTGACGCCCAGGAGGTGGTGGTTCTATCCAGAGGAAGAACGCACGGAAGAGTCTCCCCAAGCAGCCCAGCCGAGTGCTCCAATTAAAGCCACGTCCCTGCTCCACTTGTTTCCCTATAACCAGACGCCCTGAGAGATCTGAGAGAGCCACTCTCCTACATGGAGACACAGGACGTTCTGAGATGGGTAAAATAGCTGATGAGGAGGAGGAAGCCTGAACAGAAATTCCTGAAAGGGCTAAGAGAGACTCCCCAACACAGCCAAGCCTTTCCAAAAGCCAGGAGGAGGAGAGAGGACTCCGACTCCGGCCACAGGCCCAGGGCAACGTGCTGGGCCCCGGAGCGTCCTGCTCCCTGGGGCCCCAGGGTAGGTGCGGCCCAGCTCACCCCAGCTCACGGTCACAGGCTCACATGCAGCTCTCACACAGCAGCAGCCAAGGCCCAGGCAGGAACCACAGGCAGGGCCTGGGGAACATCTCTGCCCCCTCCCAGGCCCCGTCTGTACTCGCCTAGCTAAAAAGAGCCACTCTCGTCATTAGCAGTGTAAAAACGACACCTTCCCTCTCAGTTTGGATCTGGCCTGGCACACAGGGTCACTGCTGAGTCACCTGTGACTTGGGGGTAGGGACCAGGGAGGGTGGACACAGTTGAGTCAGAGGCAGGTCTGTGGGCAGCAATGTCTGCCTCTCCCCCAAAGGGAGTGAGGGCTGCCCTCCAGGGACAACCTGGGCAGGGAGAGAAGGGCCCAGACCTGCCAGGCCACCAGGAGCACTCTCTACCTGGGGAGTAGCTAGGCAAAGGACAAATGCATCTGGCCTGTCTGTGCTGCAGAGCGGGGCAAGGCCACCAAAGCATCAAAGGGAAATGGCCCCAAAACCGGCTCTCTCTAGAGGAAAGCCGACCAGCAAGCTGGGGTTGAAGTGTGCTGTTCTCGCCTCCTGTGCAACAGCAACTGGCAAAGCCCACTCTATGGGCCCAGATGAGCCGGCAGCATGAGAAGGCTGTGAGATTTCTGATGCACAGATGTAGAAGCTCTGAGGGGCTCTGAGAAACTTGAACCAAAACACAAAAGGGGCGTGTGTGACGGTGGTGTCTGCACTCCCTGGCGTGGTCTGCAGGAGACAGAAGCACCCTGGGTCTGCTGATGCCAGGGTTCTCTCAGACCCTACTTCAGCAACTGGAGAGGCGTGGACATTTAAACCTTTTAGGAGGCCCTCAGGCCTCTCTGCTCCACACGGAAGTCAGCAGCCCTCTCTGCTCTGGCTGGCTTCTCCAAGGCACCTCCTGGCCCCACCTAGGGCTCGGGGCAGGACTCTCTCGTGCAGTGAGCCAGCGGGGTACTAACTGGGCTCACTTCTGACAGTACCGCTCCCAGCATGCGCTCGGCTTCCAGCCCCAGAGACCAACACTGCTAAGTAGGATAAGGGATCCGGAGCCCTCGATGGCACCCTCCACTCGGCAGCCTGCTCCCGCACCACTCCAACCCCTCCCGCTCCTCACCACGCAAACCTGCCTGCCAACACAGCAGGGGCCACAGAAAGCTGCCACCAGAGCCACCACAGGGATATGTAATGGGCCCAGCCAGGCCTAAGGGCCCATCACAGGGAGACGCAAGAAAGGGAGCAGGTGACAGAAGCACGGCGGCTCCCTCCACAAAGCTGCGGCCCCCGCAGGGCTCCCTCCCTGGTGAAGAGTTCCAGGACCACAGCGGGAGGGGCATAAAGAGCCAAACACACCCGGTCCCCTCGGCCACAGCAGGACCAGCACACAGTTGGGGCAGGGCGGGCGCATGGTTCGGACTGATGCTAGGAAAAACTGGTGACACCAGGTCTGTCCACTAGTCTGGGCGGGACTGGGTTGACGTGCATGGAGCTGGGTCCCCACGGCAACGAGGGCACACGGAGGCCTCCACGGAGCACAGAGAGCAAGCAAAGCGACCCTGAATTCCTTTGTGTTTGTTACTGGTTTTGTTCTTTGTGTGGTTGGGTGTTTTTTTTCTTCTTTTCTTTTAAATAAAAATGCTGCAAGGTTTCCGCCTCTGCGTTCCCCTTGTGATGGCTGGCAGGTGGTCTGGAAGCGTCCCGGATGGCGGCCAAGCCGCGCTGGGGCAGGTGTCCTGGCAGCGAAGGGCAGCCCGGCCGCAGGCCACGTCACTGCACAGCGGCGTCCGGGTGGCTCTGGTATCGCTGCCTCCAAACCTCCTGGATCTTCCTGCACCACTTGTGTGCGTTCCCGCTGGGGTCCATCAGATAATACGTCCTGTTAGGCTGCGAAGACAGAAGCCGTTTAGTGTTCTCCAGGGAGTCCCACCAAAACCCCCACCCCAACCTGGTGAGCTGCCTGCGACCAGCCATTCCGAGTCCTGAAAGCACGTGGGTGTGACGGTTATTCACACAAGCAGTAAGCAACTACACAGGCTGATGACCACCACCCCCAGTCACCACCAAACTGAAAAACAAGCACAGGGTGTCCCCTGCCCCCTCAGGACTGAGCCACTAGTGTGGGCGTCTGGGATGTCGGAAAGGGCGAGGCAGCTGCCCCGATCCCCGCTGCTCCCTCTGGCCAAGGCCTGTGGCTGCTTCCCACGTGGTGCAAAGCCCTCCCATTACCCTGCACACAGAAATCCCTGGGAACAGACTCACCGTGTGGACAAAGAAAGTTTTAAAATTCTTGGCCTCTGGTCGAAGTTCTTGTGACCAAGGAATTTCACCTTTCAGAACTTTGTTGACAGGATCCACATAATATAAATGTGGTCCTTCTGTGAGCAACAGCTGTCGTCGTCTTGCAAATAAACCCTGACGCCAAAACACAAAACAACAGGCCTCAGAGGCCAGTGCTGACGGCATCTCCTGGAGCCTAGAGGGCTGGGCGGCCCCTCGGAGCTGCTCAGGACACAGGGCCACCACCACCACCTGTGCACTCACCCAGGGGCAGGGGACTTCCTGCCCCACCAGGCCCAGTTTCTAAGGTCACAGGGGATGCAGCACAGGCCTCTGCTGCTGAGATGGCGCAGACAGCCCATCCAGATCGGGCCCATGGCTCCCCTGGCCCCTCTGCTCTGCCTGGGACAGAAGCCTGCTCTCGGTAGCCGGCCTCCACCCACCTGCACCGAGATCCTTGCCTGCGGAGGACATACGGCCAGGAACAGAGGCCAGGAGCCTGCGCTTGGAAGTGGCCCCGTGAGCACCTGGAGCTGAATATTTTCTAACCAAGGGTTAAAGCTAACAGTTACTGGTTTGTGTTCTGTCTAATCATACTGAAATTCCTGATCTGACGTTCTACTGTAGAAGTAATATGATTTATATTTGAAAAAGGTACAAGATGACCAAATAAATACCTGAGCACATCCACACACTTGCCTGGCTCCATACAGACCACTTGCTAAGTGCTGGATCCATTTAATCCATAAAATAAAGAACAACCCGGCCGGGCGCCGTGGCTCACGCCTGTAATCCCAGCACTTTGGAAGGCTGAGACGGGTGGATCACGAGGTCAGGAGATCAAGACCATCCTGGCTAACACGGTGAAACCCCGTCTCTACTAAAAATACAAAAAAAGATTAGCCGGGCATGGTGGCGGGCGCCTGTGGTCCCAGCTACTCAGGAGGCTGAGGCAGGAGAATGGTGTGAACCTGGGAGGCGGAGCTTGCAGTGAGCCGAGATCGCGCCACTGCACTCTAGCCTGGGGGACAGAGCAAGACTCCATCTCAAAGAAAAAAATAAAGAACAACCCTTAAATGGTTTTGAAACACTTCTAAAGAAATATTAGACCACTGGCTAAGATATCACATGTGGCCTCTTCAACTTGACGGAAACCTCAAAACAGGCAGCCCCAGGCTCCCAGGAGTGTGGGCGGTTGCTTCTGCACTGCCCTAACCGCCTACGCGTGTGGCTCCACATGGCTTCTCTCAAGGGACTTAAGCCTTCCCGAGCTATGAAATCTAGAGATGATGTCTGATGAAAATCAAGAGATGGAAGGATTCCACGCCACCAAGCTGCCCTCCCCTAAGCTGGAGTCGGGGAAGATGCAGGTGTCCGTGCGGAGCAGCGGGACCACTGACCACTCACCTTCCGCTTATCCACTGGGCCCATCTTTAGTATTAAATTATTTTCTACAAACTGGTGCCTGTGGAAAGAAACAAGAAAGAGATGCTCCCATGACAATCACAAACAGAAATTCTCCACGCTCCTCCTGCCACACGAACTCCCCATAGCCTCGGCCTGCCCCTCACAGAGCCAGCCTCACTTTGGGATGAGCAGAGAACGTTCGCCACATGTAACCCAGCACATACAGCACTGCCACGCAGAGAGCCTTAATCCGTATTTGCAACGGAGCCTGCAGATACCAGACACAGTGCCTGTTGCCCCCTCACTGCCAGTGACATCCACACAGCGGGGAAAAGGTGGGGGAGGACCGTGCTGTAGAAACGGGCAGGTGACACAGGTCATTGCTGCCTTAACAAAGCTGTGGTGAGGCGCAGAACTGCCTCCCGAAAGGTGGCTGCCCGCGGAGTCAACAACTGGATGAGATGATCGCCCTCAAGTTACCCCACAAGCTGGGGCCCCTGATTCAGTGCTCAGGATCCACAGAGCCGTTTATAATCACAAAGCTCTGACAGACCCAAGTTGGACGTAAGAACATCTCCTCTGGTTTTTCCATCATAGTAAAACACTTTTATTCAGAGACGGCAGAAATTCAAAGAGCAAGATTCACATAGAGGCTTTAATTTAATATACATTATTAGCAAGCACACGTCACTTTTGATTCCTAAAAGTTCAAGAGATTTTTGTTTTTAGAGACAAAGTCTTGCTCCGTCACCCAGGCTGGAGAGCAGTGGCGCCACCATAGCTCACTGTAGCCTCAATCTCCTGCGCTCAAGCCATTTTCCCACCTCAGCCTCCCGAATAGCTGGGACCACTGGCATACACCACCATGCCCAGCTAATTTTTTTTGTATCTTTAGTAGAGACGGGGTTTCACCGTGTTAGCCAGGATGGTCTCGATCTCCTGACCTTGTGATCCACCCGCCTCGGCCTCCCAAAGTGCTGGGATTATAGGCGTGAGCCACTGTGCCCGCCAGGCTAATTTTTTTGTATTTTTAGTAGAGATGGGGTTTCACCCTGTTGGCCAGGCTGATCTCGAATTCCTGACCTCAAGTGATCCGCCTGCCTCGGCCTCCCAAAGGGCTGGGATTACAGGCATCAGATACCGCGCCCGGCCCCAAGATACTATTTTAATGTCTGCAGTTTACCTCATGTGGTTAAAGCTAACAGTTACTGGTTTGTGTTCTATCTGATCTTACGGAAATTCCTGATCTGAGGTTCTACTATAGAAATAATATGCAGTTTGTTTGTTTGTTTGGTTTTTTTGAGACAGAGTCTCGCTCTGTCGCCCAGGCTGGAGTGCAGTGGTGTGCCATCCTGGCTCACTGCAACCTCTGCCTCCCGGATTCAAGTGATTGATGCTCCTGCCTCAGCCTCCCAAGTAGCTGGGACTACAGGTGCGCACCACCACGCCCAGCTAATTTTTTGTATTTTTAGCAGAGATGGGGTTTCACTATGTTAGCCAGGATGGTCTCAATCTCCTGACCTTGTGATCCACCCACCTAGGCCTCCCAAAGTGCTGGGATTACAGGCATGAGCCACCACCCCCGGCCAATAATATGTTTTATATTTGAAGAAGGCATAAGATGATCAAATCAATATCTGAGCACATCCACACGCCTGCCTGGCTGCACACAGGGCCAACAGCACTTGTGAGAAGACCGGACTGGCCGAGTTGGGGGCACAGCATCTTCCCCCAGGGCTTACCCAGCCCCACCATCTGACCCACCCAGACCTGGGCAGATCAGTGCCCAGGCCTGCCCCAAGAGGGAGGACCCAGGGCCTGGCCTCACACACACATCCCATCCTGTGGGTCTGAAGCAAGAGGAGTGTGTGGCATGCGGGCAAGTGCAGCCCTCCTCTCGCACCAGGGACTTCGCCTGCAAACACACACAATGTGGGTATTAAAACAAAGAGAAACAGATCAAGGAGGTTCCTGAAAAGGACATGTGATGAGGAAGACCCACCACAGCACAGAAAGCATAGAGCACAGAAATGCCTGGAGGGACCACAGAGCCGGCAGGAAGCCACTCTGACAGACAGGCCTGTGACCAGGCAACAGCGCAGAGGAACAACAAAGGAAAATTCATCATAAATTACACCGGGGCAGGCAGCGTGGGAGGCACAGGGTCCCTTTGAGCCCAGGCCAGTCAGAGCTCTTGCAGGCAGATGAGGACGGAGAGGGCCCCACGGCCTCTCCCCATCCTCAGCTTTCACCACACGCCAGCAAGTGCCAGAAGAGGTGATGAGATGCATGGTTTAAAATACCAACTCGAAGGAGAGAAAAACCAGAAGAACACAGCAGCCCATCCCTGCAACCTGTGTGGGAGGGGCCGCCTTCCTGGCTGAGAGCGAGAACAGCAGCCCAGCACTGAGCTGTGGGAGCCACGGAAAGAGGACGAAACCACCTCCACCTAAAAAACCACCAGGACCACAGCTGGGGCGGGAAAGGACTTCCAGATACAGCCGCCATGGGCCATCAGCTGCACCCCACAGCAAATTCACAGTGCCACGAGAGGCTTGGAACCCAACAGAAAACTCAACAAAATGACACAAACTAAAAATTCCCAGAAGAGGAATTCAGTGACACAAGAAACTCTCAATGGCCCTAAATGAAGACATTGAGCTGGGCCGCTCCACCCTGATCATCTGGGCATGCCACAGGCACGGGCGTGCAGGAGTGGTGCTCCCGCTCGGCACCTGCAGCCTGGGGAGGACTCACTGAGGAAGCGATTCGGAAATAGTACTGAGAAGTAGCCTCGCTTCCAGAAATCCATCCTGAGAAAAAAAAAGGCCACAGGCAAGGAGCCCAGAGGCACTCCCAGCAGTGTCACCCATGCCAGGGACACTGAAGCCCCAGAGTGGCTCAGTGACAGAACACGCCAGCACCACGGGGAGGCAGGCAAGGGCCCCACGGACAGGCGCCACCCACCCCCGCGCCAGCATCCCCTGAGAGAGACAATGAAATGGACAATTCCACTCCCCGGTGGCCCAGGGTGCATGGACAGAGACTGCGGGCAAAGCTCCACTGGCGGCATCTAGAGCACAGCGTGTGTGCAGCGGATTCACCTGCCAGCTCACGACAGAAACAGCTCCTTGCTGTGAGCACTTCCAGGAATCACCTTGATTTTTTTTTTTTTTAAGACAGAGTCTCGCTCTGTTGCCCAGTCTGGAGGGCAATGGCACAATCTTGGCCCAGTGTAACCTCTGCCTCCTGGGTTCAAGCGATTCTCCTGTCTCAGCCTCCTGAGTAGCTGGGATTACAGGTACCCACCAGTAGGCCCAGCTAATTTTTGGTAATTTTAGTAGAGACAGGGTTTCACCATGTTGGCCAGGCTGCAATCACCTTGATTTTCTACTGTCTCCTGCAGAAAATCCCCTGCCCTGAGAGCCCTTTCCTCCCTGGGAGGCTGGGCAAGAGCTGAAGACCTGGAGACACACCTAACTACTCGCCATGCACACGGGACTTTCCCGAGGCACCTCACTCTCATACACCGCCATCTTGGCTCCCTCAAAACAGGCGACACCTCTCCCCACCTCTGCACAGAGGAGGATGCAGGGCAATCCACAAGGGGTGACCATAGAAAACCCCCTTTCCCGATGCCAAAGCGCAGGTTCTTGCCACCTCCTCCACCCTCCCTCACCCAGACCCCAAAAAGAGCATTGTCAAGGATCCAAGCCCAAAGCCACTGGCAAAGCACCTGCCACGCCCAGGAGAGCCCCAGCAAGGACCCAGAGCCCCGCTGGAGGCTTTTCCACCCCTCGGGAGGGCTCTGCAGGCTCAGCTTCACTGCCAGTAAGGGCGGGAGCCAGTGGCAATGGCGGACGGGCCCCAGGTTTCCTCTCCAACCTTCCAGTCCTATGGCCCCTCACACTCTTTACCTCTGTGGAAGACCCCAAAGAGCTTTCAGATCAACTGATATGTACTACGCAGGAAATTAAAACTGAGACATTTTCAAATGTTTAATTCATTAAAATACAATAAACCCATTACTATTAACATACATTACTTTTATTTTTAAAATAACTACTTTCCAAAACAAAAATAATGAATGAGGAGAGTGTGCCACTCTGTGCGCTGCACAGGCCTCTCCTGTTCGGCTGATAAGGAGAGTGCTGGGTCCCCGCATCCACCTGCGCCCATACTCTGCTGAGATCTGTGTTCAGGCGGAAGAACACGGCAAACACCCAGCCTCACTCAGATAAACAGCTAGAAAAGGGAGGAGTATACTCAGCCTTTTTAGAGACTGGAGTCACTTCCTGGCCTTTTGGCTAAGAATAAGTGTAGATGTTTGTGGATATTCTTCTTGGACACTACACTGCAGTTCAGAAGGTGGTGGCTGCTTAAAGCTCGGTTGCAATGTGAAATCTGACTCGTAACAATACATTTCCACACACCGTGACACTAAAAACCATCAATCTACCCTGCACTAGGGGCTCTTCTACCCTCATGTGATTTCATAGGGTCATACATGGGGGCTGAATGATGTAAAGCTTCCAAACGTTGACAAATTTCATTCTACGGTTTCCACAGATCAATTCATGGATATCACTATGTATCAAATGACTTTTGGCCTCTAATCCCAGCACTTTGGGAGGCCGAGGCAGGTGAATCACTTGAGGTCAGGAGTTTGAGACCAGCCTGACCAATATGGTGAAACCACGTCTCTACTATAAACACAAAACTCAGCCGGGTGTGGTGGTACACGCCTGTAATCCCAGCTCCTCGGGAGGCTGAGGCAGGAGAAATGCTTGAACCTGGGAGGCGGAGGTTGCAGTGAGCTGAGATTGTGCCACTGCACTCCAGCCTGGGCGACAGAATGAGACTCCGTTTCAAAAACAGAAAAAAAAAAAAAAAAAGACTTTTGGCCTGGTGCAGTAGCTCACGCCTGTAATCCCACCACTTTGGGAAGTCATAAGCGAGAGGAATGCTTCAGCCCAGCAGTTCGAGACCAGCCTGGGTAACATAGTGAGAGCTTGTCTCTTTCTTTTTAAAAAATAATATAAACAAACAAAAAAACATAGCTAAAAAAAGTCTTTTATTGGGAAGGTATCAGGCTCACAGTAATGAATAAAGTTTTCCAAAATTCCAATTTTCACTTGAAGGTTTCAATGTTATCACTGACATAAATACAGGCAGTTGTTTTCCTTAAAGTAACAAGCTCATTCCAATCATTTTCAAGAAAAATACTGGCCAAATAGCTAAGTCTGCATAACGGCGGTTTGCCCGTCAGCCAGACGCTCCGCGAGGACAGCAGGCCAACAGCCACAAGCGTGTCTCCCCTGAGATGGCTGCACACTCATGTTTGCGGCAGAATTGAGTGCCCTTCTGTATACTTCCCACTTCATCCCACAAAGTATTCACAACATTCAACATTTTTAACAAAGGCTCAGAAGCGAGACTGGTTTCTTTCCTCTCTCTCTTCCTGTGGGTGAGTGCTGTGAAGATATGACTATTGCCCTGGCACTGCTTGGTGCCATGGCCTCAAGTCATAGTGAAACCCTGTCTTCACTAAAAATACAAAAATGAGCCAGGCACGGTGGCACACACCTGGTAATCCCAGCTACTTGGGAGGCTGAGGCAGGAGAACTGCTTAAGCCCAGGAGGTAGAGGTTGCAGTGAACAGAGATCACTCCACTGCACTCCAGCCTGGGCGACAGAGGGAGACTCCGCCTCAAAAAAAAAAGAACATCATCCGTGATGAGAAGCCAGGGGACACAGGCCAAGCGACAGGTCCAGGCTGTCTGTAGACTCATCCACTGTGAGGCAAAAGCACAACTCAGCAGCAGACATGTCAACTCCCTCTTCGTGCCTGCAGTCGTATCTTGAATCCAGCAAGTTTCGACTGCATTGTGGACTGTGGCAGCACAGGATGACCAAGCCTGAGGCTGTGCTGCAGCCGGAGGCTTTGTCTCTCAGCTACCGTGTGGCCTCTCCAGCCTCTACAATGCAGCTTCTAAGAGCTTCAGTGACTCTTTAATTTATTGTCTGAAAAGCTGTTACAAACAACATTGGATTTTAAAGAGCTCATCACACATATTTTTGAAATGTTCCTTTTAAGTGTAAACTATTCCATGTAAATTTAAAAATTCCTTTTACCTTTTTTTTTTTTTTTTTTCCAATTTTGAGACAGGGTCTCACTCTGTCACCCAGGCTGGGGGGCAGTGGCAAGCTCTCTGCTCACTGCAGCTTCAACTTCCAAGGCTCAGGTAATCCTCCTACCTCAACCTCCCCAAGCAGCTAGGACTACAGGTGTGCAGCACCATGCCTGGTTGATTTTTGTATTTTTTGTAGAGACAGGGTTTCAGTTTCTTGCCCAGGCTGCTCTCGAATTCCTGGCTCAAGTGATCCACCCACCTTGGCCTCCAAAGTGCTGGGATTACAGGTGTGATCCTGAACTTAACTTACCGTATTCTCATGTAGGCACAAGGAAAACTTCAGGATTTCAAAATAATGATTCAGTGGATGATAAAATTACAGAGGCTATAGCAGGTATAAATGAAGAGATAGTAAGAGCTCAGTAGAAATATTGAATATTAATCTCAAAAAATGCATACATTGGCTGGCGCGGTGGCTCACACCTGAAATCCCAGCACTTTGAGAAGCCGAGGTGGGCAGATCACTCGAGGTCAGGAGTTCGAAACCAGACTGGCCAACATGGTGAAACCCCTTCTCTACTAAAAATACAAAAATTAGCTGGACGTGGTGGCATGTGCCTGTAATCCCAGCTACTCAGGAGGCTGAGACAGGAGAATCACTTTAACCCAGGAGGCGGAGGTTGTGTGAGCAGAGATCACGCCACTGCACTCCAGCCTGGGCGACAGAGCAAGACTCTCTCTCATTTAAAAAACAAAACATATTGATACCAAAAACCTATGACCTTAGAAAAGACCAAAAGCACGCAGATTCCATTCTACAGCATGTGACCACTGAAAAACTCACCATACACGCACAGAGAATGACAGCAAAAAGGCAAATAACATCTTAGTATTACAAAAAAAACTGCCCTGACCTCGGGGATTTGGTGGCCACACACTGAGAATGCAAACCACTACTGTAAAGAGCAGGTGCTGGACAGACCTCCCAGCAGCCAGACAGATCCTGCAAGATCTCAGGAGTCATCAGCTTCCCAAAAGGACCTAAAATCTGAAGGAAGTGGGAAGGGGAAAGAGAAACCTGAAGACAAAGGAAGCAGGCAGGAGAATGTGTATCCTGACTTGCCGCCATCACCAGGCTAAGGTACCCAGACGGACCCCAAGGCCCTCTAAGAACAGCCCCAGGCAGAGGGGCCTCTTCTGGGAGTCACCAAAGGAGCTGAAACACACACACACCTGCAGACAGCACCTCTCAGCTGGGATCTGCAGAGAGAGCGCTCCTGGCCAAGTACTTGGAGTGGCCACAGCAGCCCTTCGTGGGGACCCCAGCACACACGAGCCCGGGAAGCTCCTTGCATAGCCAGGCACACGCCTCCTTGCTGCTTGGAGCTGCGCAGCACAGCACGGCTCAGATTGCTCCCATCAAGAGCCCTCCTCTCCTGCTCAGTACACATTAACATCTCTAGCAATCACACTAGGTGTGATTCAGAGCCCCTAGCTGTAGACTGTTGCTGCCTGCCAGCATCTCTGCACAGGTTTTCTAGAGACAGGTGTGGCGAACCGCATAGAGCCGTGGTCTTCCCCACCTGCCGGGGCGGCCCAGAGCTCAGCTCCTTCCTCTCATTCCTCCCCACAAGTCTCTCAAGTCACATGTGTCCTGTCCCTGCCTAGCCAGGCCCTCAACTCCCCCTCGTCTTGTGCTTCCACTCCAGCATGCCTTCCTGCAAGGCCCTCTCCCCACCCCCTTGGGCTCCTCTCTGCCCACACAAAAGGGAAAAGCAGGTAAAAATATTAGGGGGGAAGCCCGTCTTACCAGATTAAAATGGAAAACATAAAATATAAATAGGGACAGGATGGACTTGGTAAGAATTTGCAGCTTCCATACAAAAACACAGTATCGAGACTGGAGAGAAACTGAAGAATGTTTGCAAAACATACAACAAGGAATAGTCTCCATACACGTGGCTTTTAAAAATCCATGTTAAAAAGAGGCACCAGCCTGGCCAACACAGGGAAAGCCTGTCTCTATCAAAAAATACAAAAATTAACCAGGTGTGGTGGCAGGTGCCTGTAATTCCGGCTACTTGAGAGGTTGAGGCAGGAGAATTGCTTGAACCCAGGAGGCAGAGGTTGCAGTGAGCTGAGATCGCGCCACTGCATTCCAGCCTGGGTGACAGAGCAACACTCTGTCTCAAAAAAAAAGATGCAAAATATACAAGAAAGAATAGTCAAAGGACACAAAGTACCTCAAAAAAGAAACACAAATGGTCATGAACACAGGAGACATCTGCCTCAATAGGAATAAAACAGAAATTCACAAGTTTGTTTTTGGAGCATCAAAACACTCTCAGGCAGGCAAGAGCATTGGGAAAGGCAGATTCCTGGCGCCCCCGCGACAGATCCCCAGCCCTGAAAACACGCACGCCCTCCATCACACACTGCCCCTGGCACTCACCTTAGAAGACATAAATGGACAAGTGGGGAAAGCTATGTGGAAAAGAGGGGCTACAACAGCAAACCTCATAAACTCCCAAGTGGCCAGGTCCAGGCCGCGTCTGTCCATACCACAGTGACTCCATGGCCACAACCAGCAGGTCCAAATGCCCGGCAGAGGAGGGGAGCGCCCGGCGGTCACAACCCACTCAGCCCCTGGGCCGGCTGCCTCCTAAGCACCTGTTTCCAACTGTGCACTTACGATGTGCTCCTTGGCCAAGCGTCCAAGGCTGCTGAGGGAGGCAGTGACAAGGCAAAGGCACCCACCATAAGCCCCCACGTGTTCACGCTGCAATTCTGCAAAAAGCATTGCTTATGTCCATAAGTTCTTACCAAGGGTTTCCGCCAGCCTGCTTCTCCAACAACAACCTCTTCTCATCTTCGGAAAACTGTAAGTCCAGTTCAAAGGAGTTCGAGTCCAGATCGTGAATGTACTGCTCTATGTTGCTGCCTGACCTCTGGGGCAGGCCCGTGTCGGAGGCTGACAGGGAGTGTGAGGAGGAGGACGAAGACACCTGCATGCAGCCAAACTGGCTCAGGAGATTGTCATACTGCAGAGAAGAAGGGAAAGTGAGAACCGCACCTTCACTTGCCTCTAAGGTCCTAAAACCCCAGCCCCTCCCGCACTGCCGCTGTCAGGCCTTGGGAGCTCGCACACAGCAAGGCGCAAGGCGACAGGGTGGGCAGCCCTGATTCTCCTCCATGGGACACCTGGCCACAGAACCGAGGCCTCACTGGATCCTGCCTGGTCGGGCTCCTCTTCCCATGGGAATCAGGGCCAGAGAGGGGCGAAGCCTCAGATTTCCTCTCCAGGAAGAGGGGACCTGGGCCCTTACCCTGCGGGCCCCGTGAATGCCAGTGCTGCCCCCCGGAGGTGGGGGCTGGGATGCCTGCTGGGAAGAGAAGGGGCCCAAGGAGGCCTGGTGGCAGATCCATCACACAGGCTGGCAGACAGGGCCTCCGTGCAAGACCTTGTTGGGCCCCAGGTGTCTTAGGAGTCTGAGTCTGTGGTAGATGCTAAATATTTTGATTTGACTAAACACATTCAATTGTTTAAAAGACATTCCTCTTAATCCCAGCAAAGATAAACTAAACTTACTGTAGATAACGCTGCCTGTTACTCTAGGAAAAAGACAAGCTAGTGTCGACAACGGAAACTCACTCATAAACGTGCCAAGCGGACACAGCCTGTGCACTAACACGCTCCTGGCACTGCCAAGGCCAGAGAGTCCCTGGGCAAGGGAAGCCACCTCCCCGGCTGCAGGCCCCACATCTGAGCTCTGTGGAGGCCAAGGACAAGGGGAAAGAAAAGGTGCCACGAGCAATGGCTAGGATAAGAGTGCGGCATGCCCTTCCACGTCCTCCGTGCCTCCAGACGCAGGCCCTGGCTGCTGCCCCACGCAACCATCCACACATGCAGCGTCCCCCATGTGTTCACACTCCTACAGCTGCACCACAGCCCCGCCTCACAGCCCTAAAGCCTCGCACCCAGCTGGGCTGGAGCAAGGTGCTCGCCAACGGGCATGGTGGAAACGCCCGACGCTGCCGGCCCCTCCACGCCGGCCCCTCCACGCCGACCCCTCCACGGGGTGTGGGCCTGCCCAGCCTGCTTGTCTCCAACACTGCCCAATGGTCACACTGCCCCGGCACTTACAGGACCTCAGGAGAGCAGGAGCCAACGAAGCACCTGCTCTCCTGCCTTGGCCCAAGGGCAGGTACCATGGCCAACCTCCCTGGCTGAAGGGGACGCCCAGTGCCCATTCCCCATGAAGGAGGGGGTGCGGCCCTGCAGGGAGGGAGGAGGTACAGCCCTGAAGTCTCCTTCCATGCTTGACACCGTTTGCCAAGACTCACTCACTGTCCCCGTGTGAGGTCTGGCCTGGGAGCTCCCTGCCTGGACCCACTCCAAGGCTTTCAAACCACACAGCTGTGCAGAGCTAAGGATGGGCCATCTAACAGGCGGCTGCCAACAAATGGAGCCTGGCTTCACAGACGGCAACAGAAGCCACGTATCAAGCAGCCCCAGCTCTCAGTAGGCCCAGGCACAGGGGCCTGCACAGGTATGCGGCAAGTGCAAGCACACACACCCCCACACTCAGAGAAGCTCCCCAGGCATTGAGACTGGAGACAACTGAAGCCTGTGCTGCTCCTTCAGAGCCCAGCTACCTCCCTGGGAGCAATGGAGCACAGAGCCCACGGGAGAACGGCCACCAGCCAGTCGCGAGCAAAACCTCTGCAGCAACAGCAGGCCCAGCAGGGAGAGCACTGCAGCCCCGTGGCACCTGCCAGCCGTAACCAAACACCACGCAGGAGCAGCTGAGTGGCACACAGGGTGGGGGCAAGGGCCTCGAGGCTCCCAGGCCTCTGCATACATGAAAGCTGCAGGTGGCCACATCAAGCGGCACAGACTCCGCTCCCCAAGCCTGGCTCCCTTAGAGTTTGGGCTCAAAGGATGTCGGGAGGATGAGGGGCGTTACACAGCAGGTAGGGGCGTTGGGAAACTTTGACACTAGCAGAAATTTAGCTGTGGATGACTTTTAGATAAAATCTAGAATTCCCAGCTGGGTGCAGTAACTCATGCCTAAAACCCCAGCAGTTTGGGAGGCCGAGGCGGGTAGATCACTTGAGGTCAGGAGTTCCACACCAGCCTGGCCAACACGGCGAAACCCTGTCTCTACTAAAAATACAAAAATTAGCCGGGCATGGTGGTGCACACCTGCAGTTCCCGCTAGTCGGGAGGGCGAGACAGGAGAATCGCTTGAACCCACAGCGGCAGAGGTTGCAGTGAGCCGAGATCGCGCCACTACACTCCAGCCTGAGTGACACACCAAGACCCTGTCTCAAAACAAACAAAATCTGGACTTCCTCAGTCATGGAAAGTGGAACTCCGTACACGGTGCCAGTTAGAATAAGCCATGGCGACAGAAGTCAAACCAGAAAAATGGATCTCATGATAACAGCACTTAAGTACGAGGGGGTCACGGGGGAGGTGGCAAGAGGAACTCAGAGGAAACAAGGCTGAAGTGGGCGACATGCCTGCCTCTCACAACACCCTCGGTCCCTTGGGCACATGGTCCACGCTCTCTACGAGAAGCTTAAAGAGCCAAGCGTGCTGAAGACCCCATGGCTGTGGTCAAGCTGGGAGACCAGCAGCCTCAGAGCCTACTCAGCACTGAAGAAGGTACCAGTGTCCCCACCAACGCCACGTCCCAAAAGTTCAAGCACACAACACTCGGGGGTTTCTGTGGAAAGACAGGCAGTGTTCTGGAGCATCTTGGCCGCACAGTTGTACAAGCACCAAGCCAAGCGCAGATGCGACAGGCCGGGCAGGAGGCCCCGTACGTGGGACCCCGGGGCCAGTGCCGGGGGTGCTCGGCGTCCGGTTCTAGCGGCACCCTGTGGGTGGAAACTCACTAGCCTGTCCACGGCCACGGAAATGAGGAGAAAATGACCCACCCAGCACCTCACCCGCCACTGCCTCACGGCAGCAAAGACTACAACCACCAGCAGGCCTGCCGCAGTGGCACAGACACCCTCCCCTTTCGGCTACAAATCACACGTGGGTCTGGCGCACGGGCATGAAGCCCAGTGCACGGAGGACCCAGTGCCACCTGCCTCGCCCGCCATCCCGGCCAGCTTACATTGCCATAGCAGTCCTCGTCGTCTTCCGACATAGCCGGCAGGTAAGCGGTGAGCTTCGGAGGCGTCTGCTGGTGCAGGTTCTCCCACGTGACGGACTCGAAGAACGGGTGTGCTTTAAGAGGTCCGTATCCTTCCATTTCCTCACAGCCTAACCGCTTTGTGGCATCTAAAACCTTAAGTAACAATCAAGACAAGTCACTGCCAGGGTGAAAACGTGATTCTGACCAAAGAAACCCAAACCTGGTAGCCGGGCACGGTGGCTCATGCCTGTCATCCCAGCACTTTGGGAGGCTGAGGCGGGCAGATCACCTGAGGTCAGGAGTTCGAAACCATCCCGGCCAACATGGTGACAACCCGTCTCTACTAAAAATATAAAAATCAGCTGCGCGTGGTGGTGCACGCCTATAATCCCAGCTACTCGGGAGGCTGAGGGAGGAGAATCGCTTGAACCCGGGAGGCAGAATTTGCGGTGAGCCACGATCGCACCATGGCACTCCAGCCTGTGCGACGAGAGCAAAACTCCATCTCCAAAAAAAAAAAAAAATATATATTTATCTCATCTCATCATAAGTCCCTTTCCATTTCCAAGTGCCTGATTCTTGACAGGAAATGACTGTAGCAGGAATAATAAAAGAAACTAAAATTTAGAAATCAACGGAAATTACTGTACCATTTAGCATTTGCTCAACACTGCACAGCATTTTAAGTTACTGGTGCTGGAGCGACTGGGGTTATGACAGCGCAGATGGCTGCAGACCCTAGTTCGTGACATCTGTACATTTCAGCTTTAGAGTCAGCTACATGAAAATTCGAACGACCAGCCCAGGTAAAACAGAGAAGAGAGGTTAGCCTGGGAAAGGTGTATCAGTTTATATTCTAGAAACAGAAGTCTCCTGACCTTCCTGTGCTTTTGGCCCTGGACGTCCCTCCTTACCACGACTCTGGGAGCGGGCTCAGTCCTGCCCCTGCAGGTGGCCCCGGGATCGCTAGGCTCCACAGCCACTGGCTTCTCCCAACCTGTCTCACCTCTTTCCCCTGGGCTGGGGTGTGGGCTTGATCAGTCCCTGGAGGAGACAGCTCTGCGGCCTTCGAGGGTCCCAGCGACACCCACTCCACAAGCGCAGGAGCGTGCTGGTCCCAGTGATGATTCGCTCCCTTTGTTAATTACTCAGTGTTTCTTGTTTTAGGATTTTTAACTATACACTGTAAAAGAATCCTTGCTGCTGTTCATTGTGTTTTGAGACTGAGATTCCTTTTCACCTGTGCGAGGAAAGGGGCCGAGCCTTGAGGGGCAGCACAGGATCCCAGGGCCTGCCTCCCCGTCCAGTTGCTCTGCGGTGGATGGAGGGGGCGGGGGGGCGGGGAACAGTACGGGGTGCTCTCCAGCAGATACTGAGAAGTGACAATAAGTACTCAAAACGTTTGGGTTTTGTTTGTTTGTTTGTTTGTTTGAGACTCTCGCTCTGTCGCCCAGGCTGGAGTGCAGTGGTACGATCTCGACTCACTGCAACCTCCGCCTCCCGGGTTCACACCATTCTCCTGCCTCAGCTTCCCAAGTAGCTGAGATCGCAGGCGCCCGCCACCATGCCCGGCTAATTTTTATATTTTTACTAGAGACGTGGTTTCACCATAGAGGCCAGGCTAGTCTCAAACTCCTGACCTCAGGTGATCCACCTGCCTCAGCCTCCCAAAGTGCTGGGGTGACAGGCGTGAGCCAATGTGTCTGGCGAGACTAGGTGTAATGATCCACACTCACTGTTAACCCTAAAAACACCATTTTTTGTGAACACGGGAGCCTCCAGGAAAGCCACTCAGAAAGCAGGTTCAGAGGACTCAGGGTGTCCCGGATCACCTTTCTAAAAGGAAATTCACGATATTTACCAAAAGTTTCTCCACGAGGTCTCTTGCCTTAGGGAAGAATTTTTCTGGAAAGTCATATTCCAACTTAATGATCTTCTGAAATATAAGATACTCGTTTCTGTAAAAATTTAAGAAAAAAAAAGTCATCCCAGGCAGGGTCCCAGAAGCCTCCACACGCAGGGATGAGCGCCCCGGACTCGCAGCACGGCAAACGCACCCCGGCCCCGCACGCCGAGAGCCCCCCACCTGGGCACGGCACCAAGTGCTGCCCTCCCCCACCCACCTCGAGGCTGGGAGGGACTGCCGGCCGGTGGGGTGCACCCCAACAGGCTCCAAGGCCCAGGCAACGCCGTCTCCTTACCCAGCTCGGAATGGTGGGAGTCCTGCCACAAGCTGGTATATTATGCATCCAAGAGCCCAAAGGTCTGAACTTTAAGGTAGGGGAAACAAACAAACAAACAAAGACATGTGTAAAATACAAGCGACAAGCCCAGTCCATTTCCCACTCTGTCTCCAAGGCCCCAGTTTCACCTCTAATGCGCTTCTATCCTTTCAGACCAGTTGGGTGTGAGGGTGGGGAACCCGCCCTCTGGAGAAGCCTCCCTGCGGCCTGGGCCCAGAGGGTGTGCACGCGGCAGGCACCGGCGGTCGTTCAGCTGTGCCCAAAGCTTCGCGGCTTCCAACAGGGCTTACCAACGTCCACACACGCCTGTCATCCTGAAGCAGAGCAGAGCTCACTCCTGGCACCACGTGGCTACAGACCAGGCAGGGGGCAGGATGGGAGGGAATGGGGCTGACCCTGTTCCAGTGAGACAACCCAGAAAGCTGAAGGAAGCGCCCTCCGGTCAGTGCTGGCGGAGGGCTCGCCGGGGCAGGAAAGTGCGGCACAGGCGAAATGAATGACCGCGACGTTCACACTTGACTTTCTTTAGTGTTTAGTTAAAATGGGGAGCAACAAAAGAAAACAGGCAGCAGAGCCTCCGCCTTTCAGTGTGGAAGCAGCAGAGAGAAGAGGGGTGCCGGGGGCAGAGCTGTGCCTGGACCCTCACGGGGTCCTCTCCAGAGCGTGGAATTCAAGCAGAAAGGGATTCTGGGGGTAGCTTTTCACCTCTGTGAATTATCGAATGTTTTATCATAAACACTTACTTTAGAATTTACGTATTTTTTAATACGATACAAAAATGGAAGGGGAAGCCAGTATTACACTTCTGGAAAACACATGTACCAAGGGCGTATCAAATAAACGTTCAGTTAGAACAAGTCATGCCACTTCCTGAAATCCACACCGAGGAATTCAGGGCGGCCTCTCACTCAGCCCAGCAGACCCCGTCTCGCCCACTAGAGGGAGAACAGGGCACCCCCACCCTGACCCCAGGCAAAGAGACCTCCTCCTGCCCATGCAGGTTGGGTGGCGCATCAGACACACGCCAGTGTGTGAATCCATGGAAACCCCTTCAACGCACAACAGTACAGAAACAGGCCCATGAACCACAATCTGTTCATGCGACAGAAAACCACACACTGATCAAGACACCCACAAGTCATTCCAATGACCTGGGGAAGCGCCCATTATATAATCATGCAGGGCTCAAAACTGCTTGTCCAACGTGACTCGAATGGCATAAAAGCCACGCAAACAGCTATAAAATGCACAGAAAGAATGACTGGAAAGACATATACCTGTACGCCCAATTATTATCTGTGACTATAAGTGGGTTTGGAGATTTATTTTCTAAGACCTCTTCATAATTAATTTCTCTTTTCTTTTTTTTCTTTTTTCTTTTTCTTTTTTGAGACAGGGTCTTACTCTGTCACCTAGGCTGGAATGCAGTGGCACAATCTCGGCTCACTGCAACCTCTGCGTCCGCCTCAGCCTCCCGAGTAACTGGGCCTACAGGCGCTCGCCACCAGGCCCAGCTAATTTTTGTTACTTTTAGTAGAGACAGGGTCTCGCCACGTTGGCCATGCTGGTCTCGAACTCCTGGCCTCAAGCAATCTGCCAGCCTCAACCTCCCAAAGTAATGGGATTACAGACGTGAGCCACCACGCCCGGCCTCTTTCAATTCTTTATAATAAAAGTTCTTAACTATGTTTAATATCACATGATTAAAAAATTCAAAAGCATAAAAAGAGATGCAGAAATGCCTTCCTCATAAACCTGTTCCCTCACCCCATAGACAACTACCATCATCCGTTCAGTGTCTATCCCTCCAGAGAACCTGAAACGCGCAAACGAGAAAACGTGAATACACATTCCTCCTTTTTCGAAGAGGGCAGGATCCTATGCGTATATTCGTAGAGCTTGGAGATCTTTCTGCACCAATGCTAAAGTGGCCCTCCGCCCTGAAAGTAAAATCTACAAACGAGGAAACGCTAGCTCTTAGGTGGCGACGACAAGCACTTTGAAAGCCGGGTACGTCGCGCCCCCCCCCCGCCCACCCCCCACCTGTGGGAGGGACTGTCCTCTGGGTCTCGGGATGCTGAGCAGCTCATCCTCGCCTCCCCCGCTGGATGCCAGCCGTACCCCTGCTCCAGCTGTGACAACTAAAACTGTCCAGACAGGGCCAAGTGTCCCCTGGGGAGCAGAATCACTCCAGTTGGGAAGCTCTGACCTAAAGCAGTGTCTGGCCATGCTAAGAACTCAGTATCTGGCCGGCCGCCATGTCTCACGCCTGTAATCCCAGCACTTTGGGAAGCCGAGATGGGAGGATCGCCTGAGCCTAGGAGTTCAAGATGAGACCGGGCAACACAGCAAGACCCCATCTCTGTTTTAAAAAAGAATTCAATAATAATGAAAAGACAACTCAGTATCTGCTGGTTGAAAAAAGTTAAAACAACAAAACCGAAAACGCCTGGAGACGGCCGAGACGCTGAGTGAGTGCTCAGAGCCTTTCCACCCTCCCATCACGTTTGTGCCACGGCCCCACCTCCCACAGTTTTTCCTGAAGCTGTCCAGCTCAGAAATCCAGAACTGCCGTCCCCAGAATCATTCATTCTCTCAGAGTGGCTCACTTCACTCCAGGAAGGTGGCCCCTTGTAACCTGGCGGAGCAGGAGAGTGGCAGCATGGGACTCCTGTGGTCCTGTCGACTCACGAGAGCACCAGCAGCCGAAGCTGACCCCAGCCCTCAGCAGCACTTGACTGGCCTGGGGCAGGAGGAACCCCAGCCCCACCCTCATTCCACAAAACTGCTCCCTAGACTTGAAACTCCAGACTCTGATGCTGCCTCTCAGCCTGCCACCTGCCTCCCAGCCACCCTAGACAGCACCTCAGACTTCTCACCAACCCTTGCCGTCAGCTCCCTGGACATCCTCCCCCACACCGCCGGTGGTCCCCTGGCTGGGCTTCTCCACTTTCCCCTTCCTTGACCCGCACCGGCCCTGCAGCCCCTGTACCATCTGCACTTTTTTCATTTTTTCACTATGGAGGCTGCCACCAAGACCCAGCTGTGTCTCTCAAAGACCCTCATGCCTGCTGGACGCCTCCTCCCTCCCACACCCGCACCCTCCAGGGCCTCCCTGCGCTCTGCGGGACGCTGTCCCACTGCAGCTGGTGTGTGGCCGAGCAACCCGAAGGCCGGGCTGCCTGCCCTCCACCCCGACGGGGGGCAGCACCAAGGAAGCCTGGGCTCTGTGCACACGGCAGCCACGCTTTCCTCACTCAATAGTTTTTCCCAAAGAAACGATCAGGCTGGGCATGGTGGCTCACGCCTGTAACTCCAGCACTTTGGAAGGCCGAGGCTGGCAGATCACGAGCTCAAGAGATCGAGACCATCCTAGCCAACATGGTGAAACCCCGTCTCTACCAAAAATACAACAATCAGCTGGACGTGGTGGCGTGCGCCTGTAGTCCCAGCTACTCGGGAGGCTGAGGCAGGAGAATTGCTTGAACCCGGGAGGCGGAGGTTGCAGCGAGCAGAGATGGTGCCACTGCACTCCAGTCTGGAGACAGAGCGAGACTCCGTCTCAAAAAACAAAAAAACAAAAACAAAAAAAACCCAAACGATTCAATCTGCAACCAGAAAGCATCAGCAAACCCAGGAAGCTTAGAACACAACACTAACGCATCACGTGTGTGTACGCCACGGAAAATACGCCTTAAAATGCGAAATGCTAATTTCTTCCCAAGTATGCTTAGCTACTTAAAGGCCACCAAATTCACTCTCTCAAATATTAATTTCTGTGTTAAAGAAAAGGGAAGCACGGCTTAGATGAAAGTGGTTACCTCTTACAGGCGGACTTCTCCGTGAGCAGCTCTGGAGAAACGTACTGCGCTGTTCCCACGAATGAGTTGGCCCTGGCTGCAGAGGAGAGAGAAGGTCACACTCGGACTCACGATCTGTGACAATCAAGGGCTGCGCGGTGGGTGTCGCACATGGCGGACCATGCACCCCCAGGAGCCAGACTTGTCCGGGGCGCACCGGGGCTGGCTCATGGCTCACCGGCTCAAAGACGCCTGCCTGATCCCTGGACACCGGCGCCCTGCACCCTGGCGCTCCCACCCGACACGCGCCTGGACAGTGAGCTGCACACAAACGGCCAGCACATTCTGCCGGTGGCGCCCGCTCAACGGAGGGCATGAGGACACGGCGCTGGCTGGCTCACTGCAGGACCTGGGGTATCCAAACGTGCCTAGGCACACAATAAACAGTTGCAGGCCAGAAAAACCTCCTTTCCATCACAAACAGCTTGGGAGCTGAGGCGCTACAAAGGGAACAAGACTCAGGCCTCCAGCCCAAGGGCCTTCCTCCACAGAGGAGCTGTGACGGAGCAGAGCCACAGCACGAGCTGGCCCAGGGCCACCACGCAGCTGCTGTCCACACCGGCCCTGCCCGTGGGCCGCTTCTGAGTGGTCCCTTCCACCTGCCCTCCTCCGGCCACGCTGAGAGAACCTCCCAGCCTCTGCTGCGGGGACTCAATCCCTTCAGTGAATGACTTTTCTGCGGACTTCATGACTGCCCAGGTGCGGTGGCTCACCCCTGCAGTCCCACTGCTTTGGGAGGCCAAGGCAGGAGGACTGCTCGAGGCCAGGAGTTTGAGACCAGTCTGAGCAACATAGTGAGACTCCGTGTCTAGAAAGAATTTCAAGAATTAGCCAGGCATGGTGGTGCACCTCTAGTCTCAGCTACTCGGGAGGCTGAGAAGGGAGGATCGCTTGAACCCGGGAAGCTGAGGGTACAGTCAGCCACAATGGCCCCACGGTACTCTAGCCTAGGCAATAGAGCCAGACCCTGTCTCAAATAATAAACAAAAAACAAACACTTCATGGCTGCATTTGCATCCTGCCAGGACCCTCAGTGATCCTGCCAAGAACACCAAGGACATCCGCAAACACGCACCCCGCCCCTGCCGGCCTAGAGGAAAGACAACCAAACCAAGGGCCAAAAACAAACGAAGCCATTCAACCCTGCAAAGAATCAAAGAAATGCAAATTAAAACACGACAGCCTATCACACTGGCAAAGGGAAAAAAGAATAAAAATACATAGCGCTGGCAGGGATCTGAGGGGACAGACGCAGCGCTAAGGGTGGGGCTGTCAAATGGCGTCGCTTCTGGGGGCAACTTTCCAATGAGCATCAGAAGTCACAAAGATGTTTGCCTCCCAGACCCTGCAGCTCCCTCTCCATGCTCTGTCCTTCAGGGTCCGGCGTGGCACAGCGACGAGGGCCGCGTCTGCTGGCGGGATGGGACGCCACTTGCTCCACCTACATATTCGGCGTTTCTGTTCTTTACTATCATCGAGTGTTGCTTTTGTGACTTGTACTTTTTCAAATGCCATTATTAAAAAGTCTAGGTTTTTGTCCTCTGGAGAGATGTATATAATGCATAATTAAATGACTGAGGTCGTCGTGCAGCACGCGGAGCCGTATGTGCTTTTAAACAGCCACAGCGTGCACGGAGCAAGTCCGTGAGGCCAACACCCACCCTATCTCTCGGATGAGCGCTACATAGTGACCTGCCGTGCTGTCGGGACCCTCGCTGCTGCTGCTGCTGTTCTAAGCTTCCTGCAAGCGAGCTACGGGCTCGGATCTCCTGGAATCCCTCCCTGCCCTCTCCAACCTCAGCTCCTCCTAGCTCCCCAAGGGTCTTCCCCCTCTCCCTTCTTTCCTCAGGGCTTGCCCACCCTCACCCTCGATTCCTCTGCCACACCTTCCTGAAGGTGGGACTCCGAGCCTCTGGGCATACGCAAAGTCACCCCCTTGGAAAAGGACACCTGTCCTTAGTTTAATCCAGAGACAGACAGCGCCGCTAGAGCGTGGAGAAGATGGCTACCCTCGGAATAATGTTCCAAATGCATAAAATACACAGGACTGTAGGAGAAAGCAATTATAATCCAATACACGTATCAAATTATTGAAGGAATGGATCTGTGATGTAGTACTATGTGACTTGCACGACACAGCAGCAGGTCACGCCGCAGGAACCCGGCAGCGGTGCTCGGCACAACTGGCATGGCGTCACTACCGTGACGTGACCCCTGCGGCAGGACATGGGAACACCTGTGACTTCTGATGACAGATGTTTGTTGCTGATGTTCATAATGGAAGGAAATGGTACGCTTTGCTGAAAGGTTAGTGAAAATTAGTAATTTCCTCCTATCCAGCCTCACAGATCCCCTGACTTCTATCTGTGACATCCGAGCTCAGAGTCCCAGACACAGCGTTAGGAAATCTCAGAGACCACCTAGTTACTTCTCCCTGGGAGCTCAGAGACTGGCCAAAGCTCACGCCCCTCCAGCTGCTGGAAACTCAGGCCCAGAGCCCCGCACTGGCTGCTGATGCCCCCGCATGCCACGGGACTACCGACGCTGGGGAAAGAGACAGTGGGATCTTGTCTGGGTTGTTGTCTCCACCCTCATCAAAGAAACTCCATGGACCACCCACAGTCCCCCAGATCTGCCAGTCATACTTGGAGGGGCAGTGGGAGGGACGACCTGAAGAAGTGATCCTGAGCTCACGAGACACCCACACTCTCTTCAAAGCCAAGGGTGCCGGCTGCCATGTTATCCATAAACCCACAAAGAAGCACAGAAAAACGCTCCGCAAAACGTGACTACCCTTTGGACGAAACACCAGCAAACCAAATGCAGCAACGTCTAGAAAGGACTAGGCATCATGACCAAGAGGATGTATGACACAGTGCAAGGTTGGTTCAAAATACAAAAAGCAATGCATTGCATCTCATTAGAATAAAGCACTAAGGAAAACACAGGATCATCTCAACAGATGCAGAAAATGCAGTTAACAAAAATTCCCCACCTCTACAGGACAAAAATATGGAATAGCCGAGGCACAGAAGGGAGGGCCCAGGGTCTGACAAAGGGCACGCACGGCCTACGGCCAACATCATGCTCGATGGTCAAAAACCGCACGCTCTCCCTAAGACCAGGGCGCCCGGCTCACCACATCCAGCCAACACCGAACTAGAGGTCTCAGCCAGGACAATTAGGGAAGAAGACAAAAGGCAGCCAGGTTGAAAGGGAACAAATAAAACTAGCTCGAATCACAGATGACAGGATCCTGTGTGCACAAAGTCCTGCGGACTCCACTGAGAAGCTATTACCACTAACGAGAGCTCAGCAGGGTGCGGGGCAGGGAAAAACCAACTGCATTTCCGCACAATTTCCAGGAGCAACCCAGAAATGAAATTCACAATCCCAGCACTCTGGGAGGCCGAGGCAGGCGGATCACCTGCGGTCAGGAGTTCAAGACCATGTTATCCATAAACGTGGTGAAACCCCGTTTCTACTAAAAACACACAAAATTAGCCGGGCGTGGTGGTGGGCGCCTGTAATCCCAGCTACTCGGGAGGCTGAGGCAGGAGAATCGCTTGAACCCGGGAGGCGGAGGTTGCAGTGAGCCGAGATCGCGCCACCGCACTCCAGCTTGGGCAACAAGAGCGAAATTCCGTCTCAAAAAAAAAAAAAATAAAAACAGAAAAAGGAAAAAAAAGGGAAGAAAATTCACAATTCTATTTTTTTTTTTTTTCTTCCCGAGACAAAGTCTCGCTCTGTTGCCCAGGCTGGAGTGCAGCGGTCTGAGGTCAGCTTACTGCAACCTCCTCCGCCTCCCGGGTTCAAGCGATCCTCCCACCTCAACTGGTCTCCGACTCCTGACCTTAGGTGATCCACCCACCCCGGCCTCCCAAAGTGCTGGGATTACATGTGTGAGCCACCGTGCCCGGCCAATAACTCTATTTAGAATAACATTAAAAACAAATAAGAATAAATGTCACAAAAGACGCATAAAGCTTATACTCTGAAAACTACAAAGTGTTTTTGAAAGAAAGATCTAAATAAACAGAAAGACAGCCCATGGTGATGGCTCAGAAGACTTAACGTGGGTTAACAATGGTAACGCCTCGTAAGCTCATCTCTAGACTCGATGCCATCCCTTCTCAGATCCCGGCAGGCTTTCACTGAGGGCAGTGTTTTCAAGGCCCATCTGCATGGCAGCGTGCATGGGCGCCTCATCCCTCGTTAGGGCTGGAGAACATTCCCCCGTCGTGTGGACACGCCACTCGTTCATCCACTCATTCGATGACACGTGCGTCGTTTCCACCTTTTGGCTACTGTGCATGATGCTACGGGCATTCTAGCACCTGTTTTTGTCTGAATGTGTGTTTTCATTTCTTGTGGGTTCATACCTAGGAGTGGGACTGCAGGGTCATATGGTAATTCTGTTTCCTTCTGAGGAGCTGCCAGCCTGTTTTCCAAAGTGGCTGTACTTTCTGGCATTCCCACCCACAGCATACGTGGGTTCCAGTCCCCTACGTCGTTGCTAACGTTTGTTATTATCTGTCTTCTCATCACAGCCCTCCTGGTGGGTGTGAGGTAGTATCACCCTGTGGTTTTGATTTGCATTTTCCTAATGACTAATAACGTTGAGGAACTTTGCATGTGCTTATGGGCCATTTGTGTATCTCTCCCTTGGAAAAATGTCTACTCATACCCTTTGTTCCGTGCTTTATTTTTTTTTTCTCCCTCTGAGTTCCTTACATTCTGGATACAAGTCCCATATCAGGTAGATGATTAGCAGATCGTGTCTCCTGTTTGGTGGGTCTCTTCACTTTCGTGATATCACTTGAAGCACAAAAGTGCTTAAACTTGATATAAATCTAACTCATCCTTTTCTTGGTCGCTTATGCTTTTTTTTGGCAGTGTATCTAAGAAAACACTGCCTAACCCAATTGTCACATTTAATCCTATAATTTCTTCTAAGAGTGTCATAGTCTTCGCCCTTACATTCAGACCTCTAACGCATTCGGAGTGAACTTTTTTTTTGAGATGGAGTCTCACTCCGCCGCCCAGGCTGGAGCGCAGTGGTGCGATCTCGCCTCACTGCAACCTCCGTCTCCCAGGTTCGAGTGAGTCTCCTGCCTCAGCCCCCACTCCAAATAGCTGGGATTACAGGCGCACACCACCATGCCTGGCTAATTTTTGTATTTTTACTAGAGATGGGCAGCTGGTCGCGAACTCCTGACCTCAAGTGGTCTGCCCGCTTCAGCTTCCCAAAGTGCTGAGATTACAGGCGTGAGCCACCGCGCCCGGCCTGGAGTCACCCTTTTTTTTTTTTTTTTTTTTTTTTTGGTGAGGCGGGGAGATGGGAGGCACAGGGATGGAGTTTTCCTCTGTTGCCCAGGCTGCAGCACAGTGTCGTGATCTTGGCTCACCGCAACCTCCGCCTACCAGGTTCCAGCGATTCTCCTGCCTCAGCCTCGCAAGTAGCTGGGATTACAGGAGTCACCTGGCTAAGTTTTTTTTTTTGGTTTTTTTTTTTTTTTTTTTTGAGATGGCGTTTCGCTCTTGTTGCCCAGGCTGGAGTGCAATAGTGTGGATCTCGGCTCACTGCAACCTCCGCCTCCCAGGTTCAAGTTATTCTCCTGCCTCCTGAGTAGCTGGGAGTACAGGCATGCACCACCACACCTAGCTAAAAACACACCTGTATTTTCAGTAGAGACAGGGTTTCGCCATGTTGGTCAGGCGGGTCTCGAACTCCTGATCTCAGGTGATCCGCCTGCCTCGGCCTTCCAAAGTGCTGGGATTACAGGCGTGAGCCACCACGCCCAGCCATAAATTTTGTATTTTTAGTAGAGACAGGGTTTCGTCACGTTGGCCGGGCTGGTCTCGAACTCCCGACCTCAGGTGATCCACTCGCCTCAGCCTCCCAAAGTGCTGCGATTACAGATGTGAGCCACCGCGCCTGGCCCTGGAGTGAGCTTTTGTGTATGGTGTGAGGAAGGGTAATAACTTTTTTAATGAATTAATCATCATTGGAAGAGAATGGAGAACCAATGTGTGGTTTTCAAAAATGGCATGAAAAGGGGAAAGAAGCATTTATCCTACTTTTCTTTTACAGATGATACCACGAGTCAACCCAAAAGTTGCTGGGGAGAAGTTGCTCTTTAATGAATTGCATCTCATGAATGTATCAGGCTGTGACCTTTCTGCACTCTCTAATGAGTTCATGAATTTAGGCCAATTATGGCCACAAATGCTGCTGCTGTCACAGAGAGATGCCGGATAAAGAACACCCACCACCAGTCTCTGAACAGGGAGGGGAGAATCAACTCTGAATGTGATGTAGTGGCCAGGAGAGAGGACCATGTTCAACAACGCCACACAGATGCAAATGACTTGTTTCTTCAACAAACTGCAAGGGAAAAAATAAAAATGGGGGAAGCTACAGATTAAAATACATGTGTTTGGATAGGAGAGTATTTAATGGCAAAAGAAAAAGAAAAAATTTAAAAATGAAATTGTGCAAAACTTATTTGAATCCTGTTCAAGTGAGCAACAAAACATTATGATGTACATGAGACAACTGGAAATATAACTCTGACTGGACACTTTGAGATATTAAGCAATTACCGTTCATTTTTACATATCAAACAGTATGGTATTGTGGTTACGCTTTTAAAAAGATTTGTATTTTAGCGACACATACTGGAATTTTTACAGGGAAAACCCACTGAGGATGCTGGGCATCAGGTCACTAGCACCGAGTGAATTTTTTACAATAAGCAGTAATTCTCCCCAGCCCCATGCATCATAGCCAATCCTAAATGAATGCCAATCTGGAAAAGACCAAAATAAACCACGTGAAGATGGGAAGAGCTGCTCTTGGTGATGGGAGAATGGGGACTCTCTCTTTTATTGTGCAAACTCCACTTTCCATCATGCAGGAAAATCCGTCTTGAAGGCAGCTCCTCTCTGTGCCGGGGGTGGGTGATCCAGCCTAAGCTAGAATGGCGGCAAGCTCAAGGCAGCTGTGGCCCTCAGGAGAGCGTCTGGAGTCCACAGCACAGTGGGAAGCGCAACGGCAGCTAGTCTGAGGGTCTGGACGATGGCCATGCACAGATGAGGACAGAGGAGCCACTGTAGTGACTGAAGCCCACGGCATCCACCCTCTCCAGCCAGCCCCGCCCACACCTGAAGCCCACAGCGTCCACCCTGTCCACCCAGCCCTGCCCACACCTGTGGCCTTCCTCTCCTTCCTGTTTGGTGAGTGCTGCCTCCACACCTGGCTGCATGCCAGAAAGGCCTGCACAGGTCAGAACACAGGTTTCCAAACCCTACTCCAAGTCTGAACCTCCAAGGACACCCCGAGCTCCCCAAGGTTCTTGCATAGAGGGCACAGGCCAGAGACAGCCCAGGTGGGAAGCTTACTCTGAGTCAGCTGCCCTCACCAAGATACATCCACAGGCTCCTGTACAAGGAGAGGAGGCAGAAGTCCCTCTCTGCCAGGAGGTCCTCCTCAATCTCCCAAGCCCACACCACTGCCCTGCTCCATCTCCCACCACCTCCCCCTGCAGATACGGGGGCCACCCTACCCACCCCACAGGAACGATGGGAAAACCTGCCTCCCTCTAGGAGGAGGGCGTGGCACAGCTGCTGCGCGGGTAAGGAACCTCGCTATGCCTTGCTCCCATCAACACTTTTATTCTAGATTTGAAGGTGTTTTGGGGAAGCCATCTCTGCACAAAAGAAGTCAACGCAGGAATAAATTCCAAGATACTGAACTACCTCAAACAGAAAATAAGTTACTAAAATTAATCCGCCACATAAATTATAGTTTTTTCCTTTTCCTCAAACAAGGGGAAAAGAACCACCAACTCATCTATACGCACAAGCAACTGGCCCTGGTTTACAATGATGTAAAGACTTTTAGCCTCCTGCTACCAAAAAGCAAAGGTTTATTTCATGATTTCTTCTTTCTTTTCCAGAGGCAGGCTCTTGCTCTGTCGCCCAGGCTGGAGCGCAGTGGCAGGATCACGGCTCACTGCAGCCTCAATCTCCCAGGCTCAGGTGATCCTCCCACCTCAGCCTCCTGAGTAGCTGGGACTACAGGCACGCACTAGCACGCCCAGCTAATTTTTGTTTTTTATCTTATATAGAGACAGGGTTTTGCCGTGTTCCCCAGGCTGGTCTCAAACTCCTGGGCGCAAATGATCGACCTGCCTCGGCCTCCCCAAGTGTTGGGATTACAGGTGGGCCACTGTGCCCAAGCTATTTCACTATTTCATCAGCGCACTTAAATGCCCGTTTTTTTTAAGTGGCTACAGGGCAACAAGACTATCCCTGTGCCAAATACCAGATTCCAAAGAAACTCTACCCACGTCACAAACCTGCACGTGGATCCCCTGAATCTAAAATAAAAGTTGAAATTATGAATAAATAAAGCCTTGCAATAAGGGAGGGGAAAAAAAAAGAAAGAAAATCCACACGAAGGGAAAAATGCCCAGAGCACAGCCCAGGGAGGTGGTTCCTGAGGCTGGCTGTGGGCACAGCCCAGAGAGCGGTTCCCGGGACTGACTGGGGGCAGAGCCAGCCCGCAGCGCTCCTGACCCCACGGAATGTTGTGGGCTCATCTCTGGGCAGGAAGTCAGCACAAGGACAGCAAGACACTGACAGATCCTAAGAAAGCTTACGAGACAGAAGTTCCTGTTTGGTTCAACTTTGTCACAGACAACACTGAGGGAGATGAGGTTACACTGTGTACACAGAAACAGGATTACCAGTCAGTAAGACGGTTACTATTTAACAGGAATGAGTCAAACAGATCAAGGTTTCAGGGCATGTCTGAAACGCCAGGAAGACCGCCCTGGCTCTGTGCAGCTTTGGGCGGGAGGTGCGCACTCTGGCATGCCACTGGACGGGGAGGGGAACGGGGCTACAAAAGGCAGCGGACGGCAGCAGGACTAAGCCACCTTAGACAACAAGAGGCTCCGGCTTGATTGCTAGTTTCGATCTTAGCCCCAAAAGGGTGATGTTTTTTATTTCTTTATTTATGAGACGGAGTCTCACTCTGTTGCCCAGGCTGGAGTGCAGTGGCACGATCGTGGCTCACTGCAACCTCTGCCTCCCGGGTTCAAGCGATTCTCCTGCCTCAGCCTCCCGAGTAGCTAAGACTACAGGCGCGCACCACCACGCCCAGCTAATTTTTTATATTTTTAGTAGAGACGGGGTTTCACCATGTTAGCCAGGATGGTCTCGATCTCCTGACCTCGTGATTTGCCCACCTCGACCTCCCAAAGTGCTGGGATTACAGGCTTCTTTTATTTTTTATTTATTACTACTATTTTTTAACAGTTGATCGCTCTGTTCCCCAGGCTGGAGTGCAGTGGGATCATCCTAGTTCACTGCATCATCCATCTCTCATTTCAGCCTCTCGAGTAGCTGGGACTACAGGTGTGTGCCATCACACCAGGATGATTTTTGGCTTTTTTGTAGATATGGAGTCTCACCATGTTGCCCAGTGGCTGGTCTCAAATTCCTGGCCTCAAACGATCCTCCTGCCTCAGCCTCCCAAAGCCCTAGGATTACAGGTGTGAGCTCCCATGCACAGCCAGGGTGATGTTTGAGGATTCTGAGAGAAGTTCCCAGATCCAAGACAAGGTCTTAGGGCCTCCATGACTGTGCAGAGATGAAAGCACCAACTGACAGAATCTCAGCCAGAGCCCTGAGTGTGAAAACACAGGGCTGGAAACGCCCAGAAGGGAAAGATAAGGCCCGGTGGAGGAAACGAGCAACTACCTCAAGGTGCCAAGAGAGGCCCCACAGGCACCAGCTGGGTACCTCCCAGCACACAGAATACAGGGCCAATTCCTAAGAAACAGAAAAGCCGAGCTGAGTCCAGAGTGCCTGCCTTGCTGAAGGGCCTGCTCTCCACCCAGCTGTGCTCTCCTCCAGCTACTGGGGGCCGGCTGGCCGTCCATGGAGACGAGGCCAGAACCACCACTGCTCTGTGCTCACGGTTCCCCTTTTCCACACGAGAGCAGCTACAACAACACGGTCACTTCTGTCTGAATCTTTCCTCCACCAACAAACCTGCACTCGCGTCCCTCCAAACCGGGCTCCAGCACCTCTCACCCCCACAGAGCCCTCTATGGAGGCCTTTCTCTGACGGGCACCCCAAGCCCAGGCAGAGGCCCATGCACCACTTGGAGGCCCTTGGACCCAGCCTCTTGACCCAGACAGACTCCAGCAATCACCCGAGGTTCACCTTCAAGGTCACTTATAATGCACACAGCAGCCTTCAGCTTCCCCAAACCTCATCCCAAGGCTTTATCTTCTCTCTACCCAGCACTCGGGAGCACTCTTCAGAATTTCAGCTGCCTTTCTTTACACCTCCAGAGTTTGTGATTTCTACCCAATAAGCACCTGAAGGGCATCGAGATACCCCCGGCCGGCTAAGACAACCTAGGCCACTTCTCTGGCCCGAGTGGACTTTCAGCAACATCTCCGATGGAGTTGTCACAACATGGTCCGAGGCTAGAAACTACCCTTGGGAACAGGACTCGGAGGCTTTGTGATGACAAACGTGCACGTGGCCAGCAGGGAGACAGACGGACAGCTAACGGAGGGAGCGCACCGAGGTACAGGGATGTGCGCGCCCGGATACTACCTGCAACACAGGCAGGAGGAGCCAGGAGCTGACCACACCGGCTCCACATCCTGCACGCGGGTGGCTGGGTACGAATGTGGCCCCCCACACTGTCCAGAAGACGAGTAGGGAGGATGAACCAGAGCAGGCGCCGAGGAGAACCAGCGACCTCCCACTCTACACCAACACACACTGCCTGGGGCCCCCCCAGGAAGACCTGCTGGCGTGGCAGGGTCTTGCCCAGAGAAAGTTCAAGATCTGTTTGAGAACGGCCAAGGTATCCCCACCTCAGTCGTTGATGAAGATGACACAATGCAAACACTCCTCAGAAGTCGCTTTCCATCTGAAGCACAGAGCCAGGCTCTGCTAGAAATAAAACTCACACACCTTGTTTGCTCTCTGGGGATAAGACTTTTGCTGTTCCAAAATCTGTGATCTGGATGTGCATATCTTCATTTAACAAAATGTTTTCCGGTTTAAGGTCCCTGTAAAAGCAGATTTTCACATTTGAGAAGAAATACTTAAAACAGCAACATTATTACGTACTCTAAATTTTGCTGAAAACAAAATGAACGAATGAATGTATATGATCCTTACAGGCTGACAACCAGGGCTACAGGCCTAAAGCTCACAAGCAACAAGTGTTGGCTGGACACAGTAGGGATTCACCACCTCACATCTCCATGTCATTCTAAGTCGTTTTTTAACGAAGTAAAATCTATCATTTTTAACGCACAAAATGAAAGCTATGCACACTTCTGAGCTGACTTTATCAGAAAGTCATGAAAAACGAGACCAGAAAGAAGTACACACAGAAGCTACAACTGAAAAAGATAAAAAGCATCAGTCAAGATGGTGAAAAGAATCATTAGCTCGCCAGGAAAGACACGCAACCATTGCATGTGGTATTGGCAGGAGAGCCTCTCCACGTCAGCGCTCCGTGGACGTGTGGCCTCGCCTTGGCACTCAGGCTGTGGCACAGGCAGGCATCTCAGTCCCACCCATCCAGGGAGCACTCCAACCTGGCTGACCTCAAGGGCGGGGGCCATCTGGGCATCAGCCGTGGCCTGTGAGCCAAACGGTCACTGGCCCTGATCATCAAACTGACGTCCTGCAAACCCACCCAGCCACCCCCGCGGTTACCTGTGAATGATGCCCTTGCCGTGCAAGTACTCTAAAGCAGACACAATCTCAGCCGTGTAAAATCGGGTACAGGTCTCATCGAATGAACCGATTTTGCGAATATATTTAAGTAGTTCTCCATTTTTGGCATAACTAAGGCCGAAATCTGAATATCGTGCAGTTAAGGAAGTGTAAAAATCTCTTGTTTCGTTTTGGAGCAGGTTTACTCCGTTGCCCAGACTGGAGTGCAGGGGCACAATCATAGCTCACTGCAGCCTCAACCTCCCTGGCTCAAGCGATCCTCCCACCTTAACCAACCCAAGTGGCTGGGAACGTAGGTACGCGCTACCACGCCTGGCTCATGTGTTTTATTTTGTAAAAGTCATTTTTGGAAAACTAACCTTAAAAGTCTGATAAGAATTTTTAATTCAGTGCAAACTGAAAGTACCTGTGGCCCAAGACAGTCATGTCACTGGATCTGCCGGGCATCCCAGGCCCCAGCTCCAAGACGAGGCACCAGCATGATGAGGGCTTTCTCATTAAGAACGCCATTACACGGTCTCGAGGAAACAGGAACAGAGCCTCTCAGCCCCGACTGCCCCTCTGGCCCCTGGCCGTGTCCACGGCCTCAGTGAAAGGGAACCGCTGGTGACAGGGCCTACAGACCCCGACCAAAAAGCGCATATAACTCACGTGCAGGCTTCGATGCACAAAGACCCCGGGGGCCGGCGGAGCAGGGTCGGAGAGCGCGACAGCCCCTGCCCTGAGACCCCGGCTTTATGTGCTACGCATCCACGCGTGGCACTGCCCCTTCCATGCAGTCTCCTTCCGTGGATAAAGTGACACATTTTGTTTTGTTTTTTTTTTTTAAGATGCAGTCTCGCTCTGTCGCCAGGCTGGAGTGCAGTGGCGCTACCTCGGCTCGCTGCAACCTCCGCCTCCCGGAGTCAAGCAATTCTCCTGCCTCAGCCTCCCGAGTAGCTGGGACTACAAGCACGCGCCACCATGCCCCCCTAGTTTTGGTATTTTTAGTAGAGACGGGGTTTCCCCAGGTTGGCCAGGATAGTCTCCATCTCTTATCCTCGTGATCTGCCCGCCTTGGCCTCCCAAAGTGCCGGGATTACAGGCGTGAGCCACCGCACCTGGCCGAGTGACACACTTTGTAAGACAAAAGCCATCTCATGAACTTCTACACCCATGAAGTGTGTCTGGGAGGCCCCCTCCTCTGGGCACCACTGCCCTACGATGGCTCCATCTGTAGCCTCCTTTTCCAAGAGGACTTAAGACCGACAATAAATGGATCCCAGATACAGATTCCCCTGCAAGCGGCAAACGTCCATCCCCATTACCGGAAACCTCCAGATACTTCACACTTACTGGCAGCCCAGGACACGGGGACCCAAATCCTTGCCTGCCCTGAGCAGTGGCTCTCGAGGCCAGGAAGGGGGGCTCGTGCTCAGAGCCAGGCTGGCCTGCCTGCTCACTTCTGTTTGCCAGGGCACCATCATCTCCCACCAAGGATGAACCTGAAGCTTCAGGGCAACGAAGAGAAACCCAGAAGCGAAGGGACTTGCAACCAAGGCTGCCCAAAGTGGCCCCTGTCCAGGCCCATCTCTAAATACAACCCACACCGAGGATGCCTGGTGGGGCAGAAGTCCCTGGGTCTCGTTCCCGTCAGGGGCGAGTGAACCTTCACAACCTCCCGGGGCTTTGGAATTTGACTTAATGATGAAGGGCAACATGGACCACTGGACAAAGACCTGGAGTTCCCACTACCTGCACCGCTCTGGCCAATCCCATTTGGAAATCAGTCAGCAAGATTCACTCTCCTCTGGACTCTGAGCCCCCGGGAGGAGAGGATGGGAGAGGTCAAGCGTGTGCAATTCTGTTGCAGCCTCACAACCAACAAGCAGCCGTGTTCCGACGGCTCTGCGGGAAGCCCAGAGGGACTCCCGTGGCTCATACGGGGGCAGAGACGTGCAGGGCCCCGGGGAACGTGAAGGTGAGAGACAGAACATACCGTGAAGAAGCCACTGAGAGTGGGAGACAGAGGCAGGAACAGGGATGACACTGGAGGACAGCAGGCCTGCCTGGAGGCCAGCATTCTCTACAACCTTCCACAAACCAACAGCAAAGCCCGCTCCGGGCCACGTGCCTGGCAGCTGCTCGGCCACTGCCCCGCTCCTCCCTAGGCAAAATCCCAGGGAAGCACCTTGCGTCGTTTCCATTTCCTCACCTCTTACTCTTCCTTGAACAGTCCCCCCAAGAAACTGCCTACCCACCATCAACAACTGGCACAGGGCAGATCCACGGGTCAGGCTGTGTGCACCTGACCGCTTCATAACCCCTGCGTGGGCAGCCAGCACCCTCCATCAGAAATCGTTTGATCCCGTGGCCTCTGGGTCTCCATCATTCGAGCTCGGGAGCAACATCCCATCACCATCTCCTCTCCTCGGTGGGCCCCTCCTCGTGTTCACCCCTGCACTGGGGGGAACCCAGGCTCCACTCACAGAGGAGCCAACCTCTGGGCAGCCTGCCAGCTCGCTGTGAAAGTCCTCACGGCCCTGACTCCTCCTGGAGCTCTGCTGGCAGCACCTAAGTGCCCACTCAGACCTGAATGGTGGCACCAGCGGATGCATGAAATGCCAGCCCAGCACCCGCCCCGGTCTCTCCCAGCTCAGCAGCAGACACCGCTGTGCACTAGGCTTGAGGGCCACCTCCCAGGAGCCGCCCCTGACTCCATTCTCTTGACCGGTCTGTTCATCAGACCTCGACCACGGCCCCTGCCCCTGCTCTCCTGCCCGTTCTCCCGCCTGGCCTAGGAGAAGCCACAGCAAACCCCACGTTCCCCGCCACAAAGAGAAGGAAGTCCAGAGTCAGTGCCAGGCTGCCACGGCTCAGGGGCCCAGCCCACCACAGCCTTTCATGCCCCCCCACACACTCCTGCCCAGGAGCTGAAAGAGCCCCACACTGCCGCCAGCCCCTACCCAGCCCTAAGACTCTTGGCAGCGCATCTTGCTGCCGGGAAGCCTCTGACACGGATCGTCAGTGCACGTCCAGCTCCTCCACCAAAATCGAAGCTTCTCGTGGGCAGAGACGCCACCCGGCATAGCAGCGCATCCCCATCACCCATCAACCTGCACTTGGCAAGCACCTCCAAACAGAGAGAGCACACACACTCCGCCGGCAGCCGAAGGAGCTGCAGGATGGTGCTGAGAGTGGGAGCAGGCCAGAACGAAGCTCTAACACAGAAGAGCCGGGTGCTGGGGAGAGACGGGGAGGACAGGTGGGAGGACTCAGGCCCCTCCCCAGGCAGGATGGGGAGGCCACGACACTTGGGCCAGCTTGGAGGGTGGCGGGGGAGGAGAAGAGCAGATGCAGACTGCACCTGCTGGGGGTGACGACGGTGTGGCGTGGCCAGCCCAGCCACTGGCAGGCCCACAGGTCAGCTGGATGGGGCAGAGGTGGGGCCCACCCCAACTTCCACCGGGCCTTGCCTCCCAGATTCCTGAGCCAAGGTTTAATAACAGAAAAGATGGCGCTCTAGGGGAGCAAGGGACGCCGACCAAGCAAGCCGCAGCAGAGAGGACTGTGCTGGAGCCACATCGGTGGCTTCTCCGGGAGGTAACGTCCTGTGCAGACTCCCAGCCACACCCTGGCGCTGCCTCGGCTGCCTCCCTGAATGTCAGCGGCCTGAGGGACCCCACTCGGCAGGGAGCGGGGGCTGCTTGTGGGAACACACAGGGTCTGATTCCAAGTGAGAGGGGTGACTGGTGTGGCTTCAGACGGCACCAACCACGCAAAGGATACACAGCTTCTCGTCGTCCTGAAATGTGAAGTAAAGCTTAACAAAGAAGGGGTGATCCAGGCGCGACATGACATCCCGCTCTCTGGTTACATAGGGGACCTTGTTCTCTTTTATGATATGTCGCTTCTCCAGAATTTTAACTTCAGGTGAGAGAGAAGTGAGTTACTATCAGAAACAACAAAAAACACTAAAGACATGACTCACAAAGGTAACTGGTACAAATTAAAGTCTTTCAAACATTGTACACAACAGCCTGGTGGTCTCTAAAGCCAACAGTGTCCTGTACCCTGAAATCAGCACAGAAACACCGGCCCTGCCACCCCAGCCGCCCTGCACGGAGCCGCTTGCCCTGCTCCCGGACGCACAGCTCCCTGCAGCCCATACTCACTCGCATATTCTCTGGAGGTTGCCAGTTCTCGAGCCAGGACAACCTGGTTGGGAAAGAAAAGGAGAAAAAGAAACACACAATGTAATAACCAGGACACTGGGCCTGACGAGTCCCTCTGCCCCACACGCACGCTTCCTGTCCCCACTGAAGGCTTGAGTCTACAGTGAAATATTTTGGGTCTTGTACTGACAAGTAGAGCTAAAAGCCAATGCTCGTGTTGATGTGTTCTAACAGCTAAGAGAAAACATATCCATCTCTCTGTTGTTTCCAGAAGCTTCTGGATCAGCTGCTAACAGCCCTAACGGTGCAACACAAGTACAAACTCAGGAACCTCTTCGACTGCCACGCCCTTCACCAACAGAAGGAAGACAGTGGCGCCACCACAAGTGGCAGGGCACAGGGGCTTCTGTGACAACAATATGTCCTTCTAGTATACATTCATTGCAAAGGCTGCCCTGAAGTTTCGTTTTTGGAAATAACTGTTATCATACATTTTGTATGATGTTGCTTGTGGGCACCATGAAGAGAGCCTGGCTGTAAAGGACAGAGGGAGCTAAACCAGCAATGCATGGCCCTGCGTGCCCACAAGAGGGAGCCACCTGCCCGGGATGCAGCAGGCCTCCTGCCCTGTCCTCTCAGCACCCCTGAGCCCTGCACTCAAACCCCACCTCCGAGACAGAGCACTCCAGCAGGGCAGGCATCCCAAACAGGGGAGAGACCCTCCACTCGGACTAGCCTGGGGCACACCCTGAGGCACCAGACTGGAGATTCCTGGTGGGCCCACGGTTTAGCCAGAGAGCATGAGGCAGCTGTGCCAGGGAGGCCCCACCACCACCAAGTGGGACACAAGTGTCTCCTAAGACACCCACAGGGGGACGGCCTGAGGAGCAGGGAGCAGAGGAAACCTGTCCCGTGACATTCCTGGGGGCTGGCAGGAAGACCTTCAGGAGGCCACAGGGCCAGGTCCACCTGGCCCCGGGCTGTGAGCCGCAATCGGGGCAGGACTCCTGATGGGACACGTCAGAAGAGATCCTGGAAAGCACCATGTGAGACGCCTTGTGGCACTCAAGAAGAATGAAGTTGGATTCTGGGGACTCTACATACTCAAGGTCTTCCCAGAGGAATACGCCACGCATGGATGGCTCTCAGCTGCCAGGGAGAAAGGGGAAGTGGGCCGGGCAGGGCTCCCCTCTCTAGCTCATGTGTTTCTGTGAGGTCACGTTTCTCCACAAGAGCACGTGCTAGCTTCATAAGTAGAAAAGAGGAAGAAAGAATTGTGAACGAGCACCGATATTTAGTGGAACCCTTTCTAAGGGGATACTGATGTGATCTTTCCGTTGTCTAAACTCAACACTTCACAAGCAGGTTTCCTACAAGAAGGAAGGATCCTCTTCCAGAGAATGGCGCGTGACGTGTCCCTCCCTGGAGGTTGTGACCGTCCTCAGGGGGCCTCCCGGCTCTCCGGTGCTGCAGCTGGCTCTTGCCCAGCCTCCTATCACTGTCCTTTCCCCCTCCCCTGGAAATCAACTTTTATGTGATCTCCATTTCAGGAAAGCTGAGAAAGAACTGAGGGTAACACATGTAATCTGAGACCCAGTACTGTGGATTCCAAACAGCCCCATGGAGGAGCCTCCGGCTCACCGTGCTCTCCCGGGCACCTCCCTGGTGCAGGTTCAGAAAGACACGGACCACAGCCCCTGGAGGGACAGTGCCTGCTCTCCACCCATCTCCAGAACCCAGGGAAACAGGCAATTTCACAGATGAGTCTTCCTTTTTCAGTCAAGATAAATGTTAAGGGCCATGTATGGTGGCACATGCCTGTGGTCCCAGCTACTCAGGAGGCTAAGGCAGGAGGATCGCTTAAGCCCAGGTGGTGAAGGCTGCAGTGAGCTATGATCACACCGCTGCACTCCAGCCTAGGTGACAGAGCAAGACTCTGTTTCTAAAAGGATAAATACATACATAATAAAATAAAGTTAAATTAAAAAGAGACATACAAGGAAGTAAAACTGAGGCCAAGCACAGTGGCTCACGCCTGTAATCCCAACACTTTGCAAGGCTGAGGAGAGAATCACTCGAGCCTAGGAGTTCAAGACCAGTCTGGGCAACAAAGTGAGACCCTGTCTCTACAAAAAATTTTACAATTAGCTGGGCACGGTGGTGCATTCCTGTAACTGCAGCTACTTGGGAGGCTGAGGTAAGAGGATCACTTGAGCCCAGGAAGTCGAGGCTGCAGTGAGCTATGATCATGCCACTGCACTCAAGCCTGGGTGACAGAGCAAGACTCTGTCTCAAAAAACAGGTAAAGCTGAGAAAAGAGGAGGCCTGTTCTTTCACTGGGTGGTTGTAAGCAGCCATGCAGAATGCCCAAGGTTTTCCAAAGAGTTTCTTCTTTCTGAAAGGATCTGAGTCCCCAAAACTTTGGGGACTAGTCTCATGGTTGAAGGCATTTTTCATGAGGGCATAATCCTTTTATAAAAAAATTATTTCATAAAACCTGCAATTTAAAAAATCTAAAGTGTAAGGGCAGCAAAAGTTAACATTAATTAAAACAATATGTTGGGAATATGGGTAAGCTATATTTCATGTTTTTCTTTGCATTGTGAAATATTTCCTATGTGTAAAAAAGAGAAAAAAGGAAAATAAACCTCACCTACGGTTTCTTCACAAAGGTCAGGCAAGAAAGAATTATTCAGGAACTCACCCAGGCCCTCCAGAGTGAGGTGCCCCCAGGGCTCCCTGGAATGGCCCTAGCACGCACACGGCGGCCACCTTGGCGACCACAGTGGCGGCACGGGACTCTGTCTCTTTAGAGGCCCAGATGGAGACAGTACACCCCGAGTTGCTCAGGCCTCCCCTGAACCTGTTACAACCTTCACTAAATCCACAACCACACACGGCTTCATGGGTCCCACGTCAGCAAAACGTCCCATGTCAGCTGCTTTCGACCTTCATTTCTTTGCTTTCAGAGGAAAAAACACCCCGAAGACAGGTAACAAGTGTGACTTGACAGTACTGCGACAATACTCCTGTTTGTGAAACTCGGAACACAAGACTCTGGAGGCTGTGTCTCCAGCAAATGTCCAGAGCGTACTGTTTTATGTATTCAAAAAAACAAAACAGAGAAATAAGAAGAGGTCAATAAATGTCCCCAAAAACCCTGGAGAGATACTAACTTTCAATCTAAGAAAAAGAACAGCTTCCCAGGGCCCTGCCAGTGAGACACAAGGACACAGAATGTAACTTGCTGATGCCAGGTTAAAATGAAATTAACTACATCAGAAAAAACCTCCGCAGACCATCAAGAGATGTGTCTAACGTTCTCATCTACAAAACCAGGTTAAATATTTAGCCACACTCATCACGTCATCTGCTTGGGGGGTACCCAGCCCCCAAAGACTCAAGTGGCCTTCACAACAGGTGACACCCCTCAAGGGGCCTGAGACCTCCTGCCTGGAAGGACACCAGCCTTGCTTGGAGTCTCCGGCAAGCCCCGAGGAAGGTGAGCCTCCCCAAGGAAATCACGTACGTTTGACACACAGCAGCAGCAAATACTCACCGTGGAAAAAGAGCCTTCCCCAAGGATTTTCCCAAACTTGAAGTCCTCAGGCCGCTTCTTCCGAGGCTGCGGCGGAGGCTGGGCATGCTGCAGGGAGCCGGCGCCGGGCCGAGGCTCGGCTGCAGTGCCGTCCATGGCGGGGCCCTGCCTGCTGCCACCAGGAATGCCAGGGGGCGTGCTGGACTCAGTCTGGGTCCTCACCATTGATGGGGATGGGCAGGAACATAACACCACGCTGGACTGGATGGGCACGGCGTCATACTAGGCGACAAAGAGGAAAAGGAAGTAAGGCTCAAGGCAGCTGCCTTGCTCTCAATGCACGGACTAAGGTTTAAGGACCTCATTTCAACGCTCAAAAACAAACCCCAAGCACAGGGCAGGCCAGCTGAGCCCCGCGGTCTGCTGTGAGCTGCCGGCCTCCTCTCCTGAGTCCTGCCCGTGCCATGGCTCCCCGCTAATCCACCAGGCAGCGCCTCGCCCTCCTCCTGTCCCTCGCGCTGCCTGAGCCTCCAGCCAACTCATCCCAAGGCCAAGGTAACCTGAGCAGAGATAGCACGGCACATCTTTAATTGTGGGGGGGATGGAGAGATAAGAGTGATGATCGCATGTGTTTACAATACACAGAGACGCCCAGTGCTGGCAAGACTATAATAAAGCGAGCGCACTCACACCACTGCGGCTGGCACCAAAAACCGGGATTGCAGTGGAAATGTTTTTGGAAAGCAGTTTGGCAACTGTCAACAAAGCGACTACAGAACAGTTGTCAATGAGACACAGAAATACGAAGGAGAGGAGGGAGGGCAGAAACCCAGTTAACAATGTAAGCGGGCACGGAGGGAAGATCAGCGTGCAAAGCTAGGTCGGCAAGACGTGCAAGGTGCACCCACAGCCATAACAATCCCTCCCCAGACCCCAACGTGTCCTCACGGTGGTGGCAGTGGCCCCCCGCACTACAGAAGAACAATGCGAGGCGAGCTCAGGCGCGCTGATGGTGGTTTCCGATACAACTCCCCACTCAAAGAACCCCGGAGAGCTCTTGATTCCATCTCTCAGTAGGGTCCTGAAGTCCATGCTGTCTGAAGACACAGGGTCTCCCCCTGCGTCTGTGCCAGGACAGAGGGACTGCCACCAGCCAAGCTGCAATCCTTTTAAACGCTAAAAACGGCCGGGCTTGGTGGCTCATGCCTGTAGTCCCAGCAGTTTGGGTGGATGAGGCGGGTGGATCCCCTGCGGTCGGGAGTTCAAGATCAGCCTGACCAACACGAATAAACCCCTTCTCTACTAAAAATACAAAATTAGGCCGGGCACAGTGGCTCAGGCCTGTAATCCCAGCACTTTGGGAGGCAGAGGCGGGAGGATCACCTGAGGTCAGGAGTTCGAGACCAGCCTGACCACATGGAGAAATCCCGTCTCTACTAAAAATACAAAAAAACTAGCCGGGCTTGTTGGCGCATGCCTGTAATGCCAGCTACTTGGGAGGCTGAGGCAGGAGAATCGCTTCAACCTGCAAGGCAGAGGTTGCAGTGAGCTGATAGCATGCCATTGCACTCCAGCCTAGGCAACAAGAGTGAAATTTCGTCTCAAAAAAAAAAAAAAAAAAAAAAAATAGGCCGGGCGCAGAGGCCAAAGTGGGTGGATCACTTCAGCCCATGAGTTCAAGACCAGCCTGGGCAAACACAGCAAAACCTCACCTCTACTAAAAATATAAAAATTAACCAGGTACGGTGGCATGTGCCTGTCGTCGCAGTTAATTGGGAGGCTGAGGTAGGAGGATTACCTAAGCCCGGGGAGGTCGAGGCTGCAATGAGCCAAGATCACATCACTGCACTCCAGCCTGGACGACAGAGGGAGATCCTGCCTCAAAAATAAAAAATAATAAGTAAATAAATAAAAAGAATATATTCACTATTTTGCTTATCAAAGTCTCTTAAAGGAGGTGACTTACCTACGCTATGGACCCAATTACTCAGCCAATAAGAGGACACGGTCCCTGCCCATAGAAAGCTGATGTCCAGCCTGACCTCAATACAAAACCATCCAGTTAAAGTGGTGGGGGTGGCTATGCAGAGACGGGCGGGTGCCGGGAGAGTCAAGGGCAGCCCCTTGGCTGGCCAGGGGCTCAGACAGACCAGCTGGGGAGATGCATCACTCGCCCAGGAAAACTGATGACAGCTTAGATGGCACTGCAAGAGCAGGGAGGATCACACTCATGTCCAGAAAGTGAAACATAAAACAGCTAAACATGTACCACACAGCTTTCATACAAAAATTTTATATACACAAATTTTGAAAAAATAGAGATGGGGTTTTGCTTGTTGTCCCGGCTGGTTTCGAACTCCTGAACTCAAGTGATCTGCCTGCCTCAGCTTCCCAAAGTGATGCAATTACAGGCATGTGCCACCATGCCTGGTGACTTTTTTTCTGTTTTGAGACGGGGTCTCACTCTGTCTCCCAGGCTGGAGTTCAGTGGCATGATCATAGCTCACTGCAGTCTCGACCTCCTAGGCTCAAGTGATCCTCCCACCTCAGCCTCCTGAGTAGTGGGACCACAGGTGTGCACCACCGTGTCCAGCTAATTTTTGTAGAGATGGGGTCTCATCATGCTGCCCAGGCTGGTCTCAAACTCCAGGGCTCGAGTGATCCGCCATCCTTGGCCTCCCAAAGTGCTGGATTACAGACCTGAGCCACCACACCAGGCTGCCCCACACATTGTAAAGTTTCGCTTCCCTCTAATGTCAGATTCCAAAGACAGCAGCCTTCATGAGTCAGAAAGAAACATCGGTCATTTTGAAATCAACATCCAACTGAAGTGTAGAAAGGCCTCTGGATTTTTGAAACGGCAACAACAGATGATGTAATACAAAGACGCCCCCACCCCACTGCTTTCCCACTGCATGCTTTACATGACATGGCACAGCTTCCACGCCAGCAGCTTCAATCATGTAAAGCGAATGCAGTCCCATCAAGACCACAGCATTGGCTGAGCAGCTACTCCATGCTGGGCACCGTCCTGGGCACTGGAAGTACAGCAGAGAACGAAACCAAGACCACACCCTCCAGAAGCCTGCATTCCAGCAGGACAGACAGACTTCCATACACAGAGCAGGAAAATGCACAGCGTGTCAGATGATGATGATTACTATGAGAAAAATAAAGCAGGCAAAGAGAACAGGACTATTTGGATGAGGGTGGTGCAAATTCAAATAATCAGACAGCCTTTGCTGGGAAGGTGATATCTGAGCAAAGATTCGAGAAGGTGGGGAGAGCCCCGGAGCCTTCCCCGCAGAGCAGAGGAGGCCCGGGAAGCTCTGGACTCATAGCGGTTCAGCACGGCCACGACACGGCCACTTCCAGACAGAGCCCCTGGCTGCTGGGTAGGGACCGCAGCACCTCAGAGAACCCTTTCTGGGGTCACTTCTGGCACCCTCTGCAAACCTCAAGGGGGAGCGTGAGGCTGGGGGCTGTCCATCAGGGTCCAGGCACCTCCTGAAGGAACCTCTCAAAGCCAGCCGATCACCGGCTCCAGACCCACGCTGTCAGACATCTCTGTGGCCACCAGACCACTGCCACTCTCACGGGTGTGATGACATGGGACCTGCCTACTGGTAGTCTTCTGCCTTCGTGGAATTCTGCAACTTCCTTCCTGCCTCGGCCACAGCATGTCAGCCAAGCACCTGTCAGGGTCCCTCCCTGGCAGGACGATGTTTAGAAGCTCAACACCTTGCTCCTGCCTCCTCTTCAGACCCATCAGAACTTGCTACCATGGGTGTGTTTTAATAAATAACTTCATTTCTGCAGCAAATAAATAAATAAATAAATGTAGTTGCAATATTGCCTTTAAAAGCACTTTTAAGCATCAATTGTGAAATAAAAAGCCCGAGCAAAAGCCCTCTTTGAGCGTGAAGTGTCTAAACGTTTATTTGTACTACTATTGTTGTAAAGGGTAGATTTTGTAGCATTTTGAGGTGGTGATTCAACTGCATTAACAGCATCCCGAGACCGCCTGCCACGATCTGGAGGAAACGCACGGCCAGGGCCCACGTGCAGGGTAGGGTCCTGCCAGGCTCCCAAAACGCCCCGTCCCAGCACTCAGTCCCATGGAGGCAGCACAGCCTCAGGGAGGCCAGCGACTCTGGGCCTGCGGGTGAGTCCTTCAGCCCCTGCACAGCCCAATCCATCTGCCACCCACTTGGTGACCCCAAATTGTAGTAAGTCAACACTTCCAGTTACTCAACAGCTTCTGAAATTTAAATCTCTGGAACAATTTACAGTAATAAGACCCTAGGTGCACCTGTCTACTATCCTTGTCCTCCCTAATGAAATGGGCTAGGCGTGGTGGCTCATGCCTGTAATCTCCCATTTTGGGAGGCCAAGGCAGGAGAACTGCTTGAGCCCAGGTGTTGGGAGACCAGCCTGGGTAACATGGCGAGACCTCACATCTAATAAAAAAAAAAAAAATCTGCTGGCTGTGGTGGCGCACACCTGTAATCCCAGCTGAAGTGGGAGAATTACTTGAGCCCAGGAGGCTGAGGCTGCAGTGAGCCGTGGTCATAGCACTGCACTCCAGCAGGGGTGACAGAACAAAACCTTGTCTCTTTTTAAAAAAGAAATTAAAAAAAAAAAAAAAAAGAGCCAGGCACGGTGGTGTGCACCTGTGGTTCCACTTCCAGCTGAGGTGGGAGGATCACTTGGGCTGGGAGTTCAAGGTTGTGGTGAACTATCACCGAGACCCTGTACTCCAGTCTGGGCAACAGAGCAAGGCTCTCTTTTCTTTTTTTTTCTTTTTTTTTTTTAAAAAAAAAAGCTCCTCACAAGAGAAGTCCACCAAAAACACCAGTGCCCACCTCACAGGTGTGGGGTCACCATGCAAGCCCCCCACTCCCTGGTTATGACCTGATCACTGGGCTTTGCTACACACACACAGGTGCACGTACCACCCCCAAGGGAAGGCGGGGAGCTGTGGCCTGCCTCGCCAGCAGCCTCGCACGCTGGCTCCCTGGGGCTCCTTCCTCATGACCAAGGCCTGCCCAGGTCAGTGCGGCTTCTTTCCCACCAGGAGCCTCCTGCCAACCACGTCTTTCCACACCCCCTTCTCAGTCCTGGCAATCAATCAATCTCCCCACTCAGGACAGGACCCCCTCTGTCCTCTTCTACCTTCTACTGCACTGTCGAGACAAGCTTCTGTGACTTCATCAGTGCTGAGAAATGTGAAAGACGTGCCACGGCACAGGTCTACTGAGAACAGGGAAAGGCCAATGTTCTCAACAGAATGTGGCTGGGAGAATAAGCACCATCAACAGGTTAGGTCCTTAAAGCTACCAGGTGCCATCCCCCAAGTCCCTGGAAGAGGGGCTCTCACATCCCCCCGCGCCACTCAATGACGAGTCACTGCCCCCTACTTATTCCCACAGGCAGATGGGACCACCAGGTGCTGGTCCTGTTGCTACTTTCCACAGCAGGCACTCAGGTTTCAGCCAGCCCCAGCCCGAGCCCCCAACCACACCTCTGATAGGAAAACAAACCCTGAGTTTTAAACAAATTGGAACTTGTAAAAATGTAGCCCATGGGTAAACTGGGCATTTTCTGAGAATTTTGTTTCATAAAATATGTATATAAGAACTTAGAGTTTCAATTTCTTTAACTTGTCTGGGTATGAAGTTCAGCAGTCTCCATCTCTTAGAAGTAGAAACCAGGCAGGGTGCAGTGGCTCATGCCTGTAATCCCAGCACTTCCAGAGGCCGAAGTGGGAGGATGGCTTGAGTCCAGGAGTCCAAGACCAGTCTGTGCAATATAGTGAAACCCCATCTCTACAAAAAAATATATAAAAAGTAGCCAGGCATAGTGGCGTGTGCCTATAGTCCTAGCTACCTGTGAGGCTGAGGCAGGAGAATCACCTGAGGCCAGGAGTTCAACACTAGCCTGGGCAACACAGTGAGACCCCATCTCTTTTTAAGAACCCCATCTTTTTTTAAAGAAAAAAAAAAGTAGATACTCTCTTTGCCGGGCACAGTGGCTCATGCCTATAATCCCAGCACTTTGGGAGGCCGAGGCAGGCGCATCATCTGAGATCAGGAGTTTGAGACCAGCCTGGCCAATAGTTGAAACCCCGTCTCTACTAAAGATACAAACATTAGCTGGGTGTGGTGGTGTGCAGCTATAATCCCAGCTACTCGGGAGGCTGAGGTAGGAGAATCGCTTGAACCCAGGAGGCGGAGGTTGCAGTGAGCAGAGATTGCGTCACCGCATTCCAGCCTGGGTAAAAAAAGCGAAACTCCGTCTAAAAACAAAAAAAAAAAAAAAAAAAGATGGAAATCAGGGCGCCTCCTATGGTCAAGATGCTGTCACGCAGATGAACACTTCAGCCAGCAAGAGAAAGGATCCCGAACAGAAAGCTAAGCTACCTTTAAATGGCAGTGTGTGCTCTGGAGCCTGGGAATGCAGTGCGACAGGTAGAGCCAGCGCCCGCACACTCTCACACGCGGCAAGCAGGAACTGCTCTCTCCAGGCCCCCGGACCAAAGTTGTGGGAGGCTGCCACAATCCACCTAGCTCATCTCCAAAGGGATCCTGCCCTCAGGTCAGCTGTGCTCACTGGCAAAGAACATTCTGGTAAAAACCTCCTCTCACCTCAGAAAACTCCACAAAGCTAGGCCCAGCACAGAAAACCAGGTGGAGGAAGGGGGTGTTAGGGAGGGACAGCCGCCACCTTCCCCTACCCCTCAGGCTGCCACCACCAAGGACAACTGTGGTGGACTAGCAAAACCAATGCCCCAGTTGAGTTCCAGATTTACAGCTTACCTGTGGGTAAGCCACCGCTCTCCGACCCATCAAGACTCTTCTCTAAAATGAGGCTAATGACATGGGCCCACCCACAAGGGCTGCGGGACCCACACCAGACAGGAGTGTGAAGCACTCCGTGGAATCTGGTGGGCAGCTCACAGGGCAGGCCCTATGGCGGAGGGGATTCTCGGTGTGCTCGTACCAGCAACCCGTGCCCGAAGGCCCTGCCCACGCTGGTCCTTGGCCACGGGGAGCTGGCCCACAGCAGGCAAGTGGTCACCAACGCTCTCCCACGGTGCAACTCAGCAAAACGCAGCTCGCCCCCACCAGCGTGGAGCCCTGGCAACAGGTGAGGGCCGGAGGAAAGCTGTTTCTATTTCTCCACGAAGGGAGGGAGGAGCAGCTCCAAGGACAGCTACTCAATCTGTCCTCCCACAGCCATCTCCACTGGCCTCCCAAGGAGCCTCTCACTTACCCAGGGCAGACAGAGGGCAACGAGGCGCGGACTGCCAACTGCCTCAAGTCTGGTCCTCAGGCTCAACCGGGCTGCCAGCCTCAGGAAGCGCCAGGTCTCAATTTCACTAACCCACATCTTCAACATTAACGTTGTATATTTGTCACACAAACAGATGATGAAACACCAAAGTACAAGATTTCTCTGCAAGGAGGCTTTGTTCCCTTCCTGCACTTTGGAACTTCCTACAGGTGTACTTTAAACACCACTGATCAACATGAAAACCAGGATGCCAGTTACCTCTGAACGGGAGGGGCCAGAAACTACAATCTGGAGGGCCACTCGAGCCTTCTGGTAAAATCCTGTTTTTCAAGTAGGGTGGTGGGCACGTGTGAGTTTATTTTCATTCTTTAAACTCTCCATATATCTTCTGTGTGCCCCTTATAGGTATAACTTTAAATGCTGTTGTTTAAAATAAATAAAATGCCATTTTTCTCTACTAAAAAAAAAAATTTATTAAGTGCTTGCTGTTTGCCACACATTCTTCTGAGCATTTTACATGTATTATCGTGGTTAGTCCTCAAAACAACTCTGGGGGTGGGTACCATCGGCATCCTTTCTACAGATGGGGACACTGAGTATACAGCAGGCTTTTGTCCAGTCAAACACTCCACAGTGAGGTCACACGCAATTCTGAAGCAGAATCCAACTACAAGGCCCACACTCCCAGCCCTCCCATGAGTAGGGGGTCGCCCATCTGAGGCTGATGTGTGTTCACCAGGGAACCAGGAGGGGCCGGAGGAAAACTGCAGCACCTAATCCTCAGTGCCTCGCCACACCGCAGGCCACACCCTCTGACCTGCCCATTCCCCTACATGGCATCTAGGCGACACAGTCAGAAATTCAGACTAAGATTTATATTATTAAAATATTCATTAAGAAGTTACTCCTAGGCCAGTTGCGGTGGCTCACGCCTGTGATCCCAGCACTTTGGGAGGATCACCTGAGGTCAGGAATTGGAGACCAGCCTGACCAACATGGAGAAACCCTGTCTCTACTAAAAACGCAAAATAAGCCAGGTGTGGGGGCGCATGCCTGTAGTCTCAGCTACTTGGGAGGCTGAGGCAGGAGTACCACTTGAACCTGGGAGGCAGAGGTTGCAGTGAGCTGAGATCGCGCCACTGCACTCCAGCCTTGGAAACAGAGCGAGACTCCGTCTCAAAAAAAAAAAAAGAAAAGAAAAAGAAAAAGAAAAAAAAAGACAGGAGCAGCAGGCAGAAGGGGAGCAGACTCATCTCAAACCTGCCTCACATCCCCTGGAGGGATGCGGCCCCACCCGACTGGAAACCAGCCCTGTCAGTCTGCCTTGCTGGGGATGGCTCTGTCCCTGCAGAGTGTCCCAGGAGCATGCATGCCTGCAGAAAGCAGGTGCCTGGACTCCATGCCAGCTCTGACCCAAAAGTCAGAAGGCCTCCAGGTCCCAAGTGTCTTCATCTAGAAACTGGAAGGATCCAACTGGGTGAGCAAGAAGGTCCCTTCTGAAATTAAATTACCACCAGTGTCCTACAATCTATGACACAAAACCCCCAAGTAGCAGAGAGCAGAGCAGGCCTATGTGCTTCCTTTTGGTAAAGTAAAACTAATTTTGCCAGACACAGTGGCACGTACCTGTAGCCCCAGCTACTCAGGAGGCTGAGGTGGGGGGGTCGCTTGAGCCCAGGAGTTGGAGACTGCAGTGAGCTATGATCCCACCACTGCACTCCAGCCTGGATGACAGAGCGAGAGCTCATCTCTAAAGCAAACAATAATAATTTTTTAAAAGTTTTGTAAGTAATTTTGTTGAACGTCACCAGCGATGAGTCACGTGGATGTCCTGTACCCCAATACGACGCACTAAGGGCACCTCATCTCTGTGGGATTCTTCCTAACCCCACAACCTGTCCAACCACAAGACATCAAACAAACCCAAATGAAGGCACATTCTGCAAAATACCTGACCAGGACTCCTCAAAAGTACCAAGCTGATGACAAACAAGGAAGGACGGCAGCTATCCTACACCAGAGGGGGCGAATGAGACAGGACAACGCGATGCGATGTGGCACCGGGGCGGGGTCCTGGGACAGCAAGGACATCAGGAGGAAAACTGATAAAATCCAAAACAGGCCTGTCGCTCGGTGAGTAGTGTGGTGCCAGCGCGAACACCTCAGTTTCGACAGAGTGACAGAGGTATCACGGTCATGTCATGGCATTAGGGGAAGCTGGCTGGGGGAAATTATGGAAATTCTGTGTCGTCTGCAATTTTTCTACATACCTAAAAGTATTCCAAAATAGTTGATGTTTTCAATAATTTTTGTTAGGAGGCTACTTTGAGAGCTTCAGGTAAACTCAGGATCTGAAAACATCCTGTGTCATTCAAAACCTGACCCTGACTCAACGCTGAACGTTAACTTTTAAAATGTAGGGCTACTGAAGGGAAATAATATACCTGGAAGGAAAAAAACCCTAACAGAACAAGTTTAGTATGAATTTCTTACTACCACCAACTTCTTTGGCATGTTTTGTCCAAAAGGTCTCAGAGTTTGGATGCAAACCCAGCCTCCCAGCAGAAGCCAGCTGTATCAGGCGAGTGCAGGCCGCCTAGAGGTCCTCCAGGCCCACACGAAGAGCGCGTCCCACTCAGAACCTCCCCCACTGGAGGCCGATTCCCTGCTCAGGCAACCCAGACCTCCCCGAGTCGCCACCCCAGCCAGGAGAGCTCCTCCCCTGCTAGTCCACGTTGGGGCCCAGACTCTGCCCGGCTCTCTGAAGCAGCCCCACAAAGGCCGGTCACCCTCTCCTGCTCAGACACTAACTACCCTCCCTCTATGGGCACCATCTGCAACGGCCGTGCTATTGACTGTTTCCCTTCTGCCCCTGGGGCTCAGAGAGGGACAGGAGCATCAGGTGGACCGTCCCCCTTCAAGCTGTAGAAGCCATCTTTTTCACACAACATTTCCTCAGGCCAGGAGCATGGGGCCCGTTCTGTTCATAACCACTTTTCCTAAACCAACCGGGGCCGTCCTCACCCTTTCTGCCCCAGGCACAAAGCTCAGCGCCAGCAGCATCTGCACAGGAGAGCTTGCTAAGATTTTTTTTTAAGCATCATTTTGAGCTTCCGACTTTTTACGGAATGAGAACGCAATGCGTTCACCAAGAAAATCTATATTCAGATGCACATTTTAAACTAGATATCTGATAATAACCAGGTACGTACATACAATCAAAAGACTGTAATTCTGACCGATGGAAAAAAGCCATGAAAGACAAATGCCAGCCTGCAGGAAGAACATGTGAGTTACCCATGGAAAAGCAGCCGGAAGCGCTCCGAGCATCTGAGCGTCTGAGCCCGTGCTCTGAAGGAGCTGTGTACTCCCTCAGCCTGGCGTCCAGAGTCAGGCCCAACTGGGAGAGAGAAACGCAGACGAACCTAGCGCTCGCCCTCAGGAAGGACCCCCTGATGAGGTCCACATGGGGGGAAATGAGCAGCCGTCAGCCTTCCTAGCTCGTAAGTTGGGAGCCTGCTCACTAACCTGCCTCCCCAGGGTCTGGCTGCTGCGGCTCTCCAGATCAAACCTTCCCAAGAACAGGGCTGAGCAAAGCCAGCGCTCCATTCTTCCAAAGACTGATCTGTCCCCATCCTTTCCCACAGGGGAAGTCCAAGCAGTGCTGTGTGCCAGCCAGCACTGGCACACGGTGGGTCTGAAGGTCAATTAGCCCCGCCCCCACCGAGGTCGGAGAGCTCTCACTCACTGAGCCCTGGGCCTGGGTGCACAGCGGGGACTCTGAGACAGGTGGGCTGCTGAGATCCTCACTGCTGGGCTCCCCAAGGACCATCAGTCACACAACCATCCTGCGGATATAGCTGCAGCTCTACAGGTGGCTGCACCCACCCACAGAGCACACGTCCCTTTTGCCGCCACAGGACACCTTAGAAGCTACAGCAAAGTCAAGGCCTAGGAAAAGCCTCATGGCACCTTGCCCAAGCAGGAAAGAGACCAGGAGAGTAGGGCCCCGCTGTCAGGAAGGAAAAGCAGCTTAAGGTTAGAAGGGCCACTAAGGAAGGCCGGGCACGGTGGTTCACACCTGTAATCCCAGCACTTTGGGAGGCCAAGGCAGATGGCTTGAGGTCAGGAGTTCAAGACCAGCCTGGCCAACATGGTGAAACCCCATCTCTACTAAAAATACACAAATTAGCCCAGCATGGTGGCAGGAGCCTGTAATCCCAGCTACTCATGAGGCTGAGGCAGGAGAATCGCTTGAACCGGGGAGGTGGAGATTGCAGTGAGCCGAGATCGCGCCACTGCACTCCAGACTGGGCGACAGAGCGAGACTCTGTCTCAAAGCACTTTGGGAGGCTGAGGTGGGTAGATCACGAGGTCAGGAGTTCAAGATTAGCCTAACCAAGATGGTGAAACCCCGTCTCTACTAAAAACACAAAAATTAGCCGGGCGCAGTGGTAGGCACTTGTAATCACAGCTACTCAGGAGGCTGAGGCAGGAGAATCGCTTGAACCCGGGTGGCAGAGGTTGCAGTGAGCCGAGATCGCGCCACTGCACTCCAGCCTGGGTGACAGAGTGAGACTCCATCTTGAAAAAAAAAGTTACCTTTAGCTCATCATCTCCTAAGCAGTATTCTTGCCATAAATACTTAGCCTGAACCTAATCTAACAAGGAAACAATGAGACAAATCCAGATTGTGAATCCTGTATTTATATAAAATACGAGACAACTACCCTCATATTTTAAGAAATGCTGGCCAGGTTGCTGTAGCTCATGCCTGTATTCCCAGCATTTTGGGAGGAGCAGGTGGTAGGATCACTTTAACCCAGTCCAAGACCAGCCTGGGCAACAAAGCGAGACCCCATCTGTACAAAAAATTTTAAAAATTATAATTAGCCAGTGCTGGGCATGGTGGCTTACGCCTGTAATCTCACGCTTTGGGAGGCCAAGGCGGGTGAATCATGACATTAGGAGTTCGCGACCAGCCTAGCCAAGATGGTAAAACGCCGTCTCTACTGAAAATATAAAAATTAGCCGAGTGTGGCGGTGGGCGCCTGTAATCCTAGCTACTCATGAAGCTGAAGCAGGAGAATTGCTTGAACCCAGGAGGCGGAGGTTACAGTGAGCCGACATCACACCACTGCACTCCAGCCTGGGGAACAGAGCCAGACTCCGTCTCAAACAAAAAAAATTAGCCAGGTGTGGTGGCACAGGCCTATAGTCCCAGCTACTCAGGAGGCTAAGGCTGGAGGATGGCTTGAGCCCAAGGGAGTTCAAGGCTGCAGTGAGCTATGATCATGCCACTGCATTCTAGTTTGGGCAACAGAGCAAAACTCTGTCTCTAAAAAAAAAAAAGAGAGAGAAAGAAAGAAGAACAAGAAAGAGCTTTGAGGAGGACAGGTGACCACTGAGGAAGGCTGCACGTCACCTTTGCATTAGAAAATGCCACGTTACAATAAAATTCCACCTCTACTAAAAATGCAAAAATTAGCCACGACTGGTGGTACACACCTGTAAGTCCCAGCTACTTGGGAGGCAGAGGCAGGAGAATCACTTGAACCCAGAAGGCGGAGGTTGCAGTGAGCCAAGATCGCACTACTGCACTCCAGCCTGGGCAACAGCACGAGATTCCATCTCAAAAAAAAAAAAAAAATGCAATGTTAATGCTATCTCGGATGTGATGATGAAGAGGTTGTACAGGTGACAGCTTCTGAGCTCAGAAGGCATCTGGAGAAGGATTCTGGGGTGAAATGCTATCATGTGTGTGACTTACTTTCAAATAATAAAAATAATAGAAAAAAATTTTGGGCCAGGTGTGGTGGCTCATGCCTGTAAATCCCAGCACTTTGGGAGGCCGAGGTGGGCGGATCACGAGGTCAGGAGATCAATTCCATCCTAGCTAACAGGGTGAAACCCCGTCTCTACTAAAAATACAAAAAAATTAGCCGGGCATGGTGGCAGGCGCCTGTGGTCCCAGCTACTTGGGAGGCTGAGGCAGGAGAATGGTGTGAACCCAGGAGGCGGAGCTTGCAGTGAGCCGAGATCGCGCCACTGCACTCCAACTTGGGCGACAGAGCGAGACTCCGTCTCAAAAAAAAAAATTTGGGGGAGGTGAGGGGGTAATGTATACAAGCAAATATGGAAAAGGTTAACAACTGGTAGAATCCAGGTGAAAAGGCTAGGGATATTCATTGTACTATGCTTTCAACTATTCTTCGGTTTTGAAATTTTTCAGAACAAAAATTAGTGGAGAAAGGTTCATCCTCAGTCCAGTAAGTTCCAGGAGACAGAGCCAGACCTACCTTATTCACCACTGTTTCTCCACTGCTAGCTCAATGTGTGGTCCTCATCCCACTGGCCCAGGAAACCACTGCTAATATTTCTGTGGGAACCTCCCTCCAAGCTTTTCCCTGGGCCTGAGGAAAGTTATACTGGGCATGCTGCTTTGCAACCAGGTCTCTTCAGGTAGAAACACTTTGTAACCACCTATCAGGAGAGTACATACAGTCTGCCATCCCCAACCATAGGTTGACTCCACATGCATGGATTCAACCAACAGTGGATAGAAAATATTAGAAAAACAAGAAATTGCATCTGTACTGAACATGCACAGACTTTTTTTTATTGTCATGATTCCCTAAAGAATATAGTAAAGCAGGCCGGGCACGGTGGCTCACGCCTGTAATCCCACCACTTTGGGGGGCCGAGGTGGGCGGATCACCTGAGGTCAGGAGCTCGAGACCAGCCTGGCCAACATGGCAAAACCCGGTCTCTACTAAAATTACAAAAAAAAAAAAAAAAAATTAGCCGGGTGCGGTGGCACGTGCCTGTAATCCCAGCTACTCAGGAGGCTGAAGTAGGAGAATTGCTTCAACCTGAAAGACGGAGGTTGCGGTGAGCCGAGATCGTGCCACTGCACTCCAGCCTGGGCGACAGAGCAAGATTCTGTCTCAAAAACAAAAAACAAATAACAAAAAACCCAGCAGACTGGTCAGAAAAGACTGTACAGCCACAGGGGTTTCCATGTAGGGAAATTTCTCTAGGCAAGGAGGAAAAGCCTGAAGAAGACAAGAACTGCTGAGAACAGGGCAGCAGGGAACATCCTGGACCCACCTGGGCCGCACAGGCTGGAAAGAGAGGCCGTGGCCGGGCATCCGAGCCTGGGCCCCTCACAGAGGAGGAACAAAGTGACAGGCCAGGAGAGGAGGGGAAGATGCAGGAGTGCTGGCATCTGGGGACCAGCCAGCAAGTCCTTGGAGCCCTCCCTCACCAGAAAAGGGGAAGCAGGAAGGACAGCGGCAATGGCCAGAGTGAGGAGAATGCAGCGTCCTGCAGCTCCATGGAGTGAGCGCCTCCTTCACGGAGCAGCCCTGGCCGCCCTGCAACTGAGGCCGCGGCACCGAGGGTCCCGCCAATGCAGCAAGGGGCGAGAGACACCACACCTAAGACTCAGGAGCAAGGTCCTGTCCCCGCTCCCAACCCCGGGGCTCCTGGAATCACCGAGGCAGAACTGAAAAGTGAGTGCGGGCCCCTTTCCCACATGTTCCACTGCAAAGGTCAACACACGCCAGGCGCATTTCAGTGAGGCTTCAAGTCTTCCCTGCAAATCTCATCAGCCTTTTCTGATGGCATTCAATGCACAGCGGTCACTTTCAGCTACAACCCCTTCCTACTGCAGTCGAATTAATTCCAAAAGGGAAAAAACAGGTTAAAGAATGGGACTTTAACGATGAATTTATTGCAAAAAATAAGCCCATAGCCAGAAGAATCCTGACTGGCATCCTGCTGAGACACACAGCCTCTCCTCAGCCCTCTCCAGCACGGGGAGAGGGCACTGTCACCAGCTCCGCAAACACGCAGGAGACGGGGACCTCCAGAACTAACGTCCTTGGTCTCCAGACCTACCTTCAAACCTCATCTTTAAATATTTCGAATCCCTGCGTGCTACAAGCTGACTTGAAACACAGATTGGGCCGGTCCCAGCACGGTGGCTGGTAGAGAGGGCATCTGATCTTGTCTGTGGAATGACGGAAGTCACTGGACTGTCCAGGAACTACATGCCCACCTTCATCAGATGGAAACCACACACTTGTTTATTCTGCAGGGGGCCGTGTGCTCAACAGTGAGCTGCTAATGTCAGGCTTGTCCATCTTTTTCATACACAGGCTCTACAGTACTGTCAGTTCCCAATTCTGTGGGTCCCTGTATAATCCAACTCTTTAAACAGAAACCAGGCTGGGTGCGGCGGCTCATGCCTGTAATCCCAGCACTTTGGGAGGCCGAGGCGGGAGGATCCCTTGAGACCAGAAGTTTGAGTAGCCTGGGCAACATAGTGAGACCTCATCTCAATAAATAAATTAAATAAATAAATAATGTAGGTGGTGCGCACCTGTAATCCCAGCTACTTGGGAGCCTGAGGCACGAGAATCACTTGAACCCATGAGGCGGAGGTTGCAGTGAGCCAAAATCATGCCACTGTACTCCAGCCTGCGTGACAGAACGAGACTGTCTCGAAAAAATAAATAAATAAACAAACAGAAACCAGAATCAGGTGCTCTTATAAGGGATGTGTAGCCCAGAAACTCAATCTTAACACATTCTAAATGACCTGGAATTTCTTGGAGCAAAAATTCCAGTTTAAATATCAGGAAAATTGTCTAGACTAAGAGAATGGAAACGGACTTTGTGCAACCAACATCAGGTACAGAAAAGAGACCCCAACAATCATCATGAACCCAAACAGGCCTTTCTCCTCACTAAGAGAAGAGAACACACACAACCCATGCCTTGTTACTCTTTGAGAAGATGTGCCCTGCCTGTGATCTAGCAGCTAGAGACGGAACATACAACCTGTTCTCAATATTCAAATAATTTTTTAAAGGACATGGTATCACACTGAGCAAGTGAATAATGCAATTCTGCTGTAGAAGAATGCACGGCTGAAAAGACCTGAGCAACTCATGTCCAAAACTTGCAGTTTCCACAGCAGCACTTCCTCCCAGCACACTGCCCTTTGAACCTGCTTTCTAAACAACTGTGCTGGGCAGCCCAGTGGCCACATGTCATCGCACAGCAGGTGTGGAGCAGCATAGAGCACCCTGGCCCTCGCACCTGCTTGGGGGACTGTTTCTGCACCCAGGGCTTCTCTGCAGCCACAACCTGCCCCACACAGAACTGCAGCACCACGTGGCATCCTGTCCATTTCCTCAGAAGGGGAAAGTGCCACGCCAGTGCCCACTCTCTTCCAAACACATCCTCTCAGAAGGGACTGGCCACGCTTGCCCCCTCATTTCTGCAGCGCTTCCCAGTTCATCACCTGCTTGCCAGACTCCGTCTCCCACCGGTGTCAATCAGCTGCCCTGGAGCATCTAAACCCTGGGTCAGGCGGCTCAGGGGATGAGTGCATAGACTGAAAAAGGAACACTCCCTGTTTCTCCCCAAAACTGTGCTGAAGGCAGTCTAGAGGGCCAAGACCTGTCAAGAAGAGCTGCCCAAGGCCTCTTTTCAGGCCCCACATCTCTGCAGGCTGCTGCTGGATCCTTCTCATAAGAACACATCTCAGAAAAGCAGAACAAACCACTTCCCTCTTACCACTGGGAGCTCACCTTGCCAGCTCTAGACTCAGCTTGGACTGGCTGTCAGGGCAACGTTGCGTACAGGAATACATCACACTATGCACCAGACCAGCCACATAAGGAGGAACTCCCCAAAAGGAGAGAGAAAATCGAAAGCCACTTCTCTCCATGCTCCCTGCTTCTCCCCTCACCTTCCCCTAAGGATGCAGCCACCTTTGCAAAAGACAGAACCACCCTAGGGAGGGCAGGAGGCCACTCTGCCTAGTCCCCCAATTCTACCTTCAGCAAAATCATTACATGTTTCTTTGTTCCAAAGGGAGGATTTCAAGCCTCACCCATTCAGAGTATCGGCCCTCAAACAAGGCCGAATCACAGCCTCTTCCCAAACAGCTGCTTTCTGACAGCAGGAGGCTGAAACAGGCCCCGGGGTCACAGAGTTCAGCCATCTGCCAAAGAAATATGTACAGTTCTTCCATATGAAGACACCCCTCCTACCTCCAGCACGGCATGGTCAAGACATTCAGGCCCAATCCCTGGGAAGACATCCTGGGCAGTGGCACTGAAGATTTCCTTACAGAGTGCTGGGCTGAGCTGCCCGGCAGACCCTCCCTCAGGGGCTCCGAACGTGAGGGGCAGGGTGACACTGGAGTCTCTACCACTTATGAGGCAGGTACCTAACGCCTCTGCAGCTCAGCTTCTGCACCCGTAAAATGGGAACAACACCTACCTCGCAATGAGGTGTGAAAGTACCTAGGGAAGCGCCTGTCTTGAGTAGTCAGATCAAGAAATGGTACTCACTGCCTCTGGCCCACTTAGCATCAGACTGGGCCAGGCCACTGTCTGCCTTCACGCTCGCACTGCTCCCCCTGTTGGCTGTCCACGCGGACACACAAGGGAAAGTTCACTGGGAAGGGGGCTTCTCACACAGGGCCTACAGGGCCACCCTAAAGTCCAGATGCAAACCCACTTGAACCCTGAAGATCTATCCATCCTCAGGTGAAAATCCAGGATCAGGGCTGCCTCTACCATTACAGACAGGAAACACGGCATGTTCTCACATACGTACACATGGGGGAATCCAGCTGACAGATGCAAAACGCTCGTTCGTGACACTTCCTCATGTGGAAATCCATCTTGCATTCTATCATTCTTGCTCACTGGATTCCAGTGTTTTTGTGCAAAAAAGCCATCTCATGCGAAGAAAACTGCAGATATGAAATGTCCATCATGTGGAACTGCCAAGGCCATGAGAAAATTTGCTCTTTCCTCTTCCCGTGGATGACACCAAATACACACCTTGCATTGGAACAGCGTTACTGGGTGCGAGTTAACCTCACAAATTTCGCCATGACTGTCACTGGGTGCAGGTTAACCTCACAAACTTCGACATAACTCTCGGCCCCAGCCTCCACTGAGCCTGGCCAATCCGCCTAATTCATGTTTTTATGTTACCCGGGCCACTCTGGTGTACAGCCACACATGTCGAAATAGCGAAAGGCATCCCTTCAACATTTTTCTCAGCTGAACCTTCTTCCTTAACACGCATCTCTACAAAGTCCACGAGTGAGCTGCAGAAAGTTCAAGAGCCTCCTGACGTAGTTACAAAATTCAGCGTCACTCTGCCTTTTTCTCAGAAGAGGGCCCATACCTTTCCTCAGGTTCTCAAACAGACTCACAACCCCCCACTCCCCGCCCCACAAAAAAAAAGATCAAGAACGCCTATCAAAAAGCCACATCTGCCGGGCGTGGTGGCTCACGCCTGTAATCCTAGCACTTTGGGAGGACGAGGCGGGCAGATCACTTGAGGTCAGGAGTTCCAGACCAGCCTGGCCAACATGGCGAAACACCTTCTCTACTAAAAATACAAAAATTAGCCGGGCATGGTGGCATACGCCTGTAATCCCAGCTACTCAGGAGGCTGTGGCAGGAGAATCGCTTGAACCCGGGAGATGGAGGTTGCAGTGAGCTGAGATCGCATCACTGCACTCCAGCCTGCGCGTCGAGAGGGAGACTCCATCAAAAAAAAAAAAAAAAAAAAGCCGCATCCTGGAAGACACGGGATCAATTAAATTTCTTGGGTTTTCCTTCATTTAAAATATTTGCCTTTTAAATCAAATGTTAAAGCCATGTAGACGTTCTTCCATCACCCACTGCACATCGCATACAAGGCATAAATTTTTAAACCGTCGTCCCCAGACTGTAGAACTTAGCATATGGAAAACATAAAAACACGAGGGATACTTTTAGCGATAGAGAGAAAATATAGAAACACCAGCGACACTTTTAGCAAAACATTTCACCCAACAAGTGGTTTGTTTTGGTCCTTCCCCTAAAATCCCTCCTACCTGTCAAGCTCACTTTCCCCTCGGTGATCCTGCACATTCGGCCTCCCAGGGGCTTCCCACAACGCTGAGCACAGCCACGGGCAGCAAAAGCACCCAAATGCCCCTTGGCCGGGCCGTGAAAGGCGAGTTTTCCCGACCACTGTCATCAAGAATCTGGAAAAGGGGGCCCAGGAGCATCAGGTGCTTTCAGCAAGAACTTGCACCTTCTGCTTCTCTCGCAGGCGGAGGCGCCAAGGACCCCGTTCCAGGTGGAAGCCCAGGGCGGTTCCTCTACAGACAGAACCGAAAGGTAACCCTGGAGGCTCGGCTCCAGGCTGCGCCAAGCCGAAAACAAACTTTCCAGGCACTTCCACCCCGCTGGGCCGGGTGACACCTCCCGGCCTCCCCCGCCCTCCGCGCGTCTGTCAGCGCCCCCGGCCAGGCCGCCGCCCGCCGCAACCCAGGCCCGGTCTCCCCGCCGCAGCCAAGCAGCGCCCTCGGCCGGCGCCCGCCATCCCCGGCCCGGCCGCCCGGCTGCAGGTAAGGAGGCACCCGGCCCTCGGGACCCCGGGCCGCCCCGCCTCGCCGGACCCGGGCGGCCGCCGGACCCGGCAGGGTAACAAACCGGCGCGTCCAGTCCGCCGCCGCGCGCTCACCAGCTGGCTGGTGGTCCTGGCCATGGGCCCCGCGTCGGCGCGGGCGCCTCCCCCGCAGCGCTGCGCGGCTCGGCGCCTCCTCAGCGTCCTCCTCCCCGAAGCGGAGCCCCAGCAATGGCCGCCCTCATCCTGCGCCCGCCCCGTCGCCCGCCGCCCCCCGCCCCCGGCGCCGCCCCGCCCCCGCGCGGCGCCGGGCAGGACTTCCGTCGCGCCGCAGCCGACGCCCGCGCCCATTGGCCGCGCCCATCGTCGCTCCGCCGCGGCCTTAGTGGGCTCCGCCTCCGCTCCAGCTGCATTTCCGGGTTGGGGCCTGGCGGGCGGGAGAGGCCCGACCCCGCCTGGGGAGGGGGACCTCGCGCGAACCAATCCCAGGGCCTGCGGGGCGGGGCTGGGCGGGGCTGGGCGGGGCAGGGGGCGAGCTGTCATTCCGGCATCCCAGACCGGGAAACTGAGGCTCAGAGGGGACCAGGCTCCGGCCAAGGTCACGCCCGAGGTAGCGGCGGAGCTGTGCTCGAACCCGGAACTCGGATTCCGGAGCCGGCTCTGCGTAAACTCAGAGGCGCAACTTTGCTAGTTTCACAACTAACAAGCGTTCACGGAAGGAAATCTGGGCTATCAAGTCACATTCACGGCCGGGCACGGTGGCTCACTTTGGGAGGCGGAGGTCGAGGCGGGCGGATCACTTGAGGTGAGGAGTTCGAGGCCAGCCTGCCAACATGGAGAAACCCTGTCTCTACTAAAAATATACAATTAGCCGGGCGCCTTGTAGTTGTTAATGTCGATAATGTTTTTTTGTGTTTTTTTGTTTTGGGTTTTTGGTTTTTTTGAGATGGAAATTTGCTCTGTTGCCCAGGCTGGAGTGCAGTGGCTCGATCTCTGCTCACTGCAACCTCCGCCTCCCGGGTTGAAGCGATTCTCCTGCCTCAGCCTCCCGAGTAGCTGGGACTACAGGCATGTGCCACCACACACAGGCAAATGTTTGTATTTTTTTGTAGAGACAGGGTTTCACCATGTTGGCCAGGGGCTGGTCTCCAACTCCAGTGATCTGTCTGTCTCCGCCTCCCAAAGTGCTGGGATTACAGGTGTGAGTCACCACGCCCGGCCAACTTTATTTTTTTTTGAGACAGAGTCTCTGTCGCCCAGGCTGGAGTGCAGTGGCGCGATCTCGGCTCACTGCAAGCTCCGCCTCCCGGGTTCACTCCATTCTCCTGCCTCAGCCTCTCCGAGTAGCTGGGACTACAGGCGCCCGCCACCACGCCCAGCTAATTTTTTTGTATTTTTAGTAGAGACAGGGTTTCACCGTGGTCTCAATCTCCTGACCTCGTGATCCGCCCGCCTCTGCCTCCCAAAGTGCTGGGATTACAAGCGTGAGCCACCGCGCCCGGCCAACTTTATTTTTTTTTATACTGACACATGCCCATGCAGTTCTTGAGTAATGCACAGAAAAATCGGAAGCAGTGAAGGACAAACAGCTTGAGGAACTAGTACACAGTGAACTCTAGAACACGGAGCCCAGGGTGGAGGAGCCTCGGGGCAGGGGCCAAGGGCCAAGGGTCAAGGGTCACAAGAAGAAAGCATCTGAGCAGGCACCAGGGGACAGGGGAGAGAGGGGCAGCTGAAGGTCAAAGAAGAAAGGACAGTTCTCAGTTGTCCTGGGGGCCCCAGTGGCAGCCAGAATGCTTGGCCAAGCCCAAGGCAAGCTAGACCAGGAAACCCCTCGCCCTCTGGCGACACAGACAAATCTCCCCATGGGTCAGGTCCAGTGGCTCATCCCAGGACACCGCACAGACAGCGGATGTCTCACCTGGCCCAGCACGGTTCTCCCGACCCGGGCTGGAGGAAAGAGACTGACCCCTCTCTTTATCTCACCCTTTCCTGCCGAGAACCTCTGTCTATGGCCAATGGATGACCTCAGGCCAAGAATGCAATAACTTGGCCTGACGTTGTGAGGTCACGGTCCATCCAGGGAGGGGCAAGAAAATGACCACAACCATCCCGGGAGGGGCTGGAAAGCTGCCTCATGTGCGTGGCACTGTGCTGCGTCTACGTGTTCCTCACTCGCCTCTACAATGCTCATGGCACGAGGGAGGAAACGGGGGTGCAGAGGCTAAGGAACGTGCCCAAAGCCCTACAGCTGGTGTATTAGTTATATACTGCTGTGTAACAAATTGCCTCAAAACTTTGATGTGTAAAACAACAAAGAAACTCATGGCTCCTGCGGGTCTGGAATCCAGGAGAGGCCAGGCTGGGTGGTCTGGCTCAGGCTCTCTTGTGAAGTTGCCATCAAGATGCTGCCAGGACTGAGTCATCTAAAGGCTAGAGCAGGGCCGAAAGATTCACTTCCTAAAAGGTTCATTCCCACGTTCCCACAGCTGTGGGCTGGAGGCCTCCGTCCCTCACCAGTGCGGCCTCTTCCCAGGCGTGTGTGTTTTCAAGCCCCAGCAGCTGGCTTTCCCCAGAGCGAGTGGCCCAAGAAAAAGAGAACACACACAAGATAGAAGCCGCTGCGTCTTTAATGACCTAACCTCAGAAGTGACACACCATCACTTCCAACACATCTGCTGGTCACACACAACCCTGGTAGAAAGTGAACGGGCGTGTTTTGGGAGGCTGAGGCAGGAGCACTGCTTGAGGCTAGGTGTTTGAGAGCAGCCTGGGCAACAAAGTGAGACCCTGTCTCTAACAAAAAAAAAACTTTTTAAATAAAATCTTTTAAAAAGTGAAACAAGGTTACACAAGGGTATGAAATCCAGAAGGGGCCATTCCTGGGGGCCCCCCTTCAAGCTAGTTGAGGACAGAGCCAGGATTCCAATCTCAGGGAGAGACACAGAGAAGCTAGAAGCACAGGCCCAGCCTGGACCCTGCAGGTGTGCACACCAGAAGGCCCTGAGTTACAAAGCCAGGGAAGGAAGGGCTCTCCCAGCAAGGATCCCAACCTGGATTGCATCTCTAGACTGACCCTGAAGCTACTCAGTAGCGTCTGGAAAGGAGACTAAAGGGGAAAATAGGGGGCAGGGAGATCAGGTGAGAGAAAAGGGGGCTCTCAAAAGACAAGAGCACTGGCTAGGCGCTGTGGCTCACACCTGTAAGCCCAGCACTTTGGGAGAGTGAGGTGGGTGGATCACTTGAGGTCAGGAGTTGGAGACCAGCCTGGCCAACATGGTGAAACCCCGTCTCTACTAAAAATACAAAAATTAGCCAGGCATGGTGATGGACGCCTGTAATTCCAGCTACTCAGGAAGCTAAGGCAGAAGAATCTCTTGAACTCGGGAGGCAGAGGTTGCAGTGAACCAAGATCGCACCACTGCACTCCAGCCTGGGTGACAGAGGGAGACTCTGTCTTAAAAAAAAAAAAAAAAAAAAGGTCTCCTGGCTGCCTCTGGCCCACAAGGCCCTGGTCACATGTCTGAGGCTCCCAATATACATTCGCTGGGCTGCGGATACATGGATGGATGGAAGATACAAAGTCATTCAGTGGTTTCCAAGCCACCAGGTAAATATCCTCCCATATAAGCCATACCAAGGGAGAATCAGACTTGACTGGGAGTCAGGAAACAGAAAGTTGCATGAGATCTTAGGCAAGTAATTTCCCCTCCTTAAACCTCAATTATCCCCGCTGTAAAATGGGCTGGCTCAACAACTGCTAAAAGTCCCAAAAGTGGAAAATATCCAGTGTTGGTAGGAATGCAGAGAAAGGGGCACGTTCATGTACCGATGATGGGAACATCATATTTCCTTTAAACCTGAGCACTGGGAATTCCTGTCCTAGGCCCTTCTCTCTAAAAGGCAGAATAATGTCCTCTCCAAAGATGTTCTCATCTTAATCTCCCAACCTGTGAATATGTTATTATATAGAGAGACGAATTAATCAGCTGACCTTATAGCTGGATAATTATGGCTAGGCATGGTCGTTCAAGCCTGTAATCCCAGCACTTTGGGAGGCAGAAGCAGGAGGATGATTTGAGCCCAGCGGTTCAAGACCAGCCTGGGCAACACAGTGAGATCCCATCTCCGTAAAAAACTAACAAAAACTGGGCGCAGACCAGGCGCGGTGGCTCACGCCTGTAATCCCAGCCCTTCGGGAGGCCGAGGAAGGTGGATCACGAGGCCAGGAGTTTGAGACCAGCCTGGCCAATGTGGTGAAATCCCATTTATACTAAAAATACAAAAATTAGCCAGGCACAGTGACAAAAATTTAGCCCAGGACTTCAAGATCAGCCTGGGCAACATAGTGAGATCCCGTCTCTTTAAAAAACAAACAAAAACTGGGCGCAGACAAGGCGCAGTGGCTCACGCCTGTAATCCCAGCACTTCGGGAGGCCGAGGTGGGTGGATTACTTGAGGCCAGGAATTACAGACCAGCCTGGCCAACACGATGAAACCCCGTTTATACGAAAACTAAAAAAATTAGCCAGGAACTGGAGGCTGAGGCAGGAGGATCACTTGAACCTGAGAGGTTCAGTGAGTTTGCAGTCAGCTGAGGTAGCATCACTGCACTCCAGCCTGGACGACAGAGTGAGACTCTGTCTCAAAAAAAACCAAACAAACAAAAAAAACTGGGCGTGGTGGCTCACACCAGTAATCCCAGCACTTTGGGAAGCCGAGGCACGCACATCACGTGAGGTCAGGAGTTCGAGACTAGCCTGGCTAACATGGTAAAACCCTGTCTCTACTAAAAAAAAAAAAAAAAAAAAAAAAAAAAAAAATCTGGGCGTGTTGGTGCATGCCTGTAATCCCAGCTACTGGGAAGGCTGAGGCAGGAGAATCACTTGAACCCAGGAGGCTGAGGTTGCAGTGAGCCAGGATCGCGCCGGGCTGGGCAACAGAATGAGACTCCGTGTTAAAAAAAAAAAAAAAAAAAGGCTGGGCACAGTGGCTCACGCCTGTAATCCCAGCACTTTCAGAGGCCTAGGCGGGCGAATCAATTGAGGTCAGGAATTCAAGACCAGCCTGGCCAACATAGTGAAACCCTGTCTCTACCAAAAATACAAAAAAATTAGTCAGGTGTGGTGGCGTGCGCCTGTAATCCCAGCTACTAAGGGGGCTGAGGCGGAGAATCGCTTGAACCCGGGAGGCGGAAGCTGCAGTGAGCAGAGATCGCACCACTGCACTCCAGCCTGCGCAACACAGCCAGGCTCCGTCACACACACACAAACCGAACTGCAAAGTAATAGCAAAAGTGTAAACCCATTTAGAAAAAACGTGTGTGACATAAATGTGATAAAAGGAACAGGGCCAGTCTGGGAGGGAGTACCCGGACGCTCCGGAGCTGTCCCAGACTCCAGGGGCGGAAAAGCCGGGCTGAAGAGGTGCCCTTCCTCCACGCTTCTGGTGCCAATCTCCCCTGCTGCGCCCACCCTGGGTCCCTAGCCTGGGCTCCAAACCAACTCCGAGCTAGGGAAGCTCCGAGCCAGGGTGCTTCTAGAGTGTCCGGCCCACCCCTCCGCTTCATTTCCCAAGACAGTGAGGGCGGGGCTAGAGGCCAGGTGCGGAGGTGCGGGACAGGAGCCAAGCTGGGTCGTAGTGGGATCCACCTGTGCGTGATACGTAACAGAAGGGAGAGGCGAGGCGCGGGGAGGTCCGCAGGGATGTGGGAGACGCGACGGGGAGGACTGGGACGAAACAAACTAGGTCCGCAAGGGTATAAGGGGAGCAGCTCGGAGGGTTGGGGCGAGGCGGGGTCTACAGGGGTGTGGGGGGCTTGGCAGGGAGCGCTGGGGCGACGCGGAGCTCCGCAGCGTTGGCGGGGAGCGTTGTGGGGAGACGGGGTCTGCAGGAATGTGAGGGCGCGGTGGGGAGCGTAGCGGGGTATGCAAGGTTGTGAGGGTTGTGGATGGGAGGGCTGGGGCGAGGCGGGGTCCGCAGAGATGTGGGGGGCGCAGAGATGGGGGGGGTCCGCGGGCCCGCCGGGGACCGCGCAGCCTCGGGCTCTGTGCCCGGGGCCGCGCGGGTTAACTAGAGAAGGTGACGCGCGCCCCTGTTGCTCAGCCGCGGCGCGTGCCTTCCCTGCGGCGATCCTAATTGGCCCGACAGAAGCCCGCCCCCAGAAGCCCCTCCCACAGTAGGCAAGGCCCCGCGTGCCGCAACGCTCCCAGAGTTGCGCGTCAGCCTGGACTCAGCGCCTGCGCTACGAGGCTGGGCGGGGCGCGGCCGGATCGGTCGAGAGCGTCCTGGCTGATGACGGTCTCCCGTGCCCACGCCCCAAACGCAGTCTCTGGCCTGGATGTGCTCGGAGCCCACGAGGTGCAGAGGCTCGGACGGCGAAAGGGACCTGGCTGAGATCTGGGTCTTAAACCGCGGGCTCGGCCCAGCATCCCGGCAGCGTGCGCCCACAAGTGACACCCGGCCGGGCGCGGTCTGCGGGATCGCAGGCGCCGGGTCTCATCTCCAGTTCACACACGGGACGAAACGGGCCACCCCTACCAGCTCTGAGAGCATGCACCTCCAACTCCATCCCTCCCCACATGCCCGACCCCCCAACCCGTAACTCAGGCAGACACCTGGGCGTCCCCCTTCAGCGAATGCCCACACCGCGGGCAGGCCTGCCCCTCACCCCGCAGTCAGGGCGCCCTGCATCCTTCTTTGTAAAACCCATAGCTGTAGAGGGAGCGGAATGGTGGGGCAGGGCTGGGAGCCCAGCGGGAGTGAGTGGTGGGGAATGATGGTGGCCAAGGTCACACAAAGCAGTGAATTCACTTCATGTCACAGAACTGCTCAGGTTACGATAGTTACTTTTGTTATGTATTTTACCACAATTTTTAAAAAGCAAACCAAAACCAACCAAGAGTGCTTCCCCCACACCTCAAAATCATCCTGCAGCAGCTCCCTGGCCCAGCTCTCTCTCACCCTGACCCTGGGCCCCTCTCCCACCACCCAGGGCTAGCCCTGTGGACCAACCATCTCTGCCAGCCCCTCCCCGACCCTCCAGCCAGGGAGGTGGGGCGCTGGCCGGTGAATGGGGCAGGCCAGGCCCAAAGGCTGGCCCAGGGCTCACCAGCTCTGGACTGGGCGTCCCGTCTGAGGTGGGGATGACCAACATGCCAGCTCTGGGTTTTAGCTGAGGATGGGCACATCAAGCACTGACAGCCAGCAAGCTGGGCACAGGCGATGCTCAACCTCTAACACATCGGCTGAGAACCTCACCTGCCTCTCCCTGCCTGGGAGCCCTGGCAAGACAGCTCCTCTCCCAGGCCCAGCACAGGCAGGCGCTGGACAGCCACTTCCTAAGGGGTGCGCGGCCGTCAAGGCAGAGGTGGGTATCCCTGCACCTCACACCTCTCAGGAGGTCAGGATCCACATCCGTCGCCTGCTTTCCTGGGCTGCCCCTGGGGCTTGTGGGCTGAGATCAACCCCTTGTGCCCTGCCCCAGGCCCTCCCTCAGGCGAGGCCCTGCCCAGGCAGGTGGTTCTTCCCTGGCTGTTCCCTTCCAACAGGTGGGGCCCAGACCATCCTATCTCTTTGGACCTGGAGACATTTCCTTAACTGGGCTTTGCAGCAGAGGGAAGAGAACAGTGGCAGAGCCAGGCGCGTACCTCCTGTGCCCAGGACAGCACCTGTAAGCAAGGGGGAAGGGAGCCACCCACCCCAGAACTCAAATGGAGAGAAAGTCAAGACAATCACCCCTGACGTGGGGCTGCACCAATCCCTGACGTCTGACCCCACTGTGGCTGTCCTCAGAGCCAAGAGGGCTCCAGAAGCCCACCCGCCTCGAAGCTGTTCAGGGAGCCTCACGGCCCGTGTTTGCCACATGGGTGTGTGCCAGGGCCAAGGGGACACAGAAGATGGCAGGATGACACTAATGGGGTGAGCAGGGCACACTGGTGCCTCCCATACTGCCCTCCAGCACCAGGCAGGGTCACCACAGCCGGCAAGCACTGGGCCTGGGGATGTGTGAAGAGATAGGGTTATTGAGAAGAGAAAACAGAACGCTGGTCATCCGTGGCACTCAGGGCTAGGCAGTCCAGGGAGCAGAAAACAGGGGTCCCGGGCCCAGTCTCCCTCCTGGAGGTCAGAGCGGAGCCCCTGGCACTGTGCCCTGGCCCAGAACCAGGCTGTGGGCTCCACGCTGCACACCCCAACTCAGGAGCAGAAAGCAAACCCCTGACTGTCCACACTCCCTGTGACTGGTCCCCTTCCTGCCGGCTCTTCACCCCCAGCCCATGGTGGCTTCACCCCATGGCACCAGCCACTGACTGCCTGCCCCTCCCTCCCATAGTGACACTTTCCTGGGGTCTGCAGGTCTCCGGTCCACTTCATGCAGACAGGCCCTGTCCCCCACTGGGGCCCAAGGCCCAGGCTAAACTACAGCCCAGCCATCCCACCCCAGGCCGTGAATGCCTTCTCCAGGAGGGCAACCAAGGATGGTGCCACATGTGAGCACAAGCAAAACCCGGAGCCAAGGCGAGTCCTGCTGGGTGCACGTTTATCCCAGCCACCGCCTCCAGGGCGGCCGCACAGGCCCTGGGCATCAATCCAGCAGGGCTCCCGACTCACTCCCTGGAGACCAGCTCCCCAACCACCCGGCCCTGATGGCATCCCGCTGCGGCCAGGTGTCCTCTCAGCCGAGGTCCTTGTCACTGCCTAGCTGCGTCCGCCTGCCACACCAGCTCACCCGAGATGTAGGTGGCCTGGACGTGAAGGGAGTCGTCGAGCACCACGAAGTCTGGGACAGAGCCGGGCAATGAGTAGGGGGCAGGAGTGGGGCCGCCCACCTACCCCAGAGCTGCTCCCCAACAACCCGACGCTGGTGGGGAAACTGAGGCCCAGGGACACGACTAGTGCAAGACACCCTGACCCATCACAGATGGACAGAGGTACTGGACAATGCTCCCTGCAACCCCTTGCCTGGCCTTGTCTGCAACACCAGAAAGCCCGGCCTGATGGCAACACGGGGCTACAACTGAGGCTGGCAGCCGGCAGCCCACCTGAGAGGAGGGAGCTAGGGAGGACCCACCCTCCCTGGCCCTGTCCAGGCCGCCCCAGGAACAACAGAGTCTACAGGCAGGGCCAGGCTGCCCGGTGACCCTGCGACAGGCCCTCACCTGCGTCAGCACCAAAGTCCAGGGTCCCCTTACTCTTCTCCAGCCCCAGCAACTGGGCGGGGTGCAGGGATGCAGCCTCCAGGGCCGACTCCATGCTGCAGCCTGCTTGGGGGACACAGCTAGGTGACAGTCCCCAAGCCCACATGGCTTTGCCAACAGCCCCCAACCACACCAGCACTCCCTGTCTCAGGGACTCTGCAGCAGGCTAACAAGGACCCTGCTGGTCTGCCTGTCACCCTGGGCCTGAGTCACCAAGTACCCAATGCCCAGGAGCTCCTGTGGGCAGAGCTTGGGCTACAGTCCGGGCACCCGGTCCAGCCCCTTGGGGACCCACCACTCACAGACCACCTAAACCCGCACCCGTGCTGCTCACTGACCTGTGGCCTGCAGGAAGTGCCGGACACAGACGTCCATTGGGGCTATGCTGCCACTCAGCGTCTTGGTGCCTTGAGAGCAGAGAGGGCAGGCTCTGGGGGGGTCGTGGGCCACCTGGCATGCGGGCTGGGACCTGGGACCCAGTGGGTCAGGGCGCTCACCTGCCACGTAGGCCGTCAGACCGTCCACTTCCACTTCCTGCTGTCCCAGCGTGTGCCGGCCGTTGCCCAGGCCCAAGGCAGGGATGGCATCGGTGACCAGCACCAGCCCTGGGGGAGAAGAGGCTCAGAACCTGCTAGCCCAGTCATCCTACCTGTCCTGGCCACCTGCCGCAGCTTACCCTGGGGATGGGCACGGTGGGCGATCCGCAGGGCGGCGGGGTTGGTGTGCGTGCCATCTGCAATCATCCCATAGAAGATGCAGCGGCCTGCGGGCAGCCGGTCGCTGGTCAGGAGCCCCACGATGCCTGGGTCGCGGTGGTGGAACTGGGCAGGGGCGAGGGAAGGGATGGCTGAGCGACAGCAGGGGCTGCTGGGACCCCAGCCCCGCCCCTGGGGCCCCATAGCACTCACAGGCAGCATGGCGTTGAAGAGGTGGGTGATGAAGGTGGCTCCGCTCCACACAGCATCCTCTGCCGCCCGCAGGTCAGCCACTGAGTGCCCTGCGGGACCTGGATTCAGACTTTGCACCTGGCCCAGGTCCCCCAAGCAGGCCCACCCCGAGCCGGCCCCTCACCTAGGGACACGCAGATGCCACGGGCCGTCAGCGCCCGGATCACTTCGTGGCTACGGCCCAACTCTGGGGCCAGCGTCACGATGCGGACATTGTCCAGGGGCCCGTAGGTGGCCAGCAAGTCCTGGAAGGCATCGGCCTCGAAGGAGCGGAGGTGGGCCTCGGGGTGCGCGCCCCGCTTCTCCCGGCTGATGAAGGGGCCCTCCAGGTGCAGCCCTGGGAGGAGGGAGCAAGTGGCTCCAGCAGGTCCCTGCCCCACCCAGCCCTTATCACCTGCCCTCCCCACCAGCTGGGCATCTGGAGGGGTGGGGGCTGCCAACAGGTCCCGCAGGAGCCTCCCAGGGTGGGGGCGGGGAGGAGGTCAGCCACTCACCGAGGACCCCTGCCCCATGGGGACCACCACTCTTCACAGGGATCTGAGGAACAACCTGGGGGGAACCAGCTGTTAAAGCCCTGTCCCCCACAGCCCATTCCCAGAGGCCACAGCCTAGCCAAGGCCAGAGATCTCAGGTCAGAGTTCAGAGCCCAGCACCCAGCCCAGCCCCGGCCGCCTGTCCCCTCACAGGGGTCAGGGAAAGCACAGCCGGCAGAATTGAAGGACCCATGGCAGGAGCAGGAAGAAATGATAGGTGTGTGGGATGCCAGCGGTCCCTGGCCATGTGGGCAGGCTTGTGGGCACTGAGGGTGGCCCTGGGCACAGCAGCCCAGGGAGCAGGGCTGGGAGGCAGGAGGCTCCTGGGAGCAGCAGGGACCCTGGGGCAGAGCTCAGTGTGGGCATGGCCAGGGCTCAGCACTGTGTGTGGTCCACACCATGGCCGGAGCTGGACGCCATCAGGAAGACCGAGTGTGTCAGGGAACGGGGGGACACGGGCTCACACCACACATCTCAGAGGCTAACAGGTGGGCAGGCAGTCCAGTGCACACTCCCTCTCTCCAACACAGGCATGGGCTGGGGGAGCCTTCCCAGAGAGAAGAGCTTCAGGTGAGGATGGTGGCTGGATTGTACCCTCCCCTGAACTCCCCAACCCACACAACAGTAACACTTTTTTTGTTTTTTTGGAATGGAGTTTCCCTCTTGTCGCCCAGGCTGGAGTGCAATGGCAAGATCTCGGCTCACTGCAACCTCTGCCTCCTGAGTTCAAGCGATTCTCCTGCCTCAGCCTCCCGAGTAGCTGGGATTACAGGCGTGCACGACCATGCTCGGCTAATTTTGTATTTTTAGTAGAGGCGGGGTTTCACCATGTAGGTCAGGCCAGTTTCAAACTCCTGACCAAACACCCACCTTAGTCTCCCAAAGTGCTGGGATTACAGGCGTGAGCCACCATGCCTGGCCAACGGTAAGACTTTTAAGAGCCCTAAACCTGGGGGCGGGGTTGGGGGGGTAGCAGATGATAGAAAGAAGACAGCCAGACTTTGGAGGCTTGGCAAGAGGGACACTGGGCAGGTCTGGGGGAGTGCACGCAGTGGGGGAAGTGACCCCCACAGGCTCAGGATGGTGCCTTGAGAAGTAGGGTGACGTGGGGACCAACGGAAGAGTGCCTGCCCTGAGTGTGCCGGTCGGGCCCCCGGGGAAGTAGAGCAGATTGGCAAGGGTAGGTGTGGGCACAGCAGGAACTTGCGAAATGTGTGTTCTCAAGGTGCTCAGCAGGGTGCCAGCCAGGCCCAGCCCCTCTGAGCACTGCTAGACTCTTCTCAGGGAACCCAGCCAGCCCAAGAGAAAGGAGCCAGGGACCCCAACCTACGAGTACCCCCATAATGCCCCTCCTGCAGGCTGGGTGCCCCCAGCTGGCCTGCTGACACCTCTTCTGAAAGAAAGCACACCACCAAGGTCAGCAGGCAGCCTGGGCAAGCCTCGAAAAGGAGCCCGAACAAAAGAGGACAGGGCCAGGCAGGGAAGCAGAGACCACGAGGAGAGATGGACAGGGAAAAGGGCCATCACGGACACCCTCCAGCCAATAAGAGGTCTTCTGTCCCTGAAACAAGAATAGGATGGCAGAAAAAGGAACACTGGGCTGGGCACAGTAGCTCACACCTGTAATCCCAGCACTTTGGGAGGCCAAGGCGAGCAGATCACCTGAGGTCAGGAGTTTGAGACCAGCCTTACCAACATGGAGAAACCCCATCTCTACTAAAAATACAAAAATTGGCCAGGCGCGGTGGCTCACGCCAGTAATCCCAGCACCTGGGGAGGCCAAGGCAGGCGGATCACGAGGTCAGGAGATCGAGACCATCCTGGCTAATGTGGTGAAACCGCATCTCTACTAAAAATACAAAAAATTAGCCGTGCGTGGTGGCGAGCACCTGTAGTCCCAGCTACCTGGGAGGCTGAGGTAGGAGAATGGCGTGAACCTGGGAGGCGGAGCTTGCAGTGAGCCGAGATCGCGCCACTGCACTCCAGCCTGGGTGACAGAGTGAGACTCCATCTCAAAAAAATAAATAAATAAAAATAAATAAATTAGCCAGGCATAGTGGCACACGCCTGTAGTCCCAGCTACTCAGGAGGCTGAGGTAGGAGAATTGCTTGAACCCAGGAGGCAGAGGTTGCAGTAAGCCGAGATTGTGCCATTGCGCTCCAGCCCGGGCAACAAGAGCGAAACTCCATCTCAAAAAAAAAAAAAAAAAGCAACATTTGGCTGGGCACAGTGACTCACACATGTAATCCCAGCACTTTGGAAGGCCAAGGCAGTTGGATCACCTGAGGTCAGGAGTTCGAGACCAGCCTTGCCAACATGGAGCAAGCCCATCTCTACTAAAAATTACAAAAATTAGCAGGGCATGGCGGCAGGTGCTTGTAATCCCAGCTACTCCGGAGGCTGAAGCAGGAGAATCACTTAAACTCAGGAGGCAGAGGTTGCAGTGAGCAGAGATCACACCATTGCACTCCAGCCTGGGTGACAGAGGGAGACTCCATCTCGAAAAATAAATAAATAAGTGGCCAGAGAGAAGAGTGAAACAATCAGGAGGAAGCCTGGAATTGGGTTAGAGCCAAGAAACAAAGCAAAGAACACTCACGGCAAAGCAAGCAGAAATGGCAGCTGAGATGTCACTGGGCCACACATCCCTTCACACCACTCCGATGACTGACCTACACAGGTATTCTCATCACAATTATGGGGAACTACCAGGAAAGATGAGAGGAGAGAAAGGGGCTAAGAGGACTCACGGAGCCACGAGAGCACTGATGTTCAGCTCTCCTGGTGGAAGGCAATGGATTCTGCCCTGAGCTGAAAGACTGAGAAGCAGCCAGCACAGTTTTTAGAGCTACGGGCGCAAATTCCAAGAGTCCACTGAGTTGAAAGTGATTGTCCCTAGGGTGGATGCTGGTTGGGGCAAAGGGCCGCTGTTTTTCCTCACAAGCCCTATGGATACACAGGCTCACTAAAGATTAAAACAGGAAAAAAACAAACAAAAAAAGACAATGGCTGAGTTTTTCCAGAATGGAGTTTTAGAAGGGAGCAAGAGGGCGCTACATAGAGAGAGCACAGTAAAAGATCAACTGAGGGGAGGGGAGTGAGGCACACTCCAGGCAGGTAAACAGCCGGAAAGGTCAAAGTGTAGAGGGTGTGCGGGGCCAGAGGCAGGGGCCTGGCTGCCCCCTGGAGGTGCCTCACCTTGGCTCAGGAGGTAACAGACTTAAAGCAAAGAACAAAGTGAGCTCACCTGTCTCCAAGTACCGTAGCAAAGGACAGGCGGAAACCCCCCAGAAAAGAGAAGGTGGTCTTAATGGACCAGAACAGGACAACAAAAGACCGAAGAAGCTTCTGGCAAAGTGGCCATCCAATTCCACCCAGGGTGAGTGGGCCCTGGAAGAGGTGGCGTGCACGGCACAGGGGAGACCCGAGTGAAAAGGGGCCTCCAGTTTCTAAGATGATCCAGGCAGGAGGCTTCCCAATTCCCACCCTCAATAGTTGGCTCTCTGCCTTCATCCTGTGTGTGCGCCAAGGGTTAAGACACCTGCACTGCAGTGCATGCTGGGAAGAAAACAAAGTCCTACTTGTCAGAGACTCTTCCTAAGGAAGAAGAGCCATAGTTCCTCCCACGCCTGTGCTGGCCAGAGATGCGCAGGCAGTGGGGGGCACAGTGGGGACAGGTAGGCAAGGCTTAGCAGAGGAGGCCTGGGGAGCAGGCCAGGGCCTTCTAGGCCAAGAGTTTGGGGGCAGGAGTGGGGAATGTGGCTGGGGACAGAGAAGAGGCTGGACAGGTAGGAAAGGAATGCTGCCGGTAGGGGTGGGGCAGAGGTGATGTGCTGAATCCTGAATCTTGGACAGGTGGCTCTGACAGGCCCCAGAGCCCCAGAGAGCAGCTGTGAGAACCAGGTGCCAGTTGGCAGCAGGTTTTTGACATTTGACTCTGTGTGGGGAGGGCTGTGGGAAATTTCCAAAAAGACATCCATGGCTAATACTGAGTGGTGAACACTCAGCATCTCACGCACGATGCTGAGCACCCAACGCCCCTAAGCCATGCACGCTGCCTTCATCCTCACTTCAGGTTTGAGGAAACGGAGGCTCAGAAAGGCAGAAGGTTGTCCTGAGTCTTCCAGCCGATACATGACATCAGGAGGCCAATGCCAAATCCAGGAAGCCTGAGCCCAGAACCCACACACCACCCCCATTGTTCCCAGCTCTGGCTCTGCCCACACACCAAGAGAGGGACCCCTTGGGCATATAACGCAAGTGATGATCCTGAAATGAATCCTGTGCTGGAGGGGAAAACGGCGGGGGCTCTGGACAGAACTAGAACACAGACGGCTCAATTAAAGTACTGTTAACAGGGTTCATTTTCTAAACTCACTAACTCTTGTGGCTCCATAAGAAAATATTCATTATCTTAAGAAATAGTTAAGTATTGGTTGGGCACCATGGCTCACGCCTGTAATCCTAGCACTTTGGGAGGCTGAGATGGGCAGATCGTGAGGTCAGGATTTCAAGATCAGCCTGGCCAGTATGGTGAAACCCCGTCTCTACTAAAAATACAAAAATTAGCCGGGCATGGTGGCGGGCGCCTGTAGTCCCAGCTACTCGGGCGACTGAGGCAGGAGAATCGCTTGAACCCAGGAGGCGGAGGTTGTAGTGAGCCGAGATCGCACCACTGCACTCCAGCCTGGTCAACAAAGGGAGACTATGTCTCAAAAAAAAAAAAAAAAAGTTAAGTACTAAGGAATAAACAGGCATGATGGGCCAGGCACAGTGGCTCTCGCCTATAATCCCAGCACTATGGGAGGCCGAGGCAGTAGATCTCCTGAGCCTAGGAGTTTGAGACCAGCCTGATCAACATAATGAGATCCCTGTCTCTACAAAAAACTTTTTTTTTTTGAGATGGAGTCTCGATCTGTTGCCCAGGCTGGAGTGCAGTGGCGCAATCTCGGCTCACTGCAACCTCTGCCTCCTGGGTTCAAGCGGTTCTCCTGCCTCAGCCTCCCAAGTAGCTGGGACTACAGGTAGGCGCAACCACTCCCAGCTAATTTTTTGTATTTTTAGTAGAGACGGGGTTTCACTGTGTTAGCCAAGATGGTCTCGATCTCCTGACTTCGTGGTCCGCCTGCCTCGGCCTCCCAAAGGGATTACAGGCGTGAGCCACCGCGCCCGGCCGAAAAAGCTTTTTAAATTAGTCGGGTGTGGTGGCACAAGCCCGTAGTGCCAGCTACTCTGGGGGACTAAGACAGGAGGATCTCTTGAGCCCAGGAGTTCAGAACCAGCCTGGGCAACACAGTGAGACTTTCTCTACAAAAAATGTTAAAATTGGCTGGGCATGGTGGCACACACCTGTAGTCCTACCTACTCAAGAGGCTGAAGCAAGAGGATCGCTTGAGCAGAGAAGAATGAGGCTGCAATGGGCTATGACCACACCACTCTACTCCAACCTGGGCCACAGAGAGAAACCCTGTCTCTTAAAAATAACAAAAACTGGCCGGGCGCGGTGGCTCACGCCTGTAATCCCAGCACTTTGGGAGGCCAAGGCGGGCGGATCACGAGGTCAGGAGATCGAGACCATCCTGGCTAACACGGTGAAACCCCGTCTCTACGAAAAATACAAAAAATTAGCCGGGCGAGGTGGCGGGCACCTGTAGTCCCAGCTACTTGGGAGGCTGAAGCAGGAGAATGGCGTGAACCCTGGGGGGCGGAGCCTGCAGTGAGCCAAGATTGTGCCACTGCACTCCAGCCTGGGCGACAGAGCGAGACTCCGTCTCAAAAAAAAAAAAAAAAAAAACTAAACAAAAAAAAAAAGCATGTTGGATACAACCTACTCTCAAATAGTTCAGTAAAAAACAGTAGCACAGGTACAGCCAAGAGGAGCCTGAATAGTAGTAACATACAGCAAAAAGTTAACCCTGTAGAACCTAAGTAAAAATTAAAATAAAAAAAGACCAAGGACAACCAAATTTCTTCCGGGCAGGAAAGAAAATGGAAGCGTGGGGCAAGCAGTACAGGAGCAGGGGGAGTCTCTTCTGGAAGGCGTGTTCCACTGAGTCACACATCAGACAGGTTAGGGAGGAAGAGCCTGACCAGGGACTATCGCTGTGCCAATCACAGAATCCCCTGCGGCCTTGGTTAAGGGGATGGTTTCTGAAGCCTGGAGGCAGCCAGAGTGCAGTGCAGGGGGTGGGGACGGCCTATGGCTCAGACGGTGCTGAGCCAGCAGTGTGGAGACAGCTGCGGAGGACAGAGGGTCTAGGGAGGCCAGGCAGAGCGACAACTGATAAAGAAGCACAGGGGCGGGACCCAGGCCCAGATCCGGTCATCAAAGGAGGCCAGACTCAGGACCATGGAATACGTGCTGGGGGTGGGGGGTGGGGCGTGAGTTTGAAAATGAGGGCGCTGGTTGCTCCGGGAGCCCCCTCCACCTCAGCCAGGGAGCCTCACCTCACCTTGTGATAAACCTCCGGTGGGGAAGTGACCAGGGTGGGGCAGAAGGAGGTGACGCCGTGCGACAGGATCCTCCGGGCCACGAGGGCAACCCCCGAACCCACGTCCTCCGTGGCTTGAGAGAAGTCAACACCAAATCCACCTGCAGCCACAGAAAAGGAAGTGTCGCATGGAGCTCAGAGCTCCTCCCCTGGGTTCCCCTGCCGGCCCCGGGCCGCACCGTTGATCTGCACGTCGATGAATCCGGGAGCCAAGATGCGGCCCCCGCAGTCCCGCCGCTCGTCGGCCACGCGCCGCTCCTCAAAGAACAGCTTCTCTGGGTCCAAGATGCGGCCTCCGCGCACCCACAGATCCTCCCTGGGGACGCAGTGGGTGGGCGCTCGCATCGCGGGCCTGACCTCGGCCCCGCACCCTGCACCCCGCCCGGTCCCCGGCCCCGCACCCTGCACCCCGCCCGGTCCCCGGCCCCGCACCCTGCACCCCGCCCTGTCCCCGGCCCCGCACCCTGCACCCCGCCCGGTCCCCGGCCCCGCACCCTGCACCCCGCCCGGTCCCCAGCCCCGCAGTCCCCGGCCCGCGCCCACCTGAGCAGTTTCCCTCCGCGCAGGATCCGGCAGTTAGTGAACTGGAGCACGCGGGCCCCCGCCGCGCCCTGCTCGCCGCGCATCGTGAGCCGTGTCGGGAGCGAGCGGCTCCGGAGCCCCGCGGCGGCCAAATCCCGCGCCCAGTGACGAACCCCAGCCGAGAGCTGAGACCGCGCCCACGTGACCTTCAGCTGACTGAAGCGGCGCGCCACGTGACCGCCGCGCCCACGTGATCGAGCCAGCCCACGTGACCGGCAGCGCCCGGCGCCCGCCCGCCCGCCCGCCCGCCCCCGCCCCCAACAAGCTGAGCAGACACAGGCCCGTCACATCCAAGAACTTTATTGGACACAGCTCCGCGCAGGGCCACGGGCCCGGCGGTGAGGGCGGCTCCATCCAGGAAGTCTCAGCAACAGGAACCCACAAGGCGACACTCTAGCTAAGGTTATAGATAGCTGGGAGACAAGGGCCGCTCCGCAGACGCAGGAACAGGCCAGATCTTTATAAATAAACATCCAGTAAAGAGAAATGACAATTCTAAATCATCCGCATACACAGAGCACTCTAGGGGGTGGGGCGCCGGGGGCCTGGAGGGGCGATGAGTGGGCCCAGATGTCCACGGCACGGGGCGGGCGGGGGCAAGGCCGGGGAAACAGACGATGGGCACTAGGACACTGCGCATGTACAAGACCAACTACTGGGGGCGGCGGCCCCGTGCGTATGTGTCAGGCTGTTCGTTCTGGAATGAGGAGGGGTGGTCTTTACATAATATTCTGTGGCTGGTGGGCTCGGAGAGGGTCTACTTTGTGGAGAGGATGAGGGCGACGATGAGACCGTAGAGGCCGAGCACCTCGGCGAAGATGAGAATCAGGATCATGCCCACGAATAGTCGGGGCTGCTGGGCGGTGCCCCGCACGCCAGCGTCCCCCACGATGCCGATGGCAAAGCCGGCTGCCAGGCCGCTCAGGCCCACGCTCAGGCCGGCGCCCAGCTGGAGGAAGCTCCTGGGGGCGAGAAGAGAGGACTGACATCAGCAGCCTGCCAACCAGGGGGAGACAAGGGTCCGGGTCACCACCCACAGGTGAACCGCCCCCCTCCCTGCAGTCCTCCAGCCCTGGGCAGGGGCCTGACCCCAGTGCTCACTTGTAGAGGCTGATGTCGTCATTCAGGGAGTTGGCGATGAGGACTGCCACCACCAGGCCGTAGATGGCGATGATGCCAGCCATGACCACTGGGATGATGGACTTCATGATCTGCTCCGGCCGCATGACAGACATGGCCGCAATGCCGGTACCGCTCTTGGCTGTGCCATAGGCAGCGCCCAGGGCTGTGGGAGGAAGGCGGGGTGAGCCCACAGCAGTACGCAGGCCAGTTGAGACTAGGACCCCGAGGTGTAGCTTTGGCACAGCTCCAAGGGCCACCCCAAGTTATCACATGCAGAGGGGGAGCCGAAGAAGGCATCCAGCCCAGGGCAAGAGGACCCAGGAGGAACAGCCACGGGCAAGCAAAAGGAGGCCAGGACAGCCACTCCTCCTTCCTCTACGTGAGGCCCCCACCCTCAGAGTCCAGCTCTTCCTCCAGCAGCAGCTCTTGGGGCGGCGTGACCCATCTGGGGCTCCTGGCTCTGCAGTGAACCCACCTGTCACCCCAGGGAGCCTCAGTGCAGCCTCAGCAGCCCCCATGTGGGGTCAGGGTCAGTCGACCCTTGGGGCTACTGCCCAGGACAACATGCTGGAAAAGCCACCAAAGGTCTTGGGGATGGCAAAGCCACTGCTACAGGGTGTGACCGGAGGGTCAGAAGCAGCTGACCTGGCCACTCTTGTCACCCAGGCCAGAGCTCCCTTGACTCACTGCCCAGGCCAAGCTCCCCAACGCTCCCAGCCCCAAATATTAACCTAGGAGGGCCAAACATTCTGCCAGAAAGGGCAGCTCTCAGCACCCTCAGCCACACAGCAGGCCTGAACCCTTGACAGATTGGAGAATCTTCTCTACCAGACAGGAGACAGGGTGAGCCAAGAAGAGGATGGGGGCAGAGAAGACGACGGGGATCATCAACAGTCCAACTACGAGGCCTCAGCTGACCTCCCAGAGAGGTCTCCCCTGCACACGGGGTGGCTCCAAGCACACAGGAGCCTGGCCAGAGGGCCCAAGCCTCCCACCGCAACAGTGCTGGTGGGCTGGGCTCCAGGGTGGCCTGTCTCCTCCAGAGCTGTCCCTCCTTCCTCTCCCAAGAGAATGTTGCCTTTCTTTTCAGTTCCCCTCTCCTGGGCCCTATTCTCAAAGTGGAGAATTCTGTGGACACAGCAGTGTCACGGGGGCTCATTTGCCTTTCTGACTTCTGCCAGCTGCCCTCCAGGGCCACCACAGGGGCCTACTGAGCTGCTTGTGGGGACTGCACTGGCAACTCCCTGCCCCCTCTCTGCCCACAGAACTCATGCCATGGTCTTTTAGGGGAGCAGATCAATAACCAGCCTGACTTGGCCAGGCGCAGTGGCTCACGCCTGTAATCCCAGCACTTTAGGAGGCCAAGGCGGGCGGATCACCTGGTGTCAGAAGTTCGAGATTAGCCTGGGTAACATGGTGAAACCTCGTCTCTACTAAAAATACAAAAATTAGCCAGGAGTGGTGGCGCATGCCTGTCATCCCAGTTACTAGGGAGGCTGAGGCAGGAGAATCGCCTGAACCCAGGAGTGGAGGTTGCAGTGAGTCAAGATCACGCCACTGCACTCCAGCCTGGGCGACACAGAGAGACTCCGTCTCAAACAAACAACAAGAGTGAATCTCTGACAGACACACACACACACACACACACACACACACACACACACACAAACAGCCTGACCTGCAGAAGACTACATATGTCAGAGGTGGAAGGGACCAGGACTACCCCTACCATTCCTCTTCATATTTTATTGATATATTTGGGCCACAAAACTTGCCTACCCTGTGTCCCAGCACTCAGCAGGGGTGAGGACACAGGCGCGGTGACCTCCAGGCACAGAGACATGCTCCAGGAGAGCGGAGAAGGGGGTGCTGGGGAAGGGCTTCACAGACAAGTATCCCAAGTTGGCGGGAGAGAGGAGTCACAGAAAAACAAGGCAATAAGACAAGGGCTCTGGATAGCACCTGCAGAGGCACCCAAGACGACGGTGCTGGGTATCCAGGGAGTGACTATAGAGGGAGGAAGGAGGCTGGGACCTGGGCCAGGGAGCCACACGGCCTCCTCCACGCCACCTTGGAGGTGCCCAGACATGCCATGCCAACACCCAGTGCACCTGCAGACTGGGGCCCAGGGCCTGTCCCAGCGCCTGTCCTGAACTCCTGGTTACAGTGCATTTTTTCCCTGGCAAGCATATAGAGCAATTACAGTGCATTTTAGGGGGCTCCCACTGCAGGCCCAGGACCACATCCAACTGCATCATGTATGCACAAGAGACCAGAGCATGGCAGACACGTTGGCAGGAGACTGAATACAGGGAACTCAGCAACCCAAGTAGTGGACCCTGTGAGGCCAGTAGTCCACCAGAGGCAGGAAGTGAGCCAGGCCCTTTTCTACAGAGGGCAGCAGGAAGAATCATGTGGCTGGCAGGGGGAGGAGGCACCAAGAGGAGCACAGGGAAGAAAGGGATGGCCACCAGGAGCGGAATACCATGAGCACCCTGGACTCCAGTCCGGAGGCCAAGCCTGACCAGACTGCAGAAGGCAGACCTGTGAGCGGCACTAGGCTCAGCAGCCACAGAAAGAGTGGGGGGCCAGAAAGCAGTTGCAGAAACACAAGCATAAAATACAAGGCACTCGCCAGCAGGGAGGAAGTCACAGGAAATACAGAAAAGGAGCAAATGACAACTTCTTGAAGGACATGATGAAGAAAGAACAGGACATTTGTCATGAGAAAAAAAAGGGGAAGCTGGGACGGGGGCCTGCAAGAGGTTTGTGGACCTCATTCGGTTTAAGACCAATCCGTCAGTGCCAGGCAGGCCAAGGGCCAGGAGCTGGGGACACAGCTGGAGGTTGGCGTTGTGGCAACAGCAGAGGCCACTGGAGGGCAGGGGGCTTGTTTAGGTCGGCACAGCAGGTGAAGCCAGGTCCTGGAGGAAAGCATGCTGAGAAGGCAGAAATGAAGTCAGAAGTTGAGCCAGTCATGGTGGCTCATGCCTATAATCCCAGCCCTTTACGAGGCAGAAGCAGGTGGATCGTTTGAGGCAACAAGGAGTTTGAGACCAGCCTGAGCCACATGGCGAGACCCTGTCTCTAAAAAAAAAAAATTAGCTGGGCATGGTAGCCTGTGCCTGTAGTCCTAGTTATTCAGGAGGCTGAGGCAGGAGGATTGCTTGAGCCTGGGAGGTTGAGGCTGTAGTGAGCCATGACCACACCACTGCACTCCAGCCTGGGAAACAGAGCAAGACCCTGTCTTGAGGAGGGGAGAAAAAAAAAAAAAAAAAAAAAAGCAGTTGTCTGAATTGGCCAAGTGAAGTCAGAGGTCAGCTCCTGGAGAGCCACAGTAAGCCACGTTTATCCCGAAGAGCCAGGGATAAGCAGGAAAGGCCTAGGCCAGCAATACCGTGTTCTCAATTTCCAGACACCTGCTGGTCAGGCTGCCCAAAGACCTGTGTAGGTCTTGACGGAGAGAGAGGAAAGGAGCTGGGTGCAGAAAAAGGGCTTGGTGGACAAACTCAGGGCTTCAAGGGCAAGCAGCAACAGCTAGAATTTAAGTTCCACATGGGCGGGGATCCCATTTTGTTCACTGCTGTCCTACCAGTACCTGGCACATAGTAAGCGCTCAATCAAGATTGTTTGGATGAATGAGTGACAGCCACAAGCTAATACCCCACAGGTGGCCAGGCAAAATGGAATCTCTGAAGGCATTCTGAGGGCAAAGAACAGAGGAGGCTGGGGGGAAGGGCTCGGCAGCCTGTTGGGAGAAGCCTTGAGTCTGTGGAAAGAGCAGGCGGTGCCTAGGGGGAAGGAGAAGTCTAGACCACTTCTTCCACCACAAATGACCCCTTACTTGCACACGACGGGAAGGCCAGGGCTCACTCACGAATGGCAGACAGGCCCAGGCAGAAGGAGGCCCGCAAGAGAACAGAGAGCTCCAAGCCCCCACCCCACAGGTGTTTACAGTCAGCAGAGACTGTTTGGAGTTCAAACCCTCCACATATCTGCACTAGGAGCCTCCCCAGGCCACCAGGCAGGGTGGGGCAGGGCACGGTCATCAAAGCTAAAACCAGACCTAACCACGGAGGCGGAAATCAGACCAGGCCAGGCCAGTCCACGGAGGCTGAGACTGGGCCAGAACTTAACTCGTCGGACCCACATTCCTGGGCCTAGCCCTAGCCCAAGTGCCATTCTCCCAGGGAGACCAATTGTCACTAAATTGGACGCCCAGGACCTGTCAAGGCCCAATTTCAAAAGCAGGGTGCCACCAAGAACCCTAGAAGGCCCCTTCTCCAAGCCCAGGGAAGCCCCTCCCAACTTCAGGCCTCAGGGAGGGAAAGGAAGGTCATTCATTCACCCCTCCATTCATTAGGACCACAACTGGAAGCCTCAGTCCTGAGGGCAACGACTGGATCCCATAAACTCGGACACCCATGCCACCCTCTCACCCACCTCAGAGCACAGACCCTCTGCAAGCTACACAGCCCCGCCAGCGCCGATGCTGCTGTCTCCCCGCTCCCTCCACTTCCACACACTCCCACCCGGGTCTCCGCGGGCTCTCCGAACCAAGCCCTCAGCCCAGCTTTCCCAAACAGCCCACACAGCGACACGGGTATTGGGCAACTGTAACCAGCTCCAACCGGAAGTACCTGCCTGTGGGTGAGACCCACCTGACCCTCGGGGCCGGCCGCCATAAGGGCGAGGGCTGAGGACCTCCCGTGGGGGACATGGGCTCCCCACCAGCCGGAAAGCTCCAGCGACCGGCTGGGCGTTCCTGGGCCGGACCCGCGCCGCCGCCCGCGCACTGGGGCCTTCGAGGTGTGATGTCACCTGCCCGCAGAATCGGCCCCCCTCGCGCCGCCCCCCTCGCGCCCCCACCCCAGCCTCCCTCTCGCCGCTCCCGGGGCTAATATGGCAGCGGCGCCGCCGCCCCACCCCCGCAACCGCACGACCCGGCTGGCAGGGCCGCCGGCCCGGACCCCCGAGACTCACACCCCGGCCAGGCCCGCACGCCCTGCGCCCCGGACCCCCGGCGGCTCCCCGCAGCCCTCGGGGCGCCGACCCCCGCCCGCTGTCACACGAGGCCCGGGCGCCCCCGACAGCTCGGGATTACGTCAGAGTGACGTCACACACCGGACCCCGGCGAGCTGCGGGCATGAGCAACGCGCGCGCCCCCGCCCCCGAGTCCCTCCCGCCGCCGCGCTCACCGCTGAAGACCATGGCGGCCGAGGCGCCCATGACGGCGAAAAACGAAGCATACTCGGGGCCGCTCTTGGACTCGGACATGTCTGCGGGTGGGGAGGGGGCAAGCTCTGCGGGCCGAGGCGGTGGCGGAGGCGGGGGCGAGGACGGGCCGGGCACGAAGGTTTGCGGGCGGGCGGCGGCGAAGGCGATCCGGCCCGTCAGCCGCTGCGCTCTAAATACCAGCACCGCAGAACAAAATGGCGGCCGCGGCCGCGTCACATGACCTGGGCCCCGCCCCTGCGAGCCGTACCACTTCGCACCGTGGGGGAGACGCGTCCCCGGGACGCCCGGCCGGCCCGTTGACCTCCCCCGGGCTGTGCCGCCCGCCCAGCGACCCGGCCCCGGCGCCCGGCCCCGCCCTGCCTCGGCCTCCGCGGGTGTTTCCGGGCGCCGCCGGCCTCTGGATCTCCGCAGCGTTGGACCGGTCTCGCGCCGGGGCGGGGCGGTGTGGTGTGTGCTTCATTAGCATACGGGGCGGGGCCTCGGACGCCCCGCCTCCTCTGCGGCTGCGCGTCGTCTGCAGGTGTTGGGTTCCCGGCGACGCTTTTCTTTGTACCCCTGGCGTGAAGCTGCAGGCCGTGGTTTCGCGGCCTTGCCCCCAAGACGGGGCCTCACCCCTCCGGGCGCTGGTCTTCCAGGATCTCCCTACCAATCCTGGGCGAGCTAAGGGTCCCAGCAGATGTGCGGCGCGCGGGCCTCCTCTGCCACAGCGTCCGGAAAAGCCCCCAGCCCACACCTGTGAAGTCCCAGCCCGTGGCTGCGGTCACCTCCCTCCACCCTGTCCCCAGTCTCCTCCAGACCCAGACCTACTGCCTCTGACCCAGCAGTTGGTGACTTCACCTCTCGCTTCGGAGAAAAAGGACCCCCTCCCCGCACCTGTCTCTGCCTTTGCATCAGGGACCCAAACATTAGTGGGGTGTGTCTCTGCCCCTCAAGATGTAGGCATGACTGGTGGAAGCCCTGTCGGAACTGCGACCTCTGGAGGCCCCCCGGGCTCTGCACGTTCTGGCGTCCTGGTCCTCCCACCTGTCCTTGCAGCCACCCACTCACGCAAAGCCTGCACCTTCAGGGCCATCTTTCTGTCTTTCTGGAGCAGTTGGAGCGGTTCCCGCAGCCGTGAAAGCAGCCCAGCCAGGGCTGGCGCTGCCCTACTGATCCTGTGTGGCAGTCCCTGGCACCCCCTCTGCCTGATCTCCATTCCCCCTTTCAGGGGCCCTGGGCAGCTGCCACCAGGCCTGAGTGTCCTTTGAGCTCTAAGGCCTCATCCTGGGTTAGAGCTCTCCCTGAGTAGCCTGGATGCTGGCTCATCACCTTCTCTATGTAGGCAATGGGGTCATGGCCCCTGGTCTGGCCCTCCTGCTGGACTCAGCCCCACCTTCCCCAGCAGGAGCCTCCCTCAAGCCCCTTCCCCAGGCTAGCCTGGGTCTGCCACTCTTGGAACTTGCAGCCCGTGAAAGTCCCTAAGTCTGTCCTGGTTCAAAGGAGAGGAGGCAACAGATACGGCCAGAGGCCCTTTCTGCTCCTCCCTCTTTCTTGCCCGGCCCTTGTTTCTGAGAAGACGAATCTTCACTCTGTCTCCACCTCCTCACCTGCCCTTCCCTCTCCAGCTCCTTGCCCTTGCCAAGGTCACTGGTGACCGCCATTTCTCTAAGCAGAAGGACATCTGTCAGGCTGTCCAAGTGGACCTCTGTGCTGCGTGGCCTGCCACCCTCTCCACACACTCTCCTCTCTCCTGCGGACTTCCTAAATCTCAGACGCCCTCATTCTTCCTGGAGTCACAAGGCCCTGTAGCCCCAATTTTGCTGCAGGTCCTGGCATACCCAGGGCTACCCCTAGCTCTGCCCTTCCCCTGCTTGATCCCATCCTTTCCCTGGCTTTGTCCCCCATCTTACGCCGTCTTGTCCCTCACCTGCACCATTCCAGCCCCGACCGCCCTCTGAGTGAGAGCAACACCAGTGCCTGCCCCCATAACTCCAAGCCCTCCAGGAAAGCCTAGGCCAGGAAGGCTGTGCCTGGGGCCGAATTCAGACCAAGGAAAGGTGGCGCAGAGCAGCCCACCATGGAGAAACAGCACAGTCCAAGCTCAGGGGTGGGCTGGGCACGGTGGCTCCCGCCTGTAATCCCAGCACTGTGGGAGGCCGAGGCAGGAGGATTGCTTGATCCCAGGAGTTTAAGACCAGCCTGGGCAACAAAGTGAGACCTCGTCTCAAACAAAACATTGTAGGGTGGGCAAAGAGCACCTAACTCCATTGTGGCTGAAACACCAGGACTGGGGACATGGGGACGTGGAGAGACTTCCCTCTTGCAGGAGCAGGGAGTGGGTCAGCTGTGCTCACTGGCCTCTTACCCATTCATTTTCTGCCTAAGTTCTAGTGTGAGAGGTCACACCGGGTCTCCAGTGTGGCTCCTGACACTTCAAGCTGGCGTGTCTGAAGCTGAGCTCGCCCCCACCCCTTCACCACCACCTTCCACTGGGCTATTTCCATTCCCGCAGAAGGCACGCCCATCCCCCCGCAGCCTGACGTCACGCCACTGCTCCCTCCCCACTCTGTATTACTCAGGATCCCGAGATCCTGCCTCCCCAGCTTGTGTCCGCGCCCGCGCCCCTGCCCCTGCCGCTGCCTGGCCTAGGTCTTCTCATCGCCTACCCCCAATCAACCGAGTCTTCACCTTAAAGCCACAGGTTCTTTCCAAAGGGCACTTTCCATCCTGGAATCCTTCGGCCCCTCAAGAGCCCTCCCTGGTCCCCTCCCGCTTCTCATCACCAGCCCCCCAACGTGTCTGCATCACCTGTGTCTGCACCAACTCTCTTCCTCACTCCCTACTTAAGAAATGCACCTCAGTTGGCGGGGTGCCTATAATCCCAACATTTTGGGAGGCCGAGGCGGGTGGATCACGAGTCAGGAGATGGAGACCTCCTGGCTAACACAGTTAAACCCTGTCTCTACTAAAAATACAAAAAATTAGCTGGGCGTGGTGGCACACACCTGTAATCCCAGCTACTGCAGAGGCTGAGGCAGGAGAATCGCTTGAACCCGGGAGGCGGAGGTTGCAGTGAGCTGAGACAGCCTCACTGCATTCCAGCCTGGGCGACAGAGTGAGACTCTGTCTCAAAAAAAAAAAAAAAGAAATGGGTCTCAGTATTTAGAACACCACCTCCTCCAGGAAGCCCCCACTTTCCTTCCCCTCCTTCTTCCTCCTCAGACACCCCCTTCAGGCCTCTCTGGATGCTCCCCTCACACTCTGTGATTTTTTTTTTTTTTTTTTTGAGATGGCGTCTCACTCTGTCACCCAGGCTGGAGTGCAGTGGCGCGATCTTGGCTCACTGCAACCTCCACCTCCCGGGTTCAAGCGATTCTCCTGCCTCAGCCTCTGGAGTAGCTGGGACTACAGGCGCCGGCCACCACGCCCGGCTAATTTTTTGTATTTTTAGTAGAGATGGGGTTTCACCGTGTTAGCCGGGATGGTCTCGATCTTCTGACCTCGTGATCCACCTGCCTCGGCCTCCCAAAGTGCTGGGATTACAGGCGTGAGCCCACGCCCAACCTCTGTGATTTTTTTTTTCCGCTCACTGCCTCCCCCACTGAGGGTCGCTGTGACTCTTTTTCTGTGTCCTTGACCTGGTAGGGTGCCAGACACACACAGGAGAGATTTCCTGAGCACCAGGGTGGGCCAGGCCCTGTCTGGGCACCGTCACCCCTCACTCTCACCGTGACCCTCATTTTCTGGTCAGCGAAACAGGCCTCAGAAGGTTAAGAGCCTTGCCAGGCATCCAGCTAGCAGCTGCCAAGGGAACCTGAAACTGGAGCTCCAGGGCCTGCCTCTGTGGTGGGCTCCACAGATGACTGATGACCAGTGACAGGTCTAGGAAGGACCCAGATCTCCTTCTCCTTGGTCTCCCAGCACCGGGCAGGACCCCAGGGTGGAGTGGACTCTGGGGTGGGGATGGCCAGGGACACACATCTCTCTCCTCCCTCACAGCTACGTCCCCCCTGGCGTGAAACCACAAGTCACGAGCCCCTGGCCTGTCACTGCTACAGCAGCGGGGATTTCCAGGAACTGGGGGAGGGGCTTTGAGAAACTCAGGTCAGAGACCCCAACAGAAGCCGTAGAGAAATGTAGGGTGGGCTTCTGCAGGAGGGACC